>NC_000006.12:85773261-86398261 GCF_000001405.40 Homo sapiens
TGTTCTGCCTGGCTGCATCTAGTCAGCCATATTGTTCTGTCCTCTGTCAGTTCTAATAGCTTTTTGGTGGAGTCTTTGGGTTTTTTCAAATAGAAGATCATATCATCTGCAAACAAGGATAATTTGACTTCCTTCTTTACAATGTGAATGCACTTTATTTCTTTATTTTGTCTGTTGCTTTAGCTAGGACTTCCAGTACTATGTTGAATAACAGTGTTGAAAGTGGGCATTCTTTTTGGACTCCAGATCTTAGAGGAAAGGCTTTCAGTTTTCCCCCATTGAGTATGATACTAGCTGTGGGTCTGTCATATATGGTTTTTATTATGTTCACATATGTTCTTTCTTTTTTTTCTTTTTTGAGACAGAGTCTTGCTCTGTCGCCCACGCTGGAGTGCAGTGGCATGATCTTGGCTCATCGCAGCCTCCACCTCCCGGGGTCAAGTGATTCTCTTGCCTCAGCCTCCAGAGTAGCTGGGACTACAGGTGCATGCCACCACGCCTGGCTAATTTTTGTATCTTTAGTAGAGATGGGGTTTCACCATGTTGGCCAGGATGGTCTCGGTCTTCTGACCTTGTCATCTGCCCACCTTGGCCTCCCAAAGTGCTGGGATTACAGGCATGAGCCACTGTGCCCGGCCTGTTCTTTCCATACCAGATTTTTGAGGGTTTATCATAAAGGGATGTTGAATTTTATCAAATGCCTTTTCAGCATCAATTGTAATGATCATACATCTTTTGTCCTTCATTCTGTTGATATGATGTATCACATTGGTTGATTTGCATATGTTGAACCATCCTCGCATCCCTGGGATAAATCCCACATGATCATGATGAATGCTCTTCTTAATGTGTTGTTGAATTCAGTTTGCTAGTATTTTGTTGAGGATTTTTGCATCAATGTTCATCAGGGATATTGGCCTGTAGTGTTTTTTTTGTTGTTGTTCTTTGTCTGGTTTTAGTATCAGGGTAATACTGGCCTCTTAGAATGAGTTTAGATATATTTCCTCTTCCTCTGTTTTTCAGAACAGTTTGAATAGGATTGACATTAATTCTTCATCAAATGTTTTGTAGAATTCAGCAGTGAAGCCACTGGGTTCCAGGCTTTTCTTTGCTGGGAGACTTTTTATTATGGCTTTCATCCTGTTACTTGTTATTGGTCTGTTCAGGCTTTGGATTTCTTAATGGCTCAATCGGGATTGTATGTATCTAGAGATTTATTAATTTCTTCTTGATTTTCCAATTTATTAGCCAATGGCTACTCATAAAAATCACTAATGATCCCTTGAATTTCTGTGGTATCAGATACAATGTCTCTTTTTTATTTCTGATTTAATTTATTTGGATCTTGTCTCTCTTTTTCTTAGTCTATCTAAAGGCTTATCAATTTTGTTTTATATTTTCAAAAAAATGGCTTTTTGGTTCATTGATCTTTGTATTGTTTGCTTCATTTCAATTTTATTTATTTCTGCTGTCATATTATTTTTTCTGCTAATTTTAGGTTTGGTTCTTTTATTGTTTTTTAAGATGCATCATTAGGTTACTTATTTGTAGTGTTTTTTTTTATATAGGTTGCTTATTGCTATAAACTTCCCTCTTGGTGCTGCTTTTGCTGTACTAATCTCACAGGTTTTGGTATGCTGTGTTTCCACCATCATTTCTTTCAAGAAATTTTAAAATCTCCTTTTTAATTTCTTCATTGACCCACTGTTCATTCAGGAGCATGTTGTTTAATTTCTATGTGTTTGTATAGTTTCTAACATTCCTCTTGCTATTAATGTCTAGTTTTATTCCATTGTGGTCAGAAGATACTTGATATTATTTCTTTTCTTTTATTAAGACTTGTTTTGTGATCTAACCTATGGCTTATCCTGGAGAATGATACATGTGGTGAGAAGAATGTGGTATTCTGCAGCAATGGGAGAAAATGTTCTGTAAATATCTACTAGGTTCATTTGGTCTATAGTGCAGAATGTTTCATGTTTCTTTGTTGATTTTCTGCCTGAAAGATCTATCCAATGCTGAAAATGTGGTGTTGAAGTCTCCTGCTAGTATTGTATGGGAGTCTATTTCTCTCTTTAGCTCTAATAATATTTCCTTTATATATCTGGTCCATATATAGTTACAATTGTTATATCCTCTTGCTAAATTGACCCCTTTATCATTATATAATGACCTTCTTTGTTTTTTCTTATAGTTTTTGTCTCTAAATCTATTTTTGTCTGATATAAATATAGCTACTCCTGCCTCTTTTTGTTTCCATTGGCATGGAATATCTTTTTTTCATCTTTTTATTTTTAGTCTATGTGTGCCTTTATTGGTGAAATGTATTTCTTTTCAGCAGCAGATTGTTGGGTATTTTTAAAATCCATTTAGCCACTTTGTGCCTTTTGATTGTAGAGTTTACTCTACTGCATTCAATATTATTATTTATAAGTAAGGATATACTTTTGTCATTTTGTTATTTTCTGGTTGTTTTGTGGTCTTCTCTTCCTTCTTTTCTTTCTTCTTGTCTTCCTTTTAGTTAAGATGATTTTCTCTGGTGGTGTATTAGTCTGTTTTCACACTGCTGTTAAGAACTGCCCAAGACTGGGAAATTTATAAAGGAAAGAGTTTTAATTGACTCACAGTTCAGTATGGCTGGGGAGACCTCAGGAAACTTACAGTCATGGCAGAAGGTGAAGGGGAAGCAAGACACCTTTTTCACAAGGTGGTAGGAAGGAAAATGAATGCAGGAGGAACTATCAAACACTATAAAATCATCATATCTGGTGAAAATGCACTCACTATCGAGAACAGCATGGGCAAAACCTCCCTCATGATCCAATTGTGTCCACGTGGTGTCTCCCTTGTCATGTGGGGATTATAGGAATTATAATTCAAGATGAGATTTGGATGGTGACACAAAGCCTAACCGTATCAGGTGGTATGATTTAATTTCTTGCTTTTTAGTTTTTGTGTATCCATTGCATATTTTTTTGATTTGAGCTTACCGTGAGGCTTGCATGTACTATCTTATAACCCATTACTTCAAACTGATGACTACTTTACACTGCATACACACAAAAAGAAAATGAATAAAAACTTTGCATTTTGGCTGGGCACAGTGGCTCATGCCTGCAATTCCAGAATTTTGGGAGGCCGAGGCGAGTGGATCACCCGAGGTAAGGAGTTTGAGACCAGCCTGGACAACATGGTGAAACCCCGTCTCTATTAAAAAAATGCAAAAATTAGCTGGGCATGGTGGCACATGCCTGTAATCCTAGCTACTTGGGAGGCTGAGGCAGGAGAATCACTTGAAGCTGGGAGGTGGAGGTTGCAGTGAGCTGGGATGGGGTCACTGCATTCCAGCCTGGGTGACAGAGTGAGACTCCATCTCCAAACAACAACAACAGCAATAAAAGAAAACCTCTGTACTTAAACTTTGTCCTCTTCTGTTTAACTTTTTGTTGTTTCTATTTATATCTTATTGTACTATTTCTTGAAAATTTATTGTAGTTACTGTTTTCAATTGGTTTATTTTTTAGTCCTTCTACTTAGGATAAGAGTAGTTCACACACCACAATTACAGTGTTATAATATTCTGTGTTTTTCTGTGAACTTACTATTACCAGTGAATTTTGTACCTTCAGATGATTTTTTTTTATTCCTTATTAACCTTCTTTTCTTTCTGATTGAAATACTCCCCTTAACATCTCTTGAGGGACAGGCCTGGTGTTGATGACATCTCTCAGCTTTGGTTTGGAGAGTTTTTATTTCTACTTCATGTTTGAAGGATATTTTCGCTGGATATACTCCCCTAGGGTAAATTTTTTTTCCTTTAGCACTTTATATACACCATGCCACTCTCTCCTGTAAGGTTTCCACTGAAAAGTCTGCTGCCAGATGTACTGGAGCTCCTTTGTATGTTATTTCTTTCTTTTCCCTCACTACTTTTTGCATCCTTTCTCTATCTTTGGCCTTTGTGAGTTTGATTATTAAATGTCTTGGGGTAATGTTGTTTGGATTTGATCTATTTTTGTGTTCTAAAACCTTCTCGTACTTAGATATTGATATCTTTCTCTAGGTTTGGAAACTTCTGTGTTATTATCCCTTTGAATAAACTTTCCACCTGATCTCTCTCTCTCTACTTCCTCTTTAAGACCAATAACTCTTATATTTGGCCTTTCAGTCTGTTTTCTAGATTTTGTAGACATGCTTTATTCTTTTTTATTCTTTTTCTTTTGTCTCCTCTTACTGTATATTTTCAAATAGCCTACCTTCAAGCTCACTAATTCTTATTTCTGCTTGATCTAGTCTTTTACTAAGAGACTCTGATGCATTCTTCAGTATATCAGTTGAATTTTTCAACTCCAGGATCCACTTTTTAAGATTAATTTTTAAAGCCTAGGCAAGTACAGTAGTGAGAAGGCAGGAAAGAGCAGAACAGGGAATTCAATCTGTGAACAGTTGTATAACTGTGAACAATTTAGATAACTTACTACCTTTGGACTAGCCTCAACTCCAGAGTTTCTGCTTGATTCTTTTTAATTATATCAATCTATTTGTTAAATTTATTTGATATAATTCTGAATTCCTTCTCTGTGTTATCTTGAATTTCTTTGAGTTTCCTCAAAATAGCTATTTTAAATTCCTTGTCTGAAAGTTCGCATATTTCTGTTTTTCCAGGATTGGTCTCTGGTGCCTTATTTAGTACATTTGATGAAGTTATGGTTTTTCTGGATGATTGTGATGCTTGTGAATGTTTGTTGCTGTATAAGCATGGAATAATTAGGTATTTATTGTAGTCTTTGCAGTCTGGGCTTCTTTGTATCCATCCTTCTTGGGAAGGCTTTCCAAGTATTCAAACAGACTCAGGTGTTGAGCTCTAAGTCGTATCTATGTTAGTTGGGTACCCAAAGCCTAGTAATACTTTGGTTCTTGTAGTTTCGTAGAGGTACCACCTTGGTGGCCTTAGAGAAGATCTGAAAGAACTCTCTGGATTACCAGGCAGAAACTCTTGTTCTCTTCTCTTACTTTCTCCCAAGCAAACAGAGTCTCTCTCTCTGCTGAGCCACCTGGAGCTGGGGAAGAAAGTTAGCACTCCTGTGGCCACTACCACTGGGACTGCACTGGGTGCCACCCAAGGCCTGTTGTAACCACTACCTGGTTATTGCCTATGTTTGCTCAGGGCCCTAGCACTCTACTATCAGCAGGTGGTGAGATCATCCAGGCTTGTGTCTTTCCCTTCAGAGTGGCAAGTTCCCTAGGACCCAGGCAGGTTCAGAAGTGCCATTCAGGAGCCAGGGACTGGATTCAAAAGCCTTAGAAATCTACCTGATGCTCTATTATACTGTGACTAAGCTGTCACTCAAGCCACAAGACAAAGTCCTTCCCAATATTCCCTTCTTTTTCCATAGGCAGGGGAACCTGTCTTCATGGCAACCACAATGACATGGCCATGGAGAGTACTGCCAGGCTATCGCTGATGTTCACTTAAGGCTCAAGGGCTCTTCAGTCAGCTTGTGGTGAATGTTGCCAGGCCTAGGACTTACGCTTCAGAGAAGTGGTCCCCACTTTGGCCTACAGTAAGTCCAGAAATGCCATCCAAGAGCCAAGGCCTGGAACCAAGGACCCCAAGAGCCTGCTTGGTGTTCTTTCCCACTGTGGATGAGCAGGTACCTAAATGGCAAGACAAAATCTCCTTTACTTTTCCCTCTGCTGTTCTCAATTAGGAGTCTTTCACCATAGCCATCACAGCTGGGAATGTGTTGGGTCTCACCTGAAGCCAGCATGTCTCAGAGTCTCACTCAAGGCTCGTTACATGTACCATCTGGGTATCACTGCTGGTTATTCAGGGTCCAAGGGCTCCTTATTCAGCAGGTGAAAAATTCTGCCAGGACTTGGTTCTTCCCTTCAAGGCAGTGAGTTCCCTTCTTGTGCAGGCTGTGTCTAGACAAGTCATTCAGGACCCAGGGCCTGGAATGGGAGGCCTCATGATTCTGTTCAATGCCCTATTCTACTGTGGCTGAGCTGGTGTATAATATACAAGACAAAGTCTTCTTTACTCTTTCCTCTGCTCTCCTCAAGCAGAAGGAAGAAGTCACTTTCATTGCTGTGAGTCACACTGCCTGGGGTTTGGGATGGGATAGTGCAAGCATTCCCTTAGTTTCCCCCACTGGTATCTCACTAGTTCATGTGTCCCCCAAGTCTACTTGCATCAAGCCCAGCAGAATACTAGGACTTGCCTAGGAATTGCAGTTCTTGTGTCCTAGATTTCCTTTGAAGTTTGTTTAGTAACCCAGAGCCCTTTAGCCCATGGTGTTGAGGCTTGCTGAAACTCAGGTTCCAGCAGCTGGGATGGACAATTCACCTTTGGCTAGGGCTGGCCTAAATACTCTCTCCATGAGCAAGCATTGGCTGAGTTCAGCATGTTTTTTCTGTTTATTTTTTCTTTTTTGTTTATTTTTCTTTGTCTTTTTTGTGGTCTCTGCCCCCCGCCCCCCACCACCCCATGGTTTTTCTTTCTGCTATGTGAGGGCAGCACTGATTTGAACACAAAGATCCACAGTTGCTGTGCTCTCTGTCCCCTAAGCATTCAAGCTATCTCCCTGTGTTAGGTGGCTGCTGTCATGGGATGGGGGAGGGGTGGCATCAGTGATCCAAGACCGTCTTTCCTACCCTCTTCTGTGCCTCTTTCAGCAATATGAAATTGACACCATGTAGTATGAGTGGTCACTTGACTTTTGGTTCTTATGAAGGTGCTTTTTTGTGTAGATAGTTGTTAAATTTGGTGTTCCTGCAAGGAGGATTATCAGTGAAAGCTTCTATTTGACCATCTTGCTCCACCCTCCAAGGACTTCGTAATTATTCTCCCATTCATCATGAATTTGTTTCTCTCTACCAGATTATCCTCATAAATATAAAAATATATTACATTTCCCATCTAAAACCAAACATTTCAAAACAAAACAAAACAAAATACCTTTCTTGTCTTTACATCCCCTTCCTACTAACTTCTTATCTATCTTCTCTCTTTCATGGTTAGCTATATGAAAACACAGTTTCTGGTCAGATCCTGTACTTTCTCACCTTACCGCCTTTCACCAACCCACTCAAGTTGGACTGCTGTTTTTCAGGTCACTGATAACTTTCATATTTCTGAATGGTTACACCCACCCCTAACTTTTTGCAGTGCTTAAGGCAAGAGTTCAAATGGAGAGCTATAAAACATGTTACCAAGTGTTTAGAAGTTAGAAATCAAGCTTTTAGACTGTTTAATAAAATGTGTCAATTTTTTTACCTTAACAAACATAACTTTATGTTCACTATATGGTATTGAAAAAAAGCTCGAAGTGTTTTTCCTACTTTTACTCATGCTCCACTTAACACAACACTTCTAACACCAGATGTGTGTGGGGTCTTTCCCTGCAGACCAACTAGTTCTCCAGTGGACACCAGCTGGGTGCTCTATAATTCAATTCAATTCTGACATTATTTGTGGATAATGTTAAATCCCAGAGGTTAGGGGCTCAGTTCCACAAGACTGCTCTCGCTTCAGATGTCAATTGCAAGTACAATTGGCCTTCCATATCTCAGGTTCCACGTCTGAGGGTTCAATCAACCAGGGGTCAAAAATATTAAAAAAAAAACAATAAAAGCATACAAAACACAATAATAAAAATACAAATAAAAACCAACACAGTAAACAGTTATTAACCTAGTATTTATATTGTATTAGATATTATACAATCTCTCTAGATTGCTATTACTATTACTATTAGTGTAGAGATGATCATCTCTAGATTTGTCTAGAGATGATTTACAGTATATGGGAGGATGTGTATAGTTTATATGCAAATACTCCACAATTTTATATAAGAAACTTAAGCTCACCTGGCCAGCCGCCCCATCCAGGAGGGAGGTGGGGGGCAGCCCACGCCCGGCCAGCCTCCCCGTCCGGGAGGTGGGGGGCGCCTCTGCCCGGCCGCCCCTTCTGGGAAGTGAGGAGCCCCTCTGCCTGGCCGCCACCCCGTCTGGGAGGTGTACCCAACAGCTCATTGAGAACGGGCCATGATGATGGTGGCGGTTTTGTCGAATAGAAAAGGGGGAAATGTGGGGAAAAGATAGAGAAATCAGATTGTTGCTGTGTCTGTGTAGAAAGAAGTAGACATAGGAGACTCCATTTTGTTCTGTACTAAGAAAAATTCTTCTGCCTTGGGATGCTGTCAATCTATAACCTTACCCCCAACCCCGTGCTCTCTGAAACATGTGCTGTGTCCACTCAGGGTTAAATGGATTAAGGGCGGTGCAAGATGTGCTTTGTTAAACAGATGCTTGAAGGCAGCATGCTCGTTAAGAGTCATCACCACTCCCTAATCTCAAGTACCCAGGGACACAAACACTGCGGAAAGCCGCAGGGTCCTCTGCCTAGGAAAACCAGAGACCCTTGTTCACTTGTTTATCTGTTGACCTTCCCTCCGCTATTGTCCTATGACCCTGCCAAATCCCCCTCTGTGAGAAACACCCAAGAATGATCAATAAATACAAAAACAAAACAAAACAAAACAAAAACCCAAAAAAACTACTTTGTGTCCCATTCATCAGGTAAAACTAGTCCTCTAAAAAAAAAAAAAAAAAAAAAAAAAAAGAAGCTTAAGCTTCCTTGGATTTGGATTTTGGCATCCGTGGGTGTCCTGAAACCTATCTCCTTTGAATGCCAAGGGACAACTGTAGTAGGTTGTCACCCATACTTCTACCAGACTGGCTGTAGATTGGCGTTCCAAAGACCCCCCTCCTCAGGTTTGATTAATTTGCTAGAGTGGCTTACAGAACTCAGGGAAACACTTTACTTATGTTTACATGGTTATTAATAAATGATCCAGATGAATATCCAGAGGAGATAAATAGGACAAATCATGAGGAAAGGAGCCCAGAGCTTTCATCCTTTTTCTGGGTGCCAGCTATCTGGAAGCTCATCCAAACTCAGTTTTTTAGGGTTTTTATGGAGACTTTATTATGCAGGTAAGATTGATTAAATCATTGGCTATTGGTGATCAGCTCAACTTTTTTATTATTGTTATTATACTCTAAGTTCTAGGGTACATGTGTAAAATGTGCAGGTTTGATACATAGGTATACCTGTGCCATGTTGGTTTGCTGCAACCATCAACTGATCATTTAGATTAGGGATTTCTCTAATGCTATCTCTCCCCCAACCCCCCACACCCTGACAGGCCCTAGTGTGTGATGTTCCCCACCCTGTGTCCACGTGATCTCATTGTTCCTTTCCCACCTATGAGTAAGAACATGGAGTGTTTGGTTTTCTGTCCTTGTGATAGTTTGCTGACAATGGTGGTTTCCAGCTTTATCCATGTCCCTGCAAAGGAAATGAACTCATCCTTTTTTATGGCTGAATAGTATTCCATGGTGTATATGTGCCATATTTTCTTTATCCAGTCTATCATTGATGGACATTTGGGTTGGTTCCAAGTCTTTGCTATTGTGAATAGTGCCACAATAAACATATGTGCATGTGTTTTCATAGTAGCATGATTTATAATCCTATGGGTTTATACCCAGTAATGGGATTGACCAGTGATGATGAGTATTTTTTCATGTGTCTGTTGGCTGCATAGATGTCTTCTTTTGAGAGGTGTCTGTTCATATCCTCTGCCCACTTTTTGATGGGGTTGTTTGTTTTTTTCTTGTAAATTTGTGTGTGTTCTTTGTAGATTCTGCATATTAGCCCTTTGTCAGATGGGTAGATTGCAAATTTTTTTTCCCATTCTGTAGCTTGCCTGTTCACTCTCATGGTAGTTTCTTTTGCCATGCAGAAGCTCTTTAGTTTAATTAGATCCCATTTGTCTATTTTGGCTTTTGTTGCCATTGCTTTTGGTGTTTTAGTCATGAAGTCCTTGCCCATGCCTATGTCCTGAATGGTATTGCATAGGTTTTCTTCTAGGGTTTTTATGGTTTTAGGTCTAACATTTACGTCTTTAATCCATCTTGAATTAATTTTTGTATAAGGTGTAAGGAAGGGATACAATTTCAGCTTTCTACATATGGCTAGCCAGTTTTCCCAGCACCATTTATTAAATAGGGAATCCTTTCCCCATTTCTTATTTTTGTCAGGTTTGTTGAAGATCAGATGGTTGTAGATGTGTGGTGTTATTTCTGAGGCTTCTGTTCTGTTCCATTGGTCTATATATCTGTTTTGGTACCAGTACCATGCCGTTTTGGTTACTGTAGGCTTGTAGTATAGTTTGAAGTCAGGTAGTGTGATGCCTCCAGCTGTGTTCTTTTGGCTTAGAATTGTCTTGGCAATGCAGGCTCATTTTTGGTTCCATATGAGCTATAAAGTAGCTTTTTCCAATTCTGTGAAGAAAGTCATTGGTAGCTTGATGGGGATAGCATTGAATCTATAAATTACTTTGGACAGTATGGCCATTTTCATGATACTGATTCTTCCTATCCATGAGCATAGAATGTTCTTACATTTGTTTGTGTCCTCTTTTATTTCATTGAGGAGTGGTTTGTAGTTCTCCTTGAAGAGGTCCTTCACATCCCTTGTAAGCTGGATTCGTAGGTATTTTATTCTCTTTGTAGCAGTTTCTGTGAATGGAGTTCACTCATAATTTGGTTCTCTGTTTGTCTGTTAATGTATAGGAATGCTTGTGATTTTTGCACATTGATTTTGTATCCTGAGACTTTACTGAAGTTTTTATCAGCTTAAGGAGATTTTAGGCTGAGATGATGGGGTTTTCTAAATATACAATCATGTCATCTGCAAACAGGGACAATTTGACTTCCTCTTTTCCTAATTGAATACCCTTTTTTTCTTTCTTGCCTGATTGCCCTGGCCAGAACTTCCAACACTATGTTGAATAGGATTGGTGACAGAGGGCATCCCTCTCTTGTGCTGGTTATCAAAGGGAATGCTTCCAGTTTTTGCCCATTCAGTGTGATATTGGCTGTGGGTTTGTCATTAATAGCTTTTATTATTTTGAGATACATTCCATCAATACCTAGTTTATTGAGAGTTTTTAGCATGAAGGGCTGTTGAATTTTATCAAATGCCTTTTCTGCATCTATTGAGATAATGTTGTGGTTTTTATGATTGGTTCTGTTTATGTGATGGATTACATTTATTAATTTGCATATGTTGAACCAGCCTTGCATCCCAGAGATGAAGCTGACTTGATCATGTTGGATAAGCTTTTTGATGTGCTGCTTTATTGGGTTTGCCAGTATTTTATTGAGGATTTTCACATCGATGTTCATCAGGGATATTGTTCTAAAATTCTCTTTTTGTGTGTGTCTCTGCCAGACTTTGGTATCAGGATGATGCTGGCCTCAAAAAATGAGTTAGGGAGGATTCCCTCTTTTTCTATTGATTGGAATAGTTTCAGAAGGAATGGCACCAGCTCCTCTTTCTACCTCTGGTAGAATTCGGCTGTGAATCCATCTGGTCCTGGACTTTTTTTGGTTGGTAGGCTATTAATTATTGCCTCAATTTCAGAGCCTGTTATTGGTCTATTCAGAGATTCAACTTCATCCTGGTTTAGTCTTGAGAGGGTGTACATGTCCAGGAATTTATCCATTTCTGCTAGATTTTCTAGTTTATTTGCATAGAGGTGTTTATATTATTCTCTGATGGTAGTTTGTATTTCTGTGGGATCGGTGGTGATATCCCCTTTATCATTTTTTATTGCATCCATTTGATTCTTCTCTCTATTCTTCTTTATTAGTCTTGCTAGCAGCCTATCAATTTTGTTGATTTTTTCAAAAACCCAGCTCCTAGATTCATTTATTTTTTGAAGGGTTTTTTGCATCTCTATCTCTTTCAGTTCTGCTCTGATCTTAGTTATGTCTTGCCTTCTGCCTGCTTTTGAATTTGTTTGCTCTTGCTTCTGTAGTTCGTTTAATTATGATGTTAGGGTGTCAATTTTAGATCTTTTCTGCTTTCTCTTGTGGGCATTTAATGCTATAAATTTCCCGCTACACACTGCTTTAAATGTGTCCCAGAGATTCTGGTACGTTGTGTCTTGTTCTCTTTGCTTTCAAAGAACATCTTTATTTCTGCCTTAATTTCGTTATTTACCCGGTGGTCACTCAGGAGCAAGTTGTTCAGTTTTCATGTAGTTGTGTGTGGTTTTGAGTGAGTTTCTTGATCGTGAGTTCTAATTTGATATCACTGTGGTCTGAGAGACAGTTTGTTGTGATTTCTGTTCTTTTACATTTGCTGAGGAGTGCTTTACTTCCAATTATGTGGTCAATTTTGAATAAGTGTGATGTGATGCTGATTAGAGTGTATATTCTGTTGATTTTGGGTGGAGAGTTCTGTAAATGTCTATTAGGTCTGCTTTGTGCAGAGCTGAGTTCAGGTCCTGGATATCCTTGTTAAACTTCTGTCTCATTGATCTGTCTAATGTTGACAGTGGGGTGTTAAAGTCTCCCACTATTATTGTGTGTGAGTCTAAGGCTGTTTCTAGGTCTCTAAGAGCTTGCTTTATGAATCTGGGTGCTCCTGTATTGGTTGCATGTATATTTAGGATAGTTAGCTCTTCTTGTTGAATTGATCCCTTCACCATTATGTAATGGCCTTCTTTGTCTCTTTTGATCTTTGTTGGTTTAAGATCTGTTTTATCAGAGACTAGGATTGCAACCCCTTCTTTTTTTTGCTTTCCATTTTCTTGGTAGATCTTCCTCCATCCCCTTATTTTGAACCTATGTGCATCTTTGCACGTGAGATGGGTCTCCTGAATACAGCACACTGATGGGTCTTGAGTCTTTATCCAATTTGCCAGTCTGTGTCTTTTAATTGGGTCATTTAACCCATTACATTTAACGTTAATATTGTTATGTGTGAATTTGATCCTGTCATTGTGATGTTCGCTGGTTATTTTTCCCGTTAATTTATCCAGTTTCTTCATAGCATCGATGCTCTTTACAATTTGGCTTGTTTTTGCAGTGGCTGGTAGCAGTTGTTTCTTTTTCATGTTTAGTGCTTCCTTCAGGAGCTCTTGTAAGGCTGGCCTGGTGATGACAAAAATCCCTCAGCATTTTCTTGTCTGTAAAGGACTTTATTTCTCCTTCACTTATGAAGCTTAGTTTAACTGGATATGAAATTCTGGGTTGAAAATTGTTTTCTTTCAGAATGTTGAATATTGGCCCCCACTCTCTTCTGGCTTGTGGGGTTTCTGCAGAGAGATCTGCTGTTAGTCTGATGGGCTTCCTTTTGTGGGTAACTCTACCTGTCTCTCTCACTGCCCTTAACACTTTTTCTTCATTTCAACCTTGGTGAATCTGACAATTATGTGTCTTGGGATTGCTCTTCTTGAGTAGTATCTTTTTGGTGTTCTGTGTATTTCCTAAATTTGAATGTTGGCCTGCCTTGGTAATTTGGGGATGTTCTCCTGGGTAATATCCTGAAGACTGTTTTTCAACCCGTTTCCATTCTCCCTATCACTTTCAGGTACACCGATCAAATGTAGATTTGGTCTTTTCACATAGTCCCATATTTTTTGGAGGCCTTATTTATTTCTTTTTACTCTTTTTTCTCTAATCTTGTTTTCTTGCTTTATTTCATTAATTTGATCTTCCATCACTGATACCCTTTCTTCCACTTGACCAAATTGGCTACTGAAGCTTGTGCATGCATCACGAAGTTTTTGTGCCATGATTTTCAGCTCCATCACATCATTTAAGTTCTTCTCTACACTGTTTATTCTAGTTAGCCATTCGTCTAATCTTTTTTCAAGGTTTTTAGCTTCCTTGTATTGGGTTGGAACATGCTCCTTTAGCTCAGAGAAGTTTGTGATTACCAACCTTCTGAAGCCTACTTCTGTCAACTTGTCAAGGTCATTCTCCATCCAGCTTTGTTCCGTTGCTGGTGAGGAGCTGCGATCCTTTGGAGGAGAGGAGGTGCTCTGATATTTAGAATTTTCAGCTTTTCTGCTCTGTTTTCTCCCCATCTTCGTGGTTTTATCTATCTGAGATCTTTGACGTTGGTGACCTACAGATGGGGTTTTGGTGTAGATGACCTTTTTGTTGATGTTGATGCTATTCCTTTCCGTTTGTTAGTTTTTATTCTAACAGTCAGGTCCCTCAGCTGCAGGTCTGTTGGAGTTTGCTGGAGTTCCAATCCAGACCCTGTTTGCCTGGCTATCACCAGTGGAGGCTGCAGAACAGCAAATACTACAGAACAGCAAATATTGCTGCCTGATCCTTCCTCTGGAAGCTTCATCCCAGAGGGGCAGCTGCCTATATGAGGTGTCTGTTGGGCCCTACTGGGAGGTGTCTCCCAGTTAGGCTACACTGGGGCCAGGGACCCACTTGGAGGAAGTCTGTCCATTCTCAGAGCTCAAACCCCATGCTGGGAGAACCACTGCTCTCTTCAGAGCTGTCAGACAGGGATGTTTAAGTCTGCAGAAGTTGTCTGCTGCCTTTTGTTCAGCTATGCCCTGCCCACAGAGGTGGAATCTAGAGGCAGTAGGCCTTGTTGAGCTGCGGTGGGCTCTGCCCAGTTCGAGCTTCCAGGCTGCTTTGTTTACCTACTCAAGCCTCAGCAATGGTGGATGCCCCACCCCCAGCCAGGCTGCCATCTTGCAGATCGATCTCAGACTGCTGCACTAACAGTGAACAAGGGTCCGTGGGTGTGGGAGCCATGAAGCCAGGCACAGTAGAGAATCACCTTGTCTGCCAGTTCCTATGACCTTGGGAAAAGCATAGCATTTGGGCAGGAGTGTCCTGTTTTTCCAGGTAGTCCGTCAGCTTCCCTTTGCTAGGATAGGGAAATCCCCAAACCCCTTGTGCTTCCCAGGTGAGGCGCCACCCTGCCCTGCTTCGGCTTGCCCTCTATGGGCTGCACCCACTGTCCAACAAGTCCCAGTGAGATGAATCAGGTACCTCAGTTGGAAATGCAGAAATCAACCGTCTTCTGCATCAATCATGCTGGGAGCTGCAGAACGGGGCTGTTTCTATTCAGTCCCTCTGTGTTGACCAGCTCAACTTTTATCCCTTCTCACCTCCCCTAAGGTTTTAGGGGGGCATGAAAGTTGTTATGCCTAATCAAGCCTCGATCTTTTTAGCCATTGACCTTCATTCTGAGGTTATATGCTCCCTTCCCACTGGCACTAACCACCTCATGAACATAAAAAACACACTCTCATTTTTCAGGGGGTTCAAGGATTTTAGAAGATATATGCCCAGGCACGAAGACCAAATAAGCATATGCCACAATATCACAATGACCTAGATGGTCAGGTTTGAATTTTGAAATCTCAAACTCTTCAGAGTTTCTTGCTACAATGTGGCAGCATAAGACAAATATCTCCTGACACCTGGCCTATAATTTATTCTCTTCTCTTGATATCTTGTATTTTGTATCTGTATCTTGCACTTTGTATTAGGTTGAATGGTATTCCTTCAAAAGATATGTCCAAGTCTTAGCTCTTGGCACTTGTGAATGTGATCTTATTTGGGATTAGGGTCTTTGTGGATGTAAGTAAATTAAGGATCTTAGATGAGATCATCCTGGATCATGGGTGGGCCATAAATCCAATGACTGCTGTTCTTACAAGAGAAAGAGAGGGAGATATGACACAGTGACATGGCAAGAAGGACATGTGAAGGCAGAGGCAGAAATTGGGGTTATGTATCTATTATACAAGAAATGCTGAGGATTGCTGGAAGCATCAGAAGCTGGGACATAGCCATAGAACAGTGTCTTAGTTCATTTTCTATTGCTTATAACAGACTACTGGAAACTGGGTAATTTATAAAGAGGAATTCATCTCTTACAGTTATAGAGGCAGAGAAGTCTAAAGTTGAGTGGCCATCTCTGTTGATGTCCTTCTGGTTGATGGGGAATCTCTTCAGTGTCCAGAGATGGTGCAGGACATCACATGGTAAGGGGGCTAAGTGTGATAGTTCAGGTCTCTCTTGCTTTTAAAAATGAAGCCATCAGTCCCATTGCTATGATAATCCATTAATCCATTAACCCATTGATATGGTTTGGCTCTGTGTTCCCACCAAAATCTCATATCAAATTGTAATTTCCACATGTTGAGGGAAGAACATGGTGGGAGGTAATTGGATTATTGGGGTGTTTCCCTCCATGCTGTTCTCATGATAGTCAGTGAGTTCTCACAAGAGCAGATGGCTTTAAAGTGTGGTATGTTTCTTTTGCCCTCTCTCTCTCTCTCTTTCTCTTGCCTGCAGCTGTGTAAGACATGCCTTGCTTCCTCCTTGCCTCCTGCCATAATTGTCAGTTTTCTGAGACCTCTCCAGTCATGTGGAACTGTGAGTCAATTAAACCTCTTTTTAAAAATAAATTACCCAGTCTCAGGTAGGATCTTTATAGCAGTGTGAAAACAAATGAATACACCCAGTAATCCACGAATGAATTAATCCACTCATGTGGGCAGAGCCTTCATGACCCAACCACTTAAATGTTCACTTCTCAAAAATGCAACACTGGGGATTAAGTTTCTTTTCTTTTCTCTTCCTTTTCTTCTCTTTTTCCTTTCCTTTTCTTTGAGTAAGGGTCTTGCTTTGTAACCCAGGCTGGAGTGCAGTGCCATGATCATGGTTCACTGAAATCTTTATCTCCAAAGCTTAAGCAATCATCCCACCTCAACCTCCTGAGTAGCTGGAACTACAGGTGTAGGCCACCACACTTGGCCATTTAATTTTTTTTGTAGAGATGGGGTCTCACTATATTGCCAGTCTGGTCTTGAACTGCTTATCTCAAGTGGCCCTCTTGCCACAGGCTCCCAAAGTGCTGGGATTACAGGCATAAGCTACCATGCCTGGTGGAGAGTAAGTTTCAATGTGAGTTTTGCATGGCACAGATATTTAAAACATAGCAAATAGATCTTCCCTCAGAGCCTTCAGAAGGAATCAACCCTGCCAATACCCTAATTTTGAACTTTTGGTCTCCAGAAATTTGAGAAAATAAATTTTTGTTGTTGTAAGCCACCAAGTTTGTGGTAATTTGTTATGGAAGCCCTGGGGAAAAGAGACAATCTTGAAACAGCCTTGCATGCACAAGAATGGACTCCCCAGCTCAGGCATCACAACTGTGACCTCACCCCATGAAATCAATTGTCCTTTGGTTACCCCTTAAGCCAACAGATGTGTACACCAGCTCAGTCACCTGTCAAAACAGACCTGAGGATGAGGCCCATTTTGGTCCTTTCAGGCTGCTATAACAAATGTTCTTAATCTACTTAATTTATAAATAACAGAAATTTATTGCTCACAGTTCTGGAGGCTGTGAAGTCCAAAATCAAGACACTAGCAGATTGATGTCTGGTAAGAAATAGCCCTCTCTGCTTCTAAGATTGTTCCTTCTTGCTATGTACTCATATGACAGAAGGGATGAACAAGAAACCATGGGTCTTTTTTCTAAGGGAATTCATCCCATTCATGAGGGCTCCATCCATGTGGCTTAATCACCTTCCAAAGACCTCATTTCTTAATACTACTGCATTAGGAATTAGGTTTTAACATATGAATTTTGGGGGACACAAACATTCAGACAATAACAAGGCTCAAGCCGGCTTGAAAGTGGCTTGAGGTTGTTGAGACAGGGAGTTCTGGGTATGCATATATAATCTTGAAGGATGTAGGTTCTGATTGATACCTCCCTTTGGCCTTGTGGAATCCTTGCCCCATAGACAGCTGAAGGAGTATCAGAGTGGAACTTGCCAAAAGCTCCTTGCTTAGTTCTAAGAGTGTGTGTTGGTTAATTTTATATGTCAACTTGACTGGGCTAAGGAATACCCAGATAGCTGGCAGAAAATTATTTCTGGGCATGTCTGCAAAGATGTTTCCAGAAGAGATTAGCATTTAAATTAGTCTAATAAGTAAAGCAGATCTACCCTCACAAATATGGTTGGTCATCATCCAATCCATTAAGGGCCTGCCTAGAACAAAATGTGGAGGAAGGACAAATTTACCCTTTCTGTTTGAGCTGAACCATTCATTTTTTCCAATTCTCAGACATAGATGCTTCTGGTTTATGGGCCTTCAGACTCATACTGGGATTTATATTATTGGCTCCATTGGTTCTTCAGCCTTTTGGCTTTGAGTAGAACTGGCTTTCCTGGGCCTCCAGTGTGTTGATAGCAGATTGTGGGACTTCTCAGCCTCCATAATCATTTGAGCCAATCCCTCATTATAAATCTATTTCTGTATATCTATATATGTCATATTGGCTCTGTTTCTCTAGAAAACCCTGATGAATACAAGGTGGTACTGCTAATGGTCTCTTTCTGTCTAGGTTATTTAACTTCTTAGCAGCATTTTATTCAGTTAATCACTATCTCCTCCTCTGTTCTCTGAAACACTTTTCTCATTTGGTGCCTGCGGTCTCTCACTCTCCTAGTGTTATTGCCACCTTCTTGGCCACTCTTTTCAGTTTTCTTTGCTGGTTGTTCTTCTTTAAATGTTGGAGTGCCCTACCTTCTTTATGTAGCTATACTCTATCTTTAGTATTCTCTTTTCTCTCTCCCTTTTTTTTTTTTTTAGACAGGGTCTCATTCTCTTGCCCAGAATGGAGTGTAGTGGCATGATGTTGGCTCACTGCAACCTCAACCTCCTGAACCTCCTGTGTTCAAGTGATTCTCCTGCCTCAGCCTCTTGTGTAGCTGGAATTACAGGCATGTGTCACCATACCTGGCTAATTTCTGTATTTTTAGTAGAGACGAGGTTTCACCATGTTGGCCAGGCTGGTCTCAAACACCTGACCTGGAGGTGATTCGCCTGCCTTGGCCTCTCAAAGTGCTGGGATTACAGGTATGAGCTATCGTGCCCAGCCTCCTTCTTTCTTTCTTTTTATTTTTAAAATGAAAGCAAGTTTATTAAGAAAGTAAAGAAATAAAAGAATGGGTACTCCATAGCCAGAGCAGCAGCATGGGCGGCTTGACTGGGTATACTTATTTTTTGATCATAGTGGTGGATTATTCATGAGTTTTCCAGGAAAAGTGTGGGTAATTCCTAGAACTGAGGGTTCCTCTTCTTTTTAGACCATAAAGGTTAACTTCCTGACATTTCCATGGAATTTGTAAACTGTCATAGTGTGGGTGGGAGTGTCTTTTAGCATGCTAATGCATTATAATTAGCATATAATGAGTAGTGAGGATGACTAGGTCACTTTCATTGACATCTTAGTTTTGGCGGGTTTTGGCAGGCTTCTTTACTACATCCTGTTTTGTCAGCAAAGTCTTTGTGACTTATATCTTGTACTGACCTCCTATTTCATTCTGTGACTAAGAATGCCTAACCTCCTGGGAATGCAGCCCAGTAGGTCTCAGGCTTATTTTATCCAGACTAATATGGTTTGGCTCTGTATCCCCACCCAAATTTCATGTCAAATTGTAATTTTCAATGTTGGGGGAGGTACCTGGTGGGAGGTGACTGGATTTTGGGGGTGGATTTTCCCCTTGCTGTTTTTATGATAGTGAGTGAGCGCTCATGAGATATGGTTGTTTGAAAGTGTGTAGAACTTTCCCCTTCACTCTCTCTTCCTCCTGCTCTGGCCATGTGAAGACGTGCCTTTCTTCCCCTTCACCTTCCACCATGATTGTAATTTTCCTGAGGCCTCCCCAGCCATGCAGAACTGTGAGTCAATTAAATCTCTTTTCTTTATAAATGACCCAGTTTCAGGTATGTCTTTATAGCAGTGTGAGACTCGACTAAAACACAGCCCCTATTCAAGATGGAGTCACTCTGGATGGAATGCCTCGGACATATTCCCCCCTCCCTTTTACAAGGGGACCCTTAATTCTAAGGGTTGCAGAAGGATGAAGATCCATCTTCTATAACTTCTTCAGACTGAATAGAGGTGATGATATTTCTGCCTATTAGGGTATCTTGTATTCAGTGTAGAGAGGAGCTCATTCTGAAAGCATCAATATGGTGAGGGCCATCTATAACTCTGAGTTCTGACCAAAGGTGATATCCATCCCTCTTGTTTGTTCTGAGCTGAAACCAAAGTTCACTGGTTGGTTCAAAGGAATAAGCAGGGTCAGTTGCAGGTCAAGAACTCTATACAGCTGGGGTTCCCAACCCCTGGGCCATGGACTGATACCAGTCTGTGGACTGTTAGGAATTGGGCTGCACAGTAGGTGGTGAGTGGTGAGCATGTGTGCAAAGCTTCATGTTTATTTACTGTTGCTCCCCATCACTTGCATTACTGCCTGAGCTCTGCCTCTTGTCAGACGAGTGGTGGCATTAGACTCTCATAGAATTGTGAGCCTTATTGTGAACTGCACATATGAGGGATCTAGGTTGCATGCTCCTTATGAGAATCCAATGCCTGATGATCTGTCAGTGTCTCCCATCATCCCTAGATGAGACTGTCTGGTTGCAGGAAAACAAGCTCAGGGCTCCCACTGATTCTACATTATGGTGAGTTGTATAATTATTTCATGATATTATATGTTACAATGTAATAACAATAGAAATAAATTGCACAAAAAATTTAATGTGCTTGAATCATCGTGAACCCCCACACCCCACCCCAGTGAAAAAGTAGTCTTCCATGAAACCGATCACTGGTGCCAAAATTGTTGGTGACCACTGCTGTACAGGGACTATGTAGACAAAATATGAGGCCAGTTTTCCAAACAGGATTTGATCGGCTCTATGAGTAAAATTTGATTCCTTAAAAGTGTGTTTTTATCTAAAAGCCTTGGTAGGAAAACCAGTGTCTCAAATTGTGTCCCAAAGTGTCACCAATTGTTGGCTAATTGGTGCTGCAGTCAATTTCCTTGGGGTTGGGGGGTCTCTTTAGTATAATCCCTTTGTGGTTCATCAGGAAGATGTTACTGGAAAAGGGTCTGATCTAGACCCCAACAGAGAGTTTTTGGACCTCACACAAGAAAGAATTTGGGGGAAGTCCATAGAGTAAGGTGAAACCAAGTTTATTAAGAAAGTAAAGGGATCAAAGAATGGCTATTCCATAGGCAGGACAGCCTATCTTTAGTATTTTCATGCAGTTTTTTTTAAATGCTCATGTCTATCAAATTTGTATCTTTAGCTCAGCCCTCTCCTGAACTCCTGACTTTTGTATTCAATTATGTTTTATGTCTCCATTTGGAGAATCTAGTAGGCTTCTAAGAATTCACATGTCCAAAAGCACTCTTCAGTACCCCTAAACTTGTACCTCCACCAGGATTCTCAATCTCCATTAATGTACTTTCACCTATCCCATTGATCAGGGTAAAAATCTTAGAGGTGTTCTTGAGTCTCCCTCTTACTCTCTGCATCCAATTAGTTGGCAAATTATCAGTTGGGTTTCTAAAATACATCCTAAATCTGACAACTTATTTTCATCTTCATTTTTATTAATTTAAACCTTGGCCAAGCCAGAGACTGGGTTTCTCCCTAGTCTTGTGTGCACACAGTTTTGCACACAGGACAAATGGAAGTAATAAATAAAGTATCTAAACCAGATTATATCACTCTTCAGCTAAAGCCTTAATTGGCTTCCATCATGCTTTGAATAACATCCCAAATCCTCTCTATGGCCTCTGTGACTTGCCCTTGCTCACCTTAGTCTTCATCCCCACCACTCTTCCCTTTGCTCACTGTAGTCCAGCCACACTGACACTCTTCCATTCTCAAACATGCCAAGCTTAATTCTGCCTCAGAGACTTCTGTGATTCTGATTCTCTCTTCTCAGACCTCAGATGTTTGCATTCAGGGTCCCCTCGTTTTTGAGGTTTCTGCATTCTGTTCTCCTATTTAAAATAGACATGTAATTACCCAGCTAACTCTCTATCCAATTACCTTGTTTTAATTTTTTCATAGTACTCATCTCTAAGCTCCATAGGTTGGAAATTGTATGTTTTGTTATAGTGTCTTCAGCACCAATAACTGTGTCTGTCAGAGAGATAGTTGGTACTCAATAAACATTTATGGGGTTAAGGCATGTATAAGATAAAATTTCTCATCTTTGGAGTAGGTTATTTTTATATGTAAATAATAATACAAAATAGAAAGTGGCAAATTTTTGTAGGAAAGCCAGATGTAAAATGCTATGAGTGTTTAGGGGCAAAAAATAGTATTATATGGTGATCTCAAGGAAGTCTTTCAGAAGGTCAAATTTGAGTTGGGTTTATACAAAGGAGGCACTTCAGAGATGGAGAGGAAAAGACATTCTGAATAATATGTTATTATAAGCAAGATTTAGAGATGGAAAGCTTAGAGTGCATGTGGAGAAGAGGAAGTTGTTTTAATTGAAGGACAAGGGAAGAGCAAGTGTGGAAAACAAGGTTGTGATTTCTATTAGGGTCAGTCTTTGGAGTACTTGTACGATTACTGGAGAACATGGTGTTCATTCTGTAAGCAATGGGGAAGGGTTTATGTAGGAGAGTAACATAATTGGAGCAGGGGGGGTCTGGAAGGTCACTGGGAATTATGTATGAATGGATTGCAGCAAGGAGAGGTGGTATGTAGGTGGTATGTTACAGGAGTTAATTATGTGACCAGTATACTTTTCCAAATGGGCAGTTTTGAGGTGCTGGACTCTGAGTGAGAGAGGTGGCAGAGGGAATGGAGAGGGAAGCAGGATTGTGATAGAGGTGGTAAAAGCAGAATCAGTAGACTTGACAGCTAATTGGTCTTACAAACTGTGACATTCCTCCTCTTTCTGTTTTAGTATTTATTTTACTGCTAATTGCTATTAGCTGTAGCATTAATCTTAGTAATTGCAATTATTTGAATGTTTGATAAAAGCTATTATATTAATGTTCACAATTTTGTAATCAGTTTTGTCAAAAGTCTTAAAAGCTAAGTAGCAGATGCCTGCTTTCAGAGGATAATAATGGATCACCACATGCTAGATACAATTACAAAGTTAAAATTGCTCTCACACTGTACATTTATGAGGACAATAATCCCTTGGGATGCTATTTAAAATACACAGAGCCAAATCCTACCCTCAGGCTGAATTAATGAGTCTCCTGAACTGTGAATGCTTGTCAGTTGGCAGAATTTAAATCTCATCAAATACAGTGGAAGCCTTTCCATGCACACTATATTTTCCTCCATGAGAAATAAATTTATATAATTATGCA
Organism: Homo sapiens; assembly: GCF_000001405.40. Taxonomy (NCBI): domain Eukaryota; kingdom Metazoa; phylum Chordata; class Mammalia; order Primates; family Hominidae; genus Homo; species Homo sapiens. The sequence goes on from NC_000006.12 coordinate 85,796,328, forward strand.
AGATCAATAGATTTCTATCTTTCTCTCTCCGTGTGTGTGTATTTGGATGCAGTGATATGTTTACTGTCACCAATGAACAGGAACCCATTTTACGGGTAACCCATGTACGGTAAATTCTGATAATATATTATTGCTGGGCATTGAGTGTTGAATCTACAGTGTAATTAAATACATGTCTTAATACACTATATTCATGGGGGTTCTATTTCTTTGAAACTCTTCTTGGTTTCTTTATATAAAAATGTGAGTTGTCAACATATTAAAAAAGTAATGAATTATAAACACATTAAAATAACTGTGACTTCATTTCATGTATTCTAATTTCAATGCATATTTTAATTCTGATATCCCAGTCACTTGGTCATATCAGATAACATGGAAATTCCAGTGCCTGGATCTATATACAGCTGTTGTATTTGAGTAAATGAAAGTTATTATATTTCCATTTAAGATTTGCATTTTAGATATTTGTGGCTGTTTGTGCAGACTCTGTAGCCAGACTGCCTGGATTTAGCTTTCTGACTTAGGTAATACACCTGACTTCTCTGTGCTTTAAGTTCCTCATCTGTAAAATGGGAATGATAATTATACCTACCTGTCAGAATTATTATGAAGGATTAAATGATTTAATTTGTGTGTGGCCCAACACGTAGTGAAAACTTAGTAGGTGTTAGCTATTATTACTGATGTCAAATATACATGCATTGCTATTAAAATTAAAGTTAATACCTGTAAATGCTAAATTATGATTCAGTGATTAATGTACTTTTATAACTTCAGTACTAGCTAGAAGTGATAGTTCTTTTCCAAATCTTTCCATAGTATTTTCTGCCTTGAGGAACAAAGGATATTATGTACTATGTGGATATTTTCCCTAATTATAGGTAGTAAGTAAAAATTATACAGCTCAGTTTAACTGCCTTTGAATGTCTATTGGCATTTATATCAGTGAATGTAATAGGCAAATAATATATAATGTTGAATTGGTAAATAATGACACATTCAATTCAGTGACACATTTGCTAATAACTATTACCAATTGCACTAACTGTATACCAATAATTTGAAAGGTATAATAAAATCTATTATTTTTATAGTCATAATTCAATTATTAGTCTTACATTTATCAATATTTATCGTAAACTCTCATAATAAAAAATAGAATAGAGAGGCAGGAAAATTTTTTTGCTCCCTTCAACCATATTTTCCCTATATTTAAAAAAGAAAGAGAAATTTCAAAACAAAACAAGAAGCCAAAGCAAACATACCACTCATCCCTGCTAAACTACTGCCATTTTCAGACATCTTGAGTTTTTTTTTTCCTTTTGGTGGCAAATTCTTGAGATGAGTAGTTAATACATCTTGAACATATTGATCACACTGGAACACATTTACATGCTGTTTTCATTCCCATTCTGTACTGTGTCAGCACTCAACAAAAATGACTGTATTCTCTTATTTCCCCAGTCCTTGGCCATATCCTCATTATCTTCCTATATTTCCTAGTAATGGATATTCCTTATGCCTATCACTTGGGTCACATCTCTTCCATTTTTTCTCTTACTAAATTAATTCTTTTGGATGTATTATCTATACTTTTAAATTTCAATTAGGTGCTTGTCATTCACATTTTTTATCATTAGTTCTAACTTCTGCCATTATCTATGAGACATCCTGGGGATGCTATAACAAAGCACCACATGTTAAATGACTTAAAATAATAGAAATGTACTCTGACAATTCTGGAGGCCAGAAGTCCAAAATAAATGTGTCAGCAGGGCTGTACTCCCTCACAGGCTTCCAAGGCTCTAGGGGAAAAATCCTTCCTTGTCTCTTCCACTTCTGGTGGCTTACAGCCAGTTCCTGCCTTCCTTGGCATGCGGCCACCTTACTCCGGTCTCTGCCCCTGTCTTCATATCACTGGTCCTCTGTCTGTCTTCTCCTTTTCTGCCTGTCTCTTCTGTGTGTCTCTCTTTTATAAGGACATTCAACATTGAATTTAGGGCTCACCTGGATAATTCAGGCTATCTCTTCATCTCAAGATTGAGCTCTCACTTAAGTTACATATGCAGAGATTCTTTTACCAAAGAGGATAATCTGCAAGTTCTAGAAACTGGACATGGACATATCTTTTTGAGGGCTACTATTCAACCCACTACACAAGGTGTAAGAAAAACACTGCATAATCAGATGAGGAATGACAACCTATACCAGATCTAGTGTTGAGTATTAGTGGGAGGTTGGGGGCTGGTGTGTGGAATGCTGGAGTGCGTGTGCCCTGTCTAACATGTCCAGCTCCTCCTCAGCTCTGGCTGACTGCTGACATGCAGACCTACTGTTGCCAGATCTTCTGATATCCCCAGAAGCTGGAAATCCAGCTTTTTATGTGTTGGCAACTAATTAAAGTTTAAAAACCTGCACAGAGTAGGTAACACTATGGGGAGAGCAAAACTGTCTGTGGGTCAGATGCAGCAAGCTGACAGTTTGTGAACTCTTGTCTACAGTCTGAGGTTCAGAGAGCAGCCTTAATGAAAAGAGCAGAGAACTTTCACCCTAGAGATGAGAGAGGTGGTGAGTCTAATGCCATCTGAGATAGGAAGAAAGATGCTAATATTAACTTTGACTGGCCACTCTCTGCTGTTTTAATTCAATGAGAAGCTCAAATAATTTTTAAATCTGAAAGGTCAGTTTCTTGTTGATGTCCTCTTATAAAATTTTAAAGTTGAGAATTGTGCAACATTGCTTTTTATGGCTTAATATTATGTGCCAATTTTTGGAAGGCGGTCGGAAACTTCTTCCTTATGTACCAGTCAAACTTGACTTTCTGGCCTGATTCTTTTTCTACATTTTTTTTTTTTTTGTAGCAGAGTAAATATTACTATGACTTAATGTCCCAGCGATACTGAAATATATGCAGCACCATGAATATGCTGTGCAATCTTTTATCTTCAACCCTTTGTACCATTTGGTCCTGTTAGCACATGCTCAATTCCTACTGGCTCAGTTTAGATATAACTATACACCAGTCTTTCTTAAGCCCCTAAGGCTGTATTGGGTTCCCTCTTACTAAACTCTGGAATAATGGCTCTCAGTGAGGCAGTACTGCCTCCTGTGGGGGATAGACTGAAAATTAATGGAGACTTTTGTGCTTAACACAATGATTGAGGGTGTTACTGGAATTTTGTGGAGGAGGGACCAGTATGCTAATGTCATGTAATTCAAGAACAGTATCATACAATAAAGGATTGTCTCTCCAGATGTTTACACCGATGAAAATAAGAAAAAAAGAGAATTGCCTGCATTCACATAACTTGTTAAAATTTGCACAAATTTATGGGGTACAAATGCAATTTTGTTACATGCATAGATTGTGTAGTGGTCAAGTAAGGACTTTTAGAATATCCATCACCTGAATAACATATATTGTACCCATTAAGTAATTTCCCATCATCTACCCCCAGCCCACTCCCTCCCCTTTCCAAGTCTCCGTTGTCTGTCATTTCACTTTCTACATCCACATATACACATTTTTAGTACCCACTCATGAGTGAGAACATGTGATATTGCACTTTCTGTGTCTAGCTTGTTTCACTTAACACAATTACTTTTATTAATAGTTCTATCCATGTTGCTACAAAAAACATGGTTTCATTTTTTTTGGCTGAATAATATTCCATTGTGTGTATATACCACATTTTCTTTTCTAATCATCCATTGATGGACACTTAAGTTGATCCTGTATCTTTGCTATTGTGAATAGTGCTGTGACAAACAATGAGTGCAGGTAGCTTTCTGATACACTGATTTTTTTTCCTTTGGGTAGATACCCAGCACTGGGATTGCTGGGTTGAATGATAGTTCTATTTTTAGTTCCTTGTGAAATTTCCATGCTGTTTTCCATAGACATTGTACTAATTTACATTCTTTTGTGGATGAAAGCTTGCTCACTTAAATTGTGTGCTGCCTGGGTAAGGCACATCACCTGGAAGGGGTTGTGTTCTGAGGAAAAGGTGATGGGAGCAAAGACTGGATTCGACTTCTCTCCCTGCAGGGTTATATATGGCAGAAAGGTCACATCTGGGGAACTGGGGCCTATGAAGCCTGGCTCTGTGTGTGGCCCAGCTGTTGAGGAACTAGGAAGCAACCACTGATCTTGTGCCTCTTCTGTAGACTATGTGGGTTTGTTTTCCTTGAACAAGTTCACCTCATGAGGTAACCTCATGAGAGACTCTGATCCAGATCCACTTAGCTGAGCCTCTCCCAGGGTCCTGACAGACAGAAAGTGTGAGATAAATAAATGTCTGTTGTTTTAGGCTGCTTAATTTTGGGACAATTTGTAACAGCGATAGATAACCAATACATACTAGTTAACAATTCTGTATATTTTTCCTGTTCAAATTGCTGGTTTGCTTTCTGTTTCCTGACTGACATAAACATGGAAATAAACATAAAAGAAATTTTAAAAATAATAATAAGGTTTACTAGGAGGAAAAATCTCAAACTACTTTAAGTTGGAATATTGATATTATTTATGAGTTCAGATAAAATAGCACCAAACTAAAGTGATTATTTCTATGTATCAATCTGTTTAAGGGTAATTTTATGTGCTCTATATCTATGAAATTTGATAAATAAATTTCTTTATGTCAGTAAGAAATTCAATTTAATTAAATCACTTTTTAGACTCTCAAAAGGAGAAACATATTAAAAAAGACATGTTTTATATGCATATATTTTAAAAAGACATATATATGTATACACACATATGTACACACACATCTGTGCACACACCCATATAAAATGAAGAAAACACCAAGTTCCAATATCAATCCTTTAAGTAAAAACATATTTGTTCTTAACATAAAGTGAAGTATCTGAGTTATACAACATGTATCAGCTCGTAGGCTTTAACAGACTGTCGGTGTTTTACCCTACACAGCCTATCTTTTGATATCAGGTGTAAAGTTACTGATAGCTCTAACATCTGACTTTTGCACTGTGGCCAAAAAATGGCTTTCGGGGCTGAGGTCCTGGACCTTACAAGTTAAATAGTTTATTTTTGAGAGGATGGAAGTTTAATTTTATAGTTTCTGCAGAACTGGAAGCCCTTCATTAAAAATGACTCTGGCTATTTATTCACTAGTCATTCCAAGCCTGTGAAATAATCACCCTTCCAATCATAAGCAAGTAAGGGGGTGACCATGAAGTCAGCTATTTGTTGGACTTCAGGTAGCTGAGAAAGTCAGAGATTGGCTACGGCTATTTGTAACACTGGTTTCCATTACAAGATGGCATAGAAAGCAATAATTTAAGATTACCAAAGAAAAATTTCAAGGATTTATGAAAGAATATGGTGGTAAATCAGAGTATAAGTAAATTGCCAAAGATGAGTCTAGTAAGTGGTGGAGCTGAGATTTAAATTCAGGTGCTCTGGCTTTAAAGTCCTTGTTCTTAATAGGTATAGGTATTTAGGGAAAGGAATATCAGGGGATGTAAGGTAGAGAATGATGTATCCCTTAAGGCCTGACTTCCTGCATGAATCCTTGTTGAATAATTTTAGCTGGATGTAATCCCTCCCAGCTCTGAACAACTCTAACTCATAGTGTCCATTCCAGTACTCCTGTGATATTTTTCATAAATGGCAACATAATACAGTTATTTCTGTATACAGCTTATAAATTGAGATTTATTTAAGTTATTCAAAAAATTTCGTGCATAATTTGAAGTTTTACAAGTCAAATTTTAAATAGATTGTTGAGATTTCTATATATAGCAACTTCGACAAAATTACAAGTAGGTACAGCATTAGGTGGGTCAATCCCGTTTTTAGGAATTCATTTTACAGATATACTTGCAAAATGATAGATGTACAAGGTTATTCTTTGCAGAATTGTTTGTAATAGCAAAAAACTGATGATGCATCTCTAGGAGTCATAAATGTTTTTCCTCAAATATTTACATTTCTTCCCCCCTGGGTGGGATTGCCTTTCTTGACTCTTTTATGGCTGGATAGGGCCATGTGATGAGTTGTGAACAGAAATATGTGTCTCATTTTGAGGTCAGGGCATTTAATAGGCAGGGTGGGGCCCTCTAGAACTTTTTCTTCTCTGCCACAGTAACTGGCAATGTTTGAGATGAAAACTGTTCCATTAGCCCGGGTCAGACATGATATGGAATAGAATACCAGGTCAAAACTGCCACTGACATGTAGCATGAGTGTAAAATGATCCTTTGTTTTTAAAAAAACCACAAATATTTTGTCATTGTAGTGAAGCTCAAAAAACCTTTGTAAAGTCAAAGTAGCAGCTTCGTATTGAGGAGTTCTCAGGAATAATGGAAGAAATTTGCAAAGAAATCTTTATTAGGATGGGTTTCCAGGTATCCCTTAAACAATTCACAATTAGGCTATTAATAAGGCCTCAGATAAAATAGGAGTACTGAAAGCTTTTGCAGTTTATCAAATCCTAATCTGAGCAAAATCTAGAAGTTGAAAAGATGTAAGAAAATGCATTAATTTGTGTTCTTTGTAATTTGAAGTTATCTAAATTGAATAATTATTTTCAGAATGTACCTTTCATTTAAAATTATTCATGGTGTTTTACTTGCATGTTTCTTATAGTTGTACTAAATGATGTGTGTTAGTCATGTGACACCAACTGACAGATTCAGACTATGCAGGTAAGCAATTGATCTTACAAATTTATTAAGGTGTCTGACATACTTGTGTAGAAACACAATAGAATACAAACCTTAATTAATGTGTAGGAGTTTTTTATGTTTAAAGAAGTGTTGTGGCTAGGTGTGGTGGCTTGCACCTATAAACCCAGCACTTTGGGAGGCCGAGGTGGGAGGATCACTTGAGTCCAGGAACTTGAGACCATCTTGGGCAACATAAAGAGACCCCCAACTCCACAAACAAATAAAAAATTAGCTAGATGTGGTGGCATGGGCCTGTGGTTCTGCTACTTGGGAGGTAGAGGTGGGAGAATGGCTGGAGCCTGGGTTTTGGAGGCTGCAATGAGCTATGATCATGCCACTGTACTACAGCCTGGGTGACACAGTGAGACTCTGTCTCAAAAAAAAGTGTTGTTCCTTAAGTGGTTAATTTTAGGGGCCTCATTTTAAGCATAAGGAAATCATTTTGCCTTAAAAGAAGAGAATAGTTTTCTCTTATTCACATTTTTATATACATTAATCATTATCCCAACGATGGTCAATTACCAGTTTGTTCCTTTTTCCCAGCTCATTAACTCTGAGGCTTATTTTTTTTTCTAGATTCTAAATATTCATCATGTTCAAATCAGCTTTGTGCTGCTTTCTCTGAATCACTTTTTATTTTAGTTTGAGCTTTCAAACTCCTGTTTCATACCCGGCATCTGTCTGTCTGTCTGTCTGTCTGTCTGTCTGTCTATCTATCTATCTATCTATCTAAGAACATGAAACTGCTGTTTGATTGAAAATATTGATAAAGGCAATCGAGCCAAACCCATTTTCCTCTGCAGGCTACTTCCTGTACTCAATTGTCATGAACAGCATGGTGGGCTCACTGCTTTCAGTAATTATTAAACTGGTTCTTTCCTTTCCCTTAGAACTCTCACTAGGGTGTGAGGATAGCATTGGGCTTTTATATGGGAATGGAAAATTCCAGCTGCATTATGCATGTCATACAAAGCAGGGCATCAACACCTTTTCTGGATCTTTCCTGTTTTCCTTGATTTAAAGCCATTTTTTTTAATGAGGTCAGTGGGTATAGTCAAGTGACACAAGAAAGTTTCTTAATGATATAGAAACAGAATTTTAAAACCTGTAACAACAACATCAACAAAATCAAACCATGTTTGATATCCTCATTGCAATAAAAAAAAATCAAACCAATATAACAGGTTGTTAAATCAAATGCACATTTAGAAATTGTTAGTTATTTCTGGGAAAATCAAACGTTCTTAAAAGTATTTTTGTCTGTATTTATGCTCTGTGATCTCATTTGTAGGGAATTGCTAAGCCATATACATTTACCAGAAGGAAATTCTTTTTTTTGTACAGGTTAAAAAAAAACTGTATTTCAGCAATTTGAGTAGACACTTAGAATAGATGATTAGAAAATCCTACATTCATTCTTGGCTCAGAAAAAGGGGAATATGTAAATAGTAAAGATTATATTATCCATTTCTGCATTTTCTATTTACTAGTGTTTCATTTGGACTTTACTATTTCTTGACAACTCAGTTTCTTTTTCTGACCACCTCTAGGGGGTAATTTAATGTAAATTATCTTTTGGTTGAATGGCAAACAGACCACCATACAAGAAAAATTACATCAAATGACATTATGCAGTTAAAATGATTAATGTCTAATGTAAATGTGGTGGAATTTGCCTCTGTTCCTATGATCAACCTGAATGCAGTTATTGTCTGTGATTTTCTTCTCTTAAGGTCTGTGGGGCATTATATTGTGATTCTTGTTTGAAGGCAGAAAAAATGAAGAGGGCACAGATCAACCTTTTATAATGAATATTACGTTCTGAAGTTCTCCATCTGCTCTCAGGCCACAGCTGTGTGTTTGGGAAGATGCAGAATAAGACAGTCAGAAGTGCACCACCTCACATACCTACACCTACTTCTCTCAGTTCACAGTGATTCCAGTTTGCTTGATCAAACACATGAATAAGAAACCTGGTTAGCATGTTCAACTTGACACCACCTTAATAAATACCTAGTTCTATTTCAAAATTTGGTCACATTTTTCTTCATGAACTTGGATCGTCTTTTACCTCAATTGGTGTCTCAAGTCTTTGTTTCTTCTTCTTCTTCTCCTTCTCCTTCTCCTTCTCCTTCTCCTTCTTCTTCTTCTTCTTCTCTTTCTTCCTTTTTTTTCTTTTTGAGACGTAGTCTCACTCTGTTGCCCAGGCTGGAGTGCAGTGGCGTGATCTCGGCTCACTGCAAGCTCCGCCTTTCGGGTTCACGCCATTCTCTCACCTCAGCCTCCGCAGTAGCTGGGACTACAGGCGCCCGCCACCAGGCCCGGCTAATTTTTTGTATTTTTAGTAGAGATGGGGTTTCACCGTGCTAGCCAGGATGGTCTCGATTTCCTGACCTCGTGATCCGCCCGCCTTGGCCTCCCAAACTGCTAAGATTACAGGCGTGAGCCACCGCGCCCAGCCGTCTTTGTGTCTTATTCTTCTTAACATGCCTGAGAAGAGCTATCTTTCCCAGGGTGGGTGCAGTGGCTCATGCCTATAATCCCAGCACTTTGGAAAGGCACAGCAGGAGGATTACTTAAGTCCAGGAGTTTGAAACCAGCCTGGGCAACATAGTGAGACCCTGTCTCTGCAGAAAATGAAAAAAATTAGCTGGATGTGGTGGTAAGTACCTGTAGTCCCAGCTACTTGGATGGCTAAGGTGGGCGGATTGCTTGAGCCTGGGAGATTGAGGCTGCAGTGAGCCATGATTGCACCCTGCACTCCAGCTTGGATTACAAAGTGAGACTGTCTCAAAAACAGCAAAAATTTATGCTTCCTTTTCTCTGCTTTGAATCAGCACACTATAAAGAAACTATTTCTGTTCTTTGGTATTGTATGCATCTATGGCTTGTATAGATATAAGGTGGATTGTGATATATTCTGACATTAATTAGCTGGTCGAGATTATAAAGTATGGACACACCCCTGTAGGTAAGATCTCCCATTAACGTTGTAAAGACAGGTAGTGGGTCCTTAATAGAAAGTCAGTGCATGCAAGGCAAACCTACAGCAGGTAAAAAAGGGAGTTTTGAGAATTCAAGGACAGTAGATATTTAGGCAAAAACTTTTTTGTTGAAGGGATGAAGGTAGAGAGGGTCACCAAGCTGGCATCTACCACATAGACTCAGAACGCATTGAATTCTCCCAGTTCTAGATATTCACTTGCCTCTTGTAGTTAGATTTTTTAGTTTAGTTATTGTTATATCTGATTCATTACTGAAGCCTCATTCCAGATTTTTCCCAATTAACCTATAGTGTCCACCTTGGGCAAGAGTTTTATGTGGGGAGTAACCCTCAAAGAGATGGTAAATTTGGTGGGGGAACATAAATTATATGCCTTCCCCACTTCCTTCGCAGCCTATCTGGAGATTCATATATAGCAGCTCCACTGAATGGTGAGCTCTGATAGAGGTCAGGGCACGCAGTGATTAACACAGTAAACCAGTATCAAGTAAAAAATACACGTTTGAAACCTTGAAACCATCTAGAATTCTCTCTTTTCCACATTTCCTGTATCCAATTAAATTCTTGAATATTCTTCATTCTACCAGAGTTTGGGGTTAAAATGAACAGGACTTTATGTGTATCAGATAGTGTAACAGTTATTTCTATTAAGCCTCTATCCCACTAATATGGAAATTATAACTTAAACTTCTCAGTTAAAGGTGATTCAGTTTCTTCTTGTTTAAAAAAGTTTTGGAGGGGGGAAGGGTTTTAAAATAGTCTCTTTTAGGTAAGTCATTAGACTTTCTGGGTTCTTTCTTTTTTCCCTTATTCCTTGCTAAACTGGTGTATGTATATGTATTAGCCCATTTTCGCACTCCTATAAAGAACTTCCCTGAGACTGGGTAATTTATAAAGAGGTTTAATTGACTCACAGTTACACATGGCTTGAGAGGCCTCAGGAAACTTATAATCATGGTGGAAGAAGAAGGAGGTCTTACATGGTGATAGATGAGAGAGACACAGAGAGAGAGAGAGAGAGAGAGAGAGAAAGGGGAAGAGCCCCTTATAAAACCACCAGATCTCATGAGAAATCACTCACTATTATGAGAACAGCATGAGGGAAACTGCCCTCATGATCCAATCACCTCACACCAAGTTCTTCCCTCAACACCTGGGGATTACAATTCAATATGAGATTTGGGTGGAGACATAGAGCCTAACCATATCATTCCACCCTTTGGCCCTCCCAAATCCCATGTCCCTTTTTCTTTTTTCTTCTTCTTTTTTTTTTTTTTTTTTGAGATAGAGTCTCACTCTGTCACCCAGGCTGGAGTGCAGTGGTACAATCTTGGCTCACTGCAACCTCTTCCTCCTGGGTTCAAGTGATTCTCCTGCCTCAGCCTCCTGAGTAGCTGAGATTACAGGGACACACCACTATGCCTGGCTAATTTTTTGTATTTTTAGTAGAGACGAGATTTCACTGTGTTGGCCAGGCTGCTGGTCTTGAACTCCTGACCTCGTGATCCAGCTACCTCAACCTCCCAAAGTGCTGGGATTACAGGCATGAGCCACCACACCCGGCCCCATGTTCCTTTTACATTTCAAGCCTCCTCAACAGTCCCCCAAAGTCTTAATTCATTCCAACATTAACCCAAAAGTCCAAGTCCAAAGACTTATCTGAGACAAGGCAAGTTCATTTTACCTATGATCCTGTAAAATCAAAAGCAAGTTAGTTACTTCTAGATACAATGTGGGTACAGGCATTGGGTAAATGTTCCCATTCCAAATGAGAGAAATTGGCCAAAACAAAGGGGCCACAGACCTCATGCAAGTCTGAAATCCAGAAGGCAGTCATTAAGCCCTAAAGCTCTGAAATTATCTCCTTTGACTATATGTCTCAAATCTGGGGCACACTGATGCAAGGGGTGGACTCCCATGGCCTTCGGCAGGTCCCTCACGGGCTGTTGAGTGCCTGTGGCTTTTCCAAATATACAGTGTAAGGTGTCAGTGGATCTACCTTTCTGGGGTCTGGAGGACAGTGGCCCTCTTCTTACAGTTCCACTAGGCAGTGTCCCAGTGGGGACCCTGTGTGGGGGCTCCAATGCCACATTTCCCTTCCAAACTGCCCTAGCAGAGGTCCTCAATGAGGGCTCCACCCCTGCAGCAGACTTCTGCCTGGACATCAAGTGTTTCCATACATCCTTTAAAATCCAGGCAGAGCTTCCCAAACCTGAATTCTTGACGTCTGTGTACCTGCAGGCTCAACTGTTGAACCTTCCAAGGCTAGGGGCTTGCACCCTCTGAAGCAACAGCCTGAGCTGTACCATGGATCCTTTTAGCCATGGCTGGAGCTGGAGAAGCTGGGATGCAGGGAGGCAGGGTACTAAGTCTTGAGGTTGCACACAGCAGTGGGGCCCTGGGCCCAGCCCATGAAACCATTTTTTCCTTCTAGGCCTCCAGATCTGTGATGGGAGGGGCTGCTGTGAAGGTCTCTGTCATGCCCTGGAGACATTTTCTCCATTGTCTTGGCTATTAACTCATTACTCAGGCAAATTTCTGCAGTCAGCTTGAATTCTGTGATGGTTAATACTGAGTGTCAACTTGATTGGATTGAAGGATGCAAAGTATTGATCCTGGGTCTGTCTGTGAGGGTGCTGCCAAAGGAGATTAATATTTGAGCCAGTGGGCTGGGAAAGGCAGGCCCACCCTTAATCTGGGTGGGCACCATCTAGTCAGCTGCCAGTGTGGCTAGAATATAAGCAGGCAGAAAAATGAGACTGGCCTAGCCTCCCAGCTTACATCTTTCTCCCATGCTGGATGCTTCCTACCTTCGAACATTGAACTCCAAATTCTTCAGTTTTGGAACTCAGACTTGCTCTACTTGCTCCTCAGCCTGCAGATGGCCTATTGTGGGACCTCATGATTGTGTGAGTTAATACTTTACACACACACACACACACACACACACACACACACACACACATATATATTCCTTTAGTTCTGTCCCTCTAGAGAACCCTAATAGGGAGTCCTAATTGAGGAAGCAAAAGGATAATATCTACCGTGATGCAAACACACAAAAGCATATACTATTAGAGCAGATACACAGATGAGAAAGAGAAAGTAGCCAAATGTTACCACTCCTTGACTCTCCTTGCTCCTCAGCTTGCAGACGACCTATTGTGGGACCTTGTGATCATGTGAGTTAATACTTAATAAACTTCCCTATATATGTATATGTATCCTATTAGTTCTGTCCCTCTAGAGAACCCTGACTAATACCAATTTCTCCCCAGAAGATGGGTTTTTATTTTCTACCATGTGATCAGACTGCAAATTTTCCAAACTTTTATGCTCTGCTTCCCTTTTAAACATAAGTTCCAATTTTAGACCATCTTTTTACAGGTAGTTAGGGATGAGTGGGGCAGGGAGGGCTCTCCCCCTACCCACTAGAAATGTCAGGTGATGGTTCAGAAATTACCACATTTCCACTCTAAAAATGATACTTTGGCAGCACCAGGGAGAAGCCATTTCTTGATGGCCCGCACCTGTTAACATCAAAATGTTAATAGAATGCTGGCCCCCAGGGAGAAGCAAGTTCCTGGGCATGCGTGTTAAGGGACAAAATGGTGAAGTATGGTCTTCCAGGGGCACATTCCACCAGAAAAGGGAAGAAATCCTCAGATGGGCATGAGTATAACTCTGTAAACACATTGTGTGTGCTCAGTTCCAAAGGGTAAGGAAAGTACTGGGCATGCAGAAAGCCCACCCTAAGGGAAGAATCATGGGAAAGTGGTGAGCCTATGAAGTCCTAGGATTAAGGCTAAAGGCCCTTTTTTTGGCTGTCTTCTTTTGCTCTCTTTTCTCTCTTGGAGCTTCAGGCAACTGCTTGGGTCTCTTTCAAGTGAATTTTCCTTTCTTTCTATTCCAAGGCCTTTTAAAATAAACTTCCATTCCTGCTCTGGAACTTGCCTCAGTCTCTTTTTCTGCTTTATGCATCTCAGTTGAATTGTTTCTTCTGAGGTGTTAAGGACTGAAGTTGCTACAGACCCACGTGGGCAGGCCACTGGTAACCTGGGGTAACTCGGATTTCTTCCACTGGTAACAATCTCTCTCAAGTTCAAAGTTCCACAGATCTCTAGGGCAGGGGCAGAATGCCACCAGTCTCTTTGCTAAAGCATAGCAAGAGTAACCTTTGCTCTAGTTCCCAATGAGTTCCTCATCTCCATTTGAGACTACCTCAGCCTGGACCTAATTGTCCATATCGCGATCAGCAATTTGGTCAAAACCATTCAACAAGTCTCTAAGAAGTTCGAGACTTTCCCACATTTTTCTGTCGTCTCCTGAGCCCTCCATACTGTTCCAACATCTGCCTGTTACCCACTTCCAAAGTCGCTTCCACATTTTCATGCTATCTTTAGTGGTACCCCACTCTACTGGTACTGAAGCAGGATATTTTTCTGACCCCTTCATGGGACTCATGACAAGGGCATCCCATTTACTCAGTCCATAGCTCTAAACTCTTCTCAGGAGGGAGCACATGAGCAAATGAGGCAGGAACTGGAGTACATGAGAGCTGAAGTTAGCCAGACACTCTGACACTGGCAGGAGCAAACTTCATTCACTTGAACCTGCTGTGTTCTGCCCCTTGTGGGAAGGGGCATGCAGGTAAGTGAGTGCAGAGCTGGAGTGAGTGCTTTTAGGCACTGGCAGGAGCCAAATTCATGCTGGCCCCACTGCAGCATCTACAGTGGGGGTGCCTGAAACCGCAGAGGAAGTGTTACATGCTTTTTTTAGCTCTGCTGTCTGCAGACAGCTTAAGAGTTAATGGCTCAGTGGGCCCTCTGCCATTTTGCATGAGGTAGCTGCCTTCTGCAAGGGAAGGCAAAAGGCAAGTGTGACAGTGTTTTTGTGTCTACACTTGTGGTTCCTGAGATCTTGCTCAGAATCCAGGAGAAAGGAGGGCACATGAATAAATTGAAGATTGGTAAATGTGGGGGATTTTATTGTTAAGGAAAGTGGCTCTCAGCAGGAAGGGGAGCTGAAAAGGGGAGGAGGTGGGAAGGTAATCTCCTGAAGCCTCACCCACTTTGGCTGGATCCTTCTTTGAAGTTATGCCATCAAGCTGTCCCTCTGGTCTGATGTTCCACTTCTGTCTGATGTTCAGCTGTAGTCTCCAATGTCCAGCTGCTTCTCCTACCTCTGCTGGCTGGGTCTGGGGTTTTTATAGGCACAGAATGGGATGGAGTGGGGCCATGAGAGGTTTTGGAAAAGGTAACATTCAAGCAGGAAAACAGAGATCCAAGTTCTCACTTTGGGCCACAGTCTCAGGCTTTTTGACTTGATGGTGGGGCCTTTATCAGGGATCCGCCCTCTTCTGCCCATAATTTCTCTGCCTCATGTCTATATCAGTACTAATTCTCTGTATTATCCCATTCTCACACTGCTATAAAGAACTTCCCTGAGGCTGGGTAGTTTATAAAGGAAGGAGGTTTAATTGATTCACAGTTCTGCATGGCTGGGGAGGCCTCAGGAAACTTACAATCATGGTGGAAGGGAAAGCAGACACATCTTACATGGTGGCAGGTGGGAGAGAGAGAGAGAGAGAGAACCCACTCACTATCAGAAGAACAGCATGGAGGAAACTACCTACATTATTCAATCACCTCCCACCAGATTCCTTCCTCAACACCTGGGGATTACAATTGAAGATGAGATTTGAGTGGGAACACAAAGCCTAACCATATCAGTGCATATGGTGGATTTTTTATGACCATGTAAAGGTAAAAGAAAGAGAAACTTGGATCTATGCACAAAGGTTCAAAACTTCCTCTGGATCATTACTGGCTTTGGTTGAGTTGTGTTGTTCTTTGTCTGATACAGATTGTCTTCTGACCTCACTGAGTTTTCTTGAGCAAATTATCCCACTTTGTCTTTGTGTACTGGCATTCATTGCTTACAGCTCTGGATATTGCCTCAGGCATCAGGATTAGCCACCTACTTCCAAGCTTCAGCCTGTGCTTCTTCATTATTATTATTATTATTATTATTATTATTATTATTATTATTATTTTGGCTGTTTGTTCTCTTGGGGACTCGTGGGAACTTCTGGATCTTCCCCCACCACAGCCAAGCTGTAGAGAACCAGCAATAACAGCCCTAGCTATCAGTCTGGATCCTCTCCTTTGGCCATACTATGCAAATTATCCCTAGGCTTGGTAGATATGGTTTGGTGCTGGATGTGGGATTTTCTCTGATGGTCTTACAGACTCTTCTAGGCTAAACCTGCAAAACAGGCCATTAGCTCCAAGGTACTTAAATTCTTCCTTATGGCATCCTTCTCTCTAAGCATTCAACTTTTGCATATCTCTTTCTTCTTCCACTTTTTTTTGTATATGCCTTTCTACTTCTTCCTGCCTGACCAAGCCTTCATGTATTTCATATACTGAATTCCTATTTCCTGTCTCTTATTGTAAACCTCAATGTTCAGACTTGTAGATTTTGGTTTACCTATGTAAAAGGATATTTTTATTTTGTGTTTAAATTTAGAAACCTTCTATTTTTAAGTAAATACTATTATTTTGTGAGAACTAAGAAAAGAAGACAGCTTTGAGACTCAACAAAGTTGAATAGTGTCCCTTTGCCCTAACTGGTATCTCCTTACCCCATGGAAAAATGGATGTCAGTAATTCTAAAGGTGGGAATATATAGCTGAGAAAATACATCTGAAGATACTCCAGACGTTCTTCCCATTATATCTGGGTTACTTTGTCTCCATTTTTACATCTTTGATTTCATTCTCTATGTTGCTGCTAGGATGTTTTTAAAAAAACACAAATCTGCTTATATTGCTTTCTTGCTTGAAATTCTTCTGTGGATTTCATAGTACATTTAAGACTCTTAGCTTATAGTTTTTGTTCACTCCAGTTCTTCTTTCTGATATGCCTTCCTCATTGTTCTCCATTTTTCTTAATTTTTATTGTTTCCCAGGTTCCTTCTTGAGTTCTTCCTTGGTAAAGTCTTCTTTGGCCATCTCTACTCACAGGCATCACTCTCTTTTCTGAGCTCCTGTAGAAGAAAGTCTGGTAGACTTACTAGGAGATGATCAAAGTATAGGATGGCCACTTAAGTTATTGTCCATGTTGGACACTTTTGAATGGAAAAATGAGTTTGTTAATTATTTTGCAGTAATAGGCATAAACTGAAAATCTTCAAGGCAAACCAGGATGCACAGTCACTTTAATTAATGAGACTCCTGGCTTGTAATTTGTTAACTGTGTGTCCTGGGTTGATAGGGTTAATTTTTCAAGTCCTCCATTTTCTCATCTGTGAGCATAATATGCTTCATTGAATGTATCAAACAGTATTTGAGTATTTGTGAAATACTTATATTAGTGATAAGGCACTATGTAACTATAAGGAATTATCACCAACTACTTGACACCATTATATATAATCTTATATGGTATTTAAACTGATAAGAACAGATACTACACTTGATCTTAGCTAACAGGCCAGGAAGCTTATATGGTATTAAAACTTTAGTGTTTTGATCTAAATGTGTTTGTCCATTTATTATTTACTTTAATATGTATTAATTTTTTATGTGTTTTCAAAAAATTTATTAAATTTATAAAGTACAAGTGCAATTTCTTTGCATACATAGATCACATAATGGTCAGGTCAGGGCTTTTTGGGTATCCATTATCTGAATAATATACATTGTATCCATTAAGTAATTTCTCATCCTCTGCCTCACTCCCACCTCACCCTTCTGAGTCTCCATTTTCTATCATTCCACTCTCTACATCCATGTGTACACATTTTTTAGCAGCCATTTATGAGTGAGAACACATGATATTGTGTCTGGCTAGTTTTACTTAAGATAATGACCTCCAATTCCATCCGTGTTGCTGCAAATGACATGATTTCATTCTTTTTTATTACCAAATAGTATTTCATTATGTATATATACACCACATTTTCTTTATCCATTTGTTGATGGACACTTAGGTTGATTACATATCTTTGTTATTGTGAATAGTGCTGTGATAAACATACAGGTGCAGGTATCTTATTGATAAATTGATTTCTTTTCCTTTGGGTAGATATTCAGTAGTGAGATTCCTGAATTGAATGGTAATTCTATTTTTAATTCTTGCAAAATATCCATACTGTTTTCCATAGAGATTATACTAATCTACATATTTCCATAAAGATTGTAGTAATCTACACTCCTACCAACAGTGTACAAGAATTTCCTTTTCTCTGCACCCTTGTCAATGTCTGTTATTTTCTATCTTTTTAGTAATAGCCATTCTGATGCAAATCAAAGCAACAATGAGATACCATCTTACATCAGTCAGAATGGCTATTATTAAAAAGTCAAAAAATAACAGATGCTAGCAATGTTTCAGAGAAAAGGGAATTTTCATACACTGTTGGTGGGAATGTAAATTAGTTCAGCCACTGTGGAAAGCAGTGTGATGATTCCTAAAAGAGTTAAAGCAGAACTGTCATTTGACTCTGCAATTCCATTACTGGGTATATATCCAGAGGAATATAAACAATTCTACCACAAAGACACATGCACATGACTGTTCATTGCAGCACTATTCACAATAGCAAATACATGGAATCAACCTAAATGCCCATCAATGACAGATTTGATGAAGAAAATGTAGTATATACACACCATGGAATACTATGCAGCCATAAAAAAGAAAGAATTTTTTTTGTGTGGGAACATGGTTGGAGCTGGAGGCTATTATCCTTAGCAAACTAAGTCAGGATCAGAAAACCAAATACCACATGTTCTCACTTATAAGTGGGAGCTAGATAATAACCCATGAACACAAAGAAGGAAACAACAGATACTGTGGTTTACTTGAGGGTAGAGGGTGGGAGAAGGGAGAGGAGCAGAAAATATGACTATTGGGTACTGGGCTTAATACTCAGGTGCTAAAATAGTCTGTATAACAAACCACCATGACGTGAGTTTACCTGTGCAACAAAGCTTCACATGTATTGCAAACCTAAAATAAAAGTTAAAAAAGTAATAGCCATTCTCACTGGGCTAAGATGATAATACACTGTGGTTTTGGTTTGCATTTCTCTGATAATTAGTGATGCTGGGAATTTTTTCATACACCTTCTGACCATTTGTATGTCTTCTTTTGAAAAATGTCTATTCATGTCTTTTGCCCACTTTTTAATGGGATTAATTGGTGTTTTTTTGGTGGTTGTTTTTGTAGTTGTTTGAGAGCTTTGTAAATTATGTGTATCAGTTTCTTGTTGGATGCATAGTTTGCAAATATTTTCTTCTATTTTGCATGTTGTCTGCTCCCTCTGTTGATTATATCTTTTGCTGTGCAGAAGTTTTTAGTTTAATTATGTTCCATTTGTTTCTTTTGTTTTTATTGTCTGTGCTTTTAAGGTTTTAGTCATAAATTCTTTGCCTAGGCTAATGTCCAGAAGAGCTTTGCCTAGGTTTTCTTCTTGTACTTTTATAGCTTTCATTATTATATTTAAGACTTTAATTCACCTTGAGTTAATTTTTGTAAATAATGACAGATACAGGTCTAATTTCATTTTTCTGCATATGGCAATACCATTTTGATAGCACTATTTATTAAAATTAAAAAGGAGATCTTTTCATAATGTATGTTCTTGTCAGCTTTGTCAATGGTCAGTTGGCTATAAATATGTGGTTTTGTTTCTGGGTTCTTCATTCTGTTGCAGTGATCTATGTGTCTATTTTTATACCAGCATCATGTTGTTTTGGTTACTATGGCCTTATGATATAATTTGAAGTGAGGTATTGTGATGCCCCCAGCTTTGTTCTTGCTTAGGATTGCTTGGGTTATTTGGGTTCATTTTGTGTTCCATATACATTTTAAGATGGTTTTTTCTGATTATATGACAAATGAGGTTGATGTTCTGATAGGAACTGCATTTAATCTGTAGATTGCTTTGGGCAGGTGAGCGATGCAGAAGACAGGTGATTTATGTATTTCCAACTGAGGTACCAGGTTCATATCACTGGGGAGTGCTGGACAGTGGGTGCAGGACACTGGGTGCAGCGCACCATGCATGAGCCACAGCAGGGTGAGGCATCGCCTCACCCAGGAAGTGCAAGGGGTCAGGGAATTCCCTTTCCTAGTCAAAGAAAGGGGTGACAGACGGCACTTGGAAAATTGGGGCACTCCCACACTAATACTGTGCTCTTCCAATGGGCTTAACAAACGGCACACCAGGAGATTATATCCTGCACCTGGCTCGGAGAGCCCTATGCCAACAGAGGCTCGCTCATTGCTAGCACAGCAGTCTGAAATCAAACTGCAAGGCAGCAGTGAGGCTGGGGGAGGGGCACCCACCATTGCTGAGGCTTGAGTAGGTAAACAAAGCAGCCTGGAAGCTCGAACTCAGTGGAGCCCACCACAGCTCAAGGAGGCCTGCCTGCCTCTGTAGGCTCCACCTCTGGGGGCAGGGCACAGACAAACAAAAGGCAGCAGTAACCTCTGCAGACTTAAATGTCTGTCTCTGACAGCTTTGAAGAGAGTAGCGGTTCTCCCAGCACACAGCTTGAGATCTGAGAATGGGCAGACTGCCTCCTCAAGTGGGTCCCTGACCCCCGAGTAGCCTAACTGGGAGACACTGCCCAGTAGGGGCAGACTGACACTTCACACGACTGGGTACTCCTCTGACACAAAACTTCCAGAGGAATGATCAGGCAGCAGCATTTGCGGTTCACCAATATCTGCTGTACTGCAGCCACCGCTGCTGATACTGAGGCAAATAGGGTCTGGAGTGGACTTCCAGCAAACTCCAACAGACCTGCAGCTGAAGGTCCTGACCGTTAGAAGGAAATCTAAGAAACAGAAAGGACATCCACACCAACAACCCATCTGTACGTCACCATCTTCAAAGACCAAAGGTAGAGAAAACCACAAAGATGGGGAAAAAACAGAGCAGAAAAACCAGAAACTCTAAAAATCAGAGTGCCTCTCCTCCTGCAAAGGAACGCAGCTCCTCAGCAGCAATGGAACAAAGCTGGATGGAGAATGACTTTGAGGAGTTGAGAGAAGAAGGTTTCAGAAGACCAAACTACTCTGAGCTAAAGGAGGAAGTTCAAACCAATGACAAAGAAGTTAAAAACCTTGAAAAAAAATTAGACGAATGGCTAACTAGAATAACCGATGCAGAGAAGTCCTTAAAGAACCTCATGGAGCTGAAAACCACAGCATGAGAACTACATGACAAATGCAGAAGGCTCAATAGCTGATGCGATAAACTGGAAGAAAGGGTATCAGTGATGGAAGATGAAAGGAATGAAATGAAGTGAGAAGAGAAGTTTAGAGCAAAAAAATATAAAGAAACCAACAAAGCCTCCAAGAAATATGGGACTATGTGAAAAGACCAAATCCACGTCTGATTGGTGTACCTGAAAGTGACAGGGAGAATGGAAACAAGTAGGAAAACAGTCTGCAGGATATTATCTAGGAGAACTTCCCCAATCTAGCAAGGCAGGCCAACATTCAAATTCAGGAAATACAGAGAACGCCACAAAGATAATCCTCGAGAAGAGCAACTCCAAAAACACATAATTGTCAGATTCACCAAAGTTGAAATGAAGGAAAAAATGTTAAGGGCATCCAGAGAGAAGGGTCGGGTTACCCACAAGGGGAAGCCCATCAGATTAACAGCTGATCTCTCAGAAGAAACTCTACTAGCCAGAAGAGAGTGAAGGCCAATATTCAACATTCTTAAAGAAAAGAATTTTCAACCCAGAATTTCATATACAGCCAAACTAAGCTTCATAAGTGAAGGAGAAATAAAATAATTTGCAGACAAGCAAATGCTGACAGATTTTGGCACAACCAAGCCTGCCCTAAAAGAGCTCCTGAAGGAAGCACTAAACATGGAAAGAAACAACCGGTACCAGCCACTACAAAAACATACCAAATTGTAAAGACCATCAAGCCTAGGAATAAACTGCATCAACTAATGAGCAAAATAACCAGCTAACCTCATAGTGACAGGATCAATTTCACACATAACAATATTAACCTTAAGTGTAATTGGGCTAAATCCTCCAGTTAAAAGACCCAGAATGGCAAATTGGATAAAGAGTCAAGACCCATCAGTGTGCTGTATTCAGGAAACCCATCTCACATGCAGAGACACACATAGGCTCAAAATAAAGGGATGGAGGCAGATCTACCAAGCAAATGGAAAACAAAAAAAGGCAGGAGTTGCAATCCTACTCTCGGATAAAACAGACTTTAAACCAACAAACATCAAAAGAGACAACACCATTACATAATGGTAAAGGGATCAGTACAACAAGAAGAGCTAACTATCCTAAATATATATGCACCCAATACAGGAGCACCCAGATTCACAAAACAAGTCTTTAGTGACCTACAAAGAGACTTAGACTCCCATACAATAATAATGGAAGACTTTAACACCCCACTGTCAACATTAGACAGATCACCGAGACAGAAAGTTAACAAGGATATCCAGGAATTGAACTCAGCTCTGCACCAAGCAGACCTAATAGACATCTACAGAACTCTCCACCCCAAATCAACAGAATATACATTCTTTTCAGCACCATATCACACCTATTCCAAAATTGACCACACAGTTGGAAGTAAAGCACTCCTCAGCAAATGTAAAGAACAGAAATTATAACAAACTGTCTCTCAGACCACAGTGCAATCAAACTAGAATTCAGGATTAAGAAACTCATTCAAAACTGCTCAACTACATGGAAACTAAACAACCTGCTCCTGAGTGACTACTGGGTACATAACGAAAAGAAGGCAGAAATAAGGATGTTCTTCGAAACCAACGAGAACAAAGACACAGCATACCAGAATCTCTGGGACACATTCAATGCAGTATGTAGAGGGAAATTTATAGCACTAAATGCCCACTAGAGAAAGCAGGAAAGATCTAAAATGGACATGCTAACATCACAGTTAAAAGAACTAGAGAAGCAAGAGCAAACACATTCAAAAGCTAGCAGAAGGCAAGAAATAACTAAGATCAGAGCAGAACTGAAGGAAATAGAGATGAAAAAACCCTTCAAAAAAATCAATGAATCCATGAGCTGGTTTCTTGAAAAGAGCAACAAAATTGATAGACTGCTAGCAAGACTAATAAAGAAGAAAAGAGAGAAGAATCAAATAGATGCAATAAAAAATGACAAAGGGGATATCACCATCGATCCCATGGAAATACAAACTACCATCAGAGAATACTATAAACACCTCTACACAAATAAACTAGAAAATCTAGAAGAAATGGATAAATTCCTCGACACATACACCCTCCCAAGACTAATCCAGCAAGAAGTTGAATCTCTGAATAAACGAATTACAGGCTCTGAAATTGAGGCAATAATTAATAGCTTACCAACCAAAAAAAGTCCAGGACCTGATGGATTCACAGCTGAATTCTACCAGAGGTACAAGGAGGAGCTGGTACCACTCCTTCTGAAACTATTCCAATCAATAGAAAAAGAGGGAATCCTCCCCAACTCATTTTATAAGGCCAGCATCATCCTGATACCAAAGCCTGGCAGAGACACAACAACAACAAAAAAGAATTTTAGACCAATATCCTTGATGAACATTGATGCAAAAATCCTCAATAAAATACCGGCAAACCAAATCCAGCAGCACATCAAAAAGCTTATCCACCGTGATCAAGTGGGCTTCATCCCTGGGATGCAAGGCTGGTTCAACATATGAAAATCAATAAACATAATCCAGCATATAAACAGAACCAAAGACAAAAACCGCATGATTATCTCAATAGATGCAGAAAAGTCCTTTGACAAAATTCAGAAACCTTCATGCTAAAAACTCTCAATAAATTAGGTATTGATGGGACGTATCTGAAAATAATAAGAGCTATCTATGACAAACCCACAGCCAATATCATACTGAATGGGCAAAAACTGGAAGCATTCCCTTTGAAGACTGGCACAAGACAGGGATGTCCTCTCTCACCACTCCTATTCAACATAGTGTTGGAAGTTCTGACCAGGGCAATCAGGCAGGAGAAGGAAATAAAGGGCATTCAATTAGGAAAAGAGGAAGGCAAATTGTCCCTGTTTGCAGATGACATGATTGCGTATCTAGAAAACCCCATTGTCTCAGCCCAAAATCTCCTTAAGCTGATAAGCAACTTCAGCAAAGTCTCAGGATACAAAATCAATGTGCAAAAATCACAAGCATTCTTATACACCAATAACATACAAACAGCCAAATCATGAGTGAACTCCCATTCCCAATTGCTTCAAAGAGAATAAAATACCTAGGAATCCAACTTACCAGAGATGTGAAGGACCTCTTCAAGAACTAAAAACCACTGCTCAATGAAATAAAAGAGGATACAAACAAATGGAAGAACATTCCATGCTCATGGGTAGGAAGAATCAATATTGTGAAAATGGCCATACTGCCCAAGGTAATTTATAGAGTCAATGCCATCCACATCAAGCTACCAATGACTTTCTTCACAGAATTGGAAAAAACTACTTTAAAGTTCATGTGGAACCAAAAAGAGCCTGCATTGCCAAGTCAATCCTAAGCCAAAAGAAAAAAGCTGGAGGCACCACACTACCTGACTTCAAACTATACTACAAGGCTGCAGTAACCAAAACAGCATGGTACTTGTACCAAAAGAGAGCTATAGACCAATGGAACAGAACAGAGACCTCAGAAATAATGCTGCATATCTAAAACTATCTGATCTTTGACAAACCTGACAAAAACAAGCAATTGGGAAAGGATTCCCTATTTAATAAATGCTGCTGGGAAAACTGACTAGCCATATGTAGAAAGCTGAAACTGGATCCCTTCCTTACAGCTTATACAAAAACTAATTCGAGATGGATTAAAGACTTACATGTTACACCTAAAACCATAAAAACCCTAGAAGAAAACCTATGCAATACCATTCAGGACATAGGCATGGGCAAGGACTTCATGTCTAAAACACCAAAAGCAATGGCAACAAAAGCCAAAATTGACAAATGGGATCTCATTAAACTAAAGAGCTTCTGCACAGCAAAGGAAACTACCATCAGAGTGGACAGGGAACCTATAGAATGGGAGAAAATTTTTGCCACATACTCATCTGACAAAGGGCTAGTATCCAGAATCTACAATGAACTCCAACAAATTTACAAGAAAAAAACAAACAACCCCATCAAAAAGTGGGCGAAGGATATGAACAAACACTTCTCAAAAGAAGACATTTATGCAGCCGAAAAACACATGAAAAAATGCTCATCATCACTGGCCATCAGAGAAATGCAAATCAAAACCACAATGAGATACCATCTCACACCAGTTAGAATGGTGATCATTAAAAAGTCAGGAAACAATAGGTGCTGGAGAGAATGTGGAGAAATAGGAACACTTTTGCACTGTTGATTGGATTGTAAACTAGTTCAAGCATTGTGGAAGTCAGTGTGGAAATTCCTCACAGATCTAGAACTAGAAATACCATTTGACCCAGTCATCCCATTACTGGGTATATACCCAAAGGATTATAAATCATGCTGCTGTAAAGACACATGCACAGGTATGTTTATTGTGGCACTATTCACAATAGCAAAGACTTGGAACCAACCCAAATGTCCACCAGTGATAGACTGGATTAAGAAAATGTGGCAGATATACACCATGGAATACTATGCAGCCATAAAAAATGATGAGTTCATGTCCTTTGTAGGGACATGGATGAAGCTGGAAACCATCATTCTCAGCAAACTATCGCAAGGACAAAAACCAAACACCACATGTTCTCACTCATAAGTGGAAATTGAACAATGAGAACACACGGACACTGGAAGGGGAACATCACACACCGGGGACTGTTGTGGGTTGGGAGGAGCAGGGAGGGATAGCATTAGGAGAGATACCTAATGGTAAATGATGAGTTAATGGGTGCAGCACACCAACATGGCACATGTATACATATGTAACCAACCTGCACATTATGCACATGTACCCTAAAACTTAAAGCATAACAGTAATAATAATAAAAAAGGATTGCTTTGGGAAGTATTGTCATTTTAATAATATTAATTCTTTCAATTAATTAGCATGGGATTTTTTCTCATTTCTTTGTGTCGTCTACAATTTATTTCATCAGTATTTTGTAGTTTTCCTTGTAGAGATCTTTTGCCTCTTTGATTAAATGTATTCCTAGGTATTTTTTTTGTTATGTAAATGGGATTGCCTTCTTAATTTCATTATTGTCTAGATTATTATTGGTGCATAAAAGCACTACTATTTTTGTACATCAATTTTTTATCCTGAAACTTTACTGAATTCATTCATCAAGTCCAAAATATTTTTGGTGGAGTCCTTAGCTTTTTGTAGCTATAAGATTGTATCATCAGCGAACAGTGATAATTTGACCTCCTAATTTCCAATTTGGGTGCCTTTTATTTCTTTCTTTTGCCTAATTGCTTATCTAAGTTCTTCTACTACTATGTTGAATAAGCGTGGGTGTCCTTGTCTTCTTCTGGTTCTTAGAGAAAATGCCTTCAGCTTTCTCCCTTTCAGTATGATGCTAACTGAGGTTTTGTGATTTTATAGCCTTTAATATCTTGAGGTATGTTCATTCTATTCCTAGTTTGTTGAGGGTATTTATTATAAATGTACGTTGAGTTTTATCATAAGCTTTTTATGCATCTATTGAAATGATCATATTGAGATGTATTACATTTGTTTATTTGCATATGCATAACTATCCTTGCATCCATAATATAAAACCCACTTGATTGTAGTGTATTATCTTCTTGATGTGCTATTGAATTTAGTTTGCTAGTATTTTGTTGAATATTTATGCTTATATATTCATCAGGGATATTGGTCTGGATTTTTTTTTGTTGTGTCCTTGTCTGGTTTTGGCATAGGTATCAATTGTAATGTCTCCTTTTTCATCTCTAGTTTTACTTGGGTCTTCTCTCCTCTTTTCTTGGGTAGTCTTTGCTTATTCTTTCTTCTTTTTTATTTTTGTCTCACTTGATTTTTTTCGAAAGATCTGTTTTTTTTTTTTTTTGGAGTCAATGTAAATTCTCATCAATGGTAGACTAGATAAAGAAAATGTGGTACATATATACCACTGAATACTCTGCAGTTACAAAAAGGAATAAAATCATGTTCTTTGCAGCAACATGGATAAAGCTGGAGACCATTATCCTAAGCAAACTAACACAGGAACGGAAAACAAAATACTACATGTTCTCACTTATAAGTGGGATAAATATTGAGTACACATGGGCATGAAGAAGGGAACAAAAGACACTGGGGCCTACTTGAGGGTGAAGAGTCGGAGGAGAGTGAAGATAAAAAAAAACTACCTATTGAGTACTATATCTCTTACCTGGTTGACAAAATAATCTGTACACCAAGCACCTATGACATGTGATTTACTTATATGACAAATCTGTACATGTATCCCTAAATCTAAAATAAAAGTTTTTTTAAAAAGACCTATGTTTAACTTCTGAAAAAGTTTTTTTCTGCTTGATTTAGCCTATTATCATTAAAGCTTTTAAATAATGTATTTGGTATTTCCTTCAGTGAGTTTTTCAGTTCCACTGTTTTTGTTTGGTTCTTTAAAAAAAAAAATCTATCTCCTTGGTAAATTTCTTGTTCACTTCCTAGACTGATTTTTTGAGTTCTTTGTTTTTCAGGTTTGTCTTGCATCTCAATGAGCTTCTTTAAAATCAGTATTTTGAATTATTAACAAAAAAAGAAAAAAAGAAAAAGATTTTGAATTCTTTATGTGGCATACTGAGGATTTCTTTTGGGTTAGGATATGGTGTGGAAGAATTATTGTGTTTCTTTGAAGATGTTATATTACCTTGCTTTTGCATGTTTCCTGTTTTTTTTAACATTGATTTTTGTGCATTAGGAGAAAAAGTAGCTTCTTCTTATTTTTGAATTTACTTTTTTTGGGAAGGAGACTTTTTTTCTTAAACTTGTGACTATAGGGTTTGTTTGGTGGAAGTCTTTGATTTTTCTTCTGAGTGCATACAGTGGTGAAGAGTCTGTATGATTTCTTAGGCTATAAATAGTGTTAGTCCAATCTGTGTTTTCCTTTATGTGTTACAGTATATTTGTTTGTGGGGCTGTGGTAAAATTATCAGGGACTGGAATGCTAGATGTGTCCATCTTCAGGTTTTAGTGGTAGGAGTGGTGGGTTAATGTGTTTATCCTTACTACCTGGAGCAGCATATGCTGGCATGTGTGTTTGCAATTCAAGCAGGCTGTGGTTGGGCCTCTGGATGACTTTCTCTGATGTCAGTTGTTAGCAGTATATGGGATGGGACAGCAGAAAATCAACCATAGGCTTCTGAGCAGCCTGTTTATGGGCAATGGCAGTAGCAGTGATTGTGATGTGTTCCTCAAAGTCTTGAGTGCTGTGCTCTTGTGTTAGCAGCAGTGATTGCAATGGACTGTATGAGTTGATCTCCAGACCAGTAGATGGCACTTTTAGGCAAGATCCAGCTGTGGTGGTAGTGGTATAATGTTTATGCTCATTTTTGTTCCTCAGGAAAAGTGCTTGGGCATCCCAGGTGGCAAATTGTGTTGTGGAACATCTAGAAGCCTGGATTCCGTGCTCTGTCTTGTGAAGGGCATGGCAAGGCTGGACAATGAAGTGGGCAATGTTGTGCTCAGGCCCTTCAGTAGTGAGTGTATACATCAGCCTTGATGAAATGCTTGGGTGAGGGACCATAGCTGCTGTACTGAGGTCTTAGCATGGGGAGGGGGAGTGTGGTCCCAGCAGCCAAAGCTTTGATTGGCAGAAGTGGGACTTGTGTCACCCTCATGCCTTAGTCCTGGTGAATTTCCCTTCCCCATATTGGTTGTCTCAGCCAACACAGCTATTCAGTTAATCCCAGGAGTTTGCACCATAGGAGCTGCTGCCCAGCCCAACACCAAGCCTATGCAGAGACTGTCCTCCTGCATAGGTCCCAGGGGGCGAGTTGCCTGGTTCCAGCACCAGTAGCTGGAGCCCACCCCATGTTCCCTTTTCAGACCTTGTTGTGGGATCCCAACTCCCACTGAAGCCACAGTTCTGCAAATGCTTCCAGATTTTTTTTTAACAGCTAACAGTGATACCACTGGCTCCCAGGATCCCAGGACCATGTGCAATTTGTGAAGAGCTAGGGTCAGGAATGACATCTTACAGTAGCTGGTTAGGTCTCAAAAAGGCATGTGACACTTCCTGTGCAGTTCCCTCTGGTAATCTCCCTTCTGCTTCCTAACTTAGATTCAGGGACTGGGTGAGTCAAGGTACTCTCCTGTGGCCTGGATTCATGGAAAAGTAGATTGCAGAAAGCACTTACCCTGTCCTGTATTGGCATTCACTTCTGGTTCCTAGATTTTCCTAGCCATGTGGGCTGTCTGTTTTCCTTCTTTTTCCTAGATTTTAAAGTTTCCTTTCACTTTTCTGTTTAACTCCTATGTTTTATCTTGAATAATATATTCAAAATATGATTGTCTACACATTATTTTGGTTCATCTAAGTGGATGAGGCATGCTGGAAATGCTTCCAGTCAGCCATCTTGGAAACTAAAACATTCCATATATATTACTTGATATCTGTTATGCATCTGACCCTGTGTTCAGGCCCAGATTTTAAGTTGAAGAGAAGTTGAGTCACTATTTCTTGTCACAAATTATGGTAGTGATAAACTTTCTATGCTGTGGTAAAAGTGACATTCCCTATGTATAACTTTATTTTTGATAATGGAATAAACAGTGTTGGACTCAAGCAGGAATATTCATTATTCAATCAAGGTAGTTCTTTAAGAAATAGTTGTATTATTGTTCTTTCTTAAAAATCAGTCATTTTATCTGACAAGTTACTTCTTTATTTATGTCAAAAGTAGAAGACGAGATGGGGGCTTCAAGATGGCTTACTAGAGATGCCTGGCACTTGCCTCCTCCACAAAGAGAAATTAAGCATGAATAGATAATCACATGTCCAATAGAGCATTGAAGAATACTGGAATTCAGGAGGGAAGGGACAGGGACCCTCTGAGGCATGGAAGGAGAAAAAAGCAAAGCAGCTGGCCTGGCTGAGATTGGCTTGAAGCCAGGAGGGACTCCCCATTGTGGGGAAAGGTAAGCTAGAGATTCCCAACAGTCCACATCCCCACTGTAGGTAGACTCCTGAAATCCTAGCCATGGGAGATACCCTTGGCCCTTACAGGCCCTGAAACTAGTATGGGGAACTGCCTGGAGTCCATGTGATGGCATTGTTCCAGAGAGGGAGTTTGCCCTGGGTCCCACACATCCCCTGAGACACAAGCAGCTACAGCACAGAGCCATTTTAGGAGCCCAGCCCTCACCAGACTGCATTCTCCCGAGTCCCAATAGTTCTGATATTGCCACATCCCTGGAACCATGCTGACCACCCCCAACCCATGTCCACCCAGAGGGCTGAAGTGTCATGACATTGGCTGGACTCAGTGATGCGGCTGGATTCCCAGCACTCTAGCCTATGCAGTATTCTACATCCCAGGAAATGGGTGGCGCAGTGCACCAGAGATGCCAACCCTGGGACTAAGGGAGCAAAGGTGTGTGCTCCTAAGAGTCTGAGTGCTGCCTGCCTGGGCTGTGGACTCTGATAGAAACTAGACTCCCTCCAGCAGAAGGGCCACTGTGCACCTGCATGGTCCTTCAGGGTTCCTGGGGAACAGCCCTCCCAGGAACTGTCCCAGGGCCTACCACAGGCCCGTGTGAGGTGTACTAGCTCTTGCGCACACCACCTGGTGGCCTGAGGAAAGGCTTGTCCCCTCAATGTCACTATTGCTAGTTCCTGAGAATATTTTCCAGGGATGGGGATTCGCCTACCCTGCCTGCTGCAGCTGGTATCCACGTGCACCATTGGGGGTCCTAAGGGCATGTCCACCCCATATACTGCCACTGCCAGTATATACATGTGTCATCCAGAGGCCTGAGGACAGGCCTACCCCACCACCATCACTGCCACTGATATTCAAGTGTGCCATCCAGGGACCTGGGGAGAATCCACTCCACCTGTTGGTGCCAGGGCCTGCACATGCCTTCTGGGGGCCTGAGGATGGTCATGTAACATCTTCTACCACTGGCCGCATGCATTTCCTGAGGGCCTGGGGACTGACCCACCCAGCTTGCCACTGTCACTGCTGCTGGTACCCACCTGCATATGATTCCTGGGGTCCTGGAGATTGGCCTATCCAGTCCACAGCTGCCACTGCTGGTGCTCACATGTGCCACTCAAGGATCCAAGGGTTTGCCTGATGCCCCTACTACTACTATTGATGCTATGAATATCATCCAGGGGCTTTAGGATCCACCTGCTCATTCTGCCCATCACTGCAATGGTCAATACACAAGCAAACTGCCTTGAGGCCCAGGGACTGGCCTGCCTGGATTAACTACCACTAGTTCCCATGTACACTGCACAGGAGGTCCAAGGAATGGCACGACCAGACCATTGTTGCCATCACTGCTGCCCAAGGGCTGGCCTGTCTGGAATCCCTCTCCCTAGCAAAACCTTATTACAGTCTCCACTAACAGCTGCAGCCTAAGCCACTGGAGATCTCATGGACACCACTGAGGCTGATTATAGCCAATGAAATAATACAGAGACTAAACTGCATCCATCCAGAATCAAAGCCAAAGCACTCTATCCACCCAACACTATAATTACATCTATAGGAAAAAGTCTTTCCCTACAAAGGCTATTACATAAAAGTGGAAGAAACAGGACTGGGCATGATGGCTCATGCCTCTAATTTCAGCAGTTTGGGAGGTTGAGACAGGTGGATCACTTGAGTTCAGAAGCTCGAGACCAGCCTGAATGACATGGCAAAGCCCCATCTCTATGAAAAAATATAAAAATTAGCTGGGTGTGATGGCCCATGCCTATAGTCCCAGCTACTTGTGAGGCTCAGGTGGGAGATTTGCTTGAGACTGGGAGGTGGAGGTAGCGCTGAGCTGATATTGTGCCACTGCACTCCAGCCTGGGGCACAGAGTGAGATACTGTCTCAAAAGTAAAACAAAAACAAAAACAAAAAACAAAAAGGAAAGAAACAACTGTCACACAATATGCATAGATATCAATGTAATGACACACAAAAACCATGAAAAAGCAAGGAAAGATCATACCTCCAAAGAATGCAATTATTCCAAAGAAAGAAATCTTAAGGAAAAGGAAATCTATAAAATACCTGAAAAATAATAATGATATTAAAGAAACTCAGTGAGATACAAGAAAACACAGATAAATAATACAAAGCAGAAACAGAATTGATGATCTGAATGAGAAATTCAACAAGAAATAGATATAATAAAAAAGAACAAGACAGAGATCCTGAAAATGAAGAATTCAATGAACAAAATTAAAATAATATATCAAGAGCTTCAGCAGAAAAATTTCTGAACTTTAAGATGTATTCTGAAATAACCCAGTTAGACAAAAAAAAAAAAAAAAACCCATAAAAAAGAATGAAGAAAGCTTACATAACATATAGGATACCATAAAGTGACCACATTTTTGAATTCAGGGCGTTCTGGAAGGCAAGATGGGCAAAGATATAAAAAACACTCTTTAAAAAATAATAGCTGGCTGGTCACAGTGGCTCATGCCTGTAATACCAGCACATTGGGAGACTGAGGCAGGCAGATCACTTGAGGCCAGGAGTTTGAGACCAGCCTGGCCAACATGGTGAAAACCCATCTCTACTAAAAATACAAAAATTAGCCAGGCATGGTGGCGGGCACCTGCAATCCCAGCTAGTTGGGAGGCTGAGGCAGGACAATCGCTTGAACCCAGGAGGTGGAGGTTGCAGTGAGCAGAGAACATGCCACTGCACACCAGCCCAGGCAACAGAGTGAGACTGTCTCAAAAAAAAAAAAAATAGCTGAACACTTCCCAAGTCTTAAAGAGATATAGACATCTAGATACAGCAAGCTGAAAAAACTTCAATTAGTTCAAATCCTAGAAGTCTTCTCTAAGGTACATTGTAGTCAAACTGGCAAAAATCATAGACAAAGAGACAGTTCTAAACATAGCAAAAGAAAAGTGTTCAATCACATATAAGGGAATCTCTATTAGACTAGCAGTGAATTTCTCAGCAGAAACATTTTAGTTCTGTAAGGAATGGTATGATATATTCAAAGTGCTGAAAGAAACTTCCAGCAAAAATACTATGCCCAGAACAGTTATCCTTCATAAAAGAAGGGAAATAAAGTCTTTTCTAGACAAGCAAAAATGAAGAGAATTTGTTACTACTTGACTGGTCTTATAAGGAATTCTTTTTTTTCTTAATTTTATTATTGTTATACTTTAAGTTTTAGGGTACATGTGCACAATGTGCAGGTTTGTTACATATGCATACATGTGCCATGTTGGTGTGCTGCACCCATTAACTCGTCATTTACCATTAGGTATCTCTCCTAATACTATCCCTCCCCACTCCCCCCACCCCACAACTGTCCCTGCTGTGTGATGTTCCCCTTCCTGTGTCCATGTGTTCTCATTGTTCAATTCCTACCTATGAGTGAGAACATGCGGTGTTTGGTTTTTTGTCCTTGCGATAGTTTGCTGAGAATGATGGTTTCCAGCTTCATCCATGTCCCTACAAAGGACATGAACTCATCATTTTTTATGGCTGCATAGTATTCCATGGTGTATATGTGCCACATTTTCTTAATCCAGTCTATCATTGATGGATATTTGGGTTGGTTCCAAGTCTTTGCTATTGTGAATAGTGCCACAATAAACATACATGTGCATGTGTCTTTACAGCAACATGATTTATAATCCTTTGGGTATATACCCAGTAATGGGATGGCTGGGTCAAATGGTATTTCTAGTTCTAGATCCCTGAGGAATCACCAAACTGACTTCCACAATGGTTGAACGAGTTTAGAGTCCAACCAACAGTGTAAAAGTGTTCCTATTTCTCCACATCCTCTCCAGCATCTGTTGTTTCCTGACTTTTTAATGATCACCATTCTAACTGGTGTGAGATGGTATCTCATTGTGGTTTTGATTTGCATTTCTCCGATGGCCAGTGATGATGAGCATTTTTTCATGTGCTTTTTGGCTTCATAAATGTCTTCTTTTGAGAAGTGTCTGTTCATATCCTTTGCCCATTTTTTGATGGGGTTGTTTGTTTTTTTCTTGTAAATTTGTTGGAGTGCATTGTAGATTCTGGATACTAGCCCTTTGTCAGATGAGAACATGCCAAAAATTTTCTCCCATTCTGTACGTTGCCTGTTCACTCTGATGGTAGTTTCTTTTCCTGTGCAGAAGCTCTTTAGTTTAATGAGATCCCATTTGTCAATTTTGGCTTTTGTTGCCATTGTTTTTGGTGTTTTAGACATGAAGTCCTTGCCCATGCCTATGTCCTGAATGGTATTGCCTAGGTTTTCTTCTAGGGTTTTTATGGTTTTAGGTCTAACATGTAAGTCTTTAATCCATCTTGAATTAATTTTTGTATAAGCTGTAAGGAAGGGCTCCAGTTTCAGCTTTCTACATATGGCTAGCCAGTTTTCCCAGCACCATTTATTAAATAGGGAATCCTTTCCCAATTGCTTGTTTTTCTCAGGTTTGTCAAAGATCAGATAGTTGTAGATATGCAGCATTATTTCTGAGGGCTCTGTTCTGTTCCATTGATCTATATCTCTGTTTTGGTACTAGTACCATGCTGTTTTGGTTACTGTAGCCTTGTAGTGTACTTTGAAGTCAGGTAGCGTGATGCCTCCAGCTTTGTTCTTTTGGCTTAGGATTGACTTGGCAATGCGGGTTCCTTTTTGGTTCCATATGAACTTTAAAGTACTTTTTCCAATTCTGTGAGGAAAGTCATTGGTAGCTTGATGGGGATGGCATTGAATGTATAAATTACCTTGGGCAGTATGGCCATTTTCACGATATTGATTCTTCCTACCCATGAGCATGGAATGTTCTTCCATTTATTTGTATCCTCTTTTATTTCACTGAGCAGTGGTTTGTAGTTCTCCTTGAAGAAGTCCTTCACATCCCTTGTAAGTTGGATTCCTAGGTATTTTATTCTCTTTGAAGCAATTGTGAATGGGAGTTCACTCATGATTTGGCTCTCTGTGTGTTTTTGGTGTATAAGAATGCTTGTGATTTTTGCACATTGATTTTGTATCCTGAGACTTTGCTGAAGTTGCTTATCAGCTTAAGGAGATTTTTGGGCTGAGACAATGGGGTTTTCTAGATATACAATCATGTCATCTGCAAACAGGGACAATTTGACTTCCTTTTTTCCTAATTGAATGCCCTTTATTTCCTTCTCCTGCCTGATTTACCTGGCCAGAACTTCCAACGCTATGTTGAATAGGAGTGGTGAGAGGGGGCATCCCTGTCTTGTGCCAGTTTTCAAAGGGAATGCTTCCAGTTTTTGTCCATTCATTATGATATTGGCTGTGGGTTTGTCATAGATAGCTCTTATTATTTTCAGATACGTCCCATCAATACCTAATTTTTTGAGAGTTTTTAGCATGAAGCGTTGTTGAATTTTTTCAAAGGACTTTTCTTCCTCTATTGAGATAATCATGTGGTTTTTGTCTTTGGTTCCATTTATATGCTGGATTACGTTTATTGATTTTTGTATGTTGAACCAGCCATGCATCCCAGGGATGAAGCCCATTTGATCATGGTGGATAAGCTTTTTGATGTGCTGCTGGATTTGGTTTGCCAGTATTTTACTGAGTTTTTTTGCATCACTGTTCATCAAGGATATTGGTCTAAAATTCTCTTTTTTTTGTTGTGTCTCTGCCAGGCTTTGGTATCAGGATGATGCTGGCCTCATAAAATGAGTTAGGGAGGATTCCCTTTTTTTCTATTGATTGAAATAGTTTCAGAAGGAATGGTACCAGTTACCCCTTGTACCTCTGGTAGAATTAGGCTGTGAATCCGCCTGTTCCTGGACTTTTTTTGGTTGGTAAGCTATTGATTATTGCCACAATTTCAGATCCTGTTATTGGTCTATTCAGAGATTCAACTTCTTCCTGGTTTAGTCTTGGGAGGGTGTATATGTCCAGGAATTTATCCATTTCTTCTAGAATATCTAGTTTATTTGCATAGAGGTGTTTATAGTATTCTCTGATGGTAGTTTGTATTTCTGTGGGATCGGTGGTGATATCCCCTTTGTCATTTTTTATCGTGTCTATTTGATTCTTCTCTCTTTTCCTCTTTATTAGTCTTGCTAGCGGTCTATGAATTTTGTTGCTCTTTTCAAGAAACCAGCTCATGGATTCATTGATTTTTTGAAGGGTTTTTTGTGTCTCTATTTCCTTCAGTTCTGCTCTGATCTTAGTTATTTCTTGCCTTCTGCTAGCTTTTGAATGTGTTTGCTCTTGCTTTTCTAGTTCTTTTAATTGTGATGTTAGGGTGTCAATTTTGGATCTTTTCTGCTTTCTCCTGTGGGCATTTAGTGCCATAAATTTCCCTCTACACACTGCTTTGAATGTGTCCCAGAGATTCTGGTATGTTGTGTCTTTGTTCTCATTGGTTTCAAAGAACATCTTTATTTCTACCTTTAGTTCATTATGTACCCAGTAGTCATTCAGGAGCAGGTTGTTCAGTTTCCGTGTAGTTGAGCGGTTTTGAGTGAGTTTCTTAATCCTGAATTCTAGTTTGATTGCACTGTGGTCTGAGAGACAGTTTGTTGTAATTTCTGTTTTTTACATTTGCTGAAGAGTGCTTCATTTCCAACTATGTGGTCAGTTTTCGAATAGGTGTGGTGTGGTGCTGAAAAAAGTGTATATTCTGTTGTTTTGGGGTGGAGAGTTCTGTAGATGTCTATTAGGTCTGCTTGGTGCAGAGCTGAATTCAATTCCTGGATATCCTTGTTAAATATCTGTCTCGTTGGTCTGTCTAATGTTGACAGTGGGGTGTTAAAGTCTCCCATCATTATTGTGTGGGAGTCTAAGTCTCTTTGTAGGTCACTAAGGACTTGTTTTATGAATCTGGGTGCTCCTGTATTGGGTGCATATATATTTAGGATAGGTAGCTCATCTCGTTGAATTTATCCCTTTACCATTATGTAATGGCCTTCTTTGTCTCTTTTGATCTTTGTTGGTTTAAAGTCTGTTTTATCTGAGAGTAGGATTGCAACCTCTGCCTTTTTTTGTTTTCCATTTGCTTGGTAGATCTTCCTCCATCCCTTTATTTTGAGCCTATGTGTGTCTCTGCATGTGAGATGGGTTTCCTGAATACAGCACACTGGTGGGTCTTGACTCTTTATCCAATTTGCCATTCTGTGTCTTTTAATTGGAGCATTTAGCTTACTTACATTTAAGGTTAATATTGTTATATGTGAATTTGATCCTATCATTATGATGTTAGCTAGTTATTTTGCTCGTTAGTTAATGCAGTTTCTTCCTAGCCTTGATGGTCTTTACAATTTGGCATGTTTTTGCAGTGGCTGGTACCGGTTGTTCCTTTACTTGTGTAGTGCTTCCTTTAGGAGCTCTTTCAGGGCAGGCCTGGTGGTGACAAAAATCTCTCAGCATTTGCTTGTCTGTAAAGGATTTTACTTCTCCTTCACTTATGAATCATAGTTTGGCTGGATATGAAATCCTGGTTTGAAAATTCTTTTCTTTAAGAATGTTGAATGTTGGTCCCCACTCTCTTCTGGCTTGTAGAGTTTCTTCTGAGAGATCAGCTGTTAGTCTGATTGGCTTCCCTTTGTGGGTAACCCGATCCTTCTCTCTGGCTGCCCTTATCATTTTTTCCTTCATTTCAACTTTGATGAATCTGACAATTATGTGTCTTGGAGTTGCTCTTCTTGAGGATTATCTTTGTGGCGTTCTCTGTATTTCTTGAATTTGAATATTGGCCCGCCTTGCTAGATTGGGAAAGTTCTCTTGGATAATATCCTGCAGACTGTTTTCCAACTTGGTTCCATTCTGCCCGTCACTTTCAGGTACACTAGTCAGACGTAGATTTGGTCTTTTCACATAGTCACTTATCTCTTGGAGGCTTTGTTGGTTTCTTTTTTTTCTTTTTTCTCTAAACTTCTCTTCTGACTTCATTTCATTCATTTCATCTTCCATCGCTAATACCCTTTCTTTCAGTTTATCGCATCGGCTACTGAGGCTTGTGCATTTGTCATGTAGTTCTCGTGCTGTGGTTTTCAGCTCCATGAGGTCCTTTAAGGACTTCTCTGCATTGGTTATTCTAGTTAGCCATTCGTCTAACTTTTTTTCAAAGTTTTTAACTTCTTTGTCATTGGTTTGAACTTCCTCCTTTAGCTCGGCGTAGTTGGTCTTCTGAAGCCTTCTTCTCTCAACTCCTCAAAGTCATTCTCCATCCAGCTTTGTTCCATTGCTGCTGAGGAGCTGTGTTCCTTTGCAGGAGGAGAGACACTCTGATTTTTAGAGTTTCTGGTTTTTCTGCTCTGTTTTTTCCCCATCTTTGTGGTTTTCTCTACCTTTGGTGTTTGAAGATGGTGACGTACAGATGGGTTGTTGGTGTGGATGTCCTTTCTGTTTGTTAGATTTCCTTCTAACGGTCAGGACCCTCAGCTGCAGGTCTGTTGGAGTTTGCTGGAGGTCCACTTCAGACCCTATCTGCCTCAGTATCAGCAGCGGTGGCTGCAGAACAGCGGATATTGGTGAACTGAAAATGCTGCTGACTGATCGTTCCTCTGGAAGTTTTGTGTCAGAGGATTACCCGGCCGTGTGGTGTCAGTCCGCCCCTACTAGAGTTTGTCTCCCAGTTAGGCTCCTCGGGGGTCAGGGACCCACTTGAGGAGGCAGTCTTTCCATTCTCAGATCTCAAGCTGCATGCTGGGAGAACCACTAGTCTCTTCAAAGCTGTCAGACAGGGACATTTAAGTCTGCAGAGGTTACTGCTGCCTTCTGTTTGTGCCCTGCCCCCAGAGGTGGAGCCTACAGAGGCAGGCAGGCCTCCTTGAGCTGTGGTGGGCTCCACCCAGTTTGAGCCTCCAGGCTGCTTTGTTTACCTACCCAAGCCTCAGCAATGGTGGGTGCCCCTCCCCCAGCCTCGCTGCTGCCTTGCCATTTGATCTCAGACTGCTGTGCTAGCAATGAGCGAGTCTCTGTGGGTGTAGCACCCTCCAAGCCAGGGGCGGTATATAATCTCCTGGTATGCATTTGTTAAATCCATTGGAAAAGCACAGTAATAGGGTGGGAGTGACCCGATTTTCCAGGTGCCATCTGTCACCCTTTTCTTTGACTAGGAAAGAGAATTCCTTGACCCCTTGCACTTCCCGGGTGAGGTGATGCCTCACCCTGCTTTGGGTCATGCACAGTGCACTGCACCCACTATCCTGCACCCACTGTCCAGCACTCCCTAGTGAGATGAACCTGGTACCTCAGTTGGAAATGCAGAAATCACCCATCTTCTGGGTCGCTCACTCTGGGAGCTGTAGACTGGAGCTTTTCCTATTTGACCATCTTGGCTCCACCCCCCAGGAATTCTTAAGAGAATCTGTGACGGTCAATACTGAGTGTCAACTTGACTGGATTGAAAAATACAAATTATTGATCCTGGGTGTGTTTGTGAGGGTGTTGCTAAAGGAGATTAACATTTGTGTTAGTGGGCTGGGAAAGCCAGACCCATCCTTAATCTGGGTGGACACCATCTAATCAGCTGCCAGCATGGCTACAATATAAGAATCAGGCAGAAAAATGTGAAAAGAGAGGCTGGCCTACCCTCCCAGCCTACACCCTTCTGCTGTGCTGGATGCTTCCTGCTCTTGAACATTGAACTCCAAGTTCTTCAGTTTTGGATCTCAGACTGGCTCTCCTTGCTCCTCCACCTGCAGATGGCCTATTTTGGGACCTTGTGATCATGTGAGTTAATACTTAATAAGCTCATATATATATGTATGTATTCCATTAGTTCTGTCCCTCTAGATAACTCTAATACAGAATTCTAATTGGGGGAGCAAAAGGACAATATCTACCATGATGCAAACACACACACAAAAATACTCACTCTTAGAGCAGATACACAGATGAGAAAGAGAAAGTAGCCAAAGGTTACCACTATAGAGAACCATCCAATGACAGTGATAAACTATAAAAGAGGATGAAAGAAGCAAAAGATATATAAAACAGTGAAAAACAGTTAACAAAATGACAGAAATAAGTCCTTATCTATCAATAGTAACTTTGAATGAAAATGGAATAAATTCCTCACTTACAAGATATAGACAGGCTGAAATAATTAAAAAACCTAACTATATGCTGCCTATATCACTTCACCTTTAAAGACACATATAGGCTGAATATGAAGGGATAGAAAAAGATTCCATGCAAACAGAAACCAAAAGTGAGTAGCAGTAGCTATATTTGTAGCAGATAAAACAGAATTTAGGTCAAAAATAGTAAAAAGGACAAGAATATTATATATTGATAAAGGGATAACTTCAGCAAGAGGATATAATAATTTTAAATATGTATGTATCCACATGAGAACACTCAGATAGATAAAACAAGCATATCTAAGAAGAGCAGTAGACTCCAAAATAATACTAGTTGGGGACTTCAGTACCCCATTATCAGCAGTGGACAGATCATCTAGAAAATCAACAAAAAAATATTGGATTTAAACTGCACTTCAGGCCAAATAGACCCAATAGATATTTACAAACATTTCATCCAATGGCTGCAGAACACATTCTGCTCAGCAGCATATAGAACATTCTCAAGGATAGATTATATGTAAGGCCACCAAACAAGTAGCTTCAACAAGCATATGGAAAAATTCTCAGCATCACTAATCATTAGAGGAATGCAAATCAAACCACAATGAGATACCATCTCACATCAATCAGAATGGCTATTATCAAAAAGTCAAAAAACAACAGATACTGGTGAGGTTGCAGAGAAACAGGAACACTTATACAATGCTGGTGGAAATGTAAGTCAGTTCAGCCACTGAGGAAGGAAGTTTGGTGATTTTTCTTTTTTCTTTTTTTCTTTTTTAGTTTGGTGATTTTTCAAAGAACTCAAAGCAGTATTACCATTTGACTCAGTGATCCCATTATTGGGTATATACCTAAAGAAATATAAATTGCTATACCATAAAGATACATGCATGTATATATCCATCACAGCACTATTCACAATTCCAAAGACATAAGATCAACCTAAATGTCCATCAACAATTGACTGGATAAAGAAAATGTGGTACATACACACCCCAGAATACTATGCAGTCATCAAAAAGAATGAGATCATGTCCTTTGCAACAACATGGATGGAGCTGGAGGCCATTATCCTAAGCAAACTAACACACGAACAGAAAACAAAGATACTGCCTGTTTTCACTTATAGTAGGAGCTAACCATTGAGTATATATGGACACAAAGAAGGGAACAACAGACACTGGGGCTTATGTGAGAGTGGAGGGTGGGAGAAGGATGAGAACTGAACAAGTACCTATCAGGTACTATGTTTATTACCTGGGTGATGAAACAATCTGTACACCAAACCCCCATGACATGCAATTTACCTATATAACAAACCTGGACATGTACCCTTGAACCTAAAATAAAATAAAAACAAATAAGTGGCCTTAACACATTTTAAAATATCAAAATTCTATCAAGTATCTTCTCAGATCACAGGGGCATAAAACTAGAAATCAGTAACAAGAAAAACTATGGAAACTGTACAAATACATGGAGAATAAACAATGTGCTCCTGAATGACCACTGGGCCAATGAAGAAATTAAGAAGGAAATTAAAAAATTTTGAAAGAAATGAAAATGAAAATATAACATATTAAAAGCTATGGGATACAGCAAAAGTAGTACTAAGAGAGAAGTGCATAACAAGAAATACCTACATCAGCTCTCCCTCTCCCTCTCCCTCTCCCTCTCCCTCTCCCTCTCCCCACAGTCTCCCTCTCCCTCTCTTTCCACAGTCTCCCTCTGATGCCGAGCGGAAGCTGGACTGTACTGCTGCCGTCTCGGCTCACTGCAACCTCCCTGCCTGATTCTCCTGCCTCAGTCTGCCGAGTGCCTGCGATTGCAGGCGCGCGCCACCACGACTGACTGGTTTTTGTATTTTTTTGGTGGAGACAGGGTTTCGCTGGGTTGGCTGGGCTGGTCTCCAGCTCCTAACCGTGAGTGATCCGCCAGCCTCAGCCTCCTGAGGTGCCGGGATTGCAGATGGAGTCTTGTTCACTCAGTGCTCAATTGTGCCCAGGCTGGAGTGCAGTGGCGTGATCTCGGCTCGCTACAACCTCCACCTCCCAGCCGCCTGCCTTGGCCTCCCAAAGTGCCGAGATTGCAGCCTCTGCCCGGCCACCACCCCGTCTGGGATGTGAGGAGCCCCTCTGCCTGGCTGCCCAGTCTGGAAAGTGAGGAGCATCTCTGCCCAGCCGCCATCCCATCTAGGAAGTGAGGAGCACCTCTTCCCGGCTGCCATCCCATGTAGGAAGTGAGGAGCGTCTCCGCCCCACCGCCCATTGTCTGAGATGTGGGGAGTGCCTCTGCCCCCCGCCCCATCTGGGATGTGAGGAGCACCTCTGCCCGGCCGCGACCCCGTCTGTGAGATGAGGAGCGTCTCTGCCCGGCTGCCCCGTCTGAGAAGTGAGGAGACCCTCCGCCTGGCAACCACCCCATCTGAGAAGTGAGGAGCCCCTCCGCCCGGCAGCCACCCCATCTGAGAAGT
This sequence comes from Homo sapiens, assembly GCF_000001405.40. Lineage (NCBI taxonomy): Eukaryota > Metazoa > Chordata > Mammalia > Primates > Hominidae > Homo > Homo sapiens. The sequence goes on from NC_000006.12 coordinate 85,838,734, forward strand.
GAGGAGCCCCTCCGCCTGGCAGCCACCCCATTTGGGAAGTGAGGAGCGTCTCCGCCCGGCAGCCACCCCGTCTGGGAGGGAGGTGGGGGTCAGCCCCCACCTGGCCAGCTGCCCCGTCTGGGAGGGAGGTGGGAGGGTCAGCCCCCCACCCAGCCAGCCACCCCATCCGGGAGGGAGATGGGGGGTCAATACCCCCCCCCCGGCAAGCCGCCCCATCTGGGAGGGAGGTGGGGGGTCAGTCCCCCGCCCGGCCAGCTGCTCCGTCCGGGAGGGAGGTGGGGGGGTCAGCCCCCCGTCCGGCCAGCCGCCCCGTCTGGGAGGGAGGTGGGGGGGTCAGCCCCCCGCCCGGCCAGCCACCCCATCTGGGAGGTGAGGGGCACCTCTGCCCAGCCGCCCCTACTGGGAAGTGAGGAGCCCCTCTGCCCTGCCACCACCCCGTCTGGGAGGTGTACCCAACAGCTCATTGAGAACGGGCCATGATGACAATGGCGGTTTTGTGGAATAGAAAAGGGGGAAAGGTGCAGAAAAGATTGAGAAATCGGATGGTTGCTGTGTCTGTGTAGAAAGAAGTAGACATGGGAGACTTTTCATTTTGTTCTGTACTAAGAAAAATTCGTCTGCCTTGGGATCCTGTTGATCTATGACCTTACCCCCAACCCTGTGCTCTCTGAAACATGTGCTGTGTCCACTCAGGGTTAAATGGATTAAGGGCGGTGCAAGATGTGCTTTGTTAAACAGATGCTTGAAGGCAGCATGCTCGTTAAGAGTCATCACCACTCCCTAATCTCAAGTACCCAGGGACACAAACACTGCGGTAGGCCGCAGGGTCCTCTGCCTAGGAAAACCAGAGACCTTTGTTCACTTGTTTATCTGCTGATCTTCCCTCCACTATTGTCCTATGACCCTGCCAAATCCCCCTCTGGGAGAAACACCCAAGAATGATCAGTAAAAAAAATAAAATAAAAAAAAGATAATCTCTATATGTGCAGATAGAAATGATCTCCAAAATCAGTTAAGGTACAGAAATAAATAAATAAATAAATAAATAAATAAAAAAGAAATACCTACATCAAAAAAGTAGAAAGATTTTAAATAAACGGCCTAATGATGCATCTCAAAGAACTAGAAAAGCAAGAACAAACCAAAACCCAAATTAGGAGAAGGCAAAAATAATAAAGATTAGAGAATAAATAAATGAAATTGAGAATAAAATAATACAAAAAATTAGAAAAAATGTTGGATGTTTGAAAAGATAAACAAAATTGACAAACCATTAGCTAGATTAAGAAAAAAGAGAGAAGACTCAAATAAAGAAAATCAGAAAGAAAAAAGGAGACACGAAGGAAGTGGCCAAGATGGCTGACTAGAAGCAGCTAGTGTGTGGCTCTCACAGAGAGGAACAGAAAGGGTGAGTAAATACAACACCTTCAACTGAAACATCCAGGTACTCGCATTGGGACTAATCAAGGAAACAACTTGACCCACGGGAAACATAGAAAAGCAAGACAGAACAATGGCTCACCTGAGAGCAACATGAAGCCGGGGAACCTCCACCAACCAGGAAAGTGGTGAGTGAATGTGCAACCTCAGGAAACCATGCTTCTCCCATGAATCTTTGTAACAGGAGATCTTGCGAACCCACTCCATCAGAGCCTCCAGTCTGACAGACAGAGCTACGTGGATTCTCAGCAGAGCAGGCACCCAGGCATGCGTGGAGATCCTGGAGACTTAGATACTCGGGATTTCTGTCAAAAGTAGCTGCAGCTTTGGCAAAATGGGAGATTACACCCCCATACATACCCCTAGGAAAGAGGCTGAATCCAGGAGGCTGAGCAGTGACAGCCTGCAGGCACCAGTTCCACAGCACCTCACAAGATAAGGCCTACAGGCTTGCAATTTCAACCAGCCAATTGTAGCAGCATTGCAGCTCCCTAAGAATAAGCTACCAGGGTGTGGGGCAGGCTGCCATCTTTGCCATTTGGCCACCTTAGCCATTCCACCCTTCAGGCTTTGGAGAGTCCAAGCTGACTGAGGGCAGAAGGGATCCCCCAGCACAGGACAGTTTCTCTACTAAAACATGGCCAGACTGCTGCTTTAGGCAGATACTTAAAGCAGATATACTGTCCCTCCTCACTGGGTGGGGGGGAATTTTGAACTTGGGCCTCCAGCCAATTGCACTCATGATCTCCAGCTGACAGAGATTTGAATCGCTACTGGGATGGCACTCCCAGAGGGAGAGACGGGCTGCCTTGTTTGTTGTTTGAGCAACTTAGTTGTTTCAGCCATTGGGCTCTGGAAAGTTCAAGTCAATCCAGGGCTGAATGGATCCCTCAACACAGCACAGCTCCTCAACCAAAATGTGGCCAGACTCCTTCTTTAAGTGGGTCCCCAGTCCCACTGGGTGGGGTCCTCCCAACCAGGGCCTCCAGCCACCTCCATGTGTGTTCTTCAGTCAACAGAGAGCTGAATTCTCCCTGGGACAGTGCTCCCTGTGGGGTGGGGGTGGGGGGGGTAGGCCGCCATCTTTGCTATTTGGGTGACTTAGCTGTTCCAGCCTTTGGGCATTGGAGAGGCTGAGCTGATCAGGGGCAAAAATGATGCCCCAGCACAACACAGCTTCTCTACCAAAACATGGTGTATTAGTCCCTTTTCATGCTGCTGATAAAGATATGCCTGAGATTGGGCAATTTACAAAAGAAAGAGCTTTTATTATTATTATTATTATTATACTTTAAGTTCTAGGGTACATGTGCACAAAGTGCTGGTTTGTTACATAAGTATACATGTGCCATGTTGGTTTGCTGCCCCCATCAACTCATCATTTACATTAGGTATTTCTCCTAATGCTATCCCTCCCCCAGCCCCCCACCCTCCAACAGGCCCCAGTGTGTGATGTTCCTTTCCCTATACCCATGTGTTCTCATTGTTCAACTCCCACTTATGACTGAGAACATGCAGTGTTTGGTTTTCTGTCCTTGTGATATTTTGCTGAGAATGATGGTTTCCAGATTCACCCGGGTCCCTACAAAGGACGTGAACTCATCCTTTTTTATGGCTGCATAGTATTTCATGGTGTAAATGTGCCACATTTTCTTTATCCAGTCTATCATTGATAGACATTTGGGTAGGTTCCAAATCTTTGCTATTGTGAATAGTGCCACAATAAACGTACGTGTGCATGTGTCTTTATAGTAGCATGATTTATAATCCTTTGGGTATAAACCCAGTAATGGGATTGCTGGGTCAAATGGTATTTCTGGCTCTAGATCCTTGAGGAATCACCACACTGTCTTCCACAGTGCTTGAACTAATTTACACTCCCACCAACAGTGTAAAAGCATTCCTATTTCTCCACATCCTCTCTAGCATCTGTTGTTTCCTGACTTTTTAATGATCGCCATTCTAACTGGCATGAGATGGTATCTCATTGTGGTTTTGTTTGCATTTCTCTGATCGCCAGTGATGATGAGCATTTTTTCAAATGTCTGTTGGCTGCATAAATGTCTTCTTTTGAGAAGTGTCTGTTCTTATCCTTTGCCCACATTTTGATGGGGTTGTTTGTTTCTTGTAAATCTTTTTAAGTTCTTTGTAGATTCTGGATATTAGCCCTTTGTCAGATGGATAGATTGCAAACATTTTCTCCCATTATGTAGGTTGCCTGTTGTTTGATTTTTTTCTTGTAAATTTGTTTAAGTTCTTTGTAGATTCTGGATATCAGCCCTTTGTCAGATGGATAGATTGCAAACATTTTCTCCCATTATGTAGGTGGCCTGTTCACTCTGAAGATATATTCTTTTACTGTGCAGAATCTCTTTAACTTAATTAGATCCCGTTTGTCAATTTTGGCTTTTGTTGCCATTGCTTTTGGTGTTTTAGTCATGAAGTCTTTGCCAATGCCTATGTCCTGAATGGTATTGCCCAGGTTTTCTTCTAGGGTTTTTATGGTTTTAGGTCTAACATTTAAATCTTTAATCCATTGTGAGTTAATTTTTGTGTAAGGTGTAAGGAAGGGATCCAGTTTCAGCTTTCTACATATGGCTAACCCGTTTTCCCAGCACCATTTATTAAATAGGGAATCCTTTCCCCATTGCTTGTTTTTGTCAGGTTTGTCAAAGATGAGATACTTTTAGATGTGTAGTGTCATTTCTGAGGTCTCTGTTCTGTTCCATTTGTCTATATATCTGTTTTGGTGCCATTATCGTGCTGTTTTGGTTACTGTAGCCTTGTAGTATAGTTTGAAGTCAGGTAGCATGATGCTTCCAGCTTTTTTCTTTTTGCTTAGGATTGTCGTGGCTATGCAGGCTCTTTTTTTGGTTCCATATGAAATTTAAAGTAGTTTTTTCCAATTCTGTGAAGAGTCAGTGGTAGCTTAATGGGGATAGCATTGAATCTCTAGATTACCTTGGGCAGTTTGGCCATTTTCACAATATTGATTCTTCCTATCCATGAGCATGGAATGTTTTTCCGTTTGTATGTGTCCTCTTTTTATTTAGTTTAGCAGTGGTTTGTAGTTCTCCTAGAAGAGATCCTTCACATCTCTTTTAAGTTGGATCCCTAGGTGTTTTCTTCTATTTGTAGTAATTGTGAATGGGAGTTCACTCATGATTTGGCTCTCTGTTCTTGGTGTATAGGAATGCTTGTAATTTTTGCACATTGATTTTGTATCTTGGGACTTTGCTGAAATTGCTTATCAGCTTAAGGAGATTTTGGGCTGAGACAATGGGGTTTTCTAAATATACAGTCATGTCATCTGCAAACAGAGACAATTTAACTTCTTCTTTTCCTTATTAATACCCCTTATTTCTTTCTCTTGCCTGATTGCCCTGGCCAGAACTTCCAACTATTCACTACATTGAGTAGGAGTGGTGAGAGGGTACATCCTTGTGTTGTGCCAGTTTTCAAAGGGAATGCTTCCAGTTTTTGCCCATTCAGTATGATATTGGCTGTGGGTTTGTCATAAATAGCTCTTATTATTTTGAGATACGTTCCATCAATACCCAGTTTATGGAGAGTTTTTAGCATGAAAGGCTGTTGAATTTTGTCAAAGGCCTTTTCTGCATCTATTGAGATAATCATGGTTTTTGCCATTGGTTCTGTTTATGTGATGGGTTACATTTATTGATTTTCATATGTTGAACCAGCCTTGCATCCCAGGGATGAAGCCAACTTGATCATGGTGGATAAGCTTTTTGATGTCCTGCTGGATTTGGTTTGCAGTATTTTATTGAGCTTTTTGCATCAAGGTTCATCAAGGATATTGGCCTAAAATTCTCTTTTTTTGTGGTGTCTCTGCCAGGCTTTTGTATCAGGATGATGCTGACCTCATAAAATGAGATAGGGAGGATACCCTCTTTTTCTATTGATTAGAATACTTTCAGAAGGAGTGGTACCGGCTCCTCTTTGTACCTGGTTTAATCTTGGGTGGGTGGTTTAGCCTTGGGAGGAATTTATCCATTTCTTCTAGATTTTCTAGTTTATTTTTGTGGAGGTGTTTATAGTATTCTCTGATGTGTGTTTGTATTTCTGTGGGATCAGTGGTGATATCCCCTTTATTATATTTTATTACATCTATTTGATTCTTCTCTCTTCTCTTCTTTATTAGTTTTGCTAGCAGACTATCTATTTTGTTGATCTTTTCAAAAAACCAGCTCCTGGATTCATTGATTTTTTGAAGGGTTTTTTCTTTGTGTCTCTATCTCCTTCAGTTCTGCTCTGATCTTAGTTATTTCTTGCCTTCTGCTAGCTTTTGAATATGTTTGGTCTTGCTTCTGTAGTTCTTTTAATAGTGATGTTAGGATATCAATTTTAGATCTTTCCTGCCTTCTCTTGTGGGCATTTAGTGCTATAAATTTCCCTCTACACACTGCTTTAAATGTGTCCCAGAGATTCTGGTATGTTGTGTCTTTGTTCTTGTTGGTTTCAAAGAACATCTTTATTTCTGCCTTCATTTCGTTATTTACCCAGTAGTCATTCAGGAGCAGGTTGTTCAGTTTCCATGTAGTGGTGTGGTTTTGAGTGAGTTTCTTAATCCTGAGTTCTAGTTTGATTGCACTGTGGTCTTAGAGACAGTTCGTTGTTATTTCTGTTCTTTTACATTTGCTGAGGAGTGTTTTACTTCCCATTATGTGGTCAATTTTAGAATAAATATGATGGGCTGCTGATTAGAATTTATATTCTATTGATTTGGGGTGGAGAGTTCTGTAGATGTCTATTAGGTCCACTTGGTCCAGAGCTGAGTTCAAGTCCTGGATATCTTTGTTAATATTCTGTCTCATTGATCTGTCTAATATTGACAGTGGAGTGTTAAAGTCTCCCATTATTATTGGGTGGGAGTTTAAGTCTCTTTGTAGGTCTCTAAGAACTTGCTTTATGAATCTGGGTGCTCCTGTATTTTGTGCATATATATTTAGGATAGTTAACTCTTCTTGTTGAATTGATCCATTTACCAATATGTAATGGCCTTTTTTTTTTCTCTTTTGATCTTTTTGGTTTGAAGTCTGTTTTATCAGACACCAGGATTGCAAACCCTGCTTTTGTTTGCTCTCCATTTGCTTGGTAGATCTTCCATCCCTTTATTTTGAGCCTACGTGTGTCTTTGCACAGATGGGTCTCTTGAATACAGCACTCTGATAGGTCTTGACTCTTTATACAATTTGCCAGTCTGTGTCTTTCAATTGGGGCATTTAGCCAATTTGCATTTAAGGTTAATATTGTTATGTGTGAATTAGGTTCTGTCATTATGATGCTATCTGGTTATTTTGCCCATTAGTTGATGCAGTTTCTTCATAGCATTAATGGTCTTTACAACTTGGCATGTTTTTGTATTGGCTGGTACCAGTTGTTTCTTTCCATGTTTAGTGCTTCCTTCAGGAGCTCTTGTAAGGCAGGCTTGGTGGTGACAAAATCTCTCAGCATTTGCTTGTCTGTAAATAATGTATTTCTCTTTCACTTATGAAGCTTTGTTTGGCTGGATATAAAATTCTGGGTTGAAAATTGTTTTCTTTTTTAATGTTGAATATTGGCCTCCACTGTGTTCTGGCTTGTAGGGTTTCTGCAGAGAGATCCACTGTTAGTCTGATGGGCTTCCCTTTGTGGGTAATCCTACCTTTCTCTCTGGCTGCCCTTAATATTTTTTCCTTCACTTCAACCTTGGTGAATCTGATGATTATGTATGTTGGGGTTACTCTTTTTGAGGAGTATCTTTGTGGTGTTCTCTGTATTTCCTGAATTTGAATGTTGGCCTGCCTAGCTAGGTTGGGAAGTTCTCCTGGATAATATATTGAAGAGCATTTTGTAACTTGGTTCTATGCTCCCCTTAACTTTCAGGTACACCAATCAAATGTAGATTTGGTCTTTTCACATAGTCCCCTATTTTTTGAAGGTTTTGTTCATGTCTTTTCACTCTTTTTTTCTCTAATCTTGTCTTCTTACTTTATTTCATCAAGTTGATCTTCAATCACTGATATCCTTTCTTCTGCTTGATCGAATTGGCTATTGAAGCTTCTGTATGCTTTAAGAAGTTCTCCTACTGTGGTTTTCATCTCCATTGTTCATTTAAGCTCTTCTAAACTGGTTATTCTGGTTAGTTATTCCTTTAACCTTTTTCCAAGGTTTTTAGCTTCATTATGATGGGTTAGAACATGCTCCTTTATCCTGGAGAAATTTGTTATTACCAACCTTCTGAAGCCTACTTCTGTCAACTCGTCAAACTCATATTCCATCCAGTTTTGTTCCATTGCTGGCAAGGTGTTGTGTTTCTTTGGAGGAGAAGAGGTGTTCTGGTTTTTGGAATTTTCAGCCTTTCTGCTCTGGTTTCTCCTCATCTTTGTGCTTTTGTCTACCTTTGGTCTTTGATGTTGGTGACCTATGGAGGGTGTTTTCGTTTGGATGTCCTTTTTGTTGATGTTGATACTATTCCTTTCTGTTTGTTGGTTTTCCTTCTAACAGACAGGACTCTCAGCTGCAGATCTGTTGGAGTTTGCTGGAGGTCCACTCCAGACCCTGTTTGTCTGGGTATCACCAACGGAGGCTGCAGAACAGCAAATATTGCTGCCTGATCTTTCCTCTGGAAGCTTTGTCCTAGAGGGGCACCCACCTGTATGAGGTGTCTGTTGGCCCCTACTGGGAGGTGTCCTCCAATCAGGCTACACAGGTGTCAGGGATCCATTTGAGGTGGCAGTCTGTCCATTATCGGGTCTTGAACGCCATGCTGGGAGAACAACTGCTTTCTTCAGAGCTGTCAGGCAGGGAAGTTTAAGTCTGCAGAAACTGTCTGCTGCCATTTGTTCCAATATGCCCTGCCCCCAGAGGTGGAATCTCGAGAGGAAGTAGGCCTTGCTGAACTGTGGTGGGTTCCGCCCAGTTCAAGCTTTCCTGCTGCTTTTTTTACACTGGGAGCATAAAACTGCCTACCCAAGCCTCAGCAATAGTGGACGCCCCTTTCCTCACCAAGCTCCAGAATCGTAGGTCAAACTCAGAGTGCTGCGCAAGCAAGGGGCAAGGTTCCATGGGCATGGGACCTGCCACACCAGGCATGGGAGGGAATCTCCTGGTCTGCTGGTTGTGAAGACTGTGGAAAAGGTGCAGTATTTGGGCAGGAGTTTACCATTCCTCCAGGTACAGTCACTCACGGCTTCCTTTGGCTAGGAAAATGAAATCCCCCAATCCCTTGCACTTCTTGGATGAGGCAACACCCCACCCTTCTTCAGCTCACTCTCTGTGGGCTGCACCCACTGTCCAACCAGTTCCAATGAGATGAACCAGGTAACTCGGTTGGAAATGCAGAAATCACCAATCTTCTGCATTGATTTTGCTGGGAGCTGTAGACTGGAGCTATTCCTATTTTGCCATCTCTGAAGCAGCTCCAAGAAAGAGGTTTATTGGACTTACAGTTCCACATGGCTGGGGAAGCCTCACAATCATGGTGGAAGATGAAAGGCACCTCTCACATGGCAGAAGACAAGAGAGATTGTGCAGGGAAACTCCCACTTATAATAATCATCAGATCTCGAGAGACTTACTATCATGAGAACAGGATGGGAGAGGCCTTCCCCCATGATTCAATTACCTCCCACCTGGATCCTCCCACAATATGTGGAATTTCAAGATGAGATTTGGATGGGGACATAGCCAAATCATATCATATGGCCAGACTTATTCTTTTTTTTTTAATTATACTTTAAGTTTTAGGGTACATGTGCACAATGTGCAGGTTAGTAACATATGTATACTTGTGCCATGTTGGTGTGCTGCACCCATTAACTCATCATTTAATATTAGGCATATCTCCTAATGCTATCCCTCCCCCATACCACCACCCCACAACAGGCCTCGGTGTGTGATGTTCCCTTTCCTGTGTCCATGTGTTCTCATTGTTCAGTTACCACCTATGAGTGAGAACATGTGGTGTTTGGTTTTTTATCCTTGTGATAGTTTGCTTAGAATGGTTTCCAGCTTCATCCATGTCCCTACAAAGGACACGAACTCATTATTTTTTATGGCTGCATAGTATTCCATGGTGTATATGTGCCACATTTTCTTAATCCAGTCTATCATTGTTGGACATTTGGGTTGGTTCCAAGTCTTTGCTACTGTAAATAGTTCTGCAATAAACATACATGTGTATGTGTCTTTATAGCAGCATGATTTATAATCCTTTGGGTATATATCCAGTAATGGGATGGCTGGGTCACATGGTATTTCTAGTTCTAGATCCCTGAGGTATTGCCACACCAACTTCCACAATGGTTGAACTAGTTTACAGTCCCACCAACAGTGTAAAAGTGTTCCTATTTCTCCACATCCTCTCCAGCACCTGTTGTTTCCTGACTTTTTAATGATTGCCATTCTAACTGGTATGAGATGGTATCTCACTGTGGTTTTGATTTACATTTCTCTGATGGCCAGTGATGGTGAGTATTTTTTCATGTGTTTTTTGGCTGCATAAATGTCTTCTTTTGAGAAGTGTCTGTTCATGTCCTTCGCCCACTTTTTGATGTGTTGTTTGTTTTTTTCTTGTAAATTTGTTGGAGTTCATCATAGATTCTGGATATTAGCCCTTTGTCAGATGAGTAGATTGCAAAAATTTTCCTCCATTCTGTAGGTTGCCTGCTCACTCTGATGGTAGTTTGTTTTGCTGTGCAGAAGCTCTTTAGTTTAATTAGATCCCATTTGTCAATTTTGTCTTTTGTTGCCATTGCTTTTGGTGTTTTAGACATGAAGTCCTTGCCCATGCCTATGTCCTGATTGAATGGTATTGCCTAGGTTTTCTTCTAGGGTTTTTATGGTTTTAGGTCTAACATGTAAGTCTTTAATCCATCTTGAATTAATTTTTGTATAAGGTGTAAGGAAGGGAACCAGTTTCAGCTTTCTACATATGGCTAGCCAGTTTTCCCAGCACCATTTATTAAATAGAGAATCCTTTCCCCATTGCTTGTTTTTCTCAGGTTTGTCAAAGATCAGATGGTTGTAAATATGTGGCATTCTTTCTGAGGTCTCTGTTCTGTTCCATTGATCTATATCTCTGTTTTCGTACCAGTATCATGTTGTTTTGATTACTGTAGCCTTGTAGTATAGTTTGAAATCTGGTATTGTGGTGCCTCCAGCTTTGTTCTTTTGGCTTAGAATTGACTTGGCAATGCGGGCTCTTTTTTGGTTCCATATGAACTTTAAAGTAGTTTTTTCCAATTCTGTGAAGAAAGTCATCAGTAGCTTGATGGGGATGGCATTGAATCTGTGAATTACCTTGAGCAGTATGGCCATTTTCACGATATTGATTCTTCCTACCCATGAGCATGGAATGTTCTTCCATTTGTTTGTATCCTCTTTTATTTCATTGAGCAGTGGTTTGTAATTCTCCTTGAAGAGGTCCTTCACATCCCTTGTAAGTTGGATTCCTAGGTATTTTATTCTCTTTGAAGCAATTGTGAATGGGAGTTCACTCATGATTTTGCTCTCTGTTTGTCTGTTATTGGTGTGTAAGAATGCTTGTGATTTTTGTACATTGATTTTGTATCCTGAGACTTTGCTGAAGTTGCTTATCAGCTTAAGGATATTTTGGGCTGAGAAGATGGGGTTTTCTAGATATACAATCATGTCATCTGTAAACAGGGACAATTTGACTTCCTCTTTTCCTAATTGAATACCTTTATTTCCTTCTCCTGCCTGATTGCCCTGGCCAGAACTTCCTATGTTGAATAGGAGTGGTGAGAGAGGGCATCCCTGCCTTGTGCCAGTTTTCAAAGGGAATGCTTCCAGTTTTTGCCCATTCAGTATGATATTGGCTGTGGGGTTGTCATAGATAGCTCTTATTATTTTGAGATGCATCCCATCAATACCTAATTTATTAAGAGTTTTTAGCATGAAGAGTTGTTGAGTTTTTGTCGAAGGCCTTTTCTTCATCTGTTGAGATAATCATGTGGTTTTTATCTTTGGTTCTGTTTCTATGCTGGATTACGTTTATTGATTTTCGTATGTTGAACCATCCTTGCATCCCAGGGATGAAGCCCACTTGATCATGGTGGATAAGCTTTTTGATGTGCTGCTGGATTTGGTTTGCCAGTATTTTACTGAGGTTTTTTGCATCAATGTTCATCAAGGATATTGGTCTAAAATTCTCTTTTTTTGTTGTTTCTGTGCCAGGCTTTGGTATCAGGATGATGCTGGCCTCATAAAATGAGTTACGGAGGATTCCCTCTTTTTCTATTGATTGGAATAGTTTCAGAAGGAGTGGTACCAGCTCCTCCTTGTACCTCTTGTAGAATTCGGCTGTGAATCCATTTGGTCCTGGACTTTTTTTGGTTGGTAAGCTATTAATTATTGCTTCAATTTCAGAGCCTGTTATTGGTCTATTCAGAGATTCAACTTCCTGGTTTAGTCTTGGGAGGTTGTATGTGTTGAGGAATCTATCCATTTCTTCTAGATTTTCTAGTTTATTTGCATAGAGGTGTTTGTAGTGTTCTCTGATGGTAGTTTGTATTTCTGGGGGATTGGTGGTGATATCTTCTTTATCATATTTTATTGCATCTATTTGATTCTCTTGTCTTTTATTCTTTATTAGTCTTGCTAGTGGTCTATCAATTTTATTGATCATTTTAAAAAACCAGCTCCTGGATTCATTGATTTTTTGAAGGTTTTTTTGTGTCTCTATTTCCTTCAGTTCTGCTCTGATCTTGGTTATTTCTTGCCTTCTGCTAGCTTTGGAATGTGCTTACTCTTGCTTCTCTAGTTCTTTTAATTGTGATGTTAGGGTGTCAATTTTGGATCTTTCCTGCTTTCTCTTGTGGGCATTTAGTGCTATAAATTTCCCTCTACACACTGCTTTGAATGTGTCCCAGAGATTCTGGTATGTTGTGTCTTTGTTCTCATTGGTTTCAAAGAACGTCTTTATTTCTGCCTTCATTTTGTTATGTACCCAGTAGTCATTCAGGAGCAGGTTGTTGACTTTCCATTAGTTGAGTGGTTTTGAGTGAGTTTCTTGATCCTGAATTCTAGTTTGATTGCTCTGTGATCTGAGAGACAGTTTGTTATAATTTCTGTTCTTTTACATTTGCTGAAGAGTGCTTTACTTCCAACTATGTGGTCAATTTTGGAATAAGTGTGGTGTGGTGCTGAGAAGAATGTATATTCTGTTGATTTGGGGTGGAGAGTTCTGTAGATGTCTATTAGGTCTGCTTGGTGCAGATCTGAATTCAATTCCTGGATATCCTTGCTAACTTTCTGTCTCGTTGATCTGTCTAATGTTGATAGTGGGGTTTTAAAGTGTCCCATTATTATTGTGTGGGAGTCTAAGTCTCTTTGTAGGTCTCTAAGGACTTGCTTTATGAATCTGGTTGCTCCTGTATTGTGTGCATATATATTTAGGATAGTTAACTCTTCTTGTTGAATTGATCCCTTTACCATTATGTAATGGCCTTCTTTGTCTCTTTTGATCTTTGTTGGTTTAAAGTCTTTTTTATCTGAGACTGAGATTGCAACCCTCCCTTTTCTTTGTTTTCCATTTGTAGATCTTCCTCCATCCCTTTATTTTGAGCCTATGTGTGTCTCTGCACGTGAGATGGGTTTCCTGAATACAGCACACTGATGGGTCTTGACTCTTTATCCAATTTGCCATTCTGTGTCTTTTAATTGGAGCATTTAGTCCATTTACATTTAAGGTTAATATTGTTATATGTGAATTTGACCTGTCATTATGATGCTAGCTGGTTATTTTGCCTGTTAGTTGATGCAGTTTCTTCATAGTGTCGGTGGTGTTTACAATTTGGCATGTTTTTGCAGGGGCTAGTACTGGTTTTTCTTTTCCACATTAGTGCTTCCTTCAGGAGCTCTTGTATGGCAGGGATGCTTATGACAAAATCTCTCAGCATTTGCTTCTCTGTAAAGGATTTCATTTCTCCTTTTCTTATGAAGTTTAGTTTGTCTGGATATGAAATTCTGGGTTGAAAATTCTTTTCTTTAAGGTTGTTGAATATTGGCCCCCACTGTGTTCTGGCTTGCAGCATTTCTGCAGAGATCCCCCTTTGTTTGATGGGCTTCCCTTTGTGGGTAACTCGACCTTTCTCTCTGGCTGCCCTTAACATTATTTTCTTCATTTCAACCTTGGTGAATCTGATAATTATGTGTCTTGGGTTTGCTCGCTTGAGGAGTATCTTTGTAGTGCTCTCTGTATTTCCTGAATTTGAATGTTGGCCTTTCTTACTAGGTTGGGGAAGTTCTCCTGGATAACATCTTGAAGAGTGTTTTCCAACTTGGTTTTCTTCTGTCTGTCACTTTCAGGTACACCAATCAAATGTAGGTTTGGTCTTGTCACATCATTCCATATTTCTTGGAGGCTTTGTTCGTTCCTTTTTATTCTTTTTTCCCTAATCTTGTCTTCACACTTTATTTCATTAAGTTGGTCTTCAATCTCTGATATCTTTTTTTTTTTTGCTGGATTGATTCAGCTATTGATACTTGTGTATGCTTCACGAAGTTCTCATGCTGTGTTTTTCATTTCCATGGGGTCATTTATGTTCTTCTCTAAACTGGGTGTTATAGTTAGCAATTCCTGTCACTTTTTTTCAAGGTTCTTAGCTTCCTTGCATTGGCTTAGAACATGTTTCTTTAACTCGGAGGAATTTGTTATTTTCCACCTTCTGAAGCCTACATATTTCAATTTATCAAACTCGTTCTCTGTCCAGTTTTGTTTCCTTTCTGGTGAGGAGTTGTGATCCTTTGGAAGAGAAGAGGAAATCTGATTTTTGAAAATTTCCGTCCTTTTGCGTTGGTTTTTCCTCATCTTCATGCATTTATCTACCTTTGGTCTTTGATGTTGCTGACTTTTGGATGGGGTTTCTGTGTGGATATCCTCTTTGTTGATGTTGATGCTATACCTTTCTGTTTTTTGGTTTTCTTCTAACAGTCAGACCCCTGTGTTGCATATCTGCTGTAGGTTGCTGGAGGTCCATTCCAGATTCTGTTTTCCTGGGTATCACCAGCAGAGGCGGCAGAATAGCAAAGCTTTCTGCCTGTTTCTTCCTCTGAAAGCTTTGTGCCCAGAGGGGCAATTGCCAGATGCCAGCTGGAGCTCTCCTGTATGAGGTGCCTGTCGACCCCTGCTTGGAGGTGTCTCCCAGTCAGGAGGCAGATGGGTCAGGGACCTACTTGAGGAGGCAGTCTGTCCCTTAGCAGAGCTCAAGGACTGTGCTAGGAGCTCTGCTGTTCTCTTCAGAGCCAGCGGGCAGGGATGTTTAAGTCTGCTGAAACTGTGCCCACATCCACCCCTTCCCCAAGCTGCTCATTCCCAGAGAGTTGGGAGTTTGATCTATAAGCCTTTGACTGGGGCTGCCACCTTTTTTTTCAGAGATGCTCTTCCCAGAGAGGAGCAATCTAGAGAAGCAGTCTGGCTACAGCAACTTTGCCAAGCTGTGGTGGGCTCTGCCCAGTTTGAACTTTCGGGAGTCTTTGTTTATAATGGGAGAGGAAGAAATGCCTACTGAAGCCTCATTAATGGTGGATGCCCCTTCCCCCACCAAGCTTGAGTATCCCAGTTCGACTTCACTGACAGACTGCTGTGCTGTCAGTGAGAATTTCAAGCCAGTGGATCTTATGTTGGTAGGCTCCATGAGGCTGGGATCCACTTAGCTAGACCACTTGGCTCTCTGGCTTCAGCCTCCTTTGCAGGGGAGTGAACAGTTCTGTCTCACTAGTGTTCCAAGTGCTACTGGGATATGAGAAAAAAATAAACAAACTCCTGCAGCTAGCTTGGTGTCTGTCCAAATGGCCACCCAATTTTGTACTTGAAACCCTGGGCCCTGGTGGCATAGGCACCCAAGGGAATCTTCTGGTCTACGGGTTGCAAAGATCATGGGAAAATTGTAGTATCTGGGCCAGAGTGCACCGTTCCTCGTGGTACAGTCCCTGACAGCTCCCCTTGGCTAAGGGAGGGAGTTCCCCAACCACTTGTGCTTCCTGGGTGAGGTGACAACCCACCCTGTTTCTGCTCACCCTCCGTGGGCTGCACCCATTGTCTAACCAGTCGCAATGAGATGAGCTGGATTTCTCCGTTGGAAATGCAGAAGTCACCCACCTTCTGCATTGATCTCACTGGGAGCTGCAGACTGGAGCTGTTCCTAGTTGGCCATCTTGCCAGCCACCTTTGTTTCCAAGTTTTTGTTGTGGTAAAATATGTATTACACAGTATGTATTTTGTTAATCATTTTAAGTGTACATTCGGTGGTATTAAGTACATTCATATTTTTGTACAACCTTCATCACCATGATCCATTTCCAGAATGCTTTTCATCTTACAAAACTAAAACAATACATTTATTTAACAATAACTCCCCATTTACCCTTCCCCCAGGTCATGGCTGTTGTGGTAAACTGAGGAATAGAGAGACCAATACAGAGTATAGGAGGATTTGTTTATTTTAGGTATGCATCAGCTCAGAGGATTCACATCCAAAAGCTGATCCCTGAACAAAGACAGAGTGGGGTTTTTATAAGCGGCCTTACAGAAGCAAAATAAAAGCAGTAGCAAAATAAAAGCAGTTAATCATACAGTAATAGGTCACATAATCTATAGCATAACATTAACTTGTGACCTAGACTGTGGCCTTGTAGCTGCATTAAAAGAAAAACAAGAACTGGCTAAATACAGACATTTGTAAAACATAATCATGCTAATCATGCTTAAGAAGCCTGGGAAAAGAGTAACAGTAAAAGAACCTGTCTTTCTCTTTATTTTCTTTCAACCTTGCTCTGGAAGGGAGGAGTGTGTCTGGAGCCTACTTTTTTGGCCTTGGCTATTTGGACTGCATTATCTTCTAACTGTCCTTGAAGTGAGCTGCTAGGCAGAGAAAAACTTGTTCTTTTCTTTTTAACCTTTGCTTTGCCACATTCTGGGCCTTAGCTTTTACTTTTCTTGGAGTGAATAAATGCAGTACTTATTATTATTTTAAATATCTGCCTCAGTTTCCCCTCTTTGGTGCCTTTTATAAAAGAAGTTTAATAGGAGGTATCACTATTACTTAGTTCTGCCTGAAGAGACAAGTTTTCTTCTTTAGACAAAGGTTGATATTTAAGCAGAGCCATTAGCTGAGTGGTAGTTTGCCTAGCTACTATTGTCTCTATAGTTGATTGAATGCTTCTAACAAAGAGAAGGAAGAGACAAGGGAGTATTAGGCAACTTCCTAGTATGGCCAGAACCACTCCTATTAAAGTCTTGGACCTTCTGAAAAATGAAAACTGGCCTACAAAGAGAGAATCTGGGGACCACATTTTCCAGGTTTGAACTGGAACATGGGCTAATTTTCTCATTCTTGCAGTTATTTACATAATTGCTTTTCCATTGTCATTGATTTCCAGACAACAATTAGTTAGATTGAACTTTCCACATACTCCTCCTTCCTGGGCTAGGATGTAGTCTATAAAGCTAATCTGTTCTGATAGATAGTGTTTCTCATTTTTGTGGTTTGCTGGGCCAGTAAATCTAATGCATTTGCTGCTTCATTAGTGATTATTTCAAGTACTGCCTGCAACCTTATGACGTGGTGAAGCATGTAAATAGGAGTGCGGTATCCCTATGATCCATCTTGTGCCCAGGTAGCTGGCCCATAGTATTGAATTATTTTTTCAGGGGGCTCATCTGTGTCTTTTTAATATCCTATTTTTATATCTCTCTTTATGTCTGCATCTCTTTTGTTTCTTCTTCTAAGTTCATCATACACAGGATCCCCTAAAGTTTTTCTCTATTGCAGTGGGAGTAGGAATAAAGATGGTCTAATTGTTCTAAGCACACAGGCCCCTGCCCATTTAACTGGCAACTGTTGATATGCCCATAGCCCACAGATCCAATAAAGACTGGGGGTTGCTTGCCAAGTATTTGGAGATTCAAGTTGATACCAAGTGTGGTTTAGAGAAGAGAAACGGGAGAACAGATTTGGATAAGGTGCTCTGTAGTCATCTGTGCCCTGCCACAAAGTTTTCCTTAATGTTTCATTGTAATATTGCCATCCTAAGCAGGTTATTTCTCCTACTGGGTCTGTAAAAGCCTTTCCTCAGCGAGCAACAAAGTATCTTCTAATAATAGAAGTTTTTAAGAGCCAGACGCTTGAACTTGTGGGCATCTGTTTGGGGAAAGAGTCACTCAGAGTAAAGTTATCTTGAGGCATTAACTTTTTTGCTTCCCAAGGCCATTGGTCTCCTATGTTAGTCCTTCCACAAACATAACATGAGCAAATGCCTAGGCTGCTGACAATGTTTTCAACCAGCTGAATAAATAGGTTTTTGGCTAAAGGAGGAGGCTCTGGTAACTTCTGGTTTATATGCTCAAAGAATGACTTAAAGACCCATAATTGTTGCTGGGCTGACTGGTTGGTTTGAGTCCTGTTTAGAATATATAGTTATTTTAGCTTTTTGACCATAGCTTTGTAATGCCATGAAGTAACCTGTAGTCCATATAGGTACATCTGGCTTTAAGATAGTAAGATTTACAGGATTGCAAGTGCTTGTCTTACAATTCGGTTTTGCTGCTACTCTGATGAGCAAGATTGGCTTGGCCTTGGTGATGATGTGTCAGTGAACTGCGTTGTGCAGTTCGGGTAAGCTATTGCTAGGGCCTTGGAAGGATAAACAGGGGGTGCACATACAATTTTGTACTGGCAATTTGTATAATACCTTGTAGGACCAGAGATTGTGAGATGCGTTTGGTTCATGGATGTTAACTGACAAATATCAAAGTATATGGATATAGCTCCCCACTCTGGAAAGAGAGGCTTGGGTTTGACTTACAAGACTTCCTTCTTTTGACTTGGTATGAATCTCAAATTAAGTCCCAGGTAAAGACTTAGGGTCATAACATATATAAGGCTGGCCATTTCCTGGGTCACAAATTGAATAGGTGGTCTGATTATAAGTACAAGCTCCTAAGTGAGTCCTTGTACACTCATAATAAGTATAGTACAATAGGGTTCTAGTTATATTGTTCCCTGACCAAGTAGTATGTTACAGTGGGGACACCCTTCTTTTTTTTTTCTTTTTTCCTCTTTTTCTTTTTTTTATTTAATGGTTTTATATTACTATTATTATTATTATACTTTAAGTTTTAGGATACATGTGCACAATGTGCAGGTTAGTTACATATGTATACATGTGTCATGCTGGTGTGCTGCACCCATTAACTCGTCATTTAGCATTAGGTATATCTCCTAAAGCTATCCCTCACCCCTCCCCCCACCCCACAACAGTCCCCAGAGTGTGATGTTCCCCTTCCTGTGTCCATGTGTTCTCATTGTTCAATTCCCACCTATGAGTGAGAATATACGGTGTTTGGTTTTTTGTTCTTGCGATAGTTTACTGAGAATGATGATTTCCAATTTCATCCATGTCCCTACAAAGGACATGAACTCATTATTTTTTATGGCTGCATAGTATTCCATGGTGTATATGTGCCACATTTTCTTAATCCAGTCTATCATTGATGGACTTTTGGGTTGGTTCCAAGTATTTGCTATTGTGAATAGTGCCACAATAAACATACATGTGCATGTGTCTTTATAGCAGCATGATTTATAGTCCTTTGGGTATATACCCAGTAATGGGATGGCTGGGTCAAATGGTATTTCTAGTTCTAGATCCTTGAGCAATCACCACACTGACTTCCACAATGGTTGAACTAGTTTACAGTCCCACCAACAGTGTAAAAGTGTTCCTATTTCTCCATATCCTCTCCAGCACCTGTTGTTTCCTGACTTTTTAATGATTGCCATTGTAACTGGTGTGAGATGGTATCTCATTGTGGCTTTGATTTGCATTTCTCTGATGGCCAGTGATGGTGAGCATTTTTTCATGTGTCTTTTGGCTGCATAAATGTCTTCTTTTGAGAAGTGTCTGTTCATGTCCTTCACCTACTTTTTGATGGGGTTGTTTGTTTTTTTCTTGTAAATTTGTTGGAGTTCATTGTAGATTCTGGATATTAGCCCTTTGTCAGATGAGTAGGTTGCAAAAATTTTCTCCCATTTTGTAGGTTTCCTGTTGACTCTGATGGTAGTTTCTTTTGCTGTGCAGAAGCTCTTTAGTTTAATGAGATCCCATTTGTCAATTTTGGCTTTTGTTGCCATTGCTTTTGGTGTTTTAGACATGAAGTCCTTGCCCATGCCTATGTCCTGAATGGTAATGCCTAGGTTTTCTTCTAGGGTTTTTATGGTTTTAGGTCTAATGTTTAAGTGTTTAATCCATCTTGAATTAATTTTTGTATAAGGTGTAAGGAAGGGATCCAGTTTCAGCTTTCTACGTATGGCTAGCCAGTTTTCCCAGCACCATTTATTAAATAGGGAATCCTTTCCCGATTGCTTGTTTTTCTCAGGTTTGTCAAAGATCAGATAGTTGTAGACATGCAGCATTATTTCTGAGGTCTCTGTTCTGTTCCATTGATCTATAGCTCTGTTTTGGTACCAGTACCATGCTGTTTTGGTTACTGTAGTCTTGTAGTATAGTTCGAAGTCAGGTAGCATGATGCCTCCAGCTTTTTTCTTTTGGCTTAGGAGTGACTTGGTGATGCGGGCTCTTTTTTGGTTCCATATGAACTTTTAAGTAGTTTTTTCCAATTCTGTGAAGAAAGTCATTGGTAGCTTGATGGGGATGGCATTGAATCTGTAAAGTACCTTGGGCAGTATGGCCATTTTCACGATATTGATTCTTCCTACCCATGAGCATGGAATGTTCTTCCATTTGTTTGTCTCCTCTTTTATTTCATTGAGCAGTAGTCTGTAGTTCTCCTTGGAGAGGTCCTTCACATCCCTTGTAAGTTGGATTCCTAGGTATTTTATTTTCTTTGAAGCAATTGTGAATGGAATTTCACTCATGATTTGGCTCTTTGTTTGTCTGTTATTGGTGTATAAGAATGCTTGTGATTTTTGTACATTGATTTTGTATCCTGAGACTTTGCTGAAGTTGCTTAGCAGCTTAAGGAGATTTTGGGCTGAGACAATGGGGTTTTCTAGATATACAATCATGTCATCTGCAAACAGGGACAATTTGACTTCCCCTTTTCCTAATTGAATACCCTTTATTTCCTTCTCCTGCCTAATTGCCCTGGCCAGAACTTCCAACACTATGTTGAATAGGAGTGGTGAGAGAGGGCATCCCTGCCTTGTGCCAGTTTTCAAAGGGAATGCTTCCAGTTTTTGCCCATTCAGTATGACATTGGCTGTGGGTTTGTCATAGATAGCTCTTATTATTTTCAGATATGTTCCATCAATGCTTAGTTTATTGAGAGTCTTTAGCATGAAGGGTTGCTGAATTTTGTCAAAGGCCTTTTCTTCTTCTATTGAGATAATCATGTGGTTTTCATCTTTGGTTCTGTTTATATGCTGGATTACATTTGTTGATTTGCCTATATTGAACCAGCCTTGCATCCCAGGGATGAAGCCCACTTGATCATGGTGGATAAGCTTTTTGATGTGCTGCTAGATTTGGTTTGCCAGTATTTTATTGAGGATTTTTGCATCAATGTTCATCAAGGATATTGGTCTAAAATTCCCTTTTTTGGTTGTGTCTCTGCCAGGCTTTGGTATCAGGATGATGCTGGCCTCATAAAATGAGTTAGGGAGGATTCCCTCTTTTTCTATTCAGTGGAATAGTTTCAGAAGGAATGGTACCAGTTCCTCCTTGTACCTCTCGTAGAATTCGGCTGTGAATCCATCTGGTCCTGGATTCTTTTTGGTTGGTAAGCTATTGATTATTGCCACAATTTCAGATCCCATTATTGGTCTTTTCAGAGATTCAACTTCTTCCTGATTTAGTCTTGGGAGGTTGTATGTGTCGAGGAATTTATCCATTTCTTCTAGATTTTCTAGTTTATTTGAGTAGAGGTCTTTATATTATTCTCTGATGGTAGTTTGTATTTCTGGGGGATTGGTGGTGATATCCCCTTTATCATTTTTTATTGCGTGTATTTGATTCTTCTCTCTTTTCTTCTTTATTTGTCTTGCTAGCAGTCTATCAATTTTGTTGATACTTTCACAAAACCAGCTGCTGGATTCATTAATTTTTTGAAGAGTTTTTTTGTGTTTCTATGTCCTTCAGTTCTGCTCTGATTTTAGTTATTTCTTGCCTTCTGCTAGCTTCGGATTGTGTTTGCTCTTGCTTTTCTAGTTCTTTTAATTGTGATGTTAGGGTGTCAATTTTGGATCTTTCCTGCTTTCTCTTGTGGGCATTTAGTGCTATAAATTTCCCTCTACACACTGCTTTGAATGTGTCCCAGAGATTCTGGTATGTTGTGTCTTTGTTCTCGTTGGTTTCAAAGAACATCTGTATTTTTGCCTTCATTTCGTTATATACCCAGTAGTCATTCAGGTGCAGGTTGTTCAGTTTCCATGTAGTTGAGCGGTTTTGAGTGAGTTTCTTAATCCTGAGTTCTAGTTTGATTGCACTGTGGTCTGAGAGACGGTTTGTTATAATTTCTGATCTTTTACATTTGCTGAGGAGTGCTTTACTTCCAACTATGTGGTCAATTTTGGAATAGGTGTGATGTGGTGCTGAAAAAAATGTATATTCTGTTGATTTGGGGTGGAGAGTTCTGTTGATGTCTATTAGGTCTGCTTGGTGCAGAGCTGCATTGAATTCCTGGGTATCCTTGTTAACTTTCTGTCTCGTTGTTCTGTCTAATGCTGACAGTGGGGTGTTAAAGTCTCCCAATATTATTGTGTGGGAGTCTAAGTCTCTTTGTAGGTCACTCAGGACTTGCTTTATGAATCTGGGTGCTCCTGTATTGGCTGCATATATATTTAGGATAGTTAGCTCTTCTTGTTGAATTGATCCCTTTACCATTATGTAATGGCCTTCTTTGTCTCTTTTGATCTTTGTTGGTTTAAAGTCTGTTTTATCCGAGAGTAGGATTGCAACCCCTGCCTTTTTTTGTTTTCGATTTGCTTGGTAGATCTGCCTCCATACTTTTATTTTGAGCCTATGTGTGTCTCTGCATGTGAGATGGGTTTCCTGAATACAGCACACTGATGGGTCTTGATTCTTTATCCAATTTGCCATTCTGTGTCTTTTAATTGGAGCCTTTAGTCCATTTACATTTAAAGTTAATATTGTTATGTATGAATTTGATCCTGTCATTATGATGTTAGCTGGTTATTTTGCTCAATAATTGATGCAGTTTCTTCCTAGCCTCGCTGGTCTTTACAATTTGCTATGATTTTCCAGTGGCTGGTGCTGGTTGTTCCTTTCCATGTTTAGTGCTTCCTTCAGGAGCTCTTTTAGGGCAGGCCTGGTTGTGACAAAATCTCTCAGCATTTGCTTGTCTGTAAAGTATTTTATTTCTCTTTCACTTATGAAGCTGAGTTTGGCTGGATATGACATTCTGGGTTGAAAATTCTTTTGATTAAGAATGTTGAATATTGGCCCCCACTCTCTTCTGGTTTGTAGAGTTTCTGCCGAGAGATCCGCTCTTAGTCTGATGGATTTCCCTTTGTGGGTAACCCGACCTTTCTCTCTGGCTGCCCTTAATATTTTTTCCTTCATTTCAACTTTGGTGAATCTGACAATTATGTGTCTTGGTGTTGCTCTTTTCGAGGAGTATCTTTGTGGCGTTCTCCGTATTTCCTGAATCTAAACGTTGGCCTGCCTTGCTAGATTGGGGAAGTTCTCCTGGATAATATCCTGCAGAGTGTTTTCCAACTTGGTTCCATTCTCCCTGTCACTTTCAGGTACACCAGTCAGACGTAGATTTGGTCTTTTCACGTAGTCCCCTATTTCTTGGAGGCTTTGTTCATTTTTTTAATTCTTTTTTCTCTAAACTTCCCTTCTCACTTCATTTCATCTTCCATCACTGATATGCTTTCTTCCAGTTGATCGCATTGGCTCCTGAGGCTTCAGCATTCTTCACGTAGTTCTCGAGCCTTGGCTTTCAGCTCCATCAGCTCCTTTAAGTCCTTCTCTGTATTGGTTATTGTAGTTATAAGTTCTTCTAAATTTTTTCAATGTTTTCAACTTCTTTGCCTTTGGTTTGAATTTCCTCTTGTAGCTGAGAGTAGTTTGATTGTCTGAAGCCTTCTTCTCTCAACTCGTCAAAGTCATTCTCCATCCAGCTTTGTTCCGTTGCTGGTGAGGAGCTTCGTTCCTTTGGAGGAGGAGAGGCACTCTGCTTTTTAGAGTTTCCAGTTTTTCTGCTCTGTTTTTTCCCCATCTTTGTGGTTTTGTCTAGTTTTGGTCTTTGATGATGGTGATGTGCAGATGGGTTTTTAGTGTGGATGTCCTTTCTGTTTCTTATTTTTCCTTCTAACAGACAGGACCCCCAGCTGCAGGTCTGTTGGCGTTTTCTAGAGGTCCACTCTAGACCCTGTTTGCCTGGGTACCAGCAGAGGTGGCTGCAGAACAGCAGATTTTCGTGAACCGAGAATGCTGCTGTTTGATTGTTCCTCTGGAAATTTTGTCTCGGAGGAGTACCCGGCCGTGTGAGGTGTCAGTCTGCCCCTACTGGGGGGTGCCTCCCATTTAGGCTGCTCGGGGGTCAGGGGTCAGGGACCCACTTAAGGAGGCAGTCTGCCCATTCTCAGATCTCCAGCTGCGTGCTGGGAAAACCACTGCTCTGTTCAAAGCTGTCAGACAGGGACATTTAAGTCTGCGGCGGTTACTGCTGTCTTTTTGTTTGTGCCCTGCCCCCAGAGGTGCAGCCTACAGATGCAGGCAGGCCTCCTTGAGCTGTGGTGGGCTCCACCCAGTTCGAGCTTCCCAGCTGCTTTGTTTACCTAAGCAAGCCTGGGCAATGGCGGGCACCTCTCCCCCGGCCTCACTGCCACCTTGCAGTTTGATCTCAGACTGCTGTGCTAGCAATCAGCGAGACTCTGTGGGCATAGGACCCTCTAAGCCAGTTGCGGGATATAATCTCCTGGTGCGCCGTTTTATAAGCCCATCGGAAAAGGGCAGTATTGGGGTGGGAGTGACCTGATTTTCCAGGTGCTGTCTGTCACCCCTTTCTTTGACTAGGAAAGGGAACTCCCTGACCCCTTGCACTTCCCGAGTGAGGCAATGCCTCGCCCTCCTTCAGCTCGCACGTGCTGCACTGCACCCACTGTCCTGCGCCCACTGTCTGGCACTCCCTAGTGAGATGAACCCAGTACTTCAGATGGAAATGCAGAACTCACCCGTTTTCTGCATCGCTCATGCTGGGAGCTGTAGACTGGAGCTGTTCCTATTCGACCATCTTGGCTCCATCCCCCTGATTCTGTTGGGGACACCCTTCTGTAGGTGTTTCTTCTAGCATGGTTAAGTGGGGTGACAATGACAAAACAATGTACACTATATTCATATCCAGCAAGGACAAAAGAGGTCCTTACCTGGGATAAAGGTTGAGCATAGTGACAGAACATTAGTAAAACAGTTAGTATACGGGAATACCACTAGTCCTAAGAAGATTTCTAACTACATTACTTGCTTGATGAGTCCTTAAGCTTCGGCTGTGCATAGACTAGTCAGCTTCTGGTGTGTGTCTACAACAGAGCTTGTTGTTTCCTTAAGTTTCAGCTGTGTATAGACTGGTCAGCCTCCGGAGTGACCAGAGCAGGGCTTTCACCCTCAGCAGCAGCTTGGTCTCATCTCAGGATCAGCCAGGTTGGGTGATCTGGGTCCTGCTAGCTGGTTCACTTGTCCTGAGCTGCTGGTTTTAGCTGACTGTGGTGGATCCAAGACACAACACCTGCAACTTTAACAGCAGTGGGAGTGGGGAGTGGACAAGGTTAAAATATAGGGCCCATCCTATGTGGATTGTAGAGAAATTAGATTCTACTTTTTAACCTGAACAGAGTCACCAGATTTAAAGGGATGTGAGGCTTACACGCATTTTCATGTACCTAATTATGAACACTTTGTATGGTTATTCCTAAAGCCTGCATTTGCTTTCTTAAGGCTAATTTCCCTAGTTCCTGGGGGTCACCTTTAATTTGAGCTATGATTTGGGGGTGGCTGACCAAACAAAATCTTATAGAGCAAATACCCAGTTTATTTGGTGGGGGTGCACCTGACTCGGAGGAGGACCATAGGCAAAAACCTGATGCTATCTCTAATGAATTTCCTGGCAATATTTCTTCAGTAGCTGCTTGAGTGTCCAGTTCATACGTTCTACCTTTTCCTGAACTTTGCAGCTGATACGCTGTATGTAACTTTCATTTTATTTTTAACAGTCTTGTTAAATTTTGCACTATTTCAGCTACAAATGCTGGCCCATTGTCTGAATATAAAGTTAGAGGCAGTCCAAACCTGGGGATAATGTTTTTTAACCGTACTTTAGTCACTTCTTGTACTTTTTCTGTCCTGGTGGGGAAAGCTTCAACCTGCCCTGAAAAGGTGCAATCAAGCACTAGCATGTACCAGTAGCTGGCACGGGGCAGTTCTGTAAAGTCTATAAGCAAGTTTTCACAAGGCATGGCTCCTCCTCCTGTTCAGTTTCCCAGAGGAGGGGTTCTTTTTCTCCTCTTTTGTAACTCCATCTAGTGGCTTAGCCATCAGTGAGAAACTGGAATCCAGATATAGCAGAATCCTGCTGCTTTTAACTTCTAATGTGACTGTGGGCTCCTGAAAGCCTAATGAGAAGGTGCTCGGTCTGTCCAAGTCCTTACATCCTTCAGCTTCTGCCAGCCTGATCAGATCAGTATTTGGTTTCTCCAAGGTGTGGCAGCCCTTGGCCAATGGCCTCTTTGTCTCGTGGCCTTGGCCATTTCCCTCATTGCCTTCTGAACATTCATCCTTCCAGTGTCCTTTCTTTTTTCATCTCACACATTAATCTCTTTCTAGCCTTGTCCTGCTCTTGAATCCTTGCCTAACTTGACTTCTTCCACCTCTATGTCTGTGTCCACTGTGTTCTTTCACATTGCTAATCTCTCTTTCTATAATAGCTGTTGCCAACAATTGACCTTTTTCTTAAGCCTTCAATTTACTTTCCTTTTTCCTTCCTGAGTTCTCCTGCTCCTGCAGCCAGCCAGTGGGGCTGGGCATTGGCACGGGCCCTGCCCCTGCACACTGCCATCTGTCTCTCCTGTTTCTTTCTGATTTCCCTTTTACTTTCTTCTTTCCTTTCTCACACTTACTCTTACTTTCTCCTTTCCTTCTTCCTTGCTCTTCTCCTGGCGTCGGTTCCCAGGCCCCTCTTTTTCCAGATAAAGCTGGGCTGGGGAGAGGGACTTAACCCTTGGCATGCCTAGCTGCTGTGCTTGTTGCTTTTGCTCTTTCCCATTTTGTTCCCTGGTCACAGTTAACATACACCTTTGTGGCCACTTTTATAGACTGGGTGGTATTCATGCCTGCAACTTCTGCTTGATGTCACCCTGGGCTTGCCCTACAAATGAAGTATTTACCATATGCTGATGTTCAGCAGAGTTAAATGGGGTGTAAAGCCAGAATGCTTCACAGAATACCTCATAAAACTGACTTAGGCTCTCGTCAGCTCCCTGAAGCACTTCTGAAATCTTCCTTATATTAATTGCTTTCCTTCTACCAACTCTTAGCCCCTGCAGAAGTGCCTCTAGCTAACTCTGCAAATGCTGGAGCTGAGTTGCATCCTCTGGGTCCCAGGTGGGATCCTGGTCATCATAACAGATAAGTCCTTGCATCTTCCTGAGAGGCATTTGCATAGCTTGAGCACAGCCAGATCTGAGACGGCCCACTTGACTCTCTTGACTTCTTTCCGTGGCCTCTCGGGGCTCTGATCCTCCCTTTCGAGGTGAGATCTGGGGGGTGTTAGCTCCTGAATCTGTTTCCTGGGGGGCTGTTGGTCTTGGTAAAAGGGGGGTAGGCTGGGACGTATGGAGAAAGAATTTCTGTTACCTCTGGAGGCTCCTGTAAAACTGGCTTCTCTTGCTCTCTCTAGGATTCTCCCTTTAACTCTGTGTCTGCTGGCAAAGCTGCTCTTACTTTCACTTTTGGCTTTTTTGCTATAAGCCATTAAACAGGGCTGGATCTATGCCAGTTTTGTCTGTATTGTATTTAACCATGAGTCAACATAAAGGAATTTATCTGGGTACACTGGCTGTCCTCTGACCCCTGCCACCACCTTAAATACATGGCCAATTGTTCCTTGTCTATAGTTCCTTCGGTCGGCCATCCAACACCAAAAGTGGGCCATTCTAATTCACAGAGAGTTCTCAACCTCTTAGGGGTTAACTTAACTGTATAATCCCCTGCAAAACCTTTCTTAAGGTTCCGTAACATGCACTCTAGTAGAGTAAGTTTTGATGTTTTGATGACTTTCCTCCCATTCCTCCTTTTACGACACAGCACATTCACTCTTGCACACTCACCCTCTCGTTTTGGCCGGTTACACCGTCTCCTATTATGGGATTTTTCAGATGCTGCTTGACTTTGGAGAGGTTCTTATTCCTACTACAACTCTGACCTGTAGGGCAGCTCCTATTAGCTGTATGCAGATTTCCACTAGTCTTAGTCAGCCCCACACTTTCTTGGAGCACACAGTCCACATTAAGATCTGTGACTCCCCACTTTGCAGCTGATGAGCCTAATTAGGTCCCTGCATTCACACACTTTCACACACTTTTAGTTCTCATGTTTGCAATCGGGGTGGTGAGCCACTCTTGCCCCCTCTAGTTTTGCAGTTGGGGTGGCAAGCCACTCTTGCCACCTCCAGTTCCCAGTTGGGGTGGAGAGCCACTCTTGCCACCTCTAGTTCCCAGTTGGGGTGGCACGCCACTCTCACCACCTCCAGATTACTAGCTGACTTAGTGAGCCACTCTCGTGTCCTGTGTCGGTGGGGTGTGAGTTTCATCTGAATTGGTGAGTCACTCTCATCACCCCCAGCCCCTGTGGGTCAAACTATTCAGCACACCCCAGGAGGTGATCAGGCTCCCCTTCTGTCCAAGGGATGGGTCCTGCCTTAGGCCTCCAAAACCTTACCGCAGTTCCTGAAGCACGCTGTTTTTGAATTCATCCTGTAGTCTCTCTTTAGGTTCCATGGTGCTGCTGGGTAGGGGCACTGGGTCAGGGGAGAGCTGATCTCCCTTCTGGGCTGAAGTCCTCCCGGTGGTGCCTGGGGTCACAGGTTTCCTGAGGCCCGTGCTCCAACCCCAGAGGCAAAGGAGACAGTAAGCCTGCTGTCTCCATTCACTTCGTGGTCACCAAAAATGTTGTAAACTGAGGAATGGTGAGACCAATACCGAGTACAGGAGGATTTGTTTATTTTAGGCACACACTGGCTCAGAGGATTCACGTCCAAAAGCTGATCCCTGAACAAAGACAGAGTGGGGTTTTTATAAGCAGCCTTACAGAAGCAAAATAAAAGCAGTAGCAAAATAAAAGCAGTTAATCATACAGTAATAGGTCACATAATCTATAGCATAACATTAACTTGTGACCTAGCCTGTGGCCTTGTAGCTGCATTAAAAGAAAAACAAGAGCTGGCTAAATACAGATATTTGTAAAACCTAATCATGCTATTCATGCTTAAGAAGCCTGGAAAAAGAGTACCATAAAAGAACCTTTCTCTTTATTTTCTTTCAGCCTTGCTCTGGAAGGGAGGGGGTGTGTCTGCAGCCTATTTTTTTGGCCTTGGCTATTCCAACAGAGTTATCATCTAACTGTCCTTGAAATGAGCTGCTAGGTGAAGGAAAACTTGTTCTTTTTTTTTAACCTTTGCCTTGCCACATTCTGGGCCTTAGCTTTTACTTTTCTTGGAGTGAATAAATGCAGTACTTATTATTATTATTATTTTAAATTTCTGCCTCATGGCAACTACTATTTTTTCTGTATCTATGAATTTGACTACTCTAGACACCTCCTATAAGGGGAATCATAAAGTATTTGTCTCTTTGTATCTGGCTTATTTCACATAGCATAATGTCCTCAAGGTGCATCCAAGTTGTAGCATGTATTAGCATTTACCTCCTTGAGGCTGAATAATATTCAATTGTATGCATGTACCACATTTTGCTTATCCATTTAGTACTCAATAAACACTTGGGTCATTTCTATGTTTTAGCTATTTAGAATAATGCTGCTATTAACATGGGGGTACAAATATCTCTCAAAGTCCCTGCTTTCATTTTTTTGAGTATATAGCCAGAAATGGATTCACTGGATTACATGGTAACTCTGTTTTTGATTTTTCAAAGTTATTGCCATGCTGTTTTCCACAGTGGCTGTACTATTTTACTTTCTGAGCAGCAGCGCACAAGGGTTTCAACTTTTCCACTTCCTTACTAATATTTGTTATTTTCTTTTTCTTTTTAATATTAACAACCCTAATGGAAGTGAAGTGTTATCTTGCAGTTTTGACTTGCATTTCCCTAATGATTAATGACGTTGAATATCTTTGCTATTTGTGTGTCTCCTTTGGAGAAATGTCCATGCAAATCCTTTGTCTATTTTTGAATAAGGTTATTTGTTTTCTTTTATTGCTGTTGAGTTTTAGGAGTTCTCTATATATTCTGGATATTAATCTCATATTAGATACACGAGTTGCAAATATTTCCTCTCATTGTGTACATTGCCCTTTTACTTTGTTAATATAGTCTTTTGATTTAAAGACATTTAAAATTATTCTTGGGCAGTTTCCCTCAGCTTTGTCTGACGGAAGCTGCTGGGCTTCTGCTTCCAGCTGGTGGAGGGTGAGGCATTGCCAATAGTGGCCAGGCATCCAGTGCTGGTAGCCTGCATCTGTGCCCCACCCGCAGCACCCTGAGCCCACTATTTCTGCCGTAGGCAGCCCAACCAGCGGCCGAGATGTAGGCCATCAAGTATGTGGTGGTGGGAGATGGAGCTGTAGGGAAAACTTACCAACTCATCAGTGATCAGCTATACAACCTGGAGAATATATCCCTATTGTCTTTGACAATCACTATGCCAGTGTTATGTTAAATGGGAAACCGGTGAATCTGGGTGTATGAGATACAAGTGGACAAGAAGATTACACAGGTGGACAGATTATGACCCCCACCCCCGTTCCTATCCACAAACAGATGAATTCTTAATTTGCTTTTCCCTTGTGAGTCCTGCGTCATTAGAAAATGTCCATGCCAAGTGGTGTCCTGAAGTGCAGCACCATTGTCACAACACTCCCATCATCCTTGTGGGAACTAAACTTGATCTTAGTGAGAGAAATACAAGACTGAAACACTGAAGAAGAAGAAGCAGACTTCCATCACCTAACGGCAGGGTTTAGGTACTGTAAAATACCTGGAGTGTTCAACCAGGCCTCAAAATAGTGTTTGACGAAGCTATGCAAGCCGTTTTCTCCTGACCTCCCTTGAAGTAGAGGAAGAGAAAATGCCTGCTCTTGTCGATATCCGAGCCCCTTGTTCTTGGTCCTGTCACTGGAACTTTTGTTAAAAAACAGCAAAACAAAACAAAATAAAAAACAAAACAAAACAACAACTAAAAACCCCAAAGCACAAAAAAACCTGTGGAGCCTTTGCACCCAGTACCGAGTTTTTGTTACAAATCATTTTTTCCATAAAAGCATTTTGAATCAATCAATAATTTTAAGGGTTTTCTTGTTGTAAATGTGGAGTTTAGATTCACATTCTATTAAAATGTAGTCCTAAAATTGAAAAAAAAGTTCAAGAGTTTTGCCTATTTTTTCTTTAGTTTCCTGTGCTTTTGGTGTCATATCCAAGAAATTGTTGCCAAATCCAATGCCATGAAGCTTTTGTCTTATGGTTTTTTCTAAGAGTTTATAGTTTTAGGTGTTACATTTCAGTCTTTGATCAATTTTGAGTTATTTTTTGTATATGATATTAGGTAAAAGTGCAACCTCATTCTTTTGCAAGTGGATATCCAGTTTTCTAAGCAGCGTTTGTTGAAAAGAATGTCTTTTCTCTCTTGAATGGTCTTGGCACCCTTGTGAAAATCATTAGACCTTAAATGTGAGAGTTTATTTCTGGGTATCCTCTTCTATTTGATTGGTCTACATATCTATCTTTATGCCAATATTACATTGTTTCTTTTTTCTTTTTCTTTTCTTTTTTTACTGACCCATTGGTAGACATACACTTTTAATTACCGTAGCTTTGTAGTAAGTTTTGAACTCAGGTAAATCCTCTGGGTTTGTTCTTCTACATGATTGTTTAGGCTATTCACAGCCCCTTGAAATTATTCATAAATTTTAGAATGGATTTTTCTATTTCTGCCAAAAAGTCATTGGGATTTTGATAGAGATTGTACTAAAATTGTAGATTGCTATGGTAGTATTGAGATCTTAACAATATTTAGTCTTCCAATTCATGAACATAGGATGTTGTTCCATTTATTTATATTTCCTTTAATTTCTTTGGAAATATTTTACAGTCCTTGACTTTCTTGGTTAAGTTAATTTTGAAGTACTTTATTCTTTTTGATGCTACTGGAAATAGAATTGTTTTCTTAATTTCCTTTTCAAATTGTTCATTGTTACTGTATAGAATTTGTAACACACAGATTTTGGTGTGTTCTCTCTGTATTCTACTACTTTGCTGAATTAATTTAATTAGTTCTAAAATTTTTTTGTTGAATCTTTGGGTCTTTCTACATGTAAGATTCTATCATCCATGAACAGAGATAATTTTGTTTCCTTTCTGATTTGGATGACTTTTATTTATCTTGCTTACTTGCTCTGGCTAGGACTTCCATTGTTATGTTGAAGAAGTGGTGAAAGTGACACCCTTGCTTTGCTGTATGTTTTTAACATAGGCTTGTATTATATTGAGATAGCTTCCTTCTATTCCTAGTTTGTTGAGTGTTTCTATCATAAAAAGGGTGTTAAATTTTGTAATTTTCTTTCTTTTTTTGAGACAGAGTGTCACTTTGTCGCCCAGGCTACAGTGCAGTGGTGTGATCTCGGCTCACTGCAAGCTCCGCCTCCCAGGTTCACACCATTCTCCTGCCTCAGCCTCCAGAGTAGCTGGGACTACAGGCGCCCGCCAGCACGCCCGGGGAAATTTTTTGTAATTTTTGTAGAGACGGGGTTTCACCATGTTAGCCAGGATGGTCTTGATCTCCTGACTTCGTGATCCACCTGTTTCGGCCTCCCAAAGTGCTGGGATTACAGGCGTGAACTACTGCACCTGGCCAATTTTGTAATTTTTCTGCTTTGAGATTATGTGTTTTTTTCCCTTCTTTTTGTTGATGTGATTATTACACTGATCAATTTTCATATGTTGAACCATCCTTTCGTTCAAGAAATAAATTTCGCTTGATTAGAGTGTACAATCCTTTTAATATGCTCAATTTGGTTTGCTAGCATTTTGTTGGTGATTTTTGCATCAATGTTTACATGGGATATCTGTAGTTTTCTTATAGTGTCTTTGTCTGGCTTTGGTGTTAGATTAATGCTGGCCTCTTAAAAAGAGGATTATTTTCTTCTCTTCAATTTTTTTGAAAAATCTTGAGAAAGACTGGCATCAGTTCTTTAATGTTTGCTATAATTTACCAGTGAAGCCATTAGGTTCATGACCTTTCTTTGTTAAGAGGTAATTGATTACTGATTCAATTTTCTTACTATTTATAGAGCTATTCAGATTTTTTTGTTTCTTCATTGCTTAGTTGGTAGGTTTTGTTTCCAGGGACTTGTTCATTTCATTTAGGTTATCCAATTTGTTCTCATACAGTTGTCCATAGTACTCTCATATTCCATTTTATTTCTGTAGAATGAATAGTAATCTCCTTTCTATCATTTCTTATTTTAGTAATTTTGGCTTACTTTTTTTTTCTAGTCCATACAGTGAAAGTTTTGTCTTTTTTTTTTTTTTAAAGAGCCAACTTTCAGTTTTGTTGATTTTCAATTATTTTTCCATTCTCTATTTTGTTTATCTATGCTCTATTCTTTATTATTACCTTCCTTCTGATAGCTTTGAGTTTACTTTTTCTTCTTTTTCTGGTCTCTTAAATTGTAAAGTTAGGTTTTTTATTTCAGATCTTTCTTTTTTAATGTAAGCATTTATAGTCATAAATTCCTCTTTTAGCACTGTTTTTGCTGTGTTACATAAGTTTTGGTCCTTCCTTCTTTCCTCCCTCCCTCTCTCCCTCCCTCCCTCCCTTCCTTCCTTCTTCTCTCTCTTTCTTTTCTTTTCTCTTTTCTTTTCTTTCTCTCTCTCTCTCTCTCTCCCTTCCTTCCTTCCTTCCTTCCTTCCTTCCTTCCTTCCTTCCTTCCTTCCTTCCTTCCTTCCTTTCTTTTCTTTCCAAACTGGAGTGCAGTGGTGCAATCACTGCTCACTGCAGCCTCAAACTCACTGGGCTTTGGTGATCATGCCGCCTCAGCCTTCCAACTAGCTGGGACTACAGGCATGTTCCACCACACCCAACTAATTTTTGTATGTTTTTGTAGAGAAGGCCTTTTGTCACGTTGCCCAGGCTGGTCTTGAACTCCTGGGCTTAAGCAAACCACCTGCCTTGGACTCCCAAAGTGCTGGGATTACAGGCATGAGTCACTGCACCTGGCTTGTTTTCTTTATTTTCATTTATCTCTCTCTCTCTCTCTCTCTCTCTCTCTCTATATATATATATATATATATATATATACACACATAGGCTTGTATTATATTGAGATAGCTTCCTTCTATTCCTAGTTTGTTGAGTGTTTCTATCATAAAAAGGGTGTTAAATTTTGTAATTTTTTTTCTTTTTTTGAGACAGTGTCACTTTGTCACCCAGGCTACAGTGCAGTGGCATGATCTCAGCTCACATATATATATATACATATATATATGTATATATGTATATGTATATATATACATATAACTTTAAGTTCTGGGACACATGTGCAGAACGTGCAGGTTTGTTACATAGGTATACACGTGCCATGGTGGTTTGCTGCACCCATCAACCTATCATCTACGTTAGGAATTTCTCCTAATGTTATCCCTCCCCTAGCCCCACACCCTCTGACAAGCCCCAGTGTGTGATGTTCCCCTCCCTGTGTTCATGTGTACTCATTGTTCAACTCCCACCTGTGAGTGAAAACAAGGCGGTGTTTGGTTTTCTGTTCTTGTGTTAGTTTGCAAAAAATGATGTTTTCTATCTTCATCCATGTCCCTGCAAAGAACATGAGCTCATCCTTTTTATGGCTGCATAGTATTCCATAGTGTATATGTGCCACATTTTCTTTATCCAGTCTATCAGTAATGGGCATTTGGGTTGGTACCAAGTCTTTGCTATTGTGAACAGTGCCACAATAAACATACATGTGCATGTACCTTTATAGTAGAATGATTTATAATCCTTTGAATATATACCCAGTAATGGGATTGCTGGGTCAAATGGTATATCTGGTTCTAGATCCTTGAGGAATTGCCACACTGTCTTCCAAAATGGTTGAACCAATTTACACTCTCACCAACAGTGTAAAAGCATGCCTATTTCTCCACATCCTCTCCAGCATCTGTTGTTTCCTGACTTTTTAATGATTGACATTCTAACTGATGTGAAATAGTATCTCATTGTGGTTTTGATTTACATTTCTCTAATGACCAGTGATAATGAGCTTTTTTTCGTATATTTGTTGGCCACATAAATGTCTTCTTTTGAGAAGTGTCTGTTCATATACTCTGCCCACTTTTTAAAGAGGATATTTGTTTTTCTCTTGTAAATCTGTTTAACTTCTTTCTAGATTCTGGATATTAGCCCTTTGTCAGATGGATAGATTGCAAAACTTTTCTCCCATTCTGTAGGTTGCGTGTTCACTCTGATGATAGTTTCTTTTGCTGTGCAGATGCTCTTCAGTTTAATTAGATCCCATTTGTCAATTTTGCCTCTGTTGCCATTGCTTTTGGTGTTTTAGTCTTGAAGTCTTTGCCCATGCCTATGCCCTGAATGGTATTGCTTAGATTTTCTTCTAGGGTTTTTATGGTTTTAGGTTTGACATTTAAGTCTTTAATCCATCTACAGTTGATTTTTGTATAAGATGTAAGGAAGGTGTCCAGTTTCAGTTTTCTGCATATGGATAGCCAGTTCTCCCAACACCATTTATTAATAGGGAATAATTTCCCCATTGAATGTTTTTGTCAAGTTTGTCAAAGATCAGATAGTTGTAGATGTGTGATGTTATTTCTGGGGTATCCGTTCTGTTCCATTGGTCTTATATCTGTTTTGGCACCAGTGCCATGCTGTTCTGGTTACTGTAGCCTTGTAGTATAATTTGAAGTCAGGTAGCATGATGCCTCCAGCTTTGATCTTTTTGCTTAGGATTGTCTTGGCTATGAGGACTCTTTTTTGGTTCCATATGAACTTTAAATTAGTTTCTTCTAATTCTGTGAAGAAAGTCAATGGTAGCTTGATGGGGATAGCACTGAATCTATAAATTACTTTGGGCATTATGGCCATTTTCAGGATATTGATTTTTCCTATCCATGAGCATGGAATATTTTTCCATTTGTTTGTGTTCTCTCTTATTTCCTTGAGCAGTGGTTTGTAGTTCTCCTTGAAGAGGTCCTTCACATCTTTTGTAAGTTGTATTCCTAGGTATTTTATTCTGTTTGTAGCAATTGTGAATGGGGGTTCACTCATGATTTGGCTGTTTGTCTATTATTGGTGTATAGGAATGCTTGTAATTTTTGCATATTGATTTTGTATTCTGAGACTTTGTTGAAGTTGCTTATCTGCTTAAGGAGATTCTGGGCTGAGATGATGGGGTTTTCTAAATATACAATCCTGTCATCTGTAATGTAAACAGAGACAATTTGACTTCCTTTCTTTCTATTTGAATACCCTTTATTTCTTTTTCTTGCCTGATTGCCCTGGCCAGAACTTCCAATACTATGTTGAATAGGAGTGGTGAAAGAGGGCATCCTTGTGTTGTGCCAGTTTTCAAAGGGAATGCTTCCAGCTTTTGTCCATTCAGTATAATATTGGCTGTGAGTTTGTCATAAATAGCTTTTATTTTTTTGAGATACATTTCATACATACCCAGTTTATTGAGGATTTTTAGCATGAAGGGGTGTTGAATTTTATGGAACGTCTTTTCTGCATCTACTGAGATAATCATGTGGTTTTTGTCATTGGTTCTGTTTATGTGATGGATTACATTTTTTGATTTGCATATGTTGAACCAGACTTGCATCCCAGCAATGAAGCGAACTTGATCGTTGTGCATAAGCTTTTCAATATGCTAGTCGATTCAGTTTGCCAATATTTTATTAAGGATTTTCACATCAATATTCATCAGGTATATTGGCCTGAAATTTCCTTGTTGTTTTCATATCTCTGCCAGGTTTTTGTGTCTGGATGATGCTGGCCTCATAAAATCAGTTATGGAGGAGTCTATTTTTTTTCTATTTTTTTGGAATAGTTTTAGAAGGAGTGGTACCAGCTCCTCTCTGTACTGCTGGTAGAATTCAGCTGTTAATCTCTCTGGTCTCAGACTTTTTTTTTGTTGTTAGGCTATTAATTGCTTCCTCAATTTCAGAACTTGCTATTGGCCTATTCACGGATTTGACTTATTCCTGGTTTAGACTTGGGAGCGGGTGTGTGTCCAGGAGTTTATCCATTTCTTCTAGATTTTTTAGTTTATTTGCATAGAGGTGTTTATAGTATTCTCTGATGGGAGGTTTGTATTTCTGTAGGATCAGTGGTGATATTCCCTATGTCATTTTTTATTGTGTGTATTTGATTCTTCTCTCCATCCTTCTTTATTAGGCTGGTCTATCTATTTTGTTGATCTTTTCAAAACACCAACTGCTGGATTCATTGATTTCTTTTGAAGGGTTTTTCATGTCTCTGTCTCCTTTAGTTCTACTCTGATCTTAGTTATTTTTTGTATTCTGCTAGCTTTTGAATTTGTTTGCATTTGCTTCTCTAGTTCTTTCAGTTGTGATGTTAGGGTGTCAATTTTAGATTTTTTCTGCTTTCCCCTGTGGGCGTTTAGTGCTATAAATTTCTCTCTAAACACTGCTTTAGCTGTTTCCCAGAGATTCTGGTATGTTTTGTCTGTGTTTTCATTGGTTTCAAAGAACATCTTTATTTATGCCTTAATTTCATTATTTACCCAGTAGTGATTCAGGAGCAGGCTGTTCAGTTTCCATGCAGTTGTGAGTTTCTTAATTCTGAGTACTAATTTGATTGCACTGTGGTCTGAGAGACTGTTATGATTTTCATTCTTTTGCATTTGCTGAGGTGTTTTTTTATTTCAATTATGTGGTCAATTTTAGAATAAGTGCAATGTGGTGCTGAGAACAATGCATATTCTGTTGAATTCAGGTGGAGAGTTCTGTAGATGTCTATTAGGTCTGCTTGGTCCAGAGCTCAGTTCAAATCCTGAACATTCTGTTAATATTCTGTCTCGTCGATCTGTCTAATATTGACAGTGGGGTGTTAAGGTCTCCCACTGTTATTGTGTGGGAGTCTAAGTCTCTTTTTAGGTTTCTAAGAACTTTCTTTATGAATCTGGGTGCTTCTGTATTGGGTACACATATTTTTTGGATAGTTAGCTTTTCTTGTTGCACTAATCCCTTTACCATTATATAATGCTCTTCTTTGTTTCTTTTGATCTTTGTTTGTTTAAAGTCTGTTTTATCAGAGACTAGGATTGCAACCCCTGCTTTTTTTTTATTTCCATTTGCCTCATAAATATTCCTCCATTCCTTCATTTTAAGCCTATGTGTGTCTTTGCACATGAGATGTGTCTCCTGAATACAGCACATGGATGGGTCTTGACTCTGTCTAATTTTCTAGTCTGTGTCTTTTAATTGGGGCATTTAGCACATTTACATTTAAGGTTAATATTGTTATGTGTGTGTTTGATCCTGTCATTATGATGCTAGCTGGTTATTTTGCCCATTAGTTGATGCAGTTTCTTCATAGTGTCAATGGTCTTTACAATTTGGTATGTTTTTGCAGTGGCTGGTACCGATTGTTTCTTTCCATGTTTAGTGCTTCCTTCAGGGGCTCTTGTAAGATGGGCCTGGTGGTGACAAAATCTCTCAGCATTTGCTTGTCTGTAAAGGATTTTATTTCTCCTTCCTTTATGAAGCTTAGTTTGTCTGGATATGAAATTCTGGGTTGAAAATTCTTTTCTTTAAGGATGTTGAATATTGTCCCCCGCTGTGTTCTTGCTTGTATTCTTCTGCCAAAAGATCCGCTGTTAGTCTGATGGGCTTCCTTTTGTGGACAACCCAACCTTTCTCTCTGACTGCCCTTAACATTTTTTCCTTCATTTCAACATTGGTTAATTGGACAATTATGTGTCTTGGGGTTGCTCTTCTTGAGGAGTATCTTTGTGGTGTTCTCTGTATTTCCTGAATTTGAATGTTGGTCTGTCTTGCTAGGTTGGTGAAGTTCTCCTGGATAATATCCTGAAGAGTGTCTTCCAACTTTGTCCATTCTCCCCCTTACTTTCAGGTATAACAATCAAATGTAGGTTTGGTCTTTTTACATAGTCCCATATTTTTTGGAGGCTTTGTTTGTTCTTTCATTCTCTTTTCTCTAATCTTGTCTTCACACTTTTTTTCATTAAGTTGATTTTCAATCTCTGATATCCTTTCTTCCACTTGATTGATTTGGCTGTTGATACTTGTGTACACTTCACAAAGTTCTCGTGCTGTGTTTGTCAGCTCCATCAGGTCATTTATGTTCTTCTCTAAAATGGTTATTCTAGTTAGCAATTCACATAACTTTTTTTCAAGGTTCTTAGCTTCCTTGCATTAGGTTAGAACATGCTTCTTTAGCTTGTTCTAAAGAAGAATAAAGAGTTTGTTATTACCCACCCTCTGAAGCCTACTTCTTTCAATTCATCAAACTCATTCTCTGTCCAGTTTTGTTTTCTTGCTGGCGAGGAGTTGTGATCCTTAGGAAGAGAAGAGGTGTTCTTGTTTTTGGAATTTTCAGCCTTTTTGCTCTGGTTTTTTCTCATCTTCATGGATTTATGTACCTTTGGTCTTTGATGTTGGTGATCATCGAATGGGGCTTCTGAGTGGATGTCCTTTTTGCTTATGTTAATGCTATTCTTTTCTTTTTGTTAGTTTTCCTTCTAACAGTCAGGACCCTCTGCTGCAGGTCTGCTGGAGTTTGCTGGAGGTCCACTCCAGACGCTGTTTGCCTGGGTATCACCAGCAGAGGCTGCAGATCAGCAATGCCTGTTCCTCCCTCTGGAAGCTTTGTCTCAGATGGGCACCTGCCAGATGCCAGCTGGAGTTCTCCTGTATGAGGTGTCTGTTGACCCCTGCTGGGAGGTGTCTCCCAGTTAGGAGGTGTAGGGGTCAGGGATCCACTTGAGGAGTCCATCTGTTTCATAGCAGAGGTTGAATGCTGTGCTGGGAGGTTTGCTGCTCTCTTCAGAGCCAGCAGACAGGGGCATTCAAGTTTGCTGAAGCTGTGCCCACAGCCATCACTTCCCCCAGGTGCTCTGTCCCAGACAGATGGGGTTTTATCTATAAGCCTCTGACTGGGGCTGCTACCTCTTTTTTCAGAAATCCCCTGCCCAGAGAGGAGGAATCTAGAGAGGCAGTCTGGCTACAGTGGCTTTGCTTAGCTGCGGTGGCCTCAACCTGAGTCAAAATTCCCAGGGAATTTGTTTACACTGTGAAAGGACAGCCCCCTACTCAAGCCTCAGTAATGGTGGACACTACTCCCCCAACCAAGCTCAAGTGTCCCAGGTCAATTTCAGACTGCTGTGCTGGCAGTGAGAATTTCAAGTCAGTGGATCTTAGCTTGCTGGGCTCCAAGGGGGTGGGATCCACTGAGCTAGACCTCTTGGCTCCCTGGCTTCAGCCCCCTTTCCAGGGGAATGAACAGTTCTCTCCTGCTGGCATTCCAGGTGCCACTGGGGTATGAAAAGAACTCATGCAGCTAGCTCAGTATCTGCCCAAAAAGCCACCCAGTTTTTTGCTTGAAACTCAGGGGCTGGTGGCACAGGCACCCAAGGGAATCTCCTGGTCTGCGGGTTTTGAAGACCTTGGGAAAAGTGTAGTATCTGGGCCAGAGTGTACTGTTTCTTACAGCATAGTCCTTCATGGATTTTCTTGGCTAGGGGAGGGAGTTCCCTGATGTCTTGAACTTCATGGGTGAGGTCATGCCCCACCCTACTTCCGCTTGCCCTCTGTGGGTTGCACCCACTCTCTAACCAGTCCCAATAAGATGAGCTGGGTACCTCAGTTGGAAATGCAGAAATCACCCACCTTCTGCGTTGATCTCACTGGGAGCTGCAGACTGGAGCTGTTTCCATTCAGCCATCTTGCTAGCCAATGTGCTTCTATACATTTTAATACATTTATGATAGCACTATCAAATAACACATTTGAAAGTCTGACTTTTGACTTGTAGCTGTGCTGCAATGAAATTATATTCCATGATAGCATCTGGAAGATAATATTTATTCATAACTAAATACAAGCGGAATGCTTATTATTCTTTTCTATCTAACACTGTTGTAGAGGAGAGAAATGATCATGATAAGGGATGAGTATAGTATAGGTGAAGGGTTGCAGACACTGATAGTTTTTTATCCAATAGTCTTTTGCCTTGATAACAGAATATCTTTATTTTTTTGATTTGCAATGTGATCAGCTTGTGGTAGGCAGAATAATGCTCACTTGCCTCTCCCCACCCCCACATCCCCCATCAAGACCACCACTTTCTAGTCCTGGGAACTTGTGAATATGTTTTTGTTTATGACAAAAGGGTCTTTACAGATGTGATTAAGGATCTTGAAATTGGGAGATAATTGTGGATTATCTGGGTAGACCCAATGTAATTGCAAAAGTCTTTTTAAGAGAAAACAGGAGGCAAGAGAGTCAGAGGAGATATGATGATGGAAGCAGAGGTTAGAGCAAAGTGAAAAAGGGATCATGAGCCTAGAAATGCAGGCAGCCTCTAAAAGATGGAACACACAAGGAAATTCTCCACTAGAGCCTTCGGAAGAAACTCAGCCCTTGCAACACCTTGATTTCAGTCCTGTGAAACTCATTTTGGACTTTGACTTCCAAAATTGTCAGCCAATAACTTTGTGTTGTTTTAGTTCACTACATTCATGGTAATTTGTTACACTAGCAATAGGAAACTAATGCATAGCCCTAGAAGATAAATCACAATTCATCTAAACAATTGTGGAAATTCCACTGACATATGCCAAGCTTTCCTTGAAGCTGTGTTGTCATGTGACTTGGCATGAAGGAAAGTCAGCTTGGGGTTGTTGAGAAAAAATTTTCTTTTATGATTCATCCATTTATCCTTTATCTCCTGCTCATGATGTTGGTTTAAGAATGTGATGTTTCAATCTGTAGCAGCAATTTTGGAACTCTGAGTTGACAGTCTACAGGTGTTAAAGTCTAAAAGCCTAAAAACCAACACATCGAAGATACCACAGTGAAAGTCCCTTAATGACATTGCTGAACCATTGTACTAAATCTAGAACCAACTGTCTCCAGATTATTATATGTTAGATGATTAACTGTCATTATTTCTTACACCAGTATTACAAGTGGAATCCAACTTGACTGATACATTTGGTATGTATGATGTGATAGATATAGTAGTTAATTAAAAATTAACCAAATATTTTCAATGAATCTCTTCAGATTTATTCTGTCCTCCATTCTGAGAAGACTGATTTCACATTAAACTGTCAAAAGACACAAAATCAACTAAAAGAAAATTCGCCTTGCTAACAATTCTAATAAAAGCACACTTTTTTCGCCAGAAATTTGAGAGAAAAATATGAACTATACCTATTTGTTAGCTTTGTGTGCAAAGTAACAAGATTATGAACTAAATAGGCAAACATTTTGATGGCAAAATAAAAACCTGGCTGATATTTCACTAATTAGAGAACCAGGAAACTAGTGAGTACATAAAGTAATAATGGAATATTATAATATGTGAAACATTTAGTATAGTTAAAGTGAATCTGATGGCAAGGCATTAATTTACCAGCTTTGATTAATTGTCTTCTGGCCTTACCTTCCATGCAGTGGAAAAATGTAGCAGTGGAAAATTGAGTTGTACTTAAATAATTTCAAGTCAATGAAGAACAGAATGGTGCAGTGAGAAATATTTAAATTATACTTTTAGATATGCAAAATCATTCATGAAGAAATTTAAAAGAATTTTAATTAATATCTGAACACTGTGATTTTCATTGGCTAAGGGAATAGCTAAGTTTATAGCTATAATTACAAACATAAATTGCTTTTCTTTCCTTCTGGATAAATAGCTTGACATGTTTATCTTGTGAATAACAGACCTTTTAAAGTTAGGATTTTGAACTTTTTTTTCCCCCTTTCCTTTCTC
Organism: Homo sapiens; assembly: GCF_000001405.40. Classification (NCBI taxonomy): domain Eukaryota; kingdom Metazoa; phylum Chordata; class Mammalia; order Primates; family Hominidae; genus Homo; species Homo sapiens. The sequence goes on from NC_000006.12 coordinate 85,881,412, forward strand.
TACCAGTCCATCAAGTCTTCATCCCATTATAATTTTTAAAAAAGAAGTCTAGAATCTTTGGCATAGTATATGTTATATCTTTACATGTATGCTTAAAATCCAAGATAACTAGAGATAGAAAAGGGGCCATCTCTTCTTAATATCTCTGTCTCTTAAAATTACCAGTTATTAAGAACATTATCAGTTTTATACTGTTTTGAATTGCTTAACAATGAGGCTACATTCTGAGAAATGTGTCACGTGGAGATTTTGTCATTGTTGAACATGATAGAATGTACTTACATTAGCCTAGGTGGTATATATATTTTTATTTATACATATATTTTTATCTGGAAAACCAAATTTCCAGCATCATTACTAAATATCAATCATTTCCCCTACTTGATATGTGATGCCAAAATCAAGTGCAATAGATCAGGTTTTTATATATGCTCCACTATCATCTTATGAGGCCCCTGCTGTATATGTCATCTGTTGTTGACTGAAATGTTATTATGTAGTGCATGACTGTATATTCGTAATTTAAAGAATCAAATAATTTCACAATTCTTATAAGTAACAGCAAGCTCATTTCCTCCCCATTATTCCCTTTCTTCAAAAGCTACTATACTTTTCACCTCCTTAAGATGATTCTTATTTTACTATTTACCTCCATGTATCTAAGAAACATATTTATATTACTACTTCTTTAACTTTTTAGACACTATCTATTGGTTTCTCACAGTAGAAAATGAAGCTTTAATGCTCTTCTCCCCGTCTCTCCCCCAATTCACATCTCCTCTATGTCTGATAGAGTTTCATCTGAGATCTTCTTTTGCCATTGTCCTTGGGAATCCTTTTGCTTGTTTTGCTATTATTTTGTGTATCTCCACAATGCTCTTTCCTATTTTAATCCCTCATTTTAGTAGAGATACCTCTTGCGGTAGTTTTCTGAGAAAGAGTGCAATGGAGACAATTTTTTAAAGAATTTGAATGCCTTTATTTTACTTTACATTTATTTTGACAGTTTGACTAGGTATAGGATTACAGGTTGAAATAATTTTCCTTGATAATTTTGATCACAATTCCTTTTAGTTTTCGGTGTTGCCATTGATCAATATGAAGCTGTTGTGTTTCCTGATCCTTTGTAGGTGATATTTTTTCCTTCCCCTGAAAGCTTGTTTTTGTTTTCAGTGTTCTAAAATTTTCCCTCTATTATTTTGGGTGGTTGGTGGGTCATTTCAATCTGTAAAGTCTTTGTTTTCAGTTTTGGAAAATTTCCTTGTATTTTGTTTTCTTGTATTATTTCTCTGACTATTTACTTCCTCTTGTCTCTTTTGCAAGGATTCCTATTACTCGGATGTTAAACCTCTGTCATAGCCAGTTTCTGAAATGACCCCCCACGATTCTTGAGTCTTGATATTCATGTCCTTGGGCAGTTCCCTCCAACACTGAATAGGAAGGCCAGTTTAATTAACAAGATATTGTAAAAATGACAAAGCATGCCTTCTGAGGATAATTCATAAAGACATCGAAACTTCCACCTTGCTCCTTCTTGAATCATTTACCCAGAGCAAGTCAAATGTGGTGTTGTGAGGATACACAAGAAGTTCTGTGGAGAGAGATACACATGTAAGGAATTAAAAGCCCCCTGCCACATCTAGCACTAATTTGTTAGGCATGTGAGTATGCCACATTGGAAGAAAATCCTTCAGCTCCAGTCAAGAGTTCAGATGATTGAACCCCAACTGACATCTTGATTGCAACTTCAAGACAGACTCTGAACTAGAACCACCCAGCTAAGGCATCCCTGGATTCCTGAACCATAGAAGCTGTATGAAATAAAATTTGGGGATAGTTTCTTGTGCAGCAGTAGAGAACTAATATGACTGTGCTTGATATTCCAATTTTCATATTTAATGCTGGCTGTTGTCCTGGGACCTCAGCTCCTCTCCATGTGTGCCTCTTCATGTGATCTCTCTGTGGTGCTAGTTTGGGGTTCCTTACAATAGCTAGGCCTCAAGAGTCATGCTGCATCATTTTTGTTGCATCCTATTCATTGAGGCAATTACAAATTTCTACCCAGATTCAGGGAAAGTAGCAATGTTCTGAGACAGCATGTAGCCTTGGAAATATTGCTGTGGCCATTTTTGAAAACACAATATACAACACAGAATCTGTAGTGAAACATTTGATTAGGACTCAAATTTAACTTTATGTCATTGGGGCCAACATTTACATGTTGGAGGATCTCAGCTTTTATATTTAAAAATTAAAATCAGTACTACCTTCATAATAATTAAAAAGAAAAGTTTCCATTCTATCCTCCACCTCCCTCTTTTCCCCCACTTTCAATTATTGCTACCTTTTTAAATACAATATTGGTAAATTTAGACTCTAGTCATTTTGGCTATTTATTTTCTTTTTATCTTTTTCTTATTAAGTTTTTTTTTTCCTTTAGTTTGAGGGTATTGACTGGTATGACAGCAGGGATCCTTGAACACTATATATTCAGGACTAATTGTTCTCATTTCTCTCATAAAATTATTTTTCTCTGAGCTATGAGGGACATGCAATCTTACAACTTGGTTTGTCTCTACTGAATTGTTTTAGTTGTTGTTAAATTGTTGAGCCACTTTTGTGTGCCTGCACAATGGGATCTCTATTTTTTCCAAAAATTAAGTTGAGCTTTCCCAGGCTGGCAGGTCTGTGATGACAATGTCACCCTTTATCTTTAGGAAGAACCAACCCTGAATTATTTATTCAACAGTGTTGTTTCCAAATCATGAATAGATGAAGTTGGCTTTAGAATTAGAGTAAACAATCAGGTGGCTAACTTGGAGTGTTAAGGCTGTTTTGCGAAAACAAAATCTTATAAAAAAATCTGACAAAAAAATAAGGTAAAAAACTTAAATACTTGAAATTTTAGTTGATAATTAATTTGCACTCAGACTATATTAAAAACATTCTCATCGGGCATGGTGGCTTACTCCTGTAATCCCAGCACTTTGGGAGGTTGAGGCAGGTGGATCATTTGAGGCTAGGAGTTCAAGACCAGGCTGGTTGACATGGTGAAGCCTCATCTCTAATAAAAATACAAAAGCTAGCTAGGCATGGTTGAGGGCACCTGTAATCCCAGCCACTTGGGAGTCTGAGTCAGGAGAATCACTTGAACCTGGAAGCTGGAGGTTGCATTGAGCCAAGATTGTGGCACTGGACTCTAGCCTGGGCAACAGAGCAAAACTCCATATTGGGGGAAAAAAAACAGCCAATAAACAAACAAAAATTCTCAAATTAAGAATTGATGAAAAAGAACTTTAAATGTAGCCTTCTCATGATTCAAAGAGCTTCTGGACTTACATTTAGATGACCCAGGCTTTCAAATGAAGTAAACTATTTTTATTCATTGAATTCATGTTACATTATCGGTAAAATAATTTTTTCCTTAAATGGAAGACTTCTGTCATCAAAGTGATAGTTAAAATTGTAAGATTCAAAAAAGATTTTATAGATTTAATTTAAATATCCTTAAATAGTCTTTCTTGAATATTTAAATAGCCTTAAATAGCTTTTCTTGAATATTCCCATAGTTTCAAAAAGTTCTTATGAAAAGAAGGAAGTTTCTTATGAAAGAAGGAAAATCAAGAGGCTACACTTATAAAAATTAATTTTTCAGTTCTAGCTTAGTCATTCATTTACTGAGAGCCTATTCTGGGCTGGATTCTGAAGCAATGGAGAATGTGGAAGAGACAGTTTTATCAACAAGTTACTTCAAACCAATGTGACAAGTGCTTTAATGGAGACACGGAGGAAGTCAAAAGCATAGAAGCAAAGAGTACAATGATAGTTGCCAGAGGCTGGAGGGTAGAGGCATGGGGAGATACTGGTTCAAATAAACCAACAACAGACCAACCAAAAAGAAACAAAGAAATATAGACTGGGTCAAACAAACAAACAAAAAGAAACAAAGACATATAGAAGAATGGGAGCACAGATGTAGGGAAATTGTTTGTCTAGGGGGTTAAAACATCCATAGAAGTGAAAAAAATGAATGGATTTTGGATGATGAAAATAATTTACCTAAATGGAGAAGGGCATTTTGGAGAGGCAGAGACTGTAACTGTAAGTGACATTAAAAAGTAAAAAGAGATGGTGATATTAGAAAGGAGGTGAGTGTTTTATATATACAATAACAGAACACTGAGTGAATTTAAGGAAAGGAACCACATTCACAAATTGTATTTAAGGTAAATATTGGGAGGGAGATTGGATAGCATATAGACTGAACAATAAATGGGGAGTAATGGAGAAGAAACTGAGAAATAGTTTGTGAGTAGAATTAATGGAGGTTAGAGACTGAATTGGGGGGTCAAAGGAAGAATCCACCATTTAGTACTTAAAACAAAAAGATTAATTTGTTACTTGTTAAAGAAGAGGTTGCTGTGCTTGTATACAGTCTTTCTAAGCAAGCAAATGGCTTTTAAGGAAGCATGGAGAGCATGAATTGTGAACTTCTTATTGGTAGGAATTTTTGAGATTGGTTGACTGTTAGCCAGGTAGGCATGGTTACTGGAGTGAAGCTGTCATTGATTGGTGACTTTGAGAAGCTGTCACTGAATGCCCTACTTTTGGAAGTGTGGTTTCTGAAGTAAGGTTGTCACTGATTGATTGGAATGAGTTTAAAACTGATTCTAATATTACTTCTTCCTTTGACCAAAATATACTCTATCTTTCCCTTTTCTAAACTCAGAGAATGAAAAAGTTTTTTTCTAGGGGTTAAAATGGGAGAAGTAAAGGTCATCTTTAGTTTTTGCTAAACAGAATAAAGAGCCAGTGGATGATACAGGTGGGGAGAGGAGCAGACTAGACAGCAAGACACTGTGTTTTAGATGTGTTACTATGTATGTAAGACATCTGATAGGTAGTTGGAGATATGGAGGGCTTGGGAAAGAGGTTGGTCTTTGAGAGTCATTATCATGTAGGAGAGCATTGAAACCTTGAAGAATGAAGAAGTGGCTCAGAAAGAGTTTGTAGAGTAATATATAGAAGTTGGCCTAAGACAAAATTGCAAATTATTTGTAAAATAGGAGAGGAACTAGGAGACAGTAATTGGAGAAAGCAGAGGAGGAGAGTTTCAGTAATACAGAGCTGTCAATAGCAGGCTATTTATATATTAAAAAGATGTATAAAGAGTCCTTTGCTCTCTTCTGCAAGAGCCATTTTAATATAATTGTTGGCCTGAGAATCAGATTTAAGAGGCACCCAAACATTTTGGCTGTCAATTTTTGTTATAATGCTTCAATTTTTATTCATATGTCTTAGGTGATCATAAATCTTATCAATGTTTTCATGGTAGATGTATTCAACTCAACAGTTACTTATTAAGAACTTACTATCTGACTACTTTGTGTATTTTTACCTTGAAGTAGTTACTTTACTTCTTAAAAGATCATATCAAGTCCTTATGCACATATATTTCAACAATAAGGAGTTTATTTTTATACCATAATTAATTTGATAAGCAAAGATGAACGTTTAGATCTTAGTTAAAAGATGATCTGTGCAGTACAGTGATACCTTATTAAAATGTGACTTTAAAGACTAAACAAATGGAGTCATATCACAAATTATTCCTAAAATATATGTATTAATGTACAAACTAAATAAAAATAACTTTAAAAATAATAACATGATGAATGATATCCCTTAAGGGCAAAATTTTGTTTGGTATCATACTATCAATATTGTGCTATTAAACACTTTCTTTATACTTTTTTATTTATACTTCTTTAAATGGGAAATACTTGCCTTAATCCGTGACTTCTTTATGCTTTTCCCATAGTGAATATGTCTTTAATTTTGTATTCTATGGGCTTTCAGAACACCTGAATGCTCAGAATTTGCTACATAAATATTTGGCAATTAATCATCTGACCCATAAAGGGCAGTTTGACAATGACTCCTGCCCAGGTTCTTGTTATTCTTTGCCCTTTTCCAATATTTTTTTCTGATTAAATATGACTTCTTTACACTGGGATCATTTCCTGTCACTCATCTCAATTAGGAACTCCAAGGAAATAATTTCTTGATGTTGAGTATGATCTTTACAGTGAGTGCTATTTCTTTTCTCTCAGCAATACCTACTTTATAGCATGGAATGGAAATGTTTTTCTTTTGATTTTATCTTTTAGAATGTTTTAGGGAGGTATCCTTCTTCATTCTCTTCACCCCTTGGCTTGCCTCACTCCTTGAGGGCAGTGATTCATCTGGTTGGTGAAATGGGAGAACCTGTAAATCACTGGAACTCACATGTGGGAGGAAGCTGCTGCATTAGAAGATGGGCCTAGAGAGTCTTTGGGAGGCTCTTTCCTCCTTGTGTAAGATGGACCACAACTTCTAGGTGGCTGAGAATGGGTCTGCTCCATACTCTCAACTCTTCATGTGAATTTCTAAGATATAAACTTGAGATGCGGTGGTTAAAAACCCTTATTTTGGGTGTAGGTCCAAGCAGGATTAATTACTACATTATTTATCAAATCTAAGATGCTTTTCCCCCCCAGATTTTGAGGTATAATTGACAAATAAAATGGTATATATTTAAGGTATGCAACTTGAAATTTTGATATATGTGTACATTGTGAAATGATCATAAGCTAATTAACATATGCATCACTGATGTAGCTTGCATGTTTGTCCCCCTCCAAATCTCATGTTTAGATGTGATCCCCATTGTTGGAGGTGGGGCCTAGTGGGAGGTGTTTGGATTATGAGGGTGGATCCCTCATGAATGGCTTGGTGCCCTTCCCATGATAATGAGTGAGTTCTGATTCTATTAGTTCACTCAAGAGCTGGCCGTTTAAAAGAGTATGGCATCTCTCTTGCTCCCTCTGTCACCATGTGACATGCCTGTTGCCCCATCACCTTCTATCATGATTGTAAGCTCCTGAGGCCCTCACCAGAGGCAGATGGTGGTGCTTTTTATGCAGTTGGCAGAGCTGTAAGCCAAATAAGCCTCTTTTTTAAATAATATAAATTACTTAGCTTCAGGTATTCCTTTATCACAATGCAAAATGGACTAATACAATCTAGTACAATCACCTCACATAGCTAAGATTTTCTTTTCTTCTTTTTTATTGGAAGAGAACACTTAAGATCTACCCTCTTAGTGAATTTCAAATATACAACACTGTATTGTTGACTACAGTCACCATGCTGTACATTAGATCTCCAGAAATTATTCAACTGGCATAACTGAAACTTAGTTCCCTTTGACCAATATCACCTTATTACTCCCTCCTCTAGCCCTTGGCAACCACTATTCTACTCTCTGCTTATGTGAGATTGATTATTTAAAATTCCACGTATAAGTGAGATCATATAGTATTTTTCTTTCTGTGCCTGGCTTAATTTATTCAGTATAAGGTCCTCTAGGCTCATCCATGTTGTCACAAAAAAAGATGAATAATATTTCATTGTGTATATGTGTGTGTGTGTGTATACACCCACCACATTTTCTTTATCCATTTATTTTTATTGTTTATTATACTTTAAGTTCTGGGGTACATGTCCAGAAAGTGTAGTTGTGTTACATATGTACACAACGTGCCATGATGGTTTGCTGCACCCATCAACCTGTCACCTACATTAGGCATTTCTACTAATGCTATCCCTCCCCTAGCCTCCCAACCCATGACAAGCCCTGGTGTGTGATGTTCCCCTACATGTGTCCATGTGTTTCCATTGTTCAACTCCCACTTATGAGTGAGAACATGTGATGTTTGGCATTCTGTTCTTGTGATAGTTTGCAGAGAATGACGGTTTCCGGCTTCATCCATGTCCCTGCAAAGGACATAAACTCATCCTTTTTTTGGCTGCATAGTATTCCAGGGTGTATATGTGCCACATTTTCTTTATCCAGCCTATTATTGATTGACATTTGGGGTGGTTCCAAGTCTTTGCTATTGTGAATAGTGCTACAATAAACATATGTGTCCATGTGTCTTTATAGTAGAATAATTTATAATCCTTTGGGTATATACCTAGTAATGGGATTGCTGGGTCAAACGGTATTTCTAGTTCTAGATCCTTGAGGAATCGCCACACTGTCTTCCACAATGCTTGAACTAATTTACACTCCCACCAACAGTGTAAAGGCATTCCTGTTTCTCTACGTTTCCTCCAGCATCTGTTGTTTCCTGACTTTTTAATGATTGCCATTCTAACTGGCGTGAGATGGTATCTCATTGTGGTTTTCATTTGCATTTCTCTGATGACCAATGATGATGAGCATTTTTTCATATAATTGTTGGTCGCATAAGTGTCTTCTTTTGAGAAGTATCTGTTCATATACTCTGCCCACTTTTTTGATGGTTTTTTTTCTTCTTATAAATCTATTTAAGTTCTTTGTAGATTCTGGATATTAGCCCTTTGTCAGATGGATAGATTACAAAAAATATCTCCCATTCTCTATGTTGCCTGTTCACTCTGAGGATGGTTTATTTTGCTGTGCAGAAGCTCTTTAGTTTAATTAGATCCCATTGCCAATTTTGCCTTCTGTTGCCATTGCTTCTGGTTTTTTAGACATGAAGTCTTTGCCCATGCCTATGTCCTGAATGGTATTGCCCAGGTTTTCTTTTAGGATTTTAATGGCTTACGTCTTACGTTAAAGTCTTTAATCCATCTTTATTTGATTTTTGTATAAAGTGTAAGGAAGGGGTCCAGTTTCAGTTTCCTGTCTATGGCTAGCCATTTTCCCAACATCATTTATTAAATAGGGAGTCTTTTTCCCACTGTTGTTTGTGTCAGGTAGGTCAAAGATCAGATGGTTGTAGATCTGTGGTGTTATTTCTGAAGTATCCGTTGTGTTCCATTGGTTTATATATCTGTTTTGGTACCAGTACCATACTGTTTTGGTTACCATAGCCTTGTAGTATAATTTGAAGTCAGGTAGCCTTATGCCTTCAGCTTTGTTCTTTTTGCTTAGGATTTTCTTGGCTATGCAGGCTCATTTTTGGTTCCATATGAAGTTTAAAGTAGTTTTTTCCAATTTTGTGAAGAAAGTCAATGGTAACTTGATGAGGATAGCATTGAATCTATTAATTACTTTGGGCAGTATGGCCATTTTCATGATATTGATTCTTCCTATCTATGAGCATGGAATGTTTTTCCATTTGTTTGTGTCCTGTCTTATTCCTTGAGAGGTGGTTTGTAGTTCTACTTGAAGAGGTCCTTCACATCCCTTGTAAGTTGTACTCCTAGGCATTTTCTTCTCTTAGCAGCAATTGTGAATGGGAATTCACTCATGATTTGGCTCTCTGTTTGTGTGTTATTGGTGTATAGGAGTGTTTGTGATTTTTGCATATTGATTTTGTATCCTGAGACTTTGCTGAAGTTTCTTATCAGCTTACAGAAGTTTTTGGCTGAGATGATGGGGTTTTCTAAATATACAATTATGTCATCTGCAAACAGAGACAATTTGACTTCCTCTTTTCCTAATCGAATACCCTTTATTTCCTTCTCCTGCCTAATTGCCCTGGCCAGAACTTCCAACTATTCACTACATTGAGATTCTGGGTTGAAAACATTTTTCTTTATGAATGTTGAATATTGGCCACCACTCTCTTCTGGCCCGTAGTGTTCCTTCAGAGAGATCTGCTGTCAGTCTCATGGGCTTTGCTTTGTTGGTAACCTGATCTTTCTCTCTGGCTGTGCTTAACATTTTTCCTTCCTTTCATCCTTGGTGATTCTGATGATTACGTGTCTTGGGGTTGCTCTTCTTGAGAATTATCTTTGTGGTGTTCTCTGTATTTCCTGAATTTGAATGTTGGCCTGTCTTGCTAAGTTGGGGAAGTTTTCCTGGATAATGCCCTGAAGAGTGTTTTCTAACTTGTTTTCTTTCTCCCCATCACTTTCATGTACATGAATCAAATGTAGGTTTGGTCTTTTCACATAGTCCCATATTTCTTGGCAGCTTTGTTCGTCCCTTTTTATTCTTTTTTCTCTAATCTTGTGTTCTTGCTTTATTTTATTCAGTTGGTCTTCAATCTCTGATATCCTTTCTTCCACTTTATTGATTTGGCTATTGATACTTGTGTGTGCTTCATGAAGTTCTCATGCTGTGTTTTTCAGCTCCATCAGGTCATTTGTATTCTTCTCTAAACTGGTTATTCTAGTTTGCAATTCATCTAACCTTTGTTCAAGGTTCTTAGCTTCCTTGCATTGGGTTAGAACGTGCTCCTTTAGTTCAGAGGAGTTTGTTATTACTTACCTTCTGAAGCCTACTTCTGTCAATTTGTCAAACTCATTCTCTATCCAGTTTTCTTCCTTGCTGGTGAGGAGTTGTGATCCTTTGGAGAAGAAGCATTCTGGTTTTTGGAATTTTCAGCCTTTTTGCACCCTTTGCAGCCTTTGTCTTTGATGTTGGTGACCTTTGGATGGGGTCTTTAAGTGAACATTCTATTCCTTTCTTTTTCTTAGTTTTCCTTCTAACAGTCAGGCCCCTCTCCTGCAAGTCTGCTGGAGTTTGCTGGAGTTCTACTGCAGACCCTGTTCACCTGGGTATCACCAGCGGAGGCTGCAGAACAACAAAGATTGCTGCCTGTTCCTTCCTCTGGAAGCTTTGTCTAAGAGGGGCACCTGCCAGATGCCAGCCAGTGCTCTTCTCTATGAGGTGTCTGTTGGCCCCTGCTGGGAGGTGTCTCCCAGTCAGGATACACAGGGGTCAGGGACCCACTTGAAGAGGAAGTCTGATCCTTAGCAGAGCTCAACGCTGTGCTGGGATGCCCACTGCTCTCTTCCAGGCCATCAGGCAGGGACGTTTAAGTCTGCTGAATCTGTGGCCACAGCCATCCCTTCCCCCTAGTGCTCCATCCCGGGGATATGGGAGTTTTATCTATAAGCCCCTGACTGGGGCTGCTGTCTTTTTTTCAGAGATGCCCTGCCCACAGAGGAGAAATCTGGCAGTCTATCCACAGCAGCGTTGCTGAGCTTCAGTGGGCTCTGCCCAGTTCAAACTTCCCAGTGGCTTTGTTTACACTGTGAGGGTAAAACCACCTACTCAAGCCTTAGCAATGGAGGACGCCCCTCCCCCCACCAAGCTCTAGCATCCCAGGTTAGTCTTGGACTGCTGCTGTGCTGGCAGCGAGAATTTCAAGCCAGTGTATCTTTGTTTGCTGGGCTCTGTGGGGGTGGAACCCATCATGCCAGACCACTTGACTGTCTGGCTTCAGCACCCCTTTCTAGGGGAGTGAATGGTTCTGTCTCACTGGCATTCCAGGCACCACTGGGGTTTGGAAAAAAAAAAAAACAAACTCCTGCATCTAGTTCAGTGTCTGCCCAAATGGCTGCCCAGTTTTGTGCTTGAAACCCAGGTTCCTGGCAGGATAGACACTGGAGGGAATCTCCTGGTCTGTGGGTTGGAAAGACCATGGGAAAAGTGCAGTTTCTGGGCCAGAGTGCATGGTTCCTCAGGCTCAGTCCCTCATGACTTCTCTTGGGTAGGGGAGAAAATTGTCTGACCCCTTGCACTTCCTGGGTGAAGTGATGTCCCACTCTGCTTCGGCTTGCCCTCCATGGGGTGCACTCACTGTCCAATGAATCCCAATGAGATGAACCATGTACATCAGTTGGAAATGCACACAAATAATCTTCCTTCTTCATTGATCTCACTGGGAGCTGAAGAACAGGGCTGTTCCTATTTGTCAATGTTACCAGCAATCTCATCTTCTTTATTCATTTATATGTTGACAGACATTTAGGTTGTTTCCATATTTTTGCTATTGTAAAAAATGCTGCAATGAATGCGCAGATATTTCTTTGAAATAGTAATTTTATTTTTTTGGATATATATGAAGAACTGAGATTGTTCTATCATAGATAGTTCTATTTTTAATTTTTGGAGGAACCTACTCTACTGAAAGAATAGACTCCTCTTATATTAGAGGAGCATCCTAAATTTGCTGAGCTAACTTATGTTCTCACCAACAGTATCTTATCTTTTGTCTTTTTGATAACAGCCATTCTAACAAGCATACAATTGTGGTTTTGATTTGCGTTTATCTGATGATTATTGAAGCTAAGCACCTTTACATATATTTGTTGGCCATTTGTATGTATTCTTTTGAGAAATGTATCTTCAGATCCTTTGTCAACTTTATTTATTTTTTTTTACTATTGGAATGTAGGAGATTTTTGTATATTTTGGATATTAACCCCTTATCAGATACATGGCTTGCAAACATTTTCATCTATTCTGTAGGTTGCCTTTTCACTCTGGTAATTGTCTCTTTTGCCATGCAGAAGATTTTTAGTTTGATGAAGTCCTACTTGTCTATTTTTGCTTTATTGCATGTGCTTTTGATGTCATATCTATAAAATACTTGCCCAGGCCAATGTCAAGAGGCTTTCCCCCTATGTTTTCTTCTAGTAGGTTTATAGTTTCAGGTTTTATTATTATTATTATTATTTTATTATTATTATACTTTAAGTTTTAGGGTACATGTACACAATGTGCATGTTTGTTACATATGTATACATGTGCCATGTTGGTGTGCTGCACCCATTAACTCATCATTTAGCATTAGGTATATCTCCTAGTGCTATCCCTCCCCCTCCCCCCACCCCACAACAGTCCCCAGTGTGTGATGTTCCCCTTCCTGTGTCCATGTGTTCTTACTGTTCAATTCCCACCTATGAGTGAGAACATTCAGTGTTTGGTTTTTTGTCCTTGCGATAGTTTGCTGAGAATGATGGTTTCCAGCTTCATCCATGTCCCTACAAAGGATATGAACTCATCATTTTTTATGGCTGCATAGTATTCCATGGTGTATATGTGCCACATTTTCTTAATCCAGTCTATCATTGTTGGACATTTGGCTTGGTTCCAAGTCTTTGCTATTGTGAATAGTGCCACAATAAACATATGTGTGCATGTGTTTTTAGAGCAGCATGATTTATAGTCCTTTGGATATATACCCAGTAATGGGATGGTTGGGTCAAATGGTATTTCTAGTTCTAGATCCCTGAGGAATCGCCACACTGACTTCCACAAGGGTTGAACTAGTTTACAGTCCCACCAACAGTGTAAAAGTGTTCCTATTTCTCCACATCTTCTCCAGCACTTGTTGTTTCCTGAATTTTTAATGATTGCCATTCTAACTGGTGTGAGATGGTATCTCATTGTGGTTTTGATTTGCATTTCTCTGATGGCCAGTGATGGTGAGCATTTTTTCATGTGTCTTTTGGCTGCAAAATGTTTTCTTTTGAGAAGTGTCTGTTCATATCCTTCGCCCACTTTTTGATGGGGTTGTTTGTTTTTTTCTTGTAAATTTGTTGGAGTTCATTGTAGATTCTGGATATTAGCCCTTTGTCAGATGAGTAGGTTGTGAAAATTTTCTCCCATTTTGTAGGTTTCCTGTTCACTCTGTTGGTAGTTTCTTTTGCTGTGCAGAAGCTCTTTAGTTTAATTAGATCCCAATTGTCAATTTTGGCTTTTGTTGCCATTGCTTTTGGTGTTTTAGACATGAAGTCCTTGCCTATGCCTATGTCCTGAATGGTAATGCCTAGGTTTTCTTCTAGGGTTTTTATGGTTTTAGGTCTAACGTTTGAGTCTTTAATCCATCTTGAATTGATTTTTGTATAAGGTGTAAGGAAGGGATCCAGTTTCAGCTTTCTACATATGGCTAGCCAGTTTTCCCAGCACCATTTATTAAATAGGGAATCCTTTCCCCATTTCTTGTTTTTGTCAGGTTTGTCAAAGATCAGATAGTTGTAGATATGCGGCATTATTTCTGAGGGCTCTGTTCTGTTCCATAAAGGGTTTTATTTCTCCTTCACTTATGAAGCTTATTTTGGCTGGATATGAAATTCTGTGTTGAAATTTCTTTTCTTTAAGAATGTTGAATATTAGTCCCCACTCTCTTCTGTCTTGTAGAGTTTCTGCCGAGTTATCAGCTGTTAGTCTGATGAGCTTCCCTTTGTAGGTAACCTGACCTTTCTCTCTGGCTGCCTTTAACATTTTTTCCTTCATTTCAACTTTGGTGAAACTGACAATTTTGTGTCTTGGAGTTGCTCTTCTTGAGGAGTATCTTTGTTGCATTCTCTGTAGTTTCTGAATCTGAATGTTGGCCTGCCTTGCTAGATTGGGGAAGTTCTCCTGGGAAATATCCTGCAGAGTGTTTTCCAACTTGGTTCCATTCTCTCTGTCACTTTCAGGTATACCAATCAGATGTAGATTTGGTCTTTTCACATAGTCCCATCTTTCTTGGAGGCTGTGTTCATTTCTTTTTGGTCTTTTTTCTCTAAACTTCTCTTCTCACTTCATTTCATTCATTTGATCTTCCATAACTGATACCCTTTCCTCCAATTGATCGAATTGGCTACTGAGGCTTGTTCATTCATCACATAGTTCTCGTGCCTTGGTTTTCAGCTCCATCAGGTCCTTTAAGGACTTCTCTGCATTGGTTATTCTAGTTAGCCATTCATCTAATTTTTTTTCAAGGTTTTTAACTTCTTTGCCATGGGTTTGAACTTCCTCCTTTAGCTCCGAGGAGTTTGATTGTCTGAAGCCTTCTTCTCTCAACTCATCAAAGTCATTCTCCATCCAGCTTTGTTCCATTGCTGGTGAGGAGCTGTGTTCCTTTGGAGGAGGAGAGGCATTCTGATTTTTAGAGTTTCCAGTTTTTCTGCTCTATTTTTTCCCCATCTTTGTGGTTTTATCTACCTTTGGTCTTTGATGATGGTGACATACAGATGGGTTTTTGGTGTGGATGTCCTTTGTGTTTGTTAGTTTTCCTTCTAACAATCAGGACCCTCAGCTGCAGGTCTGTTGGAGTTTGCTGGAGGTCCACTCCAGACCCTGTTTGCCTGGGTATCAGCAGCGGATGCTGAAGAACAGCGGATATTGGTGAATAGCAAATGTTGCTGCCTGATCGTTCCTCTGGAATTTTCGTCTCAGAGGAGTACCCGGCCGTGTGAGGTGTCAGTCTGCCCCTACTGGGCGTTGCCTCCCAGTTAGGCTACTCGGGGGTCTGGGACCCACTTGAGGAGGCAGTCTGCCTGTTCTCAGATCTCCAGCTGCGTGTTGGGAGAACCACTACTCTCTTCAAAGCTGTCAGACAGGAACATTTAAGTCTGCAAAGGATTCTGCTGCCTTTGGTTTGGCAATGCCCTGCCCCAGAGGTGGAGTCTACAGGCATCCTTGAGCTGCGGTGGGCTGCACCCAGTTTGAGCTTCCTGGCCACTTTGTTTACCTACTCAAGCCTCAGCAATGGTGGGCACCCCTCCCACAGCCTCGCTGCCACCTTGCAGTTTTATCTCAGACTGCTGTGCTAGCAATGAGCGAGGCTCCATTGGTGTAGGACCCTCCAAGCCAGGCATGGGATATAATCTCCTGGTGTGCCATTTGCTAAGACCATTGGAAAAGTGCAGTATTAGGGTGGGAGTGACCTAATTTTCCAGGTGCTCTCTGTCACCCCTTTCTTTGACTAGGAAAGGGAATTACCTGACCCCTTGCACTACCCAGGTGAGGCAATGCCTCGCCCTGCTTCAGCTCACGTTTGGTGCACTGCACCCACTGTCCTGCACCCACTTTCTGACACTCCCCAGTGAGATGAACCCAGAACCTTAGTTGGAAATGCAGAAATCACCCATCTTCTGTGTCATTTACACTGGGAGTTGTAGACTGGAGCTGTTTCTATTCGGCCATCTTGTCTCCACCCCCCAAAAACACAAAAATTTTATATAATGGAAGCTGCATCTTATGGTCAAGATTAAAAGTTTATAGATTGTTCATAAAATTTTGAATAACAAATTTAATTGCCTTCATGCTGTTTTTATTAGGGCTTATTGTTTGGAAAATGAAGTCTCCTCTCTCAAAGAATGAAGGTTTTCACATTATTTTTTAAATCCTTGAGTTATCACATTGGTTAAATGAATGACTTATTTTACAGTGACCTGTGATCCTATTTTGTGATATCATGTGTTAAGTCTTTGATATTTGAGAAACTTTCCAAAATTAAATTATAAATTATTTTCTGACCTAATTAATGTTTTAAGATATTACATTCCCTAAAGTCCAAAAATGACATAAGTTGGCAGTTTTTGGTACAAAAATTTTACAGGAAGCACTGTCAAATATAAAATTGTGTTTGGTTTTCTTTGGGTTGTATTTGTACAAATGTCATTAGTATGTGTTCCAGAATTATGGAAAACTCCTATAATTCTGATATAACTTAGTTTACATTATTAGTAATAATTATAATTGTTATGATAAATTATTGTGTGCCACAGAAGTAACAAATTTCCTTGTCAATTGTGTCTTTGACTATGGCTGCCCTAAAACTTTTTATCATCCATGGACAATTGTTGTCTTGTTTTGGTCCTCTTTATGAGATGGTTCTATAATCAGCTACAGAACTCTAACAAGTGTTCTTAAATGCAAGTTTCTGATAACTTTGGAGATGGTGACATGAGAATAGAGGAAAAAAACTTTCAGGACTCATGGAGAGCTGAAATGTTTATGAACATCAAACAGAATAGGAGTTAACTGCCTAAACTGAACTGATAGAAGACTAAAGCAATCTTTTTGACTTTTGCTGTAAACATTGCTAATCCTTTGTTTTGTTGTTTTTGAGTCTTGAAACTTCTTTTGAGCTATTCACAGCTTTTAACAATTTAGTATACTCCTATGAACAAAATTTGGAGCAGATTTTTTTCTCTCTACCTGATTTCTCCAGAATTTGGAAACAATCTGTGGATATTCTTAACTTATGGCAATACAGTTATTTGCATAAATGCAGTAAGAATGTTTCCATTTGTAACAGGATACACTCAGATAAATTGGTTATTTTACCAAGGCTTTGACTGACATGGTGTGCTTTCATTTAAGGAATCAAACTTGACTTATGTAGCCAATAAAGCCCTTGGAAAAACTGGCCTCATATTTTGTGTGCACAGTCCCTGTACAGGGTTTCTGACATGCAGTAAGTAAAGAATGTCACTTTCTGATAGGCCGAGAAGCCCCAGGCTTATCTTGAAACCTCAAGAGGAGAAGAAATTCACCCAACTTATAGATATTTGATGACACAAATCCATGGTTGGGCTCAGCTTTAAGTCTTATCTGAGATTCCTCTTATGGAACAAGTTCCATCAAAGCCAATTTGGAAGCTATGTTTCTTGCTGCACTGTATAAAAATAATTAGGCCAAGTATAATAAAGGAAACCAGTCCTATCATAATTTGTCTTTAGTAAAAATGGGAAACTGGAGAGAGAAAAATTATGTTTCAAAATATAGTACACCTGTTGGTAGATTCTATTCTTGCCTAATTTTTTTCAGTTTTTATTATTTTCTATATTTTGGAGCAAATTCTAATTTTTCTTGGCTACACATCTTCAAAATAATGTTTTTTTCCTTCTTTTTTTACCCATTTTTCCTAATTTGGAGTCACAACTAAGCTGTGCTTTCTTATATTCCTGTGAACTGAAGCCAGACAACTTAAACTTCAGAAGAAAATAACAGCAACCTATTTACATACATATGCCACTTTCATATTTGCCTATTAATGTATGGACTTCAGAGTAATGTGGCCTGTATCAGTTTTTGTAGGACTGTTCTTTTGTTTGTTGTTGTTTTTCTCCCTTCCTCCCCCTATTTTCTCTTCATATGACATAAGACTTCACAACCTGCTAAAAACCTTGGGACCTAACCCATCTAGGAATAAACCATCGTAACCATGATAGATCAGATAAAACCTGAGACCAGAGACTCATTTTCTTCTAAAATGCTTTCTCCAAAACCTTTTAAAAAAGAAAAGGTCGGGGGGTGGGTATGTGAAAGGAAAATATCTTGGGCCCCAAAATCATGAAGCTAAAATTCAAGCTGAAAATTGCTGAAGGCAAACCTGCCTCCCATTCTGTTCAAAGTCATCCCTCTGCTCACAGAGATAGATGCATAGTCTGATTGCCTCCTTTGGAAAGGCTTATCAGAGACTCAAAAGAATGCAAACATTTGTCTCTCACCTACCTGTGACCTGGAAGCCCCCCGGTGGGGGCTTTCTTTGAGTTGCCGCCACATTTCTGGATGAAACTAATGTACTTATTATATATATTGGTTGATGTCTCATGTCTCCCTAAAATGTATAAAAGAGAGCCATGCCCCAACCACCTTGGTTACATGTCGTCATAACTTCCTGATGCTGTGTCACAGGTGTGCATCCTCAACCTTGGCAAAATAAACTTTCTAAATTAACTGAGACTGGTCTCAAATTTTCAGGGTTCACAGCTGCTAACAGTACACAAGTATATCTTACAGCTCAAGTTTCCTGCCTCCAGAAAGAGCAGCTGCTCCTCTTTCTCACTTCAGTTTTAAGTTGTTGGGAATAGGACACTTATTGGTCAAACATGGGGTCAGTTGCTCGCTGGTTGTGGCAATCACAAGGCCATGGGAGTGCCTTTACTTTAAAGTGCATCACTTTAATTAGATTCTGGGCCCTTTTAATTGGATTATTTCACATGCTGGGAGAAAGGTACTTGCAAGAGGAGGGGAAATCCTTGCAAACTAGGCAGTCAAATCAGCCAAGTAAATATTCTGAGGCTGTTTCCACTTCTGCCTTTCCACTTACAGTCAGGATACTGCACTGCCCAGGAAACACAGTACCAGTGGTGTTGTCAGGAGCATCCAGCATTGACAGAGGACTAAAGGAAGGCATTAAGGGAGACAAAATCTGTTTCTTTGAGGTTCTTGCAGGACTCATGCAGAACCTTAATTATTAGCCACATTTGACATTGTAAATAACACCTCTCTTCTTGAAATGTTCTCTTTCCTTAGTTTTCATGATGTCACATGCTGTTTTTTATTTATTTATTTATTTATTTATTTATTTATTTTTGAGACAGAATCTCACTCTGTCTCCCAGGCTGGAGTGCAGTGCATGATCTTGGTTCGCTGCAGCCTCTGCCTCCTGGGCTCAAGCCATTCTCCCACCTCAGCCTCCCAGGTAGCTGGGACTAGAGGTTCAGGCCATTATGCCTAGATAATTTTTGAACTTTTTTATAGCGATGGGGTTTTGTCATGTGGCCAGACTGCTCTCCAACTCCTGAGCTGAACTGATCCACCTGCCTTGGCCTTCCAAAGTTTTGGGATTACAGGCATTAGCCACTGTGCATAATGACACATGCTGTTTTCAACCCCAAGGTTGATGAGAACAGAAAACATTTACTTATCCCTTTCTCTATACTAGACAGTGTGCTAAATATTTACATGAATGTTTAAATTGAATAATCTAATTTAATTCTTAGAATACTTTATCAGCTAGGGAGTATTATTTTCTCCATTTTGTAGGTGGAGAAACTGAGGGCTGAAAGAGGAGAACATGTTTCCTATGCCTTAAGTGTTTATTTTTCTGTGAGCTCTGACTCATGTTATGCACTTCCCTCAGTGTGCCACTCCTTTCTATGGCTGTAGTTGGCATCTATATATTGTCGCTTTCACAATTTGCATCTTTGGCCCAGATTTCTCCTCTGAGCTCCAGACCTATATGTCTTTAGTAAAAGGTGAAATATTTATTTATTTGTTCTAAAGAGAAACTAAAGCATTAGACCTATATATTCAACGTCCTATTGGATGTTACCACTTTGATTGGAATATACTTGGTGCTTAGGAATATTTACTGAATAAATGAATGTATGAATTGATCATCCTGGCTAGAGAGCCTTCCACTCCTGTGAGTTGTCACATTCTTCACCCTCTCTGCTAGTAAAGGTAGGTTGGAACACATTTGTAGAATATTTGTTGAATATTTGGTTTCTAAGAAATTGCTATTATTATTTTTATGTCATTAAACATTTTATACCAATATACAGAATATACAGACTAGCTTTAGTGAATTGTTTTCAATTAAATTTATGATTGAAATAACAGAAGAAGTAAAGAAAACTTGAGGAAATCAGCTAAAAAATGGGAAGCATGTCACTGAGTGGCAGAGTTGGAAAAGACGGCTATGTGTAATGAACTCTAGTCTCTGGTTGAGAAGGTGGGCTGGAAAAATAATAGTGTATTGCAGAGTAAAGTGTTGCTATAGAAACAGTTACCTGAAGATCTAATCAGTATCTTGTTGAGTGAAAGGATTTTCTCTGTAGTGTGAAACATTTCAGCAAGTACTAAAAATAGTTTTTTTAAGAGCCTCACAATATATTCCCTTATCTCTTGCTCATTCCTAGGATTTAGAAAACAAATTATTAAAAATTATCAGCACCATATAATGAGAATGCCACCTAATTTTGATAAAGTGCAAGGATTAAACCTGTATGTTTGGGTATCCTACGTCATTTAGTTAAAAGGGTTAAATGTTTCATAGTTTGGGATCCTCCAAAGCAGAGCCTGGGATAAGCACCTGTAGGAGAGATAGTTTATTTGGGAGGTATTTCAGAAAACAGGAGTAAGAGAGTAGGCAGAGTGAGGCAGGGAAGGAGGAATAGCCAGTTATGGTATCTTACCTCTCTCTGTGGTAGGCCACAAGGCTTGATCCTCCTGGGACCTCTGGGATGTACAGAAAGCCTTCTGGCCACCTGAAAGCTGGCAGCCAGAGCATTTGTCCACTAGTTCCATCTTCCACTGGTTGCAGGTTTCCCCCTGAGAGTGTTACCTTCTCTGCTGCCCTAGGAAGAGAACCTAGTGACCTCAGACAGCCTGGGAGAAGGTGCTGGGGCAGAATGCAAAAAGATAAGAAGCCCAGGTTTGAAGCAGGATGCTGGCAGTAGAGCTTAGTCTAAACCCACATAGAATGCATAATGGCTTCCTGAACACAGAGTAGCAGAGGGGAAATTGATGCAGGTACCAGTTATGTCTGGTACAGTCTAATCCCACAGCAGTAGTTCCCTGATGTGCCCCTTTACCCAGGTATCTTTTCTCATGGCATATTACTTTATTTTTTACCACTATGACCCTTAATCGGAAAGTTATGTAACCTTTCTCTGCATTAGTTTCTTTGCCTCTAAAATGGGTATAATAGTATTACCTACTTAAAAAGTTGTTGTGAGTATTAATTGTATTAATTCCTGTCATGAATTTAGCATAGTCCCAGTCCACGGTAAGTGCTCAGTAAGTAGCCATGTTATTATTATTAACAATAGGAATACAAAAGTATCGCCACTACTACTATTGATGGTGAAGCCTACTGTTGTATTTAATATTTCCACAGTATCAACAACTTCATTATAGTATGATTTCTAGTCTATCTTGCACAGATTATCTGATTTGTTTCTCACCACAGTTTTTATGAAGGACATTGAATTCTGAAAATATCTTTTGGATAAAAGTCACAAGCTGTATTCAGAACACAGTTGAATAATGTCATCTCTGTAAGTCTATCCAGTACATGTTAAACTCATGTAAAGTTGTTAAGTACATATTCTGAGCTTTAAAGCCTTCATTGTAAGTCATTATTTAGGAAATCCCAAGTCCTTCAGCTATTGAGGGAGCAGTAGACCTGAATACTATTATTCATATTGGAAGAATAATTTTAGATTAGACTAATGATTTTCTGCAATGTCAAGATGAAGGCAAAAATCACATAGGAAGAGAAATCAAGGCTTGCCTAAAAGAAATCACCATCACCACTCACTAATGAAAATGTTTATAAGGTATGTATCTTTTTATTTTTATATACTTTAAGTTCTGGGATCCATGTGCAGAATGTGCAGATTTGTTACATAGGTATACACGTGCCATGGTGGTTTGCTGCACCCATCAACCCATCATCTACATTAGGTATTTCTCATAAAGCTATCCTTCCCCTAGCCCGCCACCCCCAACAGGCCCCGGTGTGTGACGTTCCCCTCCCTGTGTCCATGTGTTCTCATTGTTCAACTCTCACTTATGACTGAGAACATGCAGTGTTTCGTTTTCTGTTCCTGTGTTAGTTTGCTGAGAATGATGGTTTCCAGCTTCATCCATGTCCCTGCAAAGGACATGAACTCATCCTCTTTTATGGCTGCATAGTATTCCATGGTGTATATGTGCCACACTTTCTTTATCCAGTCTATCACTGATGGTCATTTGGGTTGGGTCCAAGTCTTTGCTATTGTGAACAGTGCTGCAAAAAACATACGTGGGCATATGTCTTTATAGTTAATGATTTATAATCCTTTGGGTATATATCCAGTAATGGGATTGCTGGGTCAAATGGTATTTCTGGTTCTAGATCCTTGAGGAATCGCCACACTGTCTTCCACAATGCTTGAACTAATTTACACTCCCACCAACAGTGTAAAAGCATTCCTATTTCTCCACACCCTTACCAGCATCTGTTGTTTCCTGACATTTTAATGATCACCATTCTAACTGGCATGAGATGGTATCTCATCGTGGTTTTGATTTGCATTTCTCTGATGACCCACTGATGATGAACTTTTTTCACATGATTTTTGGCTGCATAAATGTCCTCTTTTGAGAAGTGTCTCTTCATATTGTTTGCCCACTTTTGTTGGGGATGTTTGTTTTTTTCTTGTAAATTTGTTTGAGTCCCTTGTAGATTCTGGATATTAGCCCTTTGTCAGATGAATAGATTGCAAACATTTTCTCCTAATCTGTAGGTTACCTGTTCACTTTGATGATAGTTTCTTTTGCTGTGCAGAAGCTCTTTAGCTTGATTAGATCCCATTTGTCAATTTTGGCTTTTGTTGCCATTGCTTTTGGTGTTTTAGTCATGAAGTATTTGCCCATGCCTATGTCCTGAATGGTGTTGCCTAGGTTTTCTTCTAGGGTTTTTATGGTTTTAGGTCTTATGTTTAAATCCTTAATCCACCTTGAGTTAATTTTTGTATAAGGTGTAAGGAAGGGGTTCAGTTTCAGTTTTCTGCATATGGCTAGCCAGTTTTCCCAGCACCATTTATTAAATAGGGAATCCTTTTTCCATTTCTTGTTTTTGTCAGGTTAGTCAAAGATCAGATGGTTGTAGATGTGTGATGTTATTTCTGAGGTCTCTGTTCTGTTCCATTGGTCTATATATTTGTTTTGATACCGGTACCATGCTGGTTACTGTAGCCTTGTAGTATAGGTTGAGGGCAGGTAGTGTGATGCCTCCAGCTTTGTTCTTTTTGCCTAGGATTGCTTTGACTATATGGGCTCTTTTTGGGTTCCATATGAAATTTAAAGTAGTTTTTCCTAATTCTGTGAAGAAAGTTAATGGTAACTTGATGGGGATAGCATTGAATCTATTAATTACTTTGGGCAGTATGGCCATTTTCATGATGTTGATTCTTCCTATCCATGAGCACGGAATGTTTTTCCATTTGTTTGTGTCCTCTTTTATTTCCTTGAGCAGTGTTTTGTAGTTCTCCTTGAAGAGGTCCTTCACATCCCTTGTAAGTTGAATTTGTAAGTATTTTATTCTGTTTGTAGCAATTGTGAATGGGAGTTCACTCATGATTTGGCTCTCTGTTTGTCTGTTATTGGTGTATAGGAACGCTTGTGATTTTTGCACATTGATTTTGTATCCTGAGACTTTGCTGAAGTTGCTTATCAGCTTAAGGAGATTTTGGGCTTAGACAATGGGATTTTCTAAATATAGAATCATGTCATCTGAAAACAGGGACAATTTGACTTCCTCTTTTCCTAATTGAATATACTTTATTTTTTTCTCTTGCCTGATTACGCTGGCCAGAACTTCCAATACTACGTTGAATAGGAGTGGTGAGAGAGGGCATCCCTATCTTGTGCCAGTTTTCAAATGGAATGCTTCCACTTTTTGCCCATCAGTATGATATTGGCTGTGGGTTTGCCATAAATAGCTCTTATTATTTTGAGATATGTCCCATCAATACCTAATTTATTGAGAATTTTTAGCATGAAGGCTGTTGAATTTTGTCGAATGACTTTTCTGCATCTATTGAGATAATCATGTGGTTTTTGTCATTGGTTCTGTTTATGCGATGGATTATGTTTATTGATTTGCATATGTTGAACCAGCCATGCATCCCAGGGATGAAGCCCACTTGATCGTGGTGGATAAGCTCTTTGATGTGCTGCTGGATTCGGTTTGCCAGTATTTTATTGAACATTTTTGCATCAATGTTCATCAGGGATATTGGTCTAAAATTCTCTTTTTTTGTTGTGTCTCTGCCAGGCTTTGGTATCAGAATGATTCTGGCCTCATAAAATGAGTTAGGGAGGATTCCCTCTTTTTCTATTGATTGGAATAGTTTCAGAAGGAATGGTACCAGCTCCTTTTTGTACCTCTGGTAGAATTTGGCTGTGAATCCATCTGGTCCTGGACTATTTTTCGTTGGTAGGCTATTAATTATTGCCTCAATTTCAGAGCCTGTTATTGGTCTATTCAGAGATTCAATTTCTTCCTGGTTTAGTCTTGAGAGGGTGTATTTGTCCAGGAATTTATCCATTTCTTCTAGATTGTCTAGTTTATTTGCGTAGAGGTATTTATAATATTCTCTGATGGTAGTTTGTATTTCTGTTGGATCAGTGGTGATATCCCCTTTATCATTTTTTATTGCATCTATTTGATTCTTCTCTCTTTTCTTCTTTATTAGTCTTGCTAGTGGTCTATCAATTTTGTTGATCTTTTCAAAAAACCAGCTCCTGGATTCATTGATTTTTTAAAGGGTTTTCTGTGTCTCTATTTCCTTCAGTTCTGCTCTGATCTTAGTTATTTCTTGCCTTGTGCTAGCTTTTGAATGTGTTTGCTCTTGTTTCTCTAGTTCTTTTAGTTGTGATGTTAGGGTGTTGATTTTAGATCTTTCCTCCTTTCTCTTGTGGGCATTTAGTGCTATGCATTTCCCTCTACACACTGCTTTAAATGTGTCCCAGAAATTCTGGTATGTTGTGTCTTTGTTCTTATTGGTTTCAAAGAACATCTTTATTTCTGCCTTCATTTCGTTATTTACCCAGTAGTCACTCAGAATCAGGTTGTTCAGTTTCCATGTAGTTGTGCAGTTTTGAGTTAATTTCTCAATCCTGGGTTCTAATTTGTTTGCACTGTGTTCTGAGAGACAGTTTGTGGTGATTTCTGTTCTTTTACATTTGCCGAGGAGTGCTTTACTTCCAACTATGTGGTCAATTTTGGAATAAGTGTGATGTGATGCTAAGAAGAATGTACAGTCTGTTGTTTTGGGGTGGAGAGTTCTGTAGATGTCTATTAGGTCCACTTGGTGCAGAGCTGAGTTCAAGTCCTGGATATTCTTGTTTACTTTCTGTCTCGTTGGTCTGTCTAATATTGATAGTGGGTGTTAAAGTCTCCCATTATTATTGTGTGGGAGTCTAAATCTCTTTGTCGGTCACTACGGACTTGCTTTATGAATCTGAGTGCTTCTGTATTGGGTGCATATATATTTAGGATAGTTAGCTCTTCTTGTTGAATTGATCCCTTTACCATTATGTAATGGCCTTCTTTGTCTCTTTTAATCTTTGTTGGTTTAAAGTCTGTTTTATCAGAGACTAGGATTGCAACCCCTGCTTTTTTTGCTTTCCATTTGCTTGGTAGGTCTTCCTCCCTTCCTTTATCTTGAGCCAATATGTGTCTCTGCATGTGAGATGGGTCTTCTGAATACAGCACCCTGATAGGTCTTGACTCTTCATCCAATTTGCCAGTCTGTGCCTTTTAATTGGGGTATTTAGCCTATTTACATTTAAGTTAATATTGTTATGTGTGAGTTTGATCCTGTCATTATGATGTTAGCTGGTTATTTTGCCCCTTATTTGATACAGTTTCTTCCTAGCATGTATGTTCTTTACAATTTGGCATGTTTTTGCAGTGGCTGGTACTGGTTGTTCCTTTCCATGTTTAGTGCTTCCTTCAGGAGCTCTTGCAAGGCAGGCCTGGTGGTGACAAAAATCTCTCAGCATTTGCTTGTCTGTAAAGGATTTTATTTCTCCTTCACTTATGAAGCTTAGTTTGGCTGGATATGAAATTCTGGGTTGAAAATTCTTTTCTTTAAGAATGTTAAATATTGGCCCCACTCTCTTCTGGCTTGTAGAGTTTCTGCTGAGAGATCCGCTGTTAGTCTGATGGGCTTCCCTTTTTGGGTACCCCGACCTTCCTCTCTGGTTGCCCTTAACATTTTTTCCTACGTTTCAACCTTGGTGAATCTGAGAGTTACGTGTCTTGGGGTTGCTCTTCCTGAGGAGTATCTTTGTGGTGTTCTGTGTATTTCCTGAATTTGAACATTGCCCTGCCTTGCTACGTTGGGGAAGTTCTCCTGGATAATATCCTGCAGACTGTTTTCCAACTTGGTTCCATTTTCCCCGTCACTTTCAGGTACATCAATCAAACATATCACATAGTCCCCTATTTCTTGGAGACTTTGTTTGTGTCTTTTTACTCTTTTTTCTCTGAAGTCCTCTTCTCACTCTTTTTCATTAATTTGATCTTCAATTACTGATACCATTTCTTCCACTTGATCAAATTGGCTATTGAAGTTTGTGCATGCATCACGTAGTTCTTGTGCCATGGTTTTCAGCTGCATCACATCATTTAAGGTCTTCTCTACACTGTTTATTCTAGTTAGCCATTCATCTAATCTTTTTTTCAAGGTTTTTAGCTTCCTTATGATGGGTTCAAACATCCTCCTTTGGCTCGGAGAAGTTTGTTATCACTGACCTTCTGAAGCCTATTTGTGTCAACTCATCAAAGTCATTCTCCGTCCAGCTTTGTTCTGTTGCTGGTGAGGAGCTGTGATCCTTTGGAGGAGAAGAGGCATTCTGATTTTTAGAATTTTCAGCATTTCTGCTCTGGTTTCTCTCCATCTTTGTCATTTTATCTGCATTTGGTCTTTGATGTTGGTGACCTACAGATGAGGTTTTGGTGTGGATATCCTTTTTGTTGATGTTGATGCTATTTTTTTCTGTTTGTTAGTTTTCCTTCTATCAGTCAGGTCCTTCAGTTGGAGGTCTGTTGGATTTGGCTGGAAGTCCACTTCAGATCCTGTTTGCCAGTGGAGGCTGCAGAACAGCAAATATTGCAGAACAGCAAATATTGCTGCCTGATCCTTCCTCTGGAAACATCGTCCCAGAGGGGCACCCACATGTACGAGGTGTCAGTCGGCCCCTACTGGGAGGTGTCTCCCAGTTAGGCTACACGGGGGTCAGGAACTCACTTGAGGAGTCAGTCTGTCTATTCTCAGAGCTCAAACACCATGCTGGGAGAACCACTGCTCTCTTCAAAGCTGTCATGCAGGGACGTTTAAGTCTGCAGAAGTTTCCGCTGCCTTTTGTTCAGCTATGCCCTGCCCCCAGAGCTGGAGTCTACAGAGGCAGCAGGCCTTGGTGAGCTGCAGTGGGCCCACCCAGTTTGAGCTTCCCTGGCTGCTTTGTTTTCCTTCTCATGCCTCAGCAATGGCAGATGCCCCTCCCCCTGCCAGGCTGCTGCCTTGCAGGTGGATCTCAGACTGTTGTGCTAGCAGTAAAGCAAGGCTCTGTGGGCTTGGGACCCACTGAGCCATGCAAGGGATATAATCTCCTGGTGTGCCATTTGCTAAGATCATTGGAAAAGCACAGTATTTGGGCAGGAGTGCCCCATTTTTCCAGGAACAGTCTGTCACGGCTTCCCTTGGCTAGGAAGGGGAAATCCCCCAACCCCTCGCACTTCCCAGGTGAGGTGATGCTCTGCCCTGCTTCAGCTTGCCCTCCATGGGCTGCACCCACTATCTAACCAGGCCCAATGAGATGAACCAGGGACATCAGTTGGAAATGCAGAAATCACCCATCTTCTGCGGCGATTACACTGGGAGCTCTAGATCAGAGCTCTTACTATTTGGCCATCTTGGAACTTACTCGAGTTTCTTATCTTTTAAAAGCAACTTCTTTTCCCTAATAAAGTACTGTACTTTAAGATACATACCTTTATAATAATAAATGAACAGAGAGCCAAATCATGAGTGAAAGCCAAAATAGACAAATGGGATCTAATTAAGCTAAACAGCTTCTGCACAGCAAAATAAACTACCATCAGAGTGAACAGGCAACCTACAGAATGGGAGAAAATTTTGGCAATCTACCCATCTGACAAAGGGCTAATATCCAGAATCTACAAAGAACTTAATCAAATTTACAAGAAAAAACCCCATCAAAAAGTGGGCAAAGTATATGAACAGATACTTCTCCAAAGAAGACATTTATGCAGCCAACAGACACATGAAGAAATGCTCATCATTCTCAGTCATCAGAGAAATGTAAATCAAAACCACAGTGAGATTCTATCTCATGCCAGTTAGAATGGCGATCATTAAAAAGTCAGGAAACAACAGATGCTGGAGAGGATGTGGAGAAATAGGAATGCTTTTACACTGTTGGTGGGAGTGTAAACTAGTTCAACCATTGTGGAAGACACTGTGGTGATTTCTCAAGAATCTAGGACTAGAAATACCATCTGACCCAGCGATCCCATTACTGGGTATATACTCAAAGGATTGTAAGTCATGCTACAATAAAGACACATGCACACATATGTTTATTGCAGCACTATTCACAACAGTAAAGACTTGGAACCAACCCAAATGTCCATCAATGATAGAGTGGATTAAGAAAATGTGGCACATATACACCATGGAATACCATGCAGCCATAAAAAAGGATGAGTTCATGTCCTTTGCAGGGACATGGATGAAGCTGGAAACCATCATTCTCAGCAAACTAAGACAGGAACAGAAAACCAAACACCGCATGTTCTCACTCATAGGTGGGAATTAAACAATGAGAACACTTAGACACAAGGCGGGGAACATCACACACTAGAGCCTGTCCTGGGGTGGGAGCATGGGGGAGGGATAGCATTAGGAGAGACACCTGATGTAAATGACGAGTTAATGGGTGCAGCAAACCAACATGGCACATGGATACGTATGTAACAAACCTGCACGTTGTGCACATGTACCGTAGGACTTAAAGTATATTGAAAAAAAAAAAAAAAGAAACATGCCCAAAATATAGTAAGTGACAAAAGACCAAAAAAAAAAAAAAAAAGATTAAAAAAACTCGCATTTTCAAGTAGGGTGACTATCATCTTTCATTTTTGCACTTGTTCTCTTTTCAGGGTATTTTCAAATATATTATGTCAAATATAGCACGGAATGTAAATTTTAAATAAGAAAAAAGAACTGGTGATTTTTGCTGTGTTAGTCTGCTTGGACTGTGGTATGGTTTGAATTTGTCTATAAGATCTCATGTTTTGGAAACTTAATCTCCTAACTTGTATGTTTATGGTATTTGGGGGTACGACCTTTAGAAGATAATTAGAATTAGATAAGGTCATCGTGTTGCGGCCCTCATGATTGAACTGGTGGCTTTATAAGAAGAAAAGAAAGGGGAATGGCCAAGATGGCTGAGTAGAAACAGCGCCTATCTGCAGCTCCCACTGAGACGAACAAAAAGGTGAGTGATTTCTGCATTGCCAACTGAGGAACCCAGGTTTTTTCTTTGGAACTGATTAGGCAGTTGGTGCAACCCACGGGGAGCAAGGGAAAGCAGGATGAGGTGACAGCTTCACCTGGCAGCTGCACGTTGCAAAGGGACCTTCCTTTCCCCAGCCAAGGGAGGAGGTGAGGGAATGTGCTGCCTACCCGGGGCACGATGCTTTTCCCATGGATTTTTGCAACGCGTGGGTCAAGAGATTCCCTCGTGAGCCTACACTACCAGGGCCTTGGGCCCCAAGCACAAAACTGGGCAGACTCATGGCATAGCTGCTCTGTTGGGCGTCTGTTTGGGCAGGCACTGAGCTGCAGGAGTTTTTACATAATCTGGCGGCTCCCAGAACTCCAGAGGCAGAAGATCTGTCCATTCTTGTGTAAAGGGGCCTGAGGCCAGGGAGCCAAGCAGCCTTGCTCAGCGGGTCTCACTCCCATGGATCCCCGCCAGCTAAGACCTACTGGCTTGGAATCCCGGCTGGCCAGTACAGCAGCCTGGAGTCTGCCTAAGATGACTGAGTCTCTGGCGGGAGAAGCGACCGCCATTACTGCAGCTCTAGTCGGTGGTTTCTCCCTGCCAGGGCTAGGGAGCCTGGGTGGTTTGGACTAGGCAGTATTCCCCCACAGCACAGCACAGCACAGTGGCTGTGGCAGATTGTGGCCAGACTGCTTCTGTAGGTGGGACCTGGATCCATCTTCCTCACTGGGCAGGGCTATATTTGAAGATGAGGCCTCTAGGAGTGTAATTAAGGTTAAATTAGGTCAAAATTATTAGCTTCCGTATAGGAAAAGACACTAGAAAGTGTTTCTCATTCACCTGCCTTGTGAAAACACAGTTAGAAGGCTGCTGTCTGCAAGCTACAAAGAGGACCCTCACTAAAAACCAACCCTGCCAGACCTTTACCTTCTAGCTTCTGGAACTAAAAGACAATAAATTTCTATTGTTTAACTCCACTGGGAGTTAAGGCTTCAGCATATAAATTCTGGGGGGACACACAAACATTGAATCTGCAGCAGTTACTTAAGAGTACAATTTTTAAGCACCAATGGTAGGTCATCTCCTTCTGTATAATAAAAAAGAAGAGGGAATGATCAACTGCAGACGAAGGACAAAGGCACTGTTCCTTCCTTTTTTCTACTTTTCTGAGCTCTGATTTTATTTACCATAGCTTTAGGTTAATAGGAAAAACTACAGTTTTTACTTAAAATATCAAAAGTTCATGTTAGTGCTCTTTTTCTCTCTCTATAAAATACTGAACAATTTCAATCTTGTAATAAACACACTAATTATGTATAAGCAATGGGGCAGATAGGCCAAATTAACAGTTTACTACCATCCTCTTAATTACTATACCTGGGAGATAGTTATTATGTCTTTTTAAAGGCGCATCCTGGTACAGGCAGTGAGTTAAGCACTTTCTACGCACCTTACCCAATTTAATTCTAACAACTACCCTCCCAGACAGAATTATAAGCTATCTACAACATTTTCTGGTTATGGAGGAAAATGAGATATTAAAATCAGATCATTTTTAGAGGTGTTGGAAATAGTGTTGAGATGCACATGTGTGCAATGGTTTAGTGTATAATTGTCTGGAATTGGGGTATTGATCATTTCAAGTAATCTTCAATTCTATCTTATCCTCTCCTGCCTGTTATACTTAGGATTTTTTGGGAGGTATCTTGCGTCTGTTGAGAGATGGCTTCAGGAGGAAGCTATATATGTATATGACTTTAAGGAAGAAATTAGTTGGAATGCAGGTATCTAAAATCTACCTTCTTCTTGGGAAGGCCGACTCTTCAGGTAAGTATGATTATCATTGTTAAAATATTTATCAAATGTCACACACTGCTTCAGGGTGCTATAAAAATCTCAGTGTTTAGGACTCCACAACATGGGAGAAAAAAAAAAAAGATTAGAAGCATTCTCCTGCACAGAGGTCCTACAGTAGAGCCACAGAGTTGATCACTATGTTTCTCGATGTTTGCACTTCTAGTTACCATAGTTCCTGGCACAATAAAGATTGCCTGAGAAAGCATATGTTTTGGAAACTGTGACCCTTTTTACTGTGTACTTCTCTAAGCTGCGTAAAATCAGGTGATGAAAAGCAAAAAGAAAATTAGAAAATAAATCCTGAGGGTGGATGAGGAGGTTTATTTCTTTATTTCCTAAGGATTAGCTGTAGTCTCTGTTGTTGTTGCCTTCCTTTTCAAAACTGTAACAAATATAGTCAGCTGATGAAATTCTTAGAGGGTCTTTAAAGACTCTTTAATGGAAAAACAACGCCTGTGTTTCTAGGATGCCTAAGTGGAAAATCAGCACCTGCTGCTTAGGGAATTGAGAAACATTTAAAGGTTAGCTGTTTCATTACATAGCAATCTGAATCATTGGCTATACATTTTCAGTCGAACACCCATGATGCTTTACAATGCCAGGCATGCTAGCCATTTAGCAATTATATTATGGTCACAACTATTTCATGTAGAGCTCAGCTCTAAAGAAAATGATGAAATCAGAACAAAAGAAAGGCACATTTGGGATTTCTGGTCCAATTGAATTAAAACATGTCAATGTTTGATGGCAGCATAGTACCTCTTCTGCATTTTACCTTCTATAGAAAGAGAAGACCTTATGTAGATCCATTTTATGCATTTATTCCTCAGGTATTTTTGAATTTTTAATGTGTGTTGGGTGTTGCTCTGGGAGTTTGGATTAAAAGACTCGAAGTCTCTGCTTTCATTGAGTTTACATTCTAGCAGAGGATGCAGAAGTTAAAAACAAGACAAAAAGTAGGGCCAGGAGCCTCCCAGCACTTTGGGAGGCTGAGGTGGGCGGATCACTTGAGGTCAGGAGTTCGAGACCAGCCTGGCCAACATGGTGAAACCCCGTCTCTACTAAAAATACAAAAAATAGCCGGGCGTGATGGTGGGTGCCTGCAATCCCAGCTACTTGGGAGGCTGAGGCAGGAGAATCACTTGAACCTGGGAGGCGGAGGTTGCAGTGAGCCGAGATTGCGCCACTGCACTCCAGCCTGTGCAATAGAGTCAGACTCCATTAAAAAAAAAATAAGACAAAAAGTAAACAAGATAATTACAGATAGTGAAGTGCCACTCGCCTTGAAGGTAATAAAACAGTATAGTCTGATAAGGGTGCATCATTTATGATGATTTTTGTTAAAATTTTAAAAAAAAGACACCCTCAGTCAATGAACTGGTGCCTATATCTGTCTCTCACCACCTCCAGGTCTTTAACTTGGATGATATAAGTGACCTCCAGGAAAAGTTAGTGCCCTTCACCCTCCTTCCCCATGGCCCCCACAGCCTAGAGCCCAGGGCCTAGTATTCACAGAGGCTTAGTGAAGATTCTGGCAAAAGCTGAAGGAGCTGCAAGCTGTTCAACACCACCAAGTTGAGACAGTGGAGCAACAACAAGTATGTAAGAAATGCAACAGTGCCTGATCATACACCAGTCTTCTGGATGTAAACATGGCTACTGCTTTATTTCTGCTTTTTAAATCTCACATAAATGTTGCATGTGGCCAGCCCTAATCTGAAACCATACAAGGAAGGGAATTTTGGGAAATGTAGCTCCAGCTTAGCTAAATTGACATAATACTAGGTTACCACACTGCCCCATCTCTCCGACATTGCCCACCACTCCAATCACACCAACATGTTTCTGTTCTTGGAATTTCCACCTCAGAGCCTGTGTACTTGGTACTACTTCTGCTGGAAGTGAAGAAGTATTTCCCCAGATATCTCCTTACATAGCTTTTTCTTATCATTCACTTTTCCACCTTCATATTACCTCTTTCCCCTATATAAAGTATTTCTTGCTCCTCATTGCTCTCTAAAGTGAACGTTTTTAGTGGCTTGGCCAGCATCAATTCCTCCCCTCTCTTCTTACTAATAGTAGGCAGATCTTTTTTTCAGGCACCCTTTCCCATGCAGCCCCTCTCTCCCTGCTCTGGTGCCTGCATCGGTCTCTCACCACATCCAGGTCCCCAACTGGCTTAAATGAATCAGAAGATTTTATTCCTGGCCTCAGTCATTGATACAGGCATGAACACAAGACCTAAGCTAATGAATCCAGTCCCTTTTACTAGAATGCTCTGATGGAAGCCTTGCTGAACATGAACTAAGATGCATTGGACCCTGACTGCTGACAAACATCCTCCAACCCTGAGAACATCAGCCCTAAGTTGAAGCCACCATTTATGGACTGAAGGATAGAAAAGAGACACATTAGGTCAGCTGCTCTGCTGGCTCAACTGGGTGGTGTGGGACAGCTTGCAGCTCCTTTAGCTCCTGCCAGAATCTTTCCTAAGCCTCTCTGAATACTGTGCTGTGTGTGCGTTTGTGTACGTGTTCATGTGTATGTGTATGTGGTGAAGGGCACTAGATTTTCCTGCAGGTCACTCATATAATCCAAGCTGAAAGCTTAGAGGTGGTGGGAGAGAGATGCATGTACCAGTTAATCTGTTGGTATTCAGCTTGTTCTTTGGGGTCCAGCTTGTTCTTTGGGGTTCCTGTTAGTTCCTGCTCTCCTCCAGTTGTCTTTTCTTCCAGATTACCTGTTTTGCTAACTCTAGCTGGGCACCAGATGTAGAGGCAACAACCTTATATAGACTGTTTACCTTCTATAATTGCCTAAGGTCAAACTCCTATAGTAAGTCTTGATCAAACCTAAACTGACACAGAATTTAGTACAGGAAGTAGTTCTAGAGGAATGGAAGCTTAAGGAAGCATTCTCTGAGTGAGTTCTAGGTTCTCTGAGTTGGTTCTGGATTCTCTGAAATCAGTTCTCTCTTCAGATTAGATTTAGAGGCATAATAATCCTGTTTCCAGTGGTAAAGGACACACTATTAGTTCATAACATGCAGAGGTAAAACACTTAACTTACATCACCATCTGTAGACACCTGTAATTTAATGCCTATAGAAGGCAAGTCCTTAGGTGACTCACCATTCCCTGCCATAGAACATTTAAATGAAAACAAGGAGTGTAATGGGTTTGGGTAGTTGATTCTACAAGTAGAAAGAAAATGATGAGCTCAGGGCTTCAAATTCCTGGAAACTTCTATAACTGTTCTAAAAACACACTTATCTCCTATAGCTGCAGGACTGATTTCTGAAAAGAAAACCTAAAGTCTGAGCTCAGGAGGGGCTGATTGACAGGATAATCTGGGTTTCTAATTTCTCTAGGTCTTTTGTATTAATGTTAGGACATTGATTGGAAAGGAGTGGTACCCTGAAAATTAGGATAAGGAAATATGAGTACATTTTGATGAAACTGAAGATCTCCAACTTCTAAATTATGCTGCATTTTTCTTGCCAGTAGGAGCAACCCTTCTTCTCCTACCTGAGAATATTAGATTCTCTCCTGCCTCTACTGATGTATTTACAAGGGACTGATTATCCTCATCAGGAGCTTCTCCCAAATACCTGCCATCGCTTCTAGACCTATTACTAAACTGAAGTTGCAGGCTCCAGAGAGCAAGGTAAAAAGTGTTACCCAAATGGAAGTGTGATATATACTAAAATATTTGCAGTATTTTGCCAATTTGTATAAACAGAAATCTGGGAAACATGTGGGAGTAGATCTTGAAGGTGTTGAATCGGGGTAGAACAAATATAATGCTGGCCTGGGCTGAATTTATTAATATGGGTTCACTAGTTCAGATTCTGGGTTCAATATATCAGCTTGAGCATTTGGGAGTGGCTCTTATTTGGCTTGATTGTGACCAAAACCTGAATCCAAAGGCAATATATACTAAATGAAGGTGAAAAACTAAAACTTTCCTGATATGCTGCGGAAGAGGGTATCCAAAGACTCAGAAGATTTGGAATGCTGAGTGGATTTATCCTGTAAGCTCTGCTCACCTACCTCTTTTTTTTTTTTTTTTTTTTTTTTGAGATGGAGTCTTGCTCTGTCACCCAGGCTGGAGTGCAGTGGCACGATCTCAGCTCACTGCAAGTTCCGCCTCCCTGGTTCACGCCATTCTCCTGCCTCAGCCTCCCGAGTAGCTGGGAATACAGGCACCCGCCACCACACCTGGCTAATTTTTTGTATTTTTTAGTAGAGACGGGGTTTCACCATGTTAGCCAGGATGGTCTCGATCTCCTGACCTCGTGATCCACCTGCCTCGGCCTCTCAAAGTGCTGGGATTACAGGCGTGAGCTACCGCGCCCAGCCTCACCTACCTCTTAAACATGTGCTTTGAGAGGGTCCAGAGGACAATTCTTTCACCAAGGTGGTGGAAGATAAACTTGTGAGGGGAGCTTCAGCATCATTGAAGACTTCTGCGGTGCTTATTCTTTGTAGGCCAGGAATAGTGGACCTGCCAATCAACTTGGCTTCCTTATTCATGGCTATGATGGAAAGGAGTGGCAGGGACCAGGATGAGTCATTGAATCTCCAGAATTAAGGTGGGGGTGGTTATCATAATGGGCAACAAAAGGAAGTAATAATCAAAACAGTTTAACCCACAGAGATTTTTTGGCATTGACTGATTGATCATGAATTACCTAAAACTGAAATAGATAGGGAGCCTTTAAAGTCTTTCTGGATTTATTGATGCTGAGAAGCTCTAGGTCTGGTGGATAGAAGTCTGACTTGAATCATCACAATACAGAGTTGCAGTTCCCAATCAATTCCCAGATTTGAGCCAGCTCATGACCTACAGTTCTGTAAATGGAAGAGAGGCCATTTACCTTGAGAAAAGACCCTGCTTCATGCCAAAAATTTGTACTGAAAATCTTCCTCCTACTCTTCCCCAAGTGGACCTGCAGCCATTTTCCAAGTTGACTGTGCATTGGGGAAAGGGGACTAATGAAACTTTCTGGATATTACTGGATACTCACTGCTGATACTAATTTCTATAGACCCAAAATACTACTGGGTCCACCAGTCAGAGTAAGACCAGTTTTAGCTCAGGTTTTTCTCATAGTGAGTCAGGTGGGTCTCAGAAACCACTGTGTGGTTTATTTCTTCAGTTCCAGAATGCAGAGTTAGGTCAGAGATACTTGGCGCCTGGAAGAATCTCTACATTGATTCCCTACTCCATGGAATTAAGGCTATTATGGTGGGAAAGGCCAAGTAGAAGCCATTAGAACTGTCTCTACCTACCAATAGTAAGCCACTGTTTCTGTAAAAGGTATAGACATTATCACAATAATCAAGGGCTTAAGAATGCAGGACAGTCATTCCTACAGCATCCTCCTTCAAACTGCTATTTGGTCCTGTACAGAAGATAATGGGTCTTGGAGAATAATGCCAAATTATCGTAAATGTAACCAATTACAACTGCTATTCCAAATATGATTTCACGGCTGGAGCTATCAAGAATTGTGAAGTGTCTGAGGTTTTACTATATTTGCAAGGTAATAAGTTAGCATACTATAGTTTTATACATGCTGGCAGATGATATGAGACTCCTTCATCAGAGACTGTAGCCTTTGTATGATTCACATCACAGCAAACAGCATGAGTTTCATGTTTGCATTGGTTCTCCTTGCTTCAAAAGTCTCATAAAGCAATGTGGAGGACCCTGGGTGAAATCTGAACATTCAGTGGATTTATGTTAGAGCTGAGGATCCCTAAGCTTAGGGAACCTTGACCTTTTAAAAGTATTGCTGGTAAACCTGTCCAATGTTTTCTCTGGAAGAAGACATTTTCTTTACTATCTTATACAACAAACAAATCTGTGCTCTTTCTCAGAGGGAGACACTATTTCTATCTTCCAAGGTGTTTTGCTAAGCAAACTTTTTTTAAAAAATTTTTATTTATTTTATTTTAAGTTACAGGATACTTGTGCAGGACGTGCAGGTTTGTTACACAGATAAACATGTGCCATAGTGGTTTGCTGCACCTATCAACCCATCACCTAGGTATTAAGCCCAGCATGCATTAGCTATTTATTCTGATGCTCTCCCTCCCCCTACCCCACCCCCTGACAGGCCGTGGTTTGTGTCATTCCCCTCCCTGTATCCATGTGTTCTCATTGTTCAGCTCCCATTTATAAATGAGAACACGCAGTGTTTGGTTTTCTGTTCCTGAGTTAGTTTTCTGAGGATAATGGCTTCCAGCTCCATCCGTGTCTCTACAAAGGACATAATCTCATTTCTTTTTATGGCTGCATAGTATTCCATGGTGTATACGTGCCACATTTTCTTTATCCAGTCTATCATTGATGGGCATTTAGGTTGATTCCATGTCTTTGCTATTGTACATAGCAAATATGTGTGCATGTATCTTTATAATAGAATGATTTATATTCCTTTGCATATATACCCAGTAATGGGATTGCTGGGTCAAATGGTATTTCTGGTTCTAGATCCTAGAGGAATTGCCACACTGTCTTCAACAGTGGTTGAACTAACTTACACTCCCACTGACAGTGTAAAAGTGTTCCTGTTTCTCCACAGCCTCACCAGCATCTGTCGTTTCTTGACTTTTTAATCACTATTCTGACTGATGTTAAATGGTATCTCATTGTGGTTTTGATTTGCATTTCTCTAATGGTCAATGATGTTGAGCTTTTATTTGTGTGTTTGTTGGCCACATGTATGTCTTCTTTTGAGAAGTACCTGTCCATGTCCTTTGCCCACTTTTTGATGGGGTTGCTTGCTTTTTTCTTGCAAATTTGCTTAAGTTCCTTGTAGATTCTGGATATTAGACCTTTGTCAGATGGATAGATTGCAAAATTTTT
This sequence comes from Homo sapiens, assembly GCF_000001405.40. NCBI lineage: Eukaryota > Metazoa > Chordata > Mammalia > Primates > Hominidae > Homo > Homo sapiens. The sequence goes on from NC_000006.12 coordinate 85,919,507, forward strand.
CTCCCATTCCATAGGTTATCTGTTCACTCTGATATAGTTTCTTTAGCTGTGCAGAAGCTCTTTAGTTTATTCAGGTATCGTTTGCCAGTTTTTGCTTTTGTTGCAATTGCTTTTGATGTTTTTAAGCAAACATTCTTGAAAAGATAGTGCATAACAAAACGTAATACATAATGTGTAGAAATGTGAGCGATCCCTAGAGAATTGTCTCTCAACAGGAGCAAATCAACACATATCACCTGACACATGGCACATAGCAATTGAACTGATGGATGCCTTTTTCCCTATATTTGTTAGTAAAGACAATTAAGAGCAATTGCATTCAGATGGTGTGAAGGTAAATTTTATCTGTCATCTTGGCTAGGCTACTGCCCAGTTATTTTGTCAACCACTAGTAAAGATGTTGCTGTGAAGCTATTTTATAAACATGGCAAACATTTGCAATCAGTTGATTTCAAGTACAGAAGATTACCTTTCATGAAATGGGTGCATTCCATACAATCAGTTGAAGTCCTTAAGAACAAGAATTGAGGTTTCTTGGAAAATAAGGAATTCTGTCTCAATTCTGTAATGTAAAAACACTGCCAGTTTCCCACCTGCTGGTCTGCCCTGCAGATTTAAGATTCAAGACTGCAACGCCAACTCTTACCTAAATTTCCAACCTGTAATCTTGCCCTATAGATAGACTTTCCAGCTCCCAAAGTCTCATAATTTTAAATTATTGTATGATAGTTAGTATTATCTGTACTCTGGAAGTTATTTATGTATACTGTATCTGTATAATGGAACTACTACATATTGATGTGCAACCGCCTACCTCTTCTTAACTCTGTGTTCAGTGATATCACATTTGCTGGGATAAAACTGGCCATGGTGGGAGTATTAATACCATAGAAACTAGCAAAATCTATGTAAGGGCTTTTTCCCCTTTGGAGAACTGGTTGCTAAACATTTATCAGTGAACCACTTCTTATAGCTCAGTGTTTAAATTACAGAATATCAAAGGGAGAGTGTGACTCAGCTACGAGAAGAATAAATACTACCCCAAAATATACAAAGAAATTTTATAGACCCTTGAGAAGTTTAACATATTTTCAGTTTTACAAAGGATAGTTGCATTATATGAGGCAGAAGCATAATTTATTTTTATTTGGAAATTAGGTATGGTTAAAAGAAGTATGGTTGGGCCACATTGATAAGAGTGGTTAGTGGTGGCTTTATACTTTGTTAACCTAGCTAAGCTGGAACTACATTTACAAGAATTCCCTTTCCCATATAGTTCTGTTTAGGGTTGGTGACAAGAAAAATTTGCATGAGATTTGGGAGGCATAAGTAAAGCATCAGTTGCATTTGTGTTCAGATGTTTTGTGTTCAGTCAGGTTCTGCTGCAGTTCACACACATTGTCTCTGCTCCAGTTCACACACATTGTCTCTGCTCTGTTGGCTCACATTAGTGGCATGGGACGGCAGCCAAGCCTACAGCTACTTCAACTGCTGATGAAACACCTTATTTAGCTCCTCCTAATCCTATGCCAGGTATGTGGCCTAAATCTATGACAAAGAGTGTTAGCTTCCTCTGCAAGTCACCCACAATGTTGAAATTGAGGCCTGAATGTAGCAAAAGATAGATCCAAGTTTTAGTTCATATTCATGAGCTTCAGCTCATCCTTTCAGGTTTCAGTTCATTCTTGCTCTCCCCACTTCACATTTCCCATTCATCCTTCTTTCCAGTCCAGCATCAGATATAGAAGCAACATCCTTATATAGAATCGTTACTAGCTCTCACAATTGCTAGGGGCTCAATATCAAACCCTTATGATAAACTTTATTCTATATCACTTATAGTGGATCTCTTTTCTGATTGAATCCTGATACAGGGAGGCAATTAGGGTTTGAACTAATAGGCCATGATAAAGAGTGTGGATTTTATTCTTAATGCATTAAGAATCTTTTGGATAGTTTTTGGCAGCATGCAGTAATGTGAATGAATTGAGGACAGTCATAGGTATAAGCAAGTTGAGCAGTTCTATATCAATAGTCTAAATGAGAAATGGTAGTAAATTGGACTAGGAAGATGGTAGTGTAGCTAGAAAGAAATGGATATATTAATACATTATTTGAGGTAGGGATAGTATGACTAGCTGATGAATTGGATTTGGGTGATAAGGTAAAGAAAAGAATCAAGAATGACCTCTAGGTTTTCAGCTTGAGCAAGTAGGTGGATAATAATGCCATTCATTAGCTCTAAAAGACTGGAGGAAAACAGACAGAAAGTTCTGTTTTGGAATTGTTAAATCTGAGAAGCATATTTGAGATCTGTGTAGTCAATAAGATATAAGAAATCTGGATCATGAGAGAGTTCAGTGCTGAAAATACAAATCTGGAAATTTTCAGCATAGATATGTGAAGTCTAGAAATTGGATAAAGTCATTCAGGGAGAAAGTGAATAAATATTATGATTCAGTTATGGCATAATAATTGAGTAGAGAGCATTAGCTTATTTTTTTAACAGTTCGCCATGCACTCATAGGTCACTGGTGATTAAACAAGACAATTCCAAGTACCCTTCCACCCACATTATAATTCTTTGACTTTCAGAATAAATATTGAATGATATAAGGTGATGATAATGGTAACTCCAATATAAATAACCATTATTAATATTAATTAACTTTATAAGAGAAACAATCGTGATATAATTGATGTTATTCACTCTTCCTTGCCTTATTAGAAAGGTATGTGATACGGCTTACATAGATAGAAGTACATTAAGCATCAAATTATAACAGCCAGGGACTATTAGAGTTTCTGGTTTTTGTCCTGGGAATAAAGGCAATGTGTGTTTGTTTGAAAAGCTGTCCTAAAGTTGACTTAGAAAAAAATACCAGCTTACTCTTGTTTACTGTCTACAGAAGCAATTCACTTCATGCCAGTTGTTAGTCTTGGGTGAATGGGCAAGTTGCTCTTTCCATTTCTGCACTAAGATTATAAAAATGTAGCACCACTTGAAACCAGTCCTGTAGCTTCTTGTATTCAATGACAGACTTAGGGATAAGTATAAAAGCAATTACTGGGGGGACCAGAATCTTGACTTTCCGTTTTGGCATTGGAATGATTATATATCATCGAGGAGATGCAATGTAGTGAGGCTTTGGAGTCAGAGTTCTGGGTGAAAATTTTGGGTCTATTACCATTTGGTTGTGTGACCTTAGGGTAAGTTGTCCATCCCCTTTGAGTCCCAGTTTCTTCACCAAAATGAGAATAACAATAACTAACTTCTAGAAATATTTTACTAAACAAAATACTGTGCCTAGTACACTCTTTGCAAATACTCAAGGTTCACCAGCTATCATTTATTGTTCATGTTTAGCCAGTTATATCTATTCTGTTTAAGTCTCTGATCTTCCATCATACCTCAAATCCCACAGATGACCTTCTCTTCTTCCTCCTTCTCCTCTTCCTCCTCTTCTCCTCCCGCCCCCTTCTTCATCTCCTTGAGGCATGTGTTAGTTATCTATTTGTTGCCTCTCAGTTTTAGATCTATCCTTCATTGCCCTGCTTGTGATTCTGAAGCATGTTTTCATTATCAGCTGGCACAATGTTAAATTTTGTCACTAGAGGGCACTGGATGTATGCTGGAGGATGAAAGGGCTTTTCTTCTGGTTCCTAGTGTGCTCTGCGCGATTGCTATTGCAGTGCATGAGTCAGGAGCATATAGGACAATTGGCTGATACTTACTTCCCCATGGGCAGCATTCCCTAGCACCCCAGGGGATTGCTTCCTATTGGGCCACCCCTATGGGTAGTTTCTCAGTGAGCTCTGCAGCATGGCATCTTTCTGTGGGCAGCTTCACCTAGCAACCAAGGAAGTAGTTTCCCAGCTCACCATCTCTGTGGGAGGCTTTGCAGTGAGTTCTGAGGTACAACACCTTGTTGAGGGCTTCCTTCAGCATCCCAGAAGGCAGCTTCTCAGTAAGTTCTACCAGCATGGCATCTGCATGAACTTCCACACAGGTGGATGGTGTCCTTCCCAGTGAAAGTTTGGATTTCAGCTCTGGAGGCCTCTTCTGTATTTGATGCATGCCTAGGTGCTGTGCTTCAGTGCTAGAGGTATTGATTGCTATGTATGTTTTCTATGTATTTATCCTTTAAGCTTGTCTTTATCTATTAGTAGGTAATTCCCGTTTATAGTTAATAATTTTTTATATTAAACTTCCCCTGTTCAAATTACTGTGTGGTTCTGTCTCCTGATCGGAATCTGATAGATATAAGATACAACTTACATGCAATGAAATGCTCAGATCTTAAGTGAACTCTTCCCTTTCACTCAGTACAATGTTGAGATTCATCCCTGTTGCATGCATATCTATGTCTCTATTATCTATCTATCTAATTATCTATTTATAATCTATTTTTCCTTTATATTACCAACTAGTATTTCATTGTATAACTGTATCACATTTTGCTGATCCATTCACCTGTTGATGGACATCAGGGTTGTTTCTAGTTTTTGGCTATTATATGTAAAGTTGCCATGAAACTTCTTGTGGAATCTTTTTGCTGTCATAAGATTTCATTTCCCTTAAACAAATACCTAGGAGTAGAACTTCTGGGATGTGGGGGGTGATGTATGTTTCATTTTTTTACGGAACTTCCAGTTTTTCAAAGTGGTTGCATCGTTATATTCTCCTATCATGAATGTCTGAGATCCTGGTTGCTCTGTGTCCTCTTCAATATGTTGTGTTTTCACAGCTCTTCTTTGAGACAGCAAGGGCTGATAACCCAGATTAGATGAAAGCTGGTGTGCTGTCCTTGGCCTGCTTGCTCTCAGATTTGTTCTTTGTCTTTTCACATTCCTCATGACCGTTCTGCAGTCTATTCTTTGGGAATGATTACCTACTTACAACTCTACTATTTTATAACTTTACCATCCTCTATGCTCCAACCACTTTTCTTTTTTATTTTTCTATTATAACTTTTATTTTTTAATTTTTAATTTTAAATATTTTTTATTATTTTATTTCAATAGGTTTTTGGGGAACAGTTGGTGCTTCGTTACACGAATAAATTATTTGATGGTGATTCTGAGATTTCGGTGTACCCATTACCCAAGCAGTGTACACTGTAGCCAATGTGCAGTATTTTATCCCTCCTCCCTCCCACAACCCTTTCCCGCATAGTCCCCAAAGTCCATTGTATCATTCTTATGCCTTTGCATCCTCATAACTTAGCTCCCACTTATGAGTGAGATCATACAATGTTTGGTTTCCCATTCTTGAGTTACTTCACTTAGAATAATGGTCTCCAATTCCATCCAGGTCGCTGCAAATGCCATTATTTCATTCCTTTTTATGGCTGAGTAGTATTCCATGGTATACATACATGCCACATTTTCTTTATTCACTCGTTGATTGATGGGCATTTGGGCTGGTACCACATTTTTGCAATTGCAGATTTTGTGGCTATAAATATGCATATGCAAGTATCTTTTTCGTATAATGTCTTCTTTTCCTCTGGGGAGATACCTAGTAGTGAGATTGCTAGATCAAATGGTAGTTCTACTTTTAGTTCTTTAAGGAATCTCCACACTGTCTTCCATAGTGGTTGTACTAGTTTACATTCCCACCAACAGTGTAGAAGTGTTCCCTTTTCATCACATCCATGCCAACATCGATTATTTTTTGATTTTTTGATTATGGCCATTCTTGTAGGAGTAAGGTGGTAGTGCGTTGTGGTTTTGCATTTCCCTGATCATTAGTGATATTGAGCATTTTTTCATATGCTTGTTGGTCTTTCGTATATCTTTTGTTGAGAGTTGTCGATTCATGTATTTAGCCCACTTTTTGATGGGGTTGTTTACTTTTTTCTTGCTAATTGGTTTGAGTCCCTTGTAGATTCCGGATATTAGTCTTTTGACGGATGTATAGATTGTGAAGATTTTCTCTCATTCTGTGGGTTGTCTGTTTACTCTGCTGACCATTTCTTTTGCTGTGCAAACATTCTTTAGTTTAATTAAGTCCCACCTATTTAGCTTTGTTTTTTGTTGCATTTGCTTTTGGGTTCTTGGTCATGAAATTTTTGCCTAAGCCAATGTCTATAAGGGTTTTCCTGATGTTACATTCTTGAATTTTTATAGTTTCAGGTCTTAGATTTAAGTCCTTGATTTATCTTGAATTGATTTTTGTGTAAGATGGGAGATGAGGATCCAGTTACATTCTTCTACATGTGGCTTGCCAATTATCACAGCACCATTTGTCGAATAGGGTGCCTTTTTTCCACTTTATTTTTTTGTTTGCTTTGTCAAAGATCAGTTGGCTGTAAGTATGTGGGTTTATTTCTGGGTTCTCTATTCTCTTCCACTGGTCTGTGTGTCTATTTTTATACCAGTACCATGCTGTTTTGGTGACTATGGCCTTATTGTATAGTTTGAAGTCGGGCAATGTAATGCCTCCAGATTTGTTCTTTTTGCTTAGTCTTGCTTTGGCTATGCAGGCTCTTTTTTGGTTCCACATGAATTTTAGAATTGCTTTTTTCTAGTTCTGTGAAGAATGATAGTGGTATTTTGATGGGAATTGCATTGAATTTGTAGATTGCTTTTGGCAGTATGGTCATTTTCACAATACTGATTTGACTTATCCACAAGCATGGGATGTGTTTCCATTTGTTTGTGTCATCTATAATTTTTTTCAGCGATGTTTATTGCATTCTACATTATTATAGTGATTTGTAACTATGTCCCTGTTTCTCTTCTGCTAGAGTGTCAGCTCTTTGACAGCATGGACTATGGTTTATTTATTTTAGTTTTCTACAATGTATGATGTGGGACATTGCAAATATTAAGTGTTCAATTCATGTTTGTTGACACCTATTCATATGCTTAAAACAATTTGGATTCATAGTGACCCTCTCCTTTAGATGCTTGGACTGAAATTGTAAGATAATACATGTGTGTTATATTTTATTTTAATTTTATGGATACATAGTAGGTGTATAGATTTATGGGATACATGAGATATTTTGATACAGGCATACAATGTGTCATAATCACACAAGGTAAATGGGATATCTGTCAGCTCAAGCTTTTTTTTTTCTTTTCTTTTTTTTTATACTTTAAGTTTTAGGGTACATGTGCACAACGTGCAGGTTAGTTACATATGTATACATGTGCCATGTTGGTGTGCTGCACCCATTAACCCTTCATTTAACATTAGGTATATCGCCTAATGTTATCCCTCCCCCCCTCCCCCCACCCCACAACAGGTCCCAGTGTGTGATGTTCCCCTTCCTGTGCCCATGTGTTCTCATTGTTCAATTCCCACCTACGAGTGAGAACATGCGGTGTTTGGTTTTTTGTCCTTGCGATAGTTTGCTGAGAACGATGGTTTCCAGCTTCATCCATGTCCTTACAAAGGACAGGAACTCATCATTTTTTATGGCTGCATAATATTCCATGGTGTATATGTGCCACATTTTCTTAATCTAGTCTATCATTGTTGGACATTTGGGTTGGTTCCAAGTCTTTGCTATTGTGAATAGTGCTGCAATAAACATACGTGTGCATGTGTCTTTGTAGCAGCATGTTTTGTAATCCTTTGGGTATATGCCCAGTAATGGGATGGCTGGGTCAAATGGTATTTCTAGTTCTAGATCCCTGAGGAATCGCCACACTGACTTCCACAATGGTTGAACTAGTTTACAGTCCCACCAGCAGTGTAAAAGTGTAAAAGTGTTCCTATTTCTCCACATCCTCTCCAGCACCTGTTGTTTCCTGACTTTTTAATGATCACCATTCTAACTGGTGTAAGATGGTATCTCATTGTGGTTTTGATTTTGCATTTCTCTGATGGCCAGCATTTTTTCATGTGTCTTTTGGCTGCATAAATGTCTTCTTTTGAGAAGTGTCTGTTCATATCCTTCACCCACTTTTTGATGGGGTTGTTTGATTTTTTCTTGTAAATTTGTTTGAGTTCATTGTAGATTCTGGATATTAGCCCTTTGTTAGATGAGTAGGTTGCAAAAATTTTCTCCCATTCTGTAGGTTGCCTGTTCACTCTGATGGTAGTTTCTTTTGCTGTGCAGAAGCTCTTTAGTTTAATGAGATCCCAATTGTCAATTTTGGCTTTTGTTGCCATTGCTTTTGGTGTTTTAGACATGAAGTCCTTGCCCATGCCTATGTCCTGAATGGTATTGCCTAGATTTTCTTCTAGGGTTTTTATGGTTTTAGGTCTAACATTTAAGTCTTTAATCCATCTTGAATTAATTTTTGTATAAGGTGTAAGGAAGGGATCCAGTTTCAGCTTTCTACATATGGCTCAAGCTTTTATTGTGTGGGTGTGTGTGTGTTACAAACATTCCAATTATATTCTTTTCGTTATTTAAAAATGTACAATAAGTTATTACTGACTTTAGTCACCCTGTTGTACTAGCAAATATTAGATCTTATTTATTCTATTGAACTCTATTTTTGTACCCATTAACCATCCCCACTCTCCTACTCCCACTCCCCTTCCTAGCCTCTGGTAAACATAGTTCTACTCTTTATCTCCATGAGTTGAATTATGGTTATTGTTTTAGCTCCTGCAAATAAATGAGAACCTGTAAAGTTTGTCTTTCTGTGCCTGGCTTATTTCACTGAACATAATGACCTCCAGTTTCATCTATGCTGTTGTAAATGACAGAATCTCATTCTTTTCTATGGCTGAATAGTACTTTATTGTGTATATGTACCATATTTTCTTTTTCAATTCATCTATTGATGGACACTTAGGTTGCTTCCAAATATAGGCTATTGTGAATAGTGCTGTAGTTAACATGGGAGTGCAGATATCTCTTTGATATACTGATTTCCTTTCCTTTGGATATGTACCCAGCAGTGGGATTGCTGGATCATATAATAGCTCTATTTATTGATTTTGAGGAACTTCCAAACTGTTCTTTGACTAATTGACATTCCCCACAAGAATTTAGGAAGATTCTCATTTCTCCACATTCTTGTCAGCATTTGTTGTTGCCTGTCTTTTGGATAAAAGCCATTTTAACTTGGGTGAGATGATATCTCATTGCGGTTTTGATTTGCATTTCTCTGAAGATCAATGATGTTGATCTTTGCATATGCCTGTTTGCCATTTATATATCTTCTTTCGAGGAATGTCTATTCAAATCTTTTGCCCATTTTTGATCAGATTATTAGATTTTTTTCCTATAGAGTTGTTTGAACTCCTTATGTATTCTAGTTATTAATCCCTTGTCAGCTGACTAGTTTGCAAATATTTTCTCCCATTTTATGGGTTGTCTCTTCACTTTATTGATTGTTTCCTTTGCTATGCAGAAGCTTTTTAACTTGATGTGATCCCATTTGTCCATTTTTGCTTTGGTTGCCTGTGCTTATGGTACATTACTCAAGAAATCTTTACCCGTTCCAATGTCCTGGGAAGTTTTCCCAAAGTTTTCTTTGATCACATTCATAGTTTGAGGTCTTATATTTAAGTTCTTAATCCGTTTTGATTTGCTTTTCATATATGGTTTCGTTCTTCTGCATATGGATACCCAATTTTCCCAGCACCATTTTTTGAAGAGACTGTCCTTTTCCCAATGTATGTTATTGGTATCTTTGTTGAAAATAAATTCACTGTAGGTGTATGGATTTGTTTCTGAGTTCTCTATTCTGTTCCACTGGTCTACATGTCTGTTTTTATGCCAGTATCTTGCTGTTTTGGTTACTATAGCTCCGTAGTGTAATTTGAAGTCAGGTAATGTGATTCCTTCGGTTTTGTTCTTTTTGCTCAGGATAGCTTTGTCTGTTCTGGGTCTATTGTGGTTCCATACACATTTTGGGATTGCTTTTTTCTATTTCTGTGAACAATGTCATTGGTATTTTGATAGGAATTGCATTGAATCTGTAGATTTCTTTGGATAGTATGGATATTTTAACAATATTGAGTCTTCCAATCCATGAACATGGAATATCTTTCCTTTTTTTTTTTTTGGTGTCTTCTTTAATTTCTTGCATCAATGTTTTGTAGTTTTCATTATAGGGATCTTTCACTTCTTTGGTTAAGTTTATTCCTAGGTATTTAATTTTATTTATAGATATTGTAAATGCAATTACTTTCTTGATTTCTATTTCAGATTGTTTGCCATTGGCATATAGAAATGCCACTGATTTTTGTATGTTGATTTTGAATCCTGCAACTTTTCGGAATTTGTTTATCAGTTCTAATAGTTTTTTTGGTGGAGTCTTTAGGTTTTTCTAAATATAAAATCATATTACTTGCAAACAAGGATAATTTGACTTCATCCTTCCCAGTTTGGATGTGCTTTATTTCTTTCTCTTGTATGATTGCTCTAGGTAGGACTTCCAGTACTATGTTGAATAACAGTGGCAAAAGTGGGCATTCTTATTGTGTTCCCAATCTTTCAGTTTTTCCCCATTCAGTATGATACTGACTATGAGTCTGCTGTATATGGGTTTTCTTATGTTGAGGTATGTTCCATCTAACTCTAGTTTTTAGAGTTTTCTTTTTAAATCATAAAGCGATGTTAAATTTTGTCAAATCCTTTTCAACATCAGTTGCAATGATCTTACGTTTTTTGTCCTTCATTCTGTTGATATGATGTGTCACACTGATTGATTTGCATATGTTGAACCAAGGATGGTTCAATGTGTTACATTTATCCCTTGCATCCCTGGGATAAATCCCACTTGGTCACAATGAATGATCTTTTTAATATGTTGTTGAATTCAGTTTGCTAGTATTTGTTGAGGATTTTTTGCATCAGTACTCATCAGGGATACTGGCCTGTAGTTTTATTTTTAAATGTGTCTTTGTCTGCTTTTATTATCAGGATAATACTTGCCTTGTAGAATGAGTTTGGAAGTATTCCCTTCCCCTCTATTTTTTGGGATAGTTTGAATAGGACTGGTATTAGTTCTTCTTCATTCCTTGCTAAAATTCAGCAGTGAAGCCATTGGGTCCCAGACTCATATATGTTATTTTAAGCTGCTAAATTTGTGGTAATGTTACTCAGCAATAGATAACTAATACAATCTGTAACAGGCTCTGTTCCCTTTCTGCTTTTAGGTTAGGTTAATTGAATGATCTAGGATTATCAACGGTGGCTCAATACCATGCTCTTATCAATGGAGCTTGAGCTTGATCATGCAAAAATACCCCAGGGATTCATAGTCAAGTAGCATAGGTGCTTGAAAGTAATTAAATAAGCAAATTTATTAGATTTTATATTCAGAATATAAATGTATTCATACAAAGGACAGGAACTCATCCTTTTTCTATGGCTGCATAGTATTCCATGGTGTATATGTGCCACATTTTCTTAATCCAGTCTATCATTGTTGGACATTTGGGTTGGTTCTAAGTCTTTGCAATTCTGAATAGTGCCACAATAAACATATGTGTGCATGTGTCTTTATAGCACCATGATTTATAAACCTTTGGGTATATACCCAGTAATGGGATGGCTGGGTCAAATGGTACTTCTAGTTCTAGATCCCTGAGGAATCACCACACCGACTTCCACAATGGCTGAACTAGTTTACAGTCCCACCAACAGTGTAAAAGTGTTCCTATTTCTCCACATCCTCTCCAGCACCTGTTGTTTCCTGACTTTTTAATGATTGCCATTCTAACTGGTGTGAGATGGTATCTCATTGTGGTTTTGATATGCATTTCTCTGATGGCCAGTGATGATGAGCATTTTTTCATGTGTTTTTTGGCTGCACAAATGTCTTCTCTTGAGAAGTGTCTGTTCATATGTTTTGCCCACTTTTTGATGGGGTTGTTTGTTTTTTTCTTGTAAATTTGTTGGAGTTCATTGTAGATTCTGGATACAAGCCCTTTGTCAGATGAGTAGGTGGCAAAAATTTTCTCCCATTCTGTAGGTTGCCTGTTCACTGTGATGGTAGTTTCTTTTGCTGTGCAGAAGCTCTTTAGTTTAATGAGATCCCAATTGTCAATTTTGGCTTTTGTTGCCATTGCTTTTGGTGTTTTAGACATGAAGTCCTTGCCCATGCCTATGTCCTGAATGGTATTGCATAGGTTTTCTTCTAGGGTTTTTATGGTTTTAGGTCTAACATTTACGTCTTTAATCCATCTTGAATTAATTTTTGTATAAGGTGTAAGGAAGGGATCCAGTTTCAGCTTTCTATATATGGCTAGCCAGTTTTCCCAGCACCATTTATTAAATAGGGAATCCTTTCCCCATTGCTTATTTTTCTCAGGTTTGTCAAAGATCAGATAGTTGTGGATATGCAGCGTTGTTTCTGAGGGCTCTGTTCTGTTCCATTGGTCTATATCTCTGTTTTGGTACCAGTACCGTGCTGTTTTGGTTACTGTAGCATTGTAGTATAGTTCAAAGTCAGGTAGCGTTATGCCTCCATCTTTGTTCTTTTGGCTTAGGATTGACTTGGCAATGCGGGCTCGTTTTTGGTTCCATATGAACTTTAAAGTAGTTTTTTCCAATTCTGTGAAGAAAGTCATTGGTAGCTTGATGGGGATGGCATTGAATGTATAAATTACCTTGGGCAGTATGGCCATTTTCACGATATTGATTCTTCCTACCCATGAGCATGGAATGTTCTTCCATTTGTTTGTATCCTCCTTTATTTCATTGAGCAGTGGTTTGTAGTTCTCCTTGAAGAGTCCTTCACATCCCTTGTAAGTTGGATTCCTAGGTATTTTATTCTCTTTGAAGCAATTGTGAATGGGAGTTCACTCATGATTTGGCTCTCTGTTTGTCTGTTATTGGTGTATAAGAATGCTTGTGATTTTTACACGTTGATTTTGTATCCTGAGACTTTGCTGAAGTTGCCTATCAGCTTAAGGAGATTTTGGGCTGAGATGATGGGGTTTTCTGGATATACAATCATGTCATCTGCAAACAGGGACAATTTGACTTCCTCTTTTCCTAATTGAATGCCCTTTATTTCCTTCTCCTGCCTGATTGCCCTGGCTAGAACTTCCAACACTATGTTGAATAGGAGTGGTGAGAGAGGGCATCCCTGTCTTGTGCCAGTTTTCAAAGGGAATGCTTCCAGTTTTTGTCCATTCAGTATGTTATTGGCTGTGGGTTTGTGATAGATAGCTCTTATTATCAATACCTGATTTATTGAGAGTTTTTAGCATGAAGCGTTGTTGAATTTTATCAAAGGCCTTTCCTGCATCTATTGAGATAATCATGTGGTTTTTGTCTTTGGTTCTGTTTATATGCTGGATTATGTTTATTGATTTTCGTATGTTGAACCAGCCTTGCATCCCAGGGATGAAGCCCACTTGATCATGGTGGATAAACTTTTTGATGTGTTGCTGGATTCAGTTTGCCAGTATTTTATTAGGGATTTTTGCATCAATGTTCATCAAGGATATTGGTCTAAAATTCTCTTTTTTTTTTTGTGTCTCTGCCGGGCTATGGTATCAGGGTGATGCTGGCCTCATAAAATGAGTTAGGGAGGATTCCCTTTTTTTCTATTGATTGGAATAGTTTCAGAAGGAATGGTACCAGCTCCTCCTTGTACCTCTCATAGAATTCAGCTGTGAATCCATCTGGTCCTGGACTCTTTTTGGTTGGTAAGCTATTAATTATTGCCTCAATTTCAGAGCCTGTTGTTGGTCTATTCAGAGATTCAACTTCTTCCTGGTTTAGTCTTGGAAGAGTGAATGTGTCGAGGAATTTATCCATTTCTTCTAGATTTTCTAGTTTATTTGCATAGAGGTGCTTATAGTATTCTCTCATGGTAGTTTGTATTTCTGTGGGATCAGTGGTGAAATCTCCTTTGTCATTTTTTATTGTGTCTCTTTGATTCTTCTCTCTTTTCTTCTTTATTAGTCTTGCTAGTGGTCTATCAATTTGGTTGATCTTTTCAAAAAACCGGCTCCTGGATTCATTGATTTTTTGAAGGGTTTTTTGTGTCTCTATTTCCTTCAGTTCTGCTCTGATCTTAGTTATTTCTTGCCATCTGCTAGCTTTTGAATGTGTTTGGTCTTGCTTCTCTAGTCCTTTTAATTGTGATGTTAGGGTGTCAATTTTAGATCTTTCCTGTTTTCTCTTGTGGGCATTTAGTGCTATAAATTTCTCTCTACACACTGCTTTGTATGTGTCCTAGAGATTCTGGTATGTTGTGTCTTTGTTCTCATTGGTTTCAAAGAACATCTTTATTTCTGCCTTCATTTCGTTATGTACCTAGTAGTCATTCAGGAGCAGGTTGTTCAGTTTCCATGTAGTGGTGTGGTTTTGAGTGAGTTTCTTAATCCTGAGTTCTAGTTTGATTGCACTGTGGTCTGAGAGACAGTTTGTTATAATTTCTGTTCTTTTACATTTGCTGAGGAGTGCTTTACTTCCAACTATGTGGTCAATTTTGGAATAGGTGTGATGTGGTGCTGAAAAGAATGTATATTCTGTTGATTTGGGGTGGAGAGTTCTGTAGATGTCTATTAGGTCTGCTTGGTGCAGAGCTGAGTTCAATTCCTGGATATCCTTGTTAACTTTCTGTCTTGTTGATCCGTCTAATGTTGACAGTGGGGTGTTAAAATCTCCCATTATTATTGTGTGGGAGTCTAAGTCTGTTTGTAGGTCACTAAGGACTTGCTTTATGAATCTGAGTGCTCCTGTATTGGGTGCATATATATTTAGGATAGTTAGTTCTTCTTGTTGAATTGATCCCTTTACCATTATGTGATGGCCTTCTTTGTCTCTTTTGATCTTTGTTGGTTTAATGTCTGTTTTAACCGAGACTAGGATTACAACCCCTGCCTTTTTTTGTTTTCCATTTGCTTGATAGATCTGCCTCCATCTCTTTATTTTGAGCCTATGTGTGTCTCTGCACGTGAGATGGTTTTCCTGAATACAGCACACTGATGGGTCTTGACTCTTCATCCAATTTGCCAGTCTGTGCCTTTTAATTGGAGCATTTAGCCCATTTACATTTAAGGTTAGTATTGTTATGTGTGAATTTGATCCTGTCATTATCAGGTTAGCTGGTTATTTTGCTCGTTAATTGATGCAGTTTGTTCGTAGCCTTGATGGTCTTTACAATTTGGCATGTTTTTGCAGTGGCTGGTACCGGTTATTCCTTTCCATGTTTAGTGCTTCCTTCAGGAGCTCTTCTAGGGCAGGCCTGATGGTGACAAAATCTCTCAGCATTTGCTTGTCTGTAAGGTATTTTATTTCTCCTTCACTTATGAAGCTTAGTTTGGCTGGATATGAAATTCTGGGTTGAAAATTCTTTTCTTTAAGAATGTTGAATGTTGGCCCCCACTCTCCTCTGGCTTGTAGAGTTTCTGCTGAGAGATCCACTGTTAGTCTAATGGGCTTCCCTTTGTGGGTAACCTGACCTTTCTCTCTGGCTGCCCTTAACATTTTTTCCTTCATTTCAACTTTGGTGAATCTGACAATTATGTGTCTTGGAGTTGCTCTTCTTGAGGAGTATCTTTGTGGCATCTCTGTATTTCCTGAATTTGAATGTTGGCCTGCCTTGCTACGTTGGGGAAGTTCTCCTGGATAATATCCTGCAGAGTGTTTTCCAACTTGGTTCCATTCTCCCCATCACTTTCAGGTACACCCATCAGACATAGATTTGGTCTTTTCACATAGTCCCATATTTCTTGGAGGATTTGTCCATTTCTTTTTGTTTTATTTTCTCTAAACTTCTCTTCCCACTTCATTTCATTACTTTCATCTTGCATCGCTGATACCCTTGCTTCCAGTTGATCACATCGGTTACTGAGGCTTGTGCATTTGTCACATAGTTCTCATACCATGGTTTTCAGCTGCATGAGTTCCTTTAGGGACTTCTCTGCATTGGTTATTCTAGTTATCCGTTCATCTAATTTTGTTTCAAAGTTTTTAACTTCTTTGCCATTGGTTCGAACTTCCTTCTTTAGCTCCGTGTAGTTTGATCTTCTGATGCTTTCTTCTTTCAACTCGTCAAAGTCGTTCTCTGTCCAGCTTTGTTCCATTGCTGGTGAGGAGCTGGCGTTCCTTTGGAGGAGGAGAGGCTCTCTGATTTTTAGAGTTTCTAGTTTTTCTGCTCTGTTTTTTCCCCGTCTTTGTGGTTTTATCTACCTTCGGTCTTTGATGATGGTGACATACAGATGGGGTTTTGGTGTGGATGTCCTTTCTGTTTGTTAGTTTTCCTTCTAACAGTCAGGACCTTCAGCTGCAGATCTGTTGGAGTTTGCTGGAGGTCCACTCCAGACCCACTTTGCCTGGGTATCAGCAGCAGTGGTTGCAGAACAGCAGATATTGGTGAACCACAAATGCTGCTGCCTGATCATTCCTCTGGAAGTTTTGTCTCAGAGGAGTACGCGGCCGTGTGAGGTGTCAGCCCGCCTCTACTGGGGGTTGCCTCCCAGTTAGGCTCCTCGGGGGTCAGGGACCCACTTGAGGAGGTAGTGTGCCCATTCTCAGATCTCAAGCTATGTGGTGGGAGAACCACTACTCTTTTCAAAGCTGTCAGACAGGGACATTTAAGTCTGCAGAGGTTATTGCTGCCTTTTGTTTGTCTGTGCCCTGCCCCCAGAGGTGGAGCCTACAGAGGCAGGCAGGCCTCCTTGAGCTGTGGTGGGCTCCACCCAGTTCAAGCTTCCAGGCTGCTTTGTTTACCTACTCAAGCCTGGGCAATGGCGGACGCGCCTCCCCCAGCCTCGCTGCCACCTTGCAGTTTGATCTCAGACTGCTGTGCTAACAATGAGTGAGGCTCCGTGGGCATAGGACCCTCCAAGCCAGGTACGGGATATAATCTCCTGGTGTGCTGGTTGTTAAGCCTGTTGGAAAAGTGCAGTATTAGGGTGGGAGTGACCCGATTTTCCAGGTGCCGTCTGTCACCCCTTTCTTTGACTAGGAAAGGGAATTCCCTGACCCCTTGCACTTCCCAGGTGAGGCGATGCCTCGCCCTGCTTTGGCTCACATACAGTGTGCTGAACCCACTGTCCTGTACCCACTGTCTGGCACTCCCTAGTGAGATGAACCCAGTACCTCAGTTGGAAATGCAGAAATCACTCATCTTCTGCGTCACTCACACTGGGAGGTGTGGACTGGAGCTGTTCCTATTCGGCCATCTTGGCTCCACCCTCCCGCCTGGCTAATGTTTTAAACTTTTTTGGTAGATACAGGGTCTTGCTGTTTGCCCAGGCTGGACTGGAACTCCTGGGCTCAAGCAGTCCTCTCACCTCAGCCTCCTAGAGTGCTAGAATTACAGTCATGAAACAGCACATGTGGCCCATATTGACTTATTCTTCAGACAGTTGGAATCAATCTATTGTTAGCATGTTTGGGAAAGTTTAGATGCAAAGCTTTGTACCTCCCACATTCTGATGTATATAATGCTGTTTTCTCCTTTTTTTTTTTTTCTCTTATTATATGCTTTGAGATTCTCAGGTCTGCTTCTTTTTCTGCCAGTGTTAACTGATGAAATCCCAGTACTTAAGTCTTAGCCTTCCAATCATGAATAAAGGAAGGCACTTCAATATAAGAAGGAAATGTTTGTTCCTCTTTCCCTGCACTTGCAGAGAAAAATAGAAACTATTCTTGCTTATATTAATGCTAGATAAAAATTCTTATAAGATACCTGGTCTTCAGAGATTGTTGCGAAATACTTTGACAGTAATGTTTAACCCCTGAAAAGTTAGTAACTAACTTTAATTGGTTGTTTTACTTAATAATGTGTTTCATTGGAAATAATTTGGATGTAGACATCACTTTCTCATAAAAGGTGTATGATTTGTGAACTCTGGAAGTCTGAAGGAAAGCCTTGGTATTTCCTTTTTATTTCACATGGTTGAGGTAAAATAAAATTACTCTGCAGATGTATTATTTAAACAAAATGCTTGTGATTATCTTCAAATTTAAAAAAGAGCATTCTTCAGTAGTTTGTCTTTTGCTATTTACTTATTTGAGGAAGTCTTTCTGTTGTTGTCACAAATAAATAATTACTTGGATGAATATGTAGTTCCTAGGTCACAGCTGTTTTATCTCATCATTCAGTAGACTTTGATTGCTTTACTGTCTTCTGGTGTATTTAGGGATGGGGAAAAATACGAAGTCAGATATTTTCTCCAGATGCTTATAGTGTTTTCTTTATCTTTGAAATTATGAAATGTTGCAAGCCTACATACATACATATGTATACATCTATATATGTAATTTTTGCATTTTATTCTATTTTTTCATAGGACTCTAAGAACACATAGGCTCAGATATTTTTGCAGCTAAGATATTTTCTTCTAGTTGATTATTACTCTGTTTTATTTATTTTTTCTTTTTGTTCAGCACATCAGAGAAAGAATTTTTTTTCTTTTATTGAAACATTTATAATCTTAGCTGGCTTTTTGTCCTTTACCTTCCAAATATATTATCTCCTCTCATTGTTTTCTCTTTGTTTTTCTTTTATGCTTCTTGCTTTTCAATAATGATTTGCTGAGGATGGGGTGGCTTTCTCTTCTATTTCAGAGGATAGAGTATGTAATATGTGGTTCAATAACATACCACTCTATCTTGAATGGTGATGCATTTAGTAGAAATTCCACCAGTATTTTCCAAGATCTTCTTTTACCATGGGGTTCCAAGTCCAAGCTTTCACAATTTTGTCTGTCTTCAAGAGTATTAGTCAGTGTGGTGATTCCTCAGGGATCTAGAACTAGAAATACCATTTGACCCAGCAATCCCATTACTGAGTATATACCCAAAGGATTCTAAATCATGCTGCTATAAAGACACATGCACACATATGTTTATTGTGGCACTATTCAGAATTTCAAAGACTTGGAACCAACCCAAATGTCCAACAATGATAGACTGGATTAAGAAAATGTGGCACATAGACACCATGGAATACTATGCAGCCATAAAAAAGGATGAGTTCATATCCTTTGTAGGGACATGGATGAAGCTGGAAACCATCATTCTCAGCAAACTATTGCAAGGGCAAAAATCCAAACACCGCATGTTCTCACTCATAGGTGGGAATTGAACAATGAGAACACATGGACACAGGAAGGGGAACATTACACACCGGGGCCTGTTGTGGGGTGGGGGGAGGGGGGAGGGGAGAGCATTAGGAGATATACCTAATGTTAAATGAAGAGTTAATGGGTGCAGCACACCAACATGGCACATGTATATGTATGTAACTAACCTGCACATTGTGCACATGTACCCTAAAACTTAAAGTCTAATAATAAAAAAAAGAAAGTTAAGAAGAAGCCTAAGTATTTTATTAGAAAGTTAAGAAGGAGCCTATCATGTTTATCTTTTTTTTTTTTTTTTTTTTTTGAGACGGAGTCTTGCTGTCTTGCTGTGTTGCCCAGGCTGGATTACAGTGGTGCGTGTTCTCGGCTACAGCAACTTCCGCCTCCAGGGTGTAAGGATTCTCTTGCCCCAGCCTCCCGAGTAGCTTGGATTACAAGTGCTCACCACCATGCCCAATTTTTATAGTTTTAGTTGACCAGGCTGGCCTTGAACTCTTGACCTCAAGTGATCTGCCTGCCTTAGCCTCCCAAAGTGCTGGAATTACAGGCATGAGCCACAGCACCTGGCCCTCAGGTTTATCTTATCATGTAAAATCTGTCTACATGTTAACTTGGAAGTTCAAATTCAATCATTTAAAATGCTTATGGAGGCCAGTAGCATTAGCTCATGCCTGTAATTCCAACACTTTAGGAGGTCGAGGCAGGAGGACTACTTGAGGCCAGGAGTTGAGACCAGCCTGAGCAACATAATGAGACTCTGTTGCTACAAAAAAATTAAAAAGATCAGCTGGGCATGGTGGCATATGCCTATAGACTTAGCTATTTGGGAGACTGAGACCAGAGGATTGCTTGAACCCAAGCGTTCAAGGTTACAGTGAGCTACGATTATGCTATTGCATCCCAGCCCGGTTGACAAAGCCAGACCTCCTCTCTAAAAAAAAAAAAAAAGGATAAGCCTTCTAGAAATCATAGTGGTATATACATCACATTTTTTTTCCTGGACATCTCTGTGGAAATTTAGTAGACTGTAATTTATTTCTCATTCTTTCATTAGTGATTACAGCCTAAATATCTCACCTCCTATTTTTTTCCATTTATTTTGTTAATAAAACATTTCCTATTAATATTCAAAAATATTAATAGAAAATATTTCTAATATTTCTGTTAGTGTTTTAAATGGTCTTAGCATATGTGCTTGGAATTAGTAATACTCACTATTTGATCTTTGAAACTTTTGCTTCCTAGGATAAAAATGTTAATCATGTTTATATAAATTTATTATTAATAAACAATAATGAATTGTTTTAAATAGTTGTATAAATAATCCATCATCAACTTTCTAAAAATCTTGCATAATTCTGGGAAAAAGATATGTCACACATTATCAAACATGTACTATATCAATTTGTGTGAATTTTAGATTAAGAAAAACAGATTATCTTGTATGTCTAGAATTAGACTTTCTGTAGTGAGAATTCAAATGGAAAGAGTTCCTGAGATTCAGAGTTCAAAACCTTCTTGGAGAGAAAAGAAAGATGAGACAATACATGACGGTGTAATTGATTACAGATCCAAAAGAAAACAAAATTACTGGCAACTGTCCAGTAATTGATTATAGATCCAAAAGAAAATAGAGTTACCGGCAGCTTATTATGTATTTATTTTTAAGTTACAAGATAAAACTTGGTATTTTATTAATTAACATTTAAAAATAAAATCTTTTACTTTCTCTTTGGGGCTGTCTTAAGCCTATGTTTACATTACGTAGGGAAGAGAATATTTTTTCTAAGATAGTTTAGAAAATGGTTTGTGACTCAAGGATTTTTGACTGTCTTTATTTATAACAAAATCTTTAGTCTCTTATTTCTAAAACCAGCAAAAGACATTTCTGAAGCTGTATATCTCCTCAAATGTATTTTTTTTTTTTTTAGCAAATAAAGAAATCAGTATTTGTGGGTCAGAATTTCTTTAGGTTTCATACTGCTGGGAAATTATATATAATTTGGTATTGGATTGTAGTGATTTTTATACTCAGGATCTCATCTTCTGTCTGCTGCAGAAATGGCTCCCTCATTCCTCTCCAGACCCTCTTAAAGTGGCATTTGCAAGACACATGCATCTCGCCTTTAACTACTGTAAACTTACTTTACATCTGACTCTCTCATTGCAATATTATTAACCTGAGATAGTCCTGTTTGTAAGGGAATCTACATGACACATGTATTTTAGTCTCAGTTGGACCCTCCATCTGATCAAATTCTGTTCTAGATTTGTTTCAATTTTGTGATAGCAAGAATGAAAACATTATGTAGTTTCTGCTCTCTTATCTTCAGCTGGTCTTGGTGACTTGTAAGCATTACCTTGAATTCACTGACATCACATATTCTACTCCTACTTACTAATCCTGATAAATGTTTTTCCAGTAAAAATATTCCTCTCCAATGAGGGCTGTCTGCTCAGCATCATTCATGTGGATTTTATTGATTGGAAGCTGAATCCAAAAAGTATTTTCTCTCAGGACATAGTGCTGTGCAATTTCTCATTTGGTATTTTTTTGAATTCTTTTTGTCCAGTTAACAAACTATTTAACAAACTGCCCACAGAGCAAAAGGCTTAAAACAACTATTTATTACAGCTCACTATTTTCTTGATCAGAAATTTGGAAATTTGGGTGGTACAACTATTTCCTGTGGCATTAATGGAGGTCTCTTGGTGGTATTCAGCTGGCAGATGGGCTGATCTGCAGAGCCCAAGATGGCTTTACTTACATGTCTGCCACTTTGATGGACATGGCTGGAAGACTGACCTTAGCGACTCAAGGTAAGTAGACTCCTTCCATGAAGCTCAGGGCTCCTAGGGCAAGTATTCCAAGTGGCCCAGGAAGAAGCTGGAAGGCTCCCATGACCTCGTCTTAGAATTTGTGAACTGTCAGTTCTGTCACATTCTTATTGGCCAAGCCACTCACTAAGGCTAGTCCAGATTCATGGAGAGGGAAATTAAAATCTAGCCTTCAATAAGAGGAGTAGCAAAGAATTTGTGGTCATCTTTAATTTACCACATTCTAAAATTTTAGTCTAAAATTTTGTGTTAACAGTGAGTGGCATGACACAATTTAAAGTGATTAATCTGCATTCCTGAATTCACATTTATTAGTATGAGTTTTATTATTAATTTTATGAATCAAGTTGTAGAGATGATACATGTCCTATTGACTACTGTCATTTACCCAGGGTCTATAAGCCATGAGCCAGGACAGTGCTATGAGCATTATATAAATTGGCTCCAATCCTAAGAGAATTTTGCAGGGGGAGAACTATTATCTTCCTTTTGTAAGTGAGCACAGTGAGGCTCTGAGTAGTTAAGTAACTTGCAGTATAGAGATGTGTGGAACTGTTTGAGCTCTAGTTCCAACCCAGCCATTAACTACTAGTCTGACTTTTGAGTGAGTTCTTGAAGTTACTTTTGCTTTAGTTTCCTCTCTGTAAAAAGGGTGCTAATAATAAAACTCATACCATGAGAATATAATGGGCAAATATAGACAATAAGAGCAGGACTAGGCATTATGTAAATGCCCAATAAATGTTAGCTATTATTGTTATTAGCCTAGGTCACACAGCTAGTAAAAATGCTTACTGTGGCCGGGCATGGTGGCTCATGCCTATAACTGCAGCACTTGGGAGGCCAAGGCAGGTGGATCATGAGTTCAGGAGATCAAGACCATTTTGGCTAACACAGTGGAACCCCGTCTCTACTAAAAATACAAAAAATTAATCAGGCGTGGTGGCATGCCCCTGTAATCCCAGCTACTCAGGAGGCTGAGGCAGGAGAATCGCTTGAACCTGGGAGGTGGAGGTTGCAGTGAGCTGACATTGTGCCATTGCACTCCAGCCTATGCGAGAGAGCAAGACCCTGCCTCTCAAAAAAAAAAAAAAAAAAAAAAATGCTTACTGAATTCTGAATGCTACAACATGGATGAAAGTTTATAGGTCCAAAATACCCAAGATATCTTACTGACTTAAGAACTAAGAGTAGTTACAGTAAACTCACAACTTGTTGAATTTGCAGAAGTAATTATTAATATCTATTTTGTAATGATGTGCAAAAAACAGGTAAACAATGTTATCTCAAAGTAGGAAGCATCTTCAATAATGTTAAGCTCTTTTACCTCCCTAATTCATTCATGTATTCATTTAACAAATATTTTTGGGGCACCAACCATGTGCCAGGGCATAAGGCTAGCCCATGAGGCTAAAATGCTGAACATAGAAGCAGTATCACATCCTTCATGAGCACATCTTTTTTATAAGCTTTGCCTTAGTTTACTCTTTTGATGTCTCATGGTTCAGGGCTGACCATGTTTATTTCTTGCATCCCAGATAACTGATCTTGCAATTGCTGTGTTGACATTAGTAAAAATGCAAGGTACTCATTTGGACATAATAGACCATCTTGCATTCAGGGAGCTGTTTAATGAGATAATGAATAAAGTATATACCTAAGAACATTTGCTAGTGAGGACAGATGAGAAATTTGAAGAATTTGGAGGTTTGTTGTCCCTTTCACTTCCCATTTTATGTTTTGGTGGTTAATTTTTGGTGACAACTTGACAAGTCTATGGCGCCCAGTTGTTTGGTTAAACACTAGTTTATACATTACTGTGGAGGTATGTTTTAGACATGATTAACATTTATAATCAGTAGACTTTGAGTAAAGCAGATTATTCTCCCGTAATGTAGATAAGCCTTATCTAATCAGTTGAAGGTCTTAAGAGCAAAGACTGAGGTTTCCCAAAGAAGAAGTTCTCAAGCATGCAATTCAGAATTGCTGCCTGAGTTTTTAACCTGATAGCCTGAAGATTTCAAACTCAAGACTGCAGCATCAACTCTTTTTTTTTTTTTTTTTTTGAGACGGAGTCTCGCTCTGTCACCCAGGCTGGAGTGCAGTGGCGCGATCTCAGCTCACTGCAAGCTCCGCCCACTGGGTTCACGCCATTCTCCTGCCTCAGCCTCCCGAGTAGCTGGGAATACAGGCGCCCGCCATCGCGCCCGGCTAATTTTTTGTATATTTAGTAGAGACGGGGTTTCACCGTGTTAGCCAGGATCGTCTCGATCTCCTGACCTCGTGATCCATCCGCCTCGCCTCCCAAAGTGCTGGGATTACAGGAGTGAGCCACCGTGCCCGGCCAACAGCAACTCTTACCTAAATTCCTAGCGTACCTTATATGTTTTGGACTTGCCAAACTCCACCTCACATGAATCAATTCATTGAAATAAATTTCTCTCTCTGTATATCTCTATATCTATCTATCTGTCTATCATGTATGTGTGGGTGTGTGTGTCTATGTCTATCTCTTATTCGTTCTGTTTTTCTGAAGAACCTGACTAATACAATGCCATTCTCTAGAGCAAATTTATAGAGACAAGTAAAATGCTTTAGGGGGTTTTAGATAATAACGACCTCTCATTCCTCTTTATGAAAATAGAAGCCTGAGAGTTGATTGGACTTTTGAATCCATAGAACTAAATTCCAATGAGTCTGGAAATTGCATCAAAGATCTGAGTTTTCAAATGTTGTTGGTCTGTATCTGTCTCATAGGGTTGCTGTTGGAGACCTGTTTGTTCACCTTCAAGCTCACTAAGTTTTGTGTCCTGTCACAGAACTTTTAAATTTTCATAGCAGTAATGCCTAACCCTCTAACAAAGTGACCTCTGACAAAGGCAGACTTACCTTTTCTGACTCTCAGAATTCCTATAACTTCTCATCTTTTAAAAGAGTCAGGGGAAAACATATCCTGGTATTATGAATATATGTATCACTGCTGTCCTTTCCCTTGGACCACTAGCTGTATTCTTAATCATGTTTCTTAGTCATTGTTTTCCTGGATATCAGTCTTCTTGGGCTTCTATAACAAAATACCATAGACCGAGTGGTTTAAACAACAGTCATTTATTTTTTCACAATTCCGAAGGCTGGAAGTCCAAGATCAGGGTGTCAGCATGATTGAGTTCTTGTGAGGGCCTTCTTCCTGACTTGGAGAAGGAGATTTCTTTCTGTGTCCTCACATGGTAGAGAGAAAGAGAGAGAGAGAGCAACCTCGATGGTATCTCATCTTATTAGGGCACCAGTTTCATCAAGAGGGCATCATCTTCATGGCCTCATCTAAACCTAATTAACTCCAAAAGGCCCCATGTCCCAACACCATCACATTGGGGGCTTAGGACTACAACATATGAATTTTGTGGAGTCACAAACATTGTCTGCAACACTGGATAAGAACAAGAGATGAGCATTAGACAAGAAATTTTCTTCTTTAGATCGTAAAAGTACACACTCTTTGTTTTACAAAGAAAGCATAAGAAGTAAAACTTGGTTGAAATTTATATGTGGGTTTCTTTGGAGAAAATCCTATTTACTTTCAAAAAAGTGTCTGATCTCAGACAAATTAAACCTTCCTGTGGGCTGACCTTCTGTCAGGTCCTGTTGTGTGTGATAAGACAGACGAGCTCAAAGAAAAAGCATTAGACTTTTATCCTGAGTGATTTTGTTGCACTTTCCCAGAATTCATGCACAGAGAGCCTACATAATGAATAAATATCAATACATTGGTCGATATTTATGAAATGCTGCTGGATACCCAGTCCTATTCTGGTTGCTCATGGTTGTGGTGGTGTTGTGGGTGGGAATCAAGATAGATTCACTGGCCTTGAACAGTTTACAGGTTGATGGAGGAAAGCATTTGTTGCTCTAGCTCTCACCCATGTATATGTCTATGATTTGTTTTGCCGGCTTTATACAGAATCCTCAGGTTCCCCCTCATTTAATGTGCAAAATGAAGATTCTGACAACTAAAAACAAATTGTTTAGGTGGATGCATTCTCAAGAAGAGAAGAATAAAAATAATATCAATGTTTTTGCTTCGTAGTATCCCCCTTCATATATTATATGCAGCATACATAATTTTTCATGGGAAACTAGATGAAAGAATTAGGATTAGAGGGTTTATGACTTCTTTCATTTCTTTATCATCAGACTCTGAAAGAAACTAATACCTATTTACGTGAAGAAAATGTACAATTTCTTTAGCTGTCACGGAAATGTGGTTTAAAAATATCTAGTGTGCTCTGCAAAAGCCTTGGCTGAGCTGTGAGAGCAGTCACTTGCCTGTCAGATGTCTAATTATTTCTCCCTCCTCCTCAACCACGCCAGTAGCAGGGAACCACTGAGACCATATTGTTGCCCATATGTCGGAAAGCTACTAAATTAAACCCCTGTGTAACATGCTGACAAGTCTAATGCAGTAGTTGGAGATTTGGTGAGTAAATTTTTCTAATCTATCTTTCCAATTGTAATGCTTTTGAGTTTTTTTTTTTTTTTTTTTTTTTTCTGTCTGTGGTGCAGGCTGGCTGTTCTTTGTCAAGGACTGAGATATTGTTACCACACATCAATACCAACTGAAAAGAAACTGAATATCTCGGTTGGACTGGATTTCTGCAGTTGATGAATTAGAGTTAGGCCCAAATCCCCAGTGTTAGGTGACAAAAACCTTATGTTCAGCCTGTCCTGCTCTGAAGTGTGCAGAATGTTCAGAGAGTTTGGGTTTGATACAAATGCCGTTCTATTCTTTTGCAAACCCACAGACAGTCTTCTGAAGTTCACTGTTTCATAGGCCTGGCAGAAAAGGGTCTTTCCCATATCTCCCATTTCTCTTGCTTTTACCATTATACTTTTCTTAGCATGGATAAGTTAGTATTTTAGAATACATTTTATGTTTTGTTTTCTCAGTTAATTGCAGGACAAGAGAACTGATTCCTAATTGTTCCTAATTTTCCCATATCTGTAAGTAACTACTATCCTAAGGGAATGCTACTTTCCTCTTTCTTCTATCCTCCTAAGGGGAATGGGTAGTCTTTCCTTTGGAGAAGAACAAAAAGCTGGACAAACAGACAAAAAAGCAACAAAAATACTGGACAACTAAAGATTTCTCAAATCTTGCTCCACAGGACACTGATGTTCCTCTAAATGTTAGTAGGTGTGTATCCTCTGCAAAGGGCTCTGTTGTCAAATACTAATGGGAAATTATGTCCTAAATCAACTTAAACAATTTTTTTTGACAACATACCTTGTAGCTACAATATGCTTATGCACATTGTGAATTTCCAGGAATGTAATCTAGTGTATGAAGTATCCAAAATCAATTTGACTACCATTTATTTATTTATTTATTTTCTGTAGAATATGTGGGTACATGGTTTGGGGAATGCTAGGATAAACTTCTTCTCTTTCTCTTCCTGTATCAAAGCGAATAACTGTACTGGTAGCTTAGTTTGTTTCCATTTAATGGCATTTCAAGGTATTTGTTAAACAGTGCCTACAGTATATGAGACTCTAATTGCCAGAGGAAAGGGTACTGTGAAGCAGTGAAATTATAAAATATGGATAAAATCTTGACTTGGAGGAACTTATGATCTAGTGTGTAGTATTGTACATTTGAGGCATGGCATATTACAATTGGGGAAGAGTTAAAAATGCTTCAACAGGTAGCTTCCTGCATAGGGTTGTAGTTTGTACCTTTATATATTATGTATAATTTTTCTTCCTTTTGTATTTGTTTGTGAGTGGAGTTATAAAGAGTAGTGAGGAGAGGTCATGACTTCCGAGCTGAAGATTTTTGGCAAGAAGACCCTTCCCAATGTGGCAGATTAAAAGAAAAATCTAATTTGTTATCCAACTTTTGCATGCGAGAACTGATTCCACATTGAAAAACAAAAACTCATGTTATTTGCTGATTGTAATATTGAGATAACCCTGATATATTGAGGTTAAAGACAAATGAGATTTTTTTTTTTCTGGTGACAATGAAGAAACCTATTATTAATCTCTTCAGTAAGAGAGAAAACTAAAAATCTCTACAGCTCTTTAAGACGGTGGGAGTTTACCGTGCTCAGTGGCTCATGCCTGTAATCCAAGCACTTTGGGAGGCTGAGGCGGGCAGATCATGAGGTCAAGAGATTGAGACCATCCTGTCCAACATGGTGAAACCCGTCTCTACTAAAAATACAAAAGTTAGCTGGGCTTGGTGGTGCGTGCCTATAGCCCCAGCTACTCAGGAGGCTGAGGCAGGAGAATTGCTTGAACCCAGGAGGCAGAGGTTGCAGTGAGCCAAGATTGCACCACTGCACTCCAGCCTGGCGACAGAGAAATAGTCTGACTCAAAAAAAAAAAAAAAGAAGGCCGGGTTTGGTGGTTCATGCCTGTAATCCCAGCACTTTGGGAGGCCGAGGCGGGTGGATCACCTGAGGTTGGGAGTTCGAGACCAGCCTGACCAACATGGAGAAACCCCGTCTGTACTAAAAATACAAAATTAGCCGGGCATGGTGGTGCATACCTGTAATCCTGGGTGCTCGGGAGGCTGAGGCAGGAGAAACGCTTGAACCCAGGAGGCGGAGGCTGTGGTGAGCTGAGATCGTACCATTGCACTCCAGCCTGGGCAACGAGAGCAAAACTCCGTCTCAAAAAAAAAAAAAAAAGAAGAAGAAGAAAAGAAAAAAACAAAAGAGGGAGGGAGTCTCCAAGCAAAGATTTTACCTAAAGCAAATGGAGTGTTTTTTAAAAATTTATGTGACTTTGCAGTTAAAATGTTATGTATACCAAGTTTCAGATTACTCTTAATGGTATATAAAGCTTGATTACAAGGCATATGTACTTGCTGCTAAGGCCCAAGAGAGCCACTGCAGTAAACCAAGTTTATTTTACTATTCACAGTCACCTAGATTGGTGGGTTTGCTAAATGCCTAAAATAACTTTCTACTGGGCTGGCATGTTTCTTAAAAACAAAATCTCAAAGATGGGCAAGATTCATTTAAAGGAGGAAGCCCTGACATGAAAAAAAAAATCCTTGCCTGCTTGACTTTTCCCTTTGCTTTGGAACCTTAAGAAACAGTTGGGTCACTTTAAACAAAATTTGCTCTGGGCCTAGAAAATTTCAATTACATGCTATTGGCCTATTAATGAGAATTTTATTAGTTTGCAAAGAAATAAGGAGCATCCAGTTCTTCTCACATAGAGTGGAAATAATTTCCTTTATGGTTCACATTTAGGACTCCATTGCTCTAATTTAAATATCTTTTACTGACATTACAGAACAGAAGGCTTTTGTGTGCATTATTCCAAACAGCTGATCTCAAATTTCTGTGGATACAGACAGCTAACAAAGCAGTTAAAGTCAACTATTCAATAACTCCTAGAGATCCGTAGGCTCAGTCACTCAGCAACATTTAACACGCTTGACGAGCACAGCATCTTAGATGTTGTCAGGGATAAAAAGTAATAAACTATGGTTCTTGCCTTCAAGGATTTTTCAGTTGGGTAACTATGAAAAACACATACATGAAGAACTAGACTTTTAAAATTATACTCAAACAACTACAAAGCAACCTAAAGGAAGTTTGTTTATAAATTCATGTTGACCTTACCCTCAGCATGTTAGTATGAATGAATTTTCAAATCATAGAGTTTAATTATTTTCAAGTTTAAATAAGGCATTCCACCTTCATCAGAAGGAAGGAATTATACTTACAAAACATACTTAAAAATTTTGAGGAAAATAGAGACCTTTAAGGGAATAACTTGATAGATAGAAAAACTTTTGCCTAGTAGAACAACCCTTCATCTATAAATCATCTTCAAAAATGAATAAGTGGCCATGATCTACACAACATAGCACAAACACCTTGCCATAGGATGCAGGAAGAACAGGCATCTGATCCAAGGCAAGTCCATGGATGGCCTGAGCAGTGGACCTTGAGGTGGTCAAACCCAGAGTTCTATCCAGCAAAGATGATGGTGATCAACTGAGCCTAGGAAATGCTCTCTCTCAGGAATTTGAATGTGAAACATAGTGAAAGTTAAAATGCTACTGATAAAAGTAGAGGCTGAAAAGAGATGCAGAGTCTATATTAAACTTGTTCTACCCAGATCTTCAAAGGCAGATAAGAGTAATATGTTGGATACTCCAATTATGAAATTCTGCCCCAAATCTCATTCCATTAAATAAACTGGAGAACTTTATATTTTATATGTGTGTTTTTTTCTTATTCCATCTCAAAATTAGGCACATGAAATAATATAATTAATGTTTAAACTCTTCTCTACAAATCTATATTCTTTTAATCTAAGTCTACAGGATATCAGAATTCTAAGAAAAACTTGGAAATCATGTTCAGGACTATACAGGACTTTAAAAGCTTTATCTTCCCAAACTGAAAACCAGACCTCTCAAGTCTAGCTGCTCTCCTCCAGGTGCTGCATAAATGGTGAGCTCTAGGCACTCATTGGCCTCTGTGATCTCCTCTTTGCACCTTCTTTTGTCCTACTAACTTTCATGCCAATCTTCCCATTTTTGTTCTCTTCTGTCTCTTGAAATGCTATGTTTGGCAGCATTTTTTTGGGCCGTGTTTCTATTTCTCCAGGACCTGGTCTTTGGCTACCTTACTTTGGATCACTTGGTTGAAACAGTTCCCTTAGTCAACTTGTCCACTGGACTTAAGCTGTGGGACACAGAAATTTTCCCTGGAAGAACAGAACAATGAAGATGAATAGTTGAAAAATGAGGTGAGCAGAAAAGTTATTTATTTATTTTAAGCTTATTCTGTTACTTTGTAGTTGTGTAAGCTAGGGTAATCTTCTAAAACTCTCAGAGCATCAGTTTAAAAAATTTAGGTTGGGGATAAGAATAATTCCTCATATGGGAAGTCAAATTGTCTCTCTTTGCAGATGACATGATTATATATTTAGAAAACCCCATCGTCTCAGCCCAAAATCTCCTTAAGCGGATAAACAACTTCAGCAAAGTCTCAGGATACAAAATTGATGTGCAAAAATCACAAACATTCCTATATATCAATAATAGACAGAGAGACAAATCATGAGTGAACTCCCATTCACAATTGCTACAAAGGGAATAAAATACCTAGGAATACAACTTACAAGGGATGTGAAGGGCCTCTTTAAGGAGAACTAGAAACCACTGCTCAAGAAAATACAAGACGACACAAACAAATGGAAAAATATTCCATGCTCATGGATTGGAAGAACCAATATTGTGAAAATGGCCATGCTGCGCAAAGTAATTTATAGATGCAATGCTATCCCCATTAAGCTACCATTGACTTTCTTCAGAGAATTAGAAAAACTACTTCAAATTTCATATAGAACAAAAAAAGTGCCCATGTAGCCAAGACAATCCTAAGCAAAAAGAGCAAAGCTGGAGGCATCATGCTACCTGACTTCAAACTATACTACAAGGCTATAGTAACCAAAACAGCATGGTACTGGTACCAAAACAGATATATAGACTAATGAAACAGAACAGAGGCCTCAATAATAACACTACACGTCTACAACCATCTGATCTTTGACAAACCTGACAAAAACAAGCAATGGGGAAAGGATTCCATATTTAATAAATGGTGTTGGGAAAACTGGCTAGCCACATGCAGAAAACTGAAACTGGAATCCTTCCATACACCTTATACAAAAATTAACTCAAGATGGATTAAAGACTTAAATGGAAGACCTAAAATCCTAAAAACCTTAGAAGACAACCTAGGCAATAACATTCAGGACATAGGCATGGGGAAAGACTTCATGATTAAAACACCAAAAGCAATGA
This sequence comes from Homo sapiens, assembly GCF_000001405.40. Taxonomy (NCBI): domain Eukaryota; kingdom Metazoa; phylum Chordata; class Mammalia; order Primates; family Hominidae; genus Homo; species Homo sapiens. The sequence goes on from NC_000006.12 coordinate 85,951,153, forward strand.
CAAAAAAAGCCAAAATTGACAAATGGGATCTAATTAAACTAAAGAGCTTCTGTACAGCAAAAGAAACTATCCTCAGAGTGAACAGGCAACCTACAGAATGGGAGAAAATTTTTGCACTCTATCCATCTTACAAAGGGCTAATATCCAGAATCTACAAAAAAGTTAAACAGATTTACAAGGAAAAAACAAACAAACAATCCCATCAAAAAGTGGGCGAAGGTTATGAACAGACACTTCTCAAAGGAAGACATTTATGCAGTCAGCAAACATATGAGAAAAAGCTTATCATCAGTGGTCATCCGAGAAATGCAAATCAAAACCACAATGAGATACCATCTCACACCAGTTACAATGGTGATCATTAAAAAGTCAGGAAACAACAGATGCTGGAGAGGATGTGGAGAAATAGGAACACTTTTACATTGTTGATGGGAGTGTAATTTAGTTCAACCATTGTGGAAGACACTGTGGCGATTCCTCAAGGATCTAGAACCAGAAATACCATTTGACCCAGCAATCCCATTAGTGGGTATATACCCAAAGGATTATAAATCATTCTCCTATAAAGACACATGCACACATATGTTTATTGCAGCACTATTGACAATAGCAAAACTTGGAACCAACCCAAATGCTCATTAATGATAGACTGGATAAAGAAAATATGGCACATATACACCGTGGAATACTATGCAGCCATAAAAAGGATGAGTTCATGTCTTTTGCAGAGGCACGGGTGAAGCTGGAAACCATCATTCTCAGCAAACTAATACAGGAACAGAAAACCAAACACCGCATGTTCTTAGTTGTAAGTGGGAGTTGAACAATGAGAACACAGGGACACAGGGAGGGGAACATCACACACCGGGGCCTGTTGGGGGGTGGGGGCCTAGGGGAGGGATAGCATTAGGAGAAATACCTAATGTAGATGACGGGTTGATGGGTGCAGCAAACCACCATGGCACGTGTATACCTATGTAACAAACCTGTACATTCTGCGCATGGATCCCAGAACTTAAAGTATAATAATAATAATAATAATAATAAAAGAAAATGACCCTCAAAAAAAGAATAATTCCTCATATGATTATGATTATGATTAAATGAGATAATATATACAAGGTAATTTGTATACTTAAAGTGATGAACATCAGATAGATAACACAACATTTTATTTTTATTTACTTGTTTATTTTTAATATATACTTTTTATCTCAGTAACTTGGGGGGTACAAGTGGTTTTTTTGTATTCAGATAAATTCTATAGTTGTGAACTCTAATTTTACTGTACTCATGAGCCAAATAGTGTACATTGTACCCAATATGTAGTTTTTTTTTTATTTCTCACCCCCCTCCCACCCTTCCCCTTCTGTGTCTCCCGTGTCCACTGTAACAATCTGTATGCCTTTGTGTGCCCATACCTTAGCCCCCACTTATAATGAAAACATACAGTATTTGGTTTTTTATTCCCGAGTTACTTCATTAACAATAATGGCTTCCAGTTTCATCCAAGTTGATGCAAAAGACATTATTTCATTATTATTATTATGTTTTTGTAAAACCATCTAAACTTATAGTTTATTTTTGGCAAGGTTTTTAAACAATAAACTCAATTTCTCTAACAGATATTAAGTCATTTGACTATTTCTTCTGAAATCACTTTTAGGGATTTGCGTATTTCAATACCTTTTTCTATTTTGTTTAAGTTGGCAAATTTTTTTTTTTTTTGCCATATTGTGTGAGCTCAGTTTCTTTCTTTTTTTTTTATACTTTAAGTTTTAGGGTACATGTGCACAACGTGCAGGTTTGTTACATATGTATACATGTGCCATGTTGGTGTGCTGCACCTATTAACTTGTCATTTAACATTAGGTATATCTCCTAATGCTATCCCTCCCTCATCCCCCCACCCCACAACAGGCCCCGGTGTGTGATGTTCCCCTTGCTGTGTCCATGTGTTCTCATTGTTCAATTCCCACCTATGAGTGAGAACAAGGGTGTTTGGTTTTTTGTCCTTGTGATAGTTTGCTGAGAATGATGGTTTCCAGCTTCATCCATGTCCCTACAAAGGACATGAACTCATCATTTTTTATGACTGAATAGTATTCCATGGTGTATATGTGCCACATTTTCTTAATCCAGTCTATCATTGTTGGACATTTTGGTTGGTTCCAAGTCTTTGTTATTGTGAATAGTGCCGCAATAAACATATGTGTGCATGTGTCTTTACAGCAGCATAATTTATAATCCTTTGGGTATATACCCAGTAATGGGATGGCTGGGTCAAATGGTATTTCTAGTTCTAGATCCCTGAGGAATCGCCACTCTGACTTCCACATGGTTGAAGTAGTTTACAGTCCCACCAACAGTGTAAAAGTGCTCCTATTTCTCCACATCCTCTCCAGCACCTGTTGTTTCCTGACTTTTTAATGATTGCCATTCTAACTGGTGTGAGATGGTATCTCATTGTGGTTTTGATTTGCATTTCTCTGATGGCCAGTGATGATGAGCATTTTTTCGTGTGTCTTTTGGCTGCATAAATGTCTTCTTTTGAGAAGTGTCTGTTCATATCCTTCACCCACTTGTTGATGGGGTTGTTTGTTTTTTTCTTGTAAATTTTTTGGAGTTCATTGTAGATTCTGAATATTAGCCCTTTGTCAGGTGAGTAGATTGCAAAAATTTTCTCCCATTCTGTAGGTTGCCTGTTCACTCTGATGGTAGTTTCTTTTGTTGTGCAGAAGCTCTTTAGTTTAATGAGATCCCAATTGTCAATTTTGTCTTTTGTTGCCATTGCTTTTGGTGTTTTAGACATGAAGTCCTTGCCCATATCTATGTCCTGAATGCTATTGCATAGGTTTTCTTCTAGGGTTTTTATGGTTTTAGGTCTAACATTTAAATCTTAATCCATCTTGAATTAATTTTTGTATAAGGTGTAAGGAAGGGATCCAGTTTCAGCTTTCTACATATGGCTAGCCAGTTTTCCCAGCACCATTTATTAAACAGGGAATCCTTTCTCCATTTCTTGTTTTTCTCAGGTTTGTCAAAGATCAGATAGTTGTAGATATGTGACATTATTTCTGAGGGCTCTGTTCTGTTCCATTGGTGTATATCTCTGTTTTGGTACCAGTACCATGCTGTTTTGGGTACTGTAGACTTGTAGTATAGTTTGAAGTCAGATAGTGTGATGCCTCCAGCTTTGTTCTTTTGGCTTAGGATTGACTTGGCAATGCGGGCTCTTTTTTGGTTCCATGTGAACTTTAAAGTAGTTTTTTCCACCTCTGCGAAGAAAGTCATTGGTAGCTTGATGGGGATGGCATTGAATGTATAAATTACCTTGGGAAGTATGGCCATTTTCACGATATTGATTCTCCCTACCCATGAGCATGGAATGTTCTTCCATTTGTTTGTATCCTCTTTTATTTCACTGAGCAGTGGTTTGCAGCTGTCCTTGAAGAGGTCCTTCACATCCCTTGTAAGTTGGATTCCTAGGTATTTTATTCTCTTTGAAGCAATTATGAATGGGAATTCACTCATGATTTGGCTCTCTATTTGTCTGCTATTGGTGTATAAGAATGCTTGTGATTTTTGCACATTGATTTCGTATCCTGAGACTTTACTGAAGTTGCTTATCAGCTTAAGGAGACTTTGAGCTGAGATGATGGAGTTTTCTAGATATACAATCATATCATCTGCAAACAGGGACAATTTGACTTCCTCTTTTCCTAATTGAATGCCCTTTATTTCTTTCTCCTGCCTGATTGCCCTGGCCAGAATTTCCAACACTATGTTGAATAGGAGTGGTGAGAGAGAGCATCCCTGTCTTGTGCCAGTTTTCAAAGGGAATGTTTCCAGTTTTTGCCCATTCAGTATGATATTGGCTGTGGGTTTGTCATAGATAGCTCTTATTATTTTGAGATACGTCCCATCAATACCTAATTTATTGAGAGTTTTTAGCATGAAGGGCTGTTGAATTTTGTCGAAGGCCTTTTCTGCATCTATTGAGATAATCATATGGTTTTTGTCTTTGATTCTGTTTATATGCTGGATTACGTTTATTGATTTACATATGTTGAACCAGCCTTGCATCCTAGGGATGAAGCTCACTTGATCATGGCGGCTAAGCTTTTTGATTTGCTGCTGGATTTGGTTTGCCAGTATTTTACTGAGGAATTTTTCATTGATGTTCATGAGGGATATTGGTCTAAAATTCTCTTTTTTTGTTGTGTCTCTGCCAGGCTTTGGTATCAGGATGATGCTGGCCTCATAAAATGAGTTAGGGAGGATTCCCTCTTTTTCTATTGATTGGAATAGTTTCAGAAGGAATGGTACCAGCTCCTCCTTGTACCTCTGGTAGAATTCGGCTGTGAATCCATCTGGTCCTGGACTTTTTTTGGTTGGTAAGCTATTAATTGTTGCCCCAATTTCAGAGCCTGTTATTGATCTATTCAGAGATTCAACTTCTTCCTTGTTTACTCTTGAGAGGGTTTATGTGTCGAGGAATTTATCAATTTCTTCCAGATTTTCTAGTTTATTTGCATAGAGGTGTTTATAGTATTATCTGATGGTAGTTTGTATTTCTGTGGGATCGGTGGTGATATCCCCTTTTTCATTTTTTATTGCATCTATTTGATTCTTCTCTCTTTTCTTCTTTATTAGTGTTGCTAGTGGTCTATCAATTTTGTTCCTGTTTTCAAAAAAACCAGCTCCTGGATTCACTGATTTTTTGAAGGGTTTTTTATGTCTCTATTTCCTTCAGTTCTGCTCTGATCTTAGTTATTTCTTGCCTTCTGCTATCTTTTGAATGTGTTTGGTCTTGCTTCTCTAGTTGTTTTAATTGTGATGTTAGGGTGTCAATTTTAGATGTTTCCTGCTTTCTCCTGTGGGCACTTAGTGCTATAAATTTCCGTCTACACACTGCTTTGAATGTGTCCCAGAGATTCTGGTATGTTGTGTCTTTGTTCTTGTTGGTTTCAAAGAATATCTTTATTTCTGCCTTCATTTCGTTATGTACCCAGTAGTCATTCAGGAGCAGGTTGTTCACTTTCCATGTAGTTGAGTGGTTTTGAGTGGGTTTCTTAATCCTGAGTTCTAGTTTGATTGCACTGTGGTCTGAGAGACAGTTTGTTATAATTTCTGTTCTTTTACATTTCCTGGGGAGTGCTTTACTTCCAACTATGTGGTCAATTTTGGAATAGGTGTGATGTGGTGCTGAAAAGAATGTATATTCTGTTGATTTGGGGTGGAGAGTTCTGTAGATGTCTATTAGGTCCACTTGGTGCAGATCTGAGTTCAATTCCTGGATATCCTTGTTAACTTTCTGTCTCGTTGATCTGTCTAATGTTGACAGTGGGGTGTTGAAGTCTCCCATTATTATTGTGTGGGAGTCTAAGTCTGTTTGTAGGTCACTAAGGACTTGCTTTATGAATCTGAGTGCTCCTGTATTGGGTGCATATATATTTAGGACAGTTAGCTCTTCTTGTTGAATTGATCCCTTTACCATTATGTAATGGCCTTCTTTGTCTCTTTTGATCTTCGTTGGTTTAAAGTCTGTTTTATCAGAGACTAGGATTGCAACCCCTGCCTTTTTTTGTTTTCCATTTGCTTGGTAGATCTTCTTCCATCCCTTCATTTTGAGCCTATGCATGTCTTTGCACGTGAGATGGGTTTCCTGAATACAGCACACTGATGGGTCTTGACTCTTTATCCAATTTGCCATTCTGTGTCTTTTAATTGGAGCATTTAGCCCATTTACATTTAAGGTTAATATTGTTATGTGTGAATTTGATCCTGCCATTATGATGTTAGCTGGTTATTTTGCTTGTTGGTTGATGCAATTTCTTCCTAGCCTTGATGGTCTTTACAATTTGGCATGATTTTGCAGTGGCTGGTACCGGTTGTTCGTTTCCATGTTTACTGCTTCCTTCAGGAGTTCTTGTAGGGCATGCCTGTTGGTGACAAAATCTCTCAGCATTTGCTTGTCTGTAAAGTATTTTATTTGTCCTTCACTTATGAAGCTTAGTTTGGCTGGATATGAAATTCTGGACTGAAAATTCTTCTCTTTAAGAATGTTGAATGTTGGCCCCCACTCTCTTCTGGCTTGTAGAGTTTCTACCGAGAGATCTGCTGTTAGTCTGATGGGCTTCCCTTTGTGGGTAACCCGACCTTTTTCTCTGGCTGCCCTTAACATTTTTTCCTTCATTTCAACTTTGGTGAATCTGACAATTATGTGTCTTGGAGTTGCTGTTCTTGAGGAGTATCTTTGTGGCATTCTCTGTATTTCCCGAATTTGAATGTTGGCCTGCCTTGCTACGTTGGGGAAGTTCTCCTGGATAATATCCTGCAGAGTGTTTTCCAACTTGGCTCCATTCTCCCCATCACTCTCAGGTACACCAATCAGACGTAGATTTGGTCTTTTCATATAGTCCCATATTTCTTGGAGGCTTTGTTTGTTTCCTTTTATTCTTTTTTCTCTAAACTTCTCCTCTTGGTTCATTTCATTCATTTGATCTTCCATCACAGATACCCTTTCTTCCAGTTGTTCAAATCGGCTACTGAGGCTTGTGCATTTGTCACGTAGTTCTTGTGCCATGGTTTTCAGCTCCATCAAGTCCTTTAAGGACTTCCCTGCATTGGTTATTCTAGTTAGCCATTCATCTAATCTTTTTTCAAGGTCTTTAACTTCTTTGCCATGTGTTCGAACTTCCTCCTTTAGCTTGGAATAGTTTGATTGTCTGAAGCCTTCTTCTCTCAACTCGTCAAAGTCATTCTCCATCCAGCTTTGTTCCATTGCTGGTGAGGAGCTGCATTCCTTTGGAGGAGGAGAGGTGCTCTGATTTTTTGAGTTTCTGGTTTTTCTGCTCTGTTTTTTCCCCATCTTTGTGGTTTTATCTACCTTTGGTCTTTGAAGATGGTGACATACAGATGGGGTTTTGGTGTGGATGTCCTTTCTGTTTGTTAGTTTTCCTTCTAACAGTCAGGACCTTCAGCTGCAGGTCTGTTGGAGTTTGCCGGAGGTCCACTCCAGACCCTGTTTGCCTTGGTATCAGCAGCAGAGGCTGCAGAACAGCGGATATTGGGGAACAGCAAATGTTGCTGCCTGATCTTTCCTCAGGAAGTTTTGTCTCAGAGGAGTACCCGGCCGTGTGAGGTGTCAGTCTGCCCCTACTGAGGGGTGCCTCCCAGTTAGGCTACTCGGGGGTCAGGGACCCACTTGAGGAGGCAGTCTGTCCGTTCTCAGATCTCTAGCTGTGTGCTGGGAGAACCACTACTCTCTTCAAAGCTGTCAGACAGGGACATTTAAGTCTGCAGAGGATTCTGCTGCCTTTTGTTTGGTTATGCCCTGCCTCCAGAGGTGGAGTCTACAGAGGCAGGCAGGCCTCCTTGAGCTACGGTAGGCTCCACCCAGTTCGAGCTTCCCAGCTTCCTTGTTTACCTACTCAAGCCTCAGCAGTGGTGTGTTTCACTCCCCCGCTTTGCTGCCACCTTGCAGTTCGATCTCAGACTGCTGTGCTAGCAATGAGCGAGGCTCCATGGGCATAGGACCCTCTGAGCCAGGTGTGGGATATAATATCCTGGTGTGCCATTTGCTAAGACTGTCAGAAAAGCGCAGTATTAGGGTGGGAGTGACCCAATTTTCCAGGTGCAATCTGTGACCCATTTCCTTGGCTAGGAAAAGAATTCCCCAACCCCTTGCACTTCCCGGGTGAGGCAATGCCTTGCCCTACATCAGCTCAGGCTCGGTGCACTGCACCCACTGTCCTGCCCCCACTGTCCGAGAATCCCCAGTGAGATGCACCGAGTACCTCAGTTGGAAATGCAGAAATCGTTTGTCTTCTGCGTTGCTCACACTGGGAGCTGTAAACTGGAGCTCTTCCTATTTGGCCATCTTGGCTCCCCCCTATTTCATTATTTTTTATGGCTGAGTAGTATTCTATGATGTATACCACATTTTCTTTATCCACTCATCAATTGATGGACACTTAGGTTGGTTCCATATCTTTGCAATTGTGAATTGTGCTACAGTAAACATATGCATGCAGGTGTCTTTTTGATAGAATGACTTCTTTTCCTTTGGGTATATAGTGGGATTGCTGGATTGAATAGTAGGTATACTTTTAGTTCTTATAACAAACATTTTTAAGAAGAATTAGACTTCAGAAGAGATAAGAAACAAAGTGCCTGTAATCCCAGCACTTTGGGAGGCCAAGGTGGATGGATCATGTGGTCAGGAGATTGAGACCAGCCTGGCTAACACAGTGAAACCTCGTTTCTATTCAAAGTATGAAAAATTAGCTGGGTGTGGTGGCATGAGCCTGTAGTCCCAGCTACTCGGGAGGCTGAGGCAGGAGAATTGCTTGAACCTGGGAGGTGGAGGTTGCAGTGAGCTGAGATTGCACCACTGCACTCCAGCCTGGACAACAGAGTAAGACTCCATCTCAAAAAAAAAAAAAGAATAAGATAAGTGAACAAGCTTATTCCTTAGGGTAGTGCAGAGAAACAAAGTTAACTGGCTGTGGAAGTTCTAGGGAATAAAACTTGACTCTACATGTCCTAGGAGGTAGTACTCAAAGAGATGCCCTGGACAACAGTATAGCTTAGGGATGAATACCATGATTCATTTTTGTCAGACATGGTGGGAAGGATGGGGAACCTACTGAGTTCCTATAATGAATCTTTTTTTTTTTAGTGATTTTTCTGAGCCAAATGTTTGTAAGAAGCAGAAACTTCTATATGGAAAAAATTTAGTGTTTAAAAGGAGTTTTAGGAAGGAAGGCTGCCTGGATGCTTTTCTGAGAAAAGGACAGAGAAAAAATGGTGGAGTCAGAGCAAAAATCACATTCAAGAAATGGAAAATCAGGTTCCAATGTACAAACTATGCCCCAGGAGGACCAGTCTGATGACCTTCTCTTGCTGAGGTGACTTAAGGGAGATAAATGATGTGTAACACAGACTGCCTGTATAATTCAATACGTCTACAGTGTCTGTGTTCCAGTCACTCTGCCGGATACCATGGGACATATAATGGTGAAAGAAATATAACCCTTGCTTTCTGGAAGCATATAGTCTACTGTGATCAGTGCTATAAAAAGATAAAAGGAGAGTATATTCAATGTTAGAAGAAGGAAGGATAATTTTGGCTGTGTAACCTGAGAAAGAAGTGGCATTTGAGCTGGACTTTTACGCATTTTGACAGTCAGATACAATAGAATAGGTATTCCTGGCAACAAAATGGCATAGGCAAAATATATTATTTACAGTAATGCTAGTTTTAAATCAGATAGCTCCTGAACTATCAGCAGCATAATAAAATAGAGATTTATTACTCAATTGCTTTGTTCAGAGGGTGTTCAATGGGCAGTCTTCCCTGAAGTGACTCAGGGACCTAGGCTCTTCTGTTGCATGATTTCACCTTCCCCTAGAGCCTCAGAATCTTTAGCTTCAAGCCAGTGTATGGAGAAAGATAGACTGTGGAGGGTTTTAGAGGAGATTTTGTGGTTTAGACTGGAAAGTGCAAACATCACTTCTCCCTGTATTCCACTGGCCAGAACTTAGTTGCATGGCTCCTCTAGAAACAAAGGAACCTGGGAAACGTAGGTTGAGACTGAACAGCATCCACTGTCTACTCCCAAGCCTATGTCAGGACAGAGAAGGAAGGAGAAGTTTCATATTAGATCAGCATGCAGAGTTTTAATTATTAACTGCACCAAACAAGTTGTGTGATTATTAGATGGTTCTAGACTCTATTATCTGTAAATGATCAGATTACTTTTTCTTAATAAGAGATTGTAAAATGAAGAGACCTGCCCAAGATCTCATCTGAGGGTGGAAATAACTTTTCAACAGATCTGGTTTATCACAGAGGAGTTTCTCTTTGCTTAGAAGAGTCCAGCTTTTTCTATAATTGGTTACCAAGTTAACAAAAATGGGTAACAAGATGAAGAAAGCATTTTATGGGACCTTTTTATTGGTGATTGAATGGATGTTTGAGTAAGTAAAATGAGTGGGTTGAGGAAGAAGGTTTAGTTTCAGTCATATTGAGTTGAGGTATTAGTGGAATATCTGGGCAGAAGTCTCCAGCAGTCACCAGGAAATGTAGAACTGGCTCTGGGAGAGAGGAAAGGGATAGAGGTAAGGGTTTAGGGAAAAATCCATGACAGCTTTCTTTTATTTTCCCACTGTACCCTCAGTGTTTTAATTACAGATAGGCATTAATCCAAGTTAAACAAGGCTCTGATAAAGACCATTCTTTTATGAATGTTTTGGCTCCTGTACTTGATAACCAAACATCTCTACAGTAGGACAAACTGAGCGAGATTAAAAAATATTCTCAGTGAGGCTTTAACCTAACTATCCCTCTGATGAATCTAGGCATGTCTGATAAATATTGTCTGGTTTAATGGCCAAATCCATAGTGAAGTTGTAATTTTGGTGACTTAAAGTAACCCAGATCTATAGATTTAACAAAACCAACCTGCCTCACTCAGAACAAGTGGTTACAAAACGATGATTGGGTTAAAGAAAGGAAATGTATGGAGAAAAAACTGTGGCAAGATAGTTCTTTTATCAGATATTCTGTAAAGATAAGACATTCAGACTAAGCACCATTTTAGAGGAAAAGTTTAGGTCATAAAAACAAAATTAAATCTAATAATTTGGATTAATAATTATTAGTTAATTCTTTATCAGATTGTACTAGCCCACATTGCCACCAACAGTATATAGGCATTCCCTTTTCTCTGCATCCTCACCAACAGCTGTTATTTTCTGACTTTTTAATAATAGCCATTCTGACTGGTGTAAAGTGTTATCTCATTGTGGTTTTAATTTGCATTTCTGTAATGATTAGTGATGTTGAGCATTATTTCACATGCTTGTTGGTCATTTATATGTGTTCTTTTGAAAAATGTCTTTTCATGTCATTGCCAGATTTTTAATGGGGTTGTTTTATTTGTTAAGTTGTTTGATTTTCTTGTAGATTTTGGATATTAGTTGCTTGAATACATAGTTAGCAAATATTTTATCCCATTCTGCAGATTGTCTGTTCATTCTGTTGATTATTATTATTATTTTTACTGTACATAAGCTTTTTAGTTTAATTAAGTCACATTCATTTATTATTGGTTTTGCACGTGCTTTTGAGGTCTTAGTCATAAATTCTTTGCCCATGTTAATGTCCAGAAGAGTTTTTCCTAGGTTTTCTTCTAGCATTTTTGTAGTTTCAGATCTTACATTTAAATCTTTAATCTATCTTGAGTTAATTTTTGTATGTGGCGAGAGATAAGGGTCCAGTTTCTTTCTTTCTTTTTTTTTTTTTTTTTTTTTTGCATACGGCAATCCAATTTTCCCAGCACCACTTATTGAATACGATGTCCTTTTCTCGGTATGTGTTTTTGGTGACTTTGTCAAATATCAGCTGGCTGTAGGTATTTGGTTTTATTTCTGGGTTATCTGTTCTATTCCATTGATCTATGTCTATTTTTATACCAGTAACATGCGATTGTGGTTACTATAACCTATAGCATAATTCGAAGTCCCATAATGTGGTGCCTTCAGCTTTGTTCTTTTTTCTTAGGACTGCTTTGGCTCTTTGGGCTCTTTTTTGGTTCAATATGAATTGAATTTAAAAACGAATTTTAAGATTGGTTTTTCTAATTCTGTGAAAAATGACATTGGAATTTTGATAAGTATTACATTGAATCTGTAGATGTTTTGGGCAGTATGGTCATGATTCTTCCCATTCATGGGTATGGGATGTTTTTCTATTTGTTTGTGTCATCTATAATTTCTTTCATCAGTGTTTTGTAGTTTTCCTTGTAGAGATCTTTTACCACCTTAGTTATATATATTCCTAAGTATATTTGTTTTGTAGCTATTATAAATGGGATTGACTTCTTGATTTGGTTCTCAGTTTAATATAATAACTTTTGGTATATATAAATGCTACTGATTTTTTTACATTGATTTTGTATTCTGAAACTTTTCTGAATTCATTTATCAAATTTAGGAGTATTTTGGAGGAGTCTTTAGGGTGTTCTAGGTATAAGATTATCAGCAAACAGAGCTAATTTTACTTCATCTTTTTCTATTTGGATGCCTTTTTTCCTTCTCTTGTCTGATTGCTCTGGCTAGGACTTTCAGTACTATGTTGAATAGCAGTTGTGAAAGCTGGCATCCATGTCTTGTTCCAGTTCTTATGGGGAATGCTTTCAACTTTTCCATGTTCAGTAGGAAGTTGGCTGTGGGTTTGTCCTATATGGTTTTTATTATTTTAAGGCATGTTCCCTCAATATCTAGTATGTTGAGGGTTTTTATTACAAAGGAATACTGAATTTTATCAAATGCCTTATCTGCATCTATTGAGATGATGATAGGGTTTTTGTTTTTAGGATTTTCAAACTCTAACTGCAAACTTAGCTGGTTGGGAAGGTATCCTAGTCTCTCAAGGCAATGGAGTATAACTGTAGCTGCATAAGAAAAAGTAAATTGAATAATATAATAAAAAAGACATTAATATATTTAAATCTATGTTATTCATGATTTTCTAATAGTTTTCTAATACCTGTACTAATCAATTCTAGAAGCATTGCATTTATTTTATATTCCTTTTAAGGTGTTTAAAGAATTTTTAGGATCTGATATGTCCTTGATTCTAAAAATCAATCCCTCCTAGCCCCTTCTCTTTTCCTGGATGGCAGCTTTTCTGATCTCATATAGCTTCACTCTTTCCCCTTTTTTCTTAGAATCTGTTCCTTCTCTGCTATAGAAAAGAAAAGGTATATTTCCCTCTGACCCCTTTTTAGAATTTCCTAAAATGTTCAAATAGTGTTGATATTAAGAAATTACCAAAAGGTAGTATAGTTTTTAATGTAGCTTGTATATGAATATGTGCATCTCCAAAAACTCAGTCATGTTCTTTAGGATTTCATAAAGAGAGGGAAGAAACAGAGCCTAAGGCTAAGCAAAGAGAAAAGCTACAGGGGAGAACAATTCCCCAAGGTGCCTGATAGGCTCCCGCCATGGGGAGCTCTAATTTGAGCAGCTCTCCAGCCCTGAAGAGCTTGGGTGGGCAGGGAAGGGATGAAAGTATTTCCAGAGGTACCCTAATGTCAGCAGTGCTGAAAATAACCCAGAGAGGAATCAAGTAAGCACGACACTTACTCAGGTATCAGCATAGGTAACAAAAAGGAACATGTTAAAATAAAAAGAGAAAGAAACCAAACCTTTTATCACATATGGTAAGATAAATACTTAGCAAGTAACTAAGGATGCATGGTCCCTCCAATTAATGGCAGAGAAGGGGACTGGAGAGGGGTTTCTTATTTCTCGAGTTAAGTTTCTTTCTCTGGAGGAGTTTAGGGAGGGTCAGGGGAATGGCTGTTCCATATATAGACTTTCAGTGAATCCCCCTGTTTTTAGTCTCCTTTTTTTCTGCTTTCCATGGTGTCTGATTTTTTTAAGTCTAGAAACTTCTTAACTATCTCTCACATTAACATCTCATAGGATAGGGATTGGCAAGCTATGTTCTGTGGCCCAAATCTTGCCAGTCATCTGTTTTTGTATAGCCTGAGAGCCAAGAATGGTTTCTACATTTTAAATTACACTTTAATATTTATATTTTAAATTGAATTTTAAAATATATCCAAGAAATAATATTTTGTGACACATAAAATTATATAAAACTAAAATTTCAGTGTCCATAAGTGAAGTTTTATTGGAATGTAGTCATGTTTATTCATGTCTATGTTGTCTATGGCTGCTTTCATGCTACAATGACATAATTGAGTAGTGGTAACAGAGACTTAAATAATATCCTTTATTTTGCCTCTTGGCCTACAGAACCTAAAATGTTTACCATATGGCATTTATAGAAACAGTCTGCCATCCCTGACACTAGGTGGTAGGTCCTCTGCTCTGTTCTGTCAGTAGTGTTCTTTTATCTCCTTTGTGTCTTTTATATATTCATTGATACAACTGTATTGATGGCTCCTTCTCTTGTCTTTGTTGTTGTCAGTTCATTTCATTTTTATTCCTTTGCTAATATTTTGGGAAGCTAAAAAAATGGATAAAATGCTACTTGAGAGGCCGAGGCAGGAGAATCACTTGAGCCTAGGAGATTGAGGCTGCAGTGAGCTGTGATTGTGCCACCATACTCTAGCCCGGGTGACAAAGCAAGAGCCTGTCTCAACAAACAAACAAATAAAAAAAAAACCCCACTAAAATGTATGTGGCATAAATATGTCCTAACACACACACACTCATTTAATATATATAAACAGAGAACAACTGTTCTCAGTACAACAGGTAAGTACTGTTCTTCTATCTACTTTGAAGATAAGGATGCTAGGGTCAGAAAAGTTACTAACTTTCCCAAGATCATCACACAGCTAGGAAGTAGTAAGGCAAGATTCAAACTCAGATAGTCTGGCTCCCGACTCTCACCCACTACACAATACTCCTTTGATTCCTGTGAGAAAGATGAGGCAAATTTGTGTGGTTTGTCCACTGTCATGATTCATAAATAGATCCAATGTAGTTTAGAATAAATGAGAATTCTGACAAGTTAAGTTTTATTAGGAGGTAGGGAGGGGGAAGAAATGTGCCCAAAGTGAGGGGAGATGGAATTCTGTACTTATCAAATGTTTGTTTCTTGTGTCTTAACATTTGGCTCAAGGCGATACTTTTCAGTTTGGCAATATGGTATTATTTTGTGTTATTTTATATTAGAGATAGGGTTGCATTCTGTTGCTCAGGCTGCAGTGTAGGGGTATGCCCATAGCTCACTGCAGCCTTGAACTCCTGGGATCAAACAATCCTCCCACCTCAGCCTCCCAAAGTGCTGGGATTACAGGCATGAGCCATTGTGACTGGCCTCTGTTTGGCAATATCTTATGTCACCAACTGATGAACTATAGCATAGGGGAAGCAGTGGAGTAGGGCTTGTGATCTTAACTGTTCTAAAGATTTGGGGGTATATCCATTTTTTAAATGTGAGAATTACTTCCAAAAGTGTTTATGAGAGGTGATCTTTGAAAATGAAGCTCTGGGCCAGGCATGGTGGCTCACGCCTGTAATCACAGCAATTTGGGGGGCTGAGGTGGGTGGATCAACAGAGGTCAGGAGTTCAAGACCACTCTGGCCAACATGGTGAAACCCTGTCTCTACTAAAAATACAAAAAATTAGCCAGGTGTGGTGGTGGGCGCCTGTAATCCCAGTTACTCGAGAGGCTGAGGCAGGAGAATTGCTTGAACTCGGGAGGTGGAGATTGCAGTGAGCCAAGATTGCACCATTGCACTCCAGCCTGGGCAACAAGAGTGAAACTCTGTCTCAAAACAAGAAAAAAAAAAAAAAAGAAAAAAAAAAGGAAAATGAAGTTCTGTGGATAAATAGATTCAGGAAATGAGGCATTCCATATTACTGTATGCTCTCTGAACACTTTGCATTAAATTTTTTGTTTGTTTTTTAAACCAATTCCCTCAATTTAAATGACCACAATTTTTTTTTTTGGCCTATATAAAATCTTTCAGTGTTCTAAGGAATTAGTGTTCTGTGGAACATACTTTGGGAAATATTATTCCTCATTTTTACTTGTACAGCAAGGTTGTATTGCGTCTGACATTGTAATGTAGGGAAAAAAGTAAATTATTTTATCTACAATGAATCTCTTCTTTTTCCCAAGATTTTATCTGTGAAGTAGCAGGGAAACAAATGGACTCATGTCATGTGTGATAAACAAAGACCAATATGACGAGTTTTTGGTTTCTTTTTTGAGATAAATGTTTACTCAGTCTCTCAGATGGCCTTCGCCAGTCTTGGCTTCTTTCCCTAAGTTGTGTCAAGGACAGGGCTCCCTGGCTTGTGCTCGTCCTGGGATATAGGCTTGCTGTTTTCTGCTGGTCTTAGGAGCAGTGTCTCTTGGATGACTGAGTGCTGCCGGCCCTGTTATAGACAGTGTGCACCTAATGGAACTCTATTTGCTGTCCCTCAGCAGGGCTCCTGGCTGACCTGGCCTCACCTCGCTCCTCTGTGAGCCTGCCACCCTGGTGTCTACCCCCAAGTCTCCTCTGTGAGGTCACTTGTCTGCCCAGCAGGCCCTGTGGCAGGCCCATTGTCTCTCAGGTGCAAACATGCAGGAACTGGAGAGATTTGGGAAAACTCAACCTCATAATCTTTCTTTTTTTTGCACATAGTGCATAGCCAAGTAGCTGTGTCTGCATCCCAGGCTGTTGTATTTAGGGAGAAGGGAAAAACTTGAAAGGTGCTCATTTTCCAGAGTCTTCCATGAGAAGTAGGTCACTATAGCTCTTATCTTTAACATTTATTTTATTTTCACTTATGTGAAACACATCCCCCTGAAATCCAGGGAGGGTAAAAGGGGAGACATCAGTTTGATAATTTTCAATCTCTTTCTCTGTTTTCTTCTCATTGTCTCCCAAGCCAGATGCTTATTTTATTTCTCCTTTATCTTTTCTTCTTCTATAGAGTGATCCTGGCTGTTGGTAGGAGTATGAGACACCCCTCCACATTAGCAAACCCTAGATTCTAAATCCATCAGCCTAAGTTGTTGGTAAGTTAATGAAGGGAATAAAGACAAGTAAAACATTCTTCCCCAAGATAACATTCTGGTGAGCAAAATTTATTGTCTTGCTGTATGTCCAATTTGTATGTAGGGGCAAAAAACAAACTTCCTCTTTGTTCTTTTCCTTACATTTCTTATATAACAAATTTAATCTACCTATTGGCAGATGGATGCCTAATGTAAAGTATGATATACTCAGAAAAGCAAAAGGAACAAAGCACATTTGTAAAATTTGAAACAATTACCTTTTGACCCATATTCTACCATCCTCTCCTAGCTGGCCAATGTTTTTAAATGGTTCTCTGATATTACTGTTTCTTGATTTTTCTTCTCCTGTCTGCTCTTTCTCTAATTTTCAGGCTCATCACCCTTTGTGCCTCTATGAAATATTGCTCCTTTCAAAAGTTCCATTTGCAGGCCATTGTTCCTCTCATTCTCTATACTGAATGATCTTAACCATACTAATTATTTTAATTGCTAAGCATACCCTGATTTTCCAAATCTATATTCTAACCCTGAACCTTGTATCTGGTTAATCTGTAGGTGCCTCAAAGTCAACACACTGAACCCATTCACCAGTGAATGCTTTCTTCTCTTGTGTGTGCCATCTCATTTAATGGTGGGAGAATTCAACCAGTTCCACACTGACACCTTAGACTCCTTCTTTCCCCAGAACCCCCAACATTGGCCTCCTACCTTCCCATTTCCAAACCTCCCAATCCAAACCACTACCAATTCCTCTCCATGCCCTTCTTTCTACCCTCACTGTAAATACCCTAGGCCAGGTTCTCATCATTTCTTACATGGACTATTCTAATAACTTGCTAAAGAATCTTTTTGCTCCTTATTCCCCCATATGATAGCAATCTACCTCCATGTTGCTGCCAGAATGCTCTTTTAAAATCCTTTGGGCCCCATCCCTACCCTCATTTTATCCTGTCTCACATCTAGCTACTTCCCATAAACTTGTTTTCCTCCAGTCATTCTTCTGGTAGTTCTTAGAATGCTTCCTGCTCTCTTATGCCTTGCTACTTTTACACAGGTGATTTATTCTTTTGGGTCACCTTTCTTTCTGTATCCATTGAGCTAATTCTTAATTATGCTTTATAAATTATTTCCTGCTACCTTTACCAGGAAGCCATCCCTTTAAATCCCAGCCTGAATAAGGCAGTGTTTCTCTGTGCTCCTTCACGCATACCTTTAATTCACATGCTCTTGTGGAGCCATCACATTATATTTTAATGTTTAACTCAACATTGTTTATTTAATGTTTATCTCAACCTTCTTCTTTTACTCTATTTGGGAATGGGAACTGTATCTTTCTTGCCGATTTCTTTGTCCCTGCTGCCTAGTTAAAGCCAGATACCCAGTAAGCTTTCAGTAAATATTTTTTTCTGAATGAATGTAAGAGGTTAAATAGAATAAGGATGGATAAAAGGTCATTGGATTTGTCTTTATGAAGGTCTCTGCTGATCTTGGGGAGAGGAGGTTTAGTAAGTATATTTAACTTTCACAGTCTGGGCATTGAGAGGCTTGAAGGTAAAGCTGCATGCTTGAACACCAACCTCACCTCTCCCTGCAATACTTCAAAATAGAAAGAAAAGCTGTTAAGAGCTTCTCAAAGTGAATTGTGGGGCAATTAAAGTGATAGAAAGATATGAGTGATTTGGGTGAGCATGCTTTTAGCCATGAAAAAGCAGCCAAATGCATCTGCTTCAATAAAATTCAGAGCAAAACCTTTGTAATCAGTCTGAAAACACCCAAGGCTTGCTTTCTTTTCTAAGGAAAGTAAAAATGATTTGGCAGCTGGATGCTTCATCATGAGAACAGTACTTAATCTTTCACTGTTTGAGTTATGTTAAAAAAATATAGGTATAAAGCCACAGTTCTTTCCTTCATGACAGGCTCATCCCCAAAACCTTGGGGGCACACAGTGGGGTAGCAGGTGAAGGTCCTGGCAGCAACCCTCACCCTGCCAGATTTCTGTATAAGTCCCCAGACCCCTCCTTTCAACATCTCCACTTACTCTTCTAACAGACCTCCAGGGCCCCAGCTGCTCAGTTAGACCAGGGAAGAGGCTGTCAGCAACCACATAACTAATTTCAGCCAGAATGTGAGAACCCTAGGCAGGTCATACCACAGTGATTAGGAGCCAAAAAATAATAATGGAATAATAATGGAATGACTCTCCATCCCCAGTCACTCAGGTGGACAGGAGGCTGGGTTAGGGCTGCCAGAGACCTTGAAAGTGTTTTGACATATATAGATCAGGTGAAGGATATACTTAACTCAGCAAGGTGCATTTCAAAAATTGTGCTGGAAGTTGAAATTGGAAGCCCCAGATAGTTGGAACCAGAGATGACTTGAATTAATAAGGGTGGGAGGGAGCAGGGAGAAGTGCGGGGTTTATGGTAACTCTATTTGTTAGGGTTCTCTAGAGAAACAGAATCAATAGGAGATACATTTATCTATATCTTCTATTGGTTATACATACATATATACACACACACATATATATATAAATATTATATATATATATATAAATATTATATATATATATATATATTTATTTATTTATTTATTTTAAAGAATTAGCTAATGCGATTGAGGAGCCAGCAAGTCCAAAGTCTCTAGAGCGGACCAGCAGGTTGGAGGCAGTCAGGGTTTTTATGTTGTCGTCTTGAGGCAGAATTTCTTCTTTGAGAAACCTCAGTCTGTTTTCTCTTAAGGCCTTCAGCTGATCGGATGAGGCTCACTCACACCATGGGAAGATAATCTGCTTCACTTAGAGTCTACTGATTTTAATGTTAATCACATCTAAAACATACCTTCACAGCAATATGTAGACTAGTATTTGACAAAATGATTGGGCACCATAGCCTAGCCAAGATGACACATAAAATTAACCACGATTGGCACCAAAAGAGGGACAGTGAAAGCCCACATGAAAAGGAAGAGCTAGGCCAGAAGCCTGAGAAGAGCCATAGACAAACTCAGTGTCTGTGATGGGAAGTAAACAGCTATGTCTGGTTGGTCAGGGCTGGAAAAGCACAAGATACAAGTTGTACTGATGCTGAGCTTGACCCCATCATGCCTTTTTAGATTTAGCTTAGTTCACTGGGCGATGGTAAAGATAGTAGATCAAAACTCCCAAGGCTTCCCACTGCAGGTCTTGCTCAAGTGGGCAGAGGCTAGGATTTTGTTTCCCTTATTTCTCCAGCAAAACATACTTGTCCTGTGTCTCATTTTATTAGGATGTTGCTGAATGCTTAGCATAGCCAAGTGTTAGTAGTCTGAGTAGTTTAAGACAGCAAATACCAACCTTTTGTTAATAAAAATATAAGCTCCTTCAATTGAAAACAGATGAGAAAATTCATGCCACAGTCTAAGTACTTCTGCAGTATCTGTTACTTTGAAAAGTGTGTCCTTCACAACATTTTGGAGTATCCTCATTGTCCTCTCCAGTGACACATTTTCTTTTTGTGCTGTGCTAGCTACTTACTTACCATTTCTTAACTTATCCTTGGCTTCATGATGACAGGCTGAATCTGCAAACTGAATTTTCAGGACTCCTTTGTAGCTCTACTGGGAGGAGTTGGCAGGAGATTCAAAAAAAGGAGGAAGAGAGAAGGCACACTCCTCCTGTTCCCAGGTTTTGTAAGCATCCCAACAGCAGTAGCTACAGAAGCCACAGACAACTCCAGCTCTTGCATTTTTTGGTATGCTAAGCAGCAGCTGCAAGGCACTCCCCTCAAAGGCCTAAGCACCAGATGTGCAGTATTTCCTCAACATACTTGAAAAACAGCCCCAAAGAAGCCCTGATTTAGAGATCTGAGTGCCTTTGTAAGACACATACATCCCCTCCCACAAAACCTCAAAAATTAGATGGGCAGTGCCATCTCTAATCTTTGAGTACCAGTTGTTCAAGGAGCCCAGTCAGGTCCAAGCACCAGATGAGCAGTGCTTTCCTCTATGTTCTGAAAGCCTAACATGTGGTGCCTTCCTTAGGAGTCCAAGCACTGAATTGCGGTGTCCCATCAGAGGTCCAAGTGTCAGCTGTGTGGGGCCCACCCAGGTCCAGAGGGGTGTACATGAGTTTGGAGCACCTCTTGTATGGTCAGAACCTCAGCTGCACAGCACCACCTCTTCTGCCCTATCTTTTCTCTTCTGTCCTCCAAGCCCTAGGGGTAGTGGTTGCCTTCTAGAGTTACCCAAAACTCTAATTGTTGTTCTATTAGCTTTGAGTTCAAAAGCCTATTAAACAATTTCCTGTATTAAACTTCTTGCATTTGAAATATCCATTTTACACCCTGGACCCTGAGCTGTGCATGTATCTTAGCTTTCCTAAAGCCGAGGTAGCTGAAACATACCAAGATTGTTATCTTCAGGTTAGGTTGTCACTGTGGAAGTGCAGGAGTGAAAGACTACTGATAAATGTTTTTGTTTTTTTAAAGTATTCTTTCCAAGGCCAGAGCAGAGACAAAAATGTTGAGCTTTAAGACCTTGAATTTTGGTTTCTCAAATACAGAGGTCTTGGGACACAAATTTTTTCTCATAAACAATAAGTATTTTCTGCCTCCCTCTCTGACTATATAAATATTCTTGAGTTAGGAGTTTTTCCTGCTGATGGGTTCGTGGTCTTGCTAACTTCGAAGAATGAAGCTGCGGACCTTCACGGTGAGTGTTACAGCTCAAAAAGAGTCCACGGACCAGGAGAGTGAGCAGCAGCACAGTTTATTGAACAAAGTGAAAGGAAAGCTTCTACACAGTGGAAGGGGACCTGGAAGGGTTGCTGTTGCTGGCTTGGGTGGCTAGGGCTTATATCCCTGTGTTACCCCCTCCCCTTTCTTTTTGTCCAGAGAGTGGTTCTTTTTCAATCCTCCCTTGGAGGGATTAATTTTGAATCCTTCACTCGATTGGTTAAGAACTCAAAACCTGAGTCACAAGGGTCTTTTGCAAAAGTCCCCAAACTGGCCCAGGAAGTCCCGCCAATTCCACCCCTCAGTCCTCCCTCTCAACAGGGGAGCCCAACTGCTGTTGGGGTGTGGGACAATGACCACTCTAACTGCTTCCTGCTGAATAGGGGTGTAGAAGGGGCCCTGCACCTGAGGTTTCCTCATGAGAGGTGGTTTGGGTGTCAACGTCCGGGTATGGGCTGGCAGGCTGGTCTAGAGGTCCTTGATAATAGGTGCTGGTTGAAGTCATCTGAGGTTCCATCTGCAGTACCATTTGTAGTTTCATTGATTCTATTCGAGAAGAAATGAAATGGATGAGGGAATTGAAAAGACTTGGGACAAAGGTTACTCCCAGAATAATCACAAGGAGGGGACCTAAAAATGGAAGAAGCCAGGGGAGAACATGCTGTGAGAAACATGAGGTAGCTTCGGTTGTCCCACTGTGTAGTCTGCTGGCTCTATCCTGAAGTCATTTAATTCCATCTCTGACTACTTGATTTATTGACATAAAAACAAGATTCCTCGTTCAGAAAAAGGCATGTTCTTCCCCTTTCAGCAGTGAGGAGATCTAGTGCTTGCCGGTTCTGGAGAACCGTGGCTGCTAATGAGTTATTTGGTCCTGGATTTGAATACGTTGGAGAGAGATTTCATCTAGGCTTTCTCTTAATTCTTTAGAGAGTGTTAAGGACACTGTGAGTCCAGTGGTTCCAGTTCCTAGTGTGATAGTAAATCCTAAACCAGCCGATAGAGGAAGTAGTGAGATTGCTCTTGGCTGAAGCTTAGCATGAATGGGCACAGCTACTGCCTCTTCTGAAAAGGAACAAGTCACAGGAGGTACTATGTAGGCTAAAGTACAAGTTCCCATCCAGTTGGTGGGGAGGCAAATATAGAAGGATCTTCCACACACAAAGAAAACTCCTTGCCGGGGTTCTATACACCCCTGTAGCTGAAAATCTAATAAGGGCTGAGGTCGGTCTGCATTAATTTCTCATTCCCATGATTTAAGGCTTCGGGACAAATGAGCCACTCCTAGTGGTTGGAACTGAATAGAATTTGTCAAGGACATATTATGGGGTTCCTCTAAGGCAAACTGGTGGCTAGCTGCATTAAGAAAAACTCGTGCTCCAGGGACAGGAAGCAGGGAGCAATGGGGTCTCTTGGCTCTTTGGAAGCTCTTTTATTTGTTCCCTTTTGGGCTGTAGAGCCCAGAGAGGCTTCAGCATTAGTAGGAGAAGGAGCTGTGGGGAGGCCTGGGTATGGGAGTAGACTTTGAGGACTCCTCGTGGGGTGCAGGTTACATGTCTTACACGATCATGGGTTACCCCTTAATGAGAAGAAGGTCTGAACATAATGGTACCTCACTCCACTTGCCTTCTTGTTTACAAAAAAGATCTAGTTGCAGGATGGTATTATAGTTTATACTTCCCTCAGGTGGCCATTGTTCTCCTCCTGGAAGAGGATATTGTGGTCAGGCAGTGCTGCAGAAAAATATGAGCCGCTTCTTTTTCAATGTCTGGGGACCAAATTGGTCCCAGTTATTCAGAATACACCTCAGGGGTGACTTTGCTTTGGAGGGAACATCTCCCATCTGAAAGGAGAGCATAGGGATGCCCACACCCCTAGTCATTCCCTGTGGACACTGGTTCTAGGGAGTTCTATACTGTTTTAGTGTCCTTTTTCCAGGGTGCGAAATCACCCATGGAACACTGCTTATCAGATTTAATTGTGCTTACCAACGTAGCAGTTTCAACTACAGTCTTTTCCCTCCCTTCTTAGCCACAAAGAAGGAGGCCAGGCTGCTGGGTTTAATGGCCTTTTACCAGCACGCCTGAAAGAGTTTTTTTTTCCTGTGAGTGGGTTCTAAGTCCAGGGTGTATTCTTAGGTGGTTGACGAGGCTCCAGTTGGCATATTTCTGAGCTTGAAACTGCCCCAGTAAGATAAACTCCTTAAAGATTGTACATAGACATAGCAATTTTAAGGTGGGGGGCAACAGGGCATTGGGCCAAGGTTGAAATAGCATCTCATGTACTAAGGCCTTTTGTCCCCGCTTTCCATCATAAGAATATGACTTTTGATCTCCCAGTCAATGGTCTATTATATTACTTAACTCCCACAACAGTGAGTGGTACCCCAAGTGGAAGAGCTCCATAGTTCGGATTGCTGATCACAAACAAGAAAGATGATAGGTGAGACGGTTCCCAGTGAGGTGGAGATGACAGAAAGAGAAATGGCCTAAGTCTTCCAGTAACCACTGGCACACACTATATTGTCCTGGGTGTTGCCTCAGGTGCTGAATATGAGGAACAGGTCCTGTATATTTGTATTGTTGCCCATCTACATAAGAATAAGCCATGGGATACCAGAAAAATGGATCTGAGGGTTGCCATCCTAATTGTTTTAGATTCCTAATCCAGAGAGTTTTCATCCCAGAGGTAGAGAAAATCCTGGAAGACAGGGTCTCAAGAAAGTCTTCCCTACAGACATTTGGACCCCGGAGGCATGGGTCTAGAAGGGTGGGTGAAGCACGTTTGGGAGGCTTTTTAACAAAGGTTTCACACAGCGCCATGATCTCGACCGGTGGTACCAGGAGCCCAGGGCTACTGTTTTCCACCTTTGGCTGGCCCTCAGTTCAACACAGAAAATGCAGAGAAAGTGAGAACTCATTCCAGGCAAACCAACACTCCTGACTCAGAAGGGTCGGGGGGTTGTTAGCCCTTTCCCAGAAAGCCTTCCACCTGTGTCTTTAGTCAGGCGGCCGCACTTGTCGCTTTTAAATGGCCGACAGGTGCCGTTGTTCACCCCCAATTATAAAGAAAAATAGAGCAGAGTAGCAAGAGAAAGAGTTCCGATGTTACTCACCACTTTGGAAATCCCAGGCAAGCCCCCTTGATGAGTTAGGAGTTTTTCCTGCTGATGGGTTCGTGGTCTCACTAACTTCGGAGAATGAAGCTACGGAACTTCGCGGTGTATGTTACAGCTCAAAAAGAGTCCACAGACCAGGAGAGTGAGCAGCAGAACAGTTTATTGAACAAAGTGAAAGGAAAGCTTCCACATGGTGGAAGGGGACTTGGAAGGGTTGCTATTGCTGGCTCGGGTGGCTAAGGCTTATATCCCTGTGTTACCCCCTCCCCTTTCTTTCTTTTTGTCCAGAGAGTAGTTCTTTTTCAATCCTCTCTTGGAGTGGTTAATTTTGAATCCTTCACTCGATTGGTTAAGAACTCAAAACACTGAGTCATAGGGATCTTTTGCAAAAGTCCCTAAACTGGCCAAGGAAGTCCTGCCAACTCCACCCCTCATTCTGAAAGGTAAGAAGGAGGCAAAAACTATAGGAGAAAAAAGCAAGATACTTAGAAACTTTTGAAGGTTTCTGAAATGGAGGCTCTGTTTCTTGCCCCTCCCCATCAGATTCACACCAAGGAGGGATAACAGAGCCATCAATAGGTGTGAGAGTCTGAGAACAGTAGGGAGGTTTTTCTTCCTCTTTCCTAAAACCATGACATTGCAGTTCCTGTTACCACCTTGGTGTGGGGGCAAGAAAGTAGAAATAATCACTGTACGTAGTAGACAGAGAGCTTCGGTATCAGGAACTAAGGGGGCCCTAGCCCATTATGTCAGGTTTTCTGCCTGTCCAGGCTGAGAAAGAGAGATGGCCAACTTAGAGTGGTTTAGAGTTGTGATGAATGATGATTTTGGTGGAAATAAAGCAGAGTATATAACCAGAGTCTGGCAAAGAGTGTGGACACTTCTATAGATGCCAGTGTAGATAAAAGACAACATCTGAGAACCACAGGGTGCTAATGTGGAAAACAAATATAGTCTGGACAGAGAATGCAGAACACACAAATGCCTCTTCCTCATGCCATGATGCTAGGTAATGCCTGCCTCAGGAGCTTAGAAAATGCTAAAGTGAAAAAGTGGTGATGGGAAAGTTCTATGCCTATTTATTATTTTTTCTTTTTGAGATGGAGTCTCACTCTTTTGCCCAGGCTGGAGTTCAATTGCGTGATCTTGGCTCACTGCAACCTCTGCCTCCTGGGTTCAAGCAATTCTCCTGCCTCAGCCTCGCGTGTATCTGGGATTACAGGTGCGTGCCACCACGCCCAGCTAATTTTTTGTATTTTTAGTAGAGACGGTTTCACCACGTTAGCCAGGATGTTCTCGATCTCCTGACCTCATGATCTGCCAGCCTTGGCCTCCTAAATGTTGGGATTACAGGTGTGAGCCACTGCACCCAGTCCTATGCCTATTTTTAAACTAATTTTTTTGAATTTTAACTAAAATACCCAATTTAGCAAGTTTGCCTAAGATTATATTATCTCTCATAGGAAGAAGAAAATTATATTGTTACAAGAGAATAAATATGTGCTTTTTGCATAGCTGAACATATGGACATTTATCCTAATACATATGTTCAGAGTGTCCCTCTTTTCAAGAAAGTGCTGGTGTAAAACATATTTAATCAGGAGATACTTTTTTGTATTAGAGAGAATAGCTTTGTGTCTGGGAGGAACAGAAATGTTTTCTTTCTTGCAATACAAATCAGAACAAAGAAATAATAATGAGGAGTCTGAGTGTTTTCCTCAGAAACAAAGAAACAACTTGAGGCATCTAATATAATCTAGGAAACCCAAATGACAAAACCAAAGCTACTTCTGAGTTACTTTTAAAAGTCATAAGGAACCTTTTCTCCTCCAAGATTAGAGGCTTTTAGTGTGCCTTAGCCAGTTGAAAAGAGCAAGATAATACATAAAGATAAACTGTGAGGAAGATAATACATAAACTGTGAGCTTTAATTCAAGATGAAAATGGGAATGCACTGGAATTGTGAAAGACATTCCACCTGGAACACTTACTCTCCTGGATTAGGAGTGTAGGTAACCTCCCATCCCCATGCAAGAACCTGGGGCCAAGGAGGTTTAACAGATTCATGCCTAGGCACACCTCTGGGTGCTTAGCAGCTGCTCACTAGATTCTCTCCTGGCATTGGTTCTTGTGCCTGTCATCTGGGGACCTGTATGTGGACTCCCCCAGTTCAGTCTCACCCATCTTTGTCCCCACCACCCTAGGGCTGAGCAGGGAGCTCAGACCACTCTGCACTCCATGGATCAGCCCATTGCCTGAGGTAACAGAAAGCCTCTCCCAGTAAACAAGGATCAAGTATTTACCCAGCCACTTTGGCTACAGCTCACTCTTATTTATAAGCACCATCTACAGCCCAGCAGGTCCACTACACAGCCCAATAGAAAACCTGCCATTAGAAGTGCATAGGGCTGCAAAAGCAAAGCCAAAAGACCCTACCCAGCATTCTCTACAGTCACATTCACTAGAGAGCAGGGCAGGGGGCAGGGATGTAAAGGAAAAGAGAAACTCCCTAATAATGTTATAGGAAAAAGAAAGGAAAGGAAAAAATCCTGCCTATGAAAATAAATACAAAAGTTAGAAGTTACAACATCTCCAGATGAGAAGGAACCAGCACAAGAATTCTGATACTACAAAAAATCTGAATGTGCTGATACCACCAAAGGACTGCACTGGCTCTCCTAACCAAAATGGAGACTCAGAAACGACAGATAAAGAATTCAAAGAAACGACTGTGTGAACCCAGGAAATCTAAGACAGATCTCAGTTAATTTAGAAAGTTTGTTTTGCCAAGGTTGAGGACGTGCCTGTGACACAGCCTCTGGAAGTCCTGATGACATGTGCCCAAGGTGGTCAGGGCACAGCTTGGTTTTATACATTTTAGGGAGACATGAGACTTCAATCAATATGTAAGAAGTACATTAGTTCTATCTAGAAAGGCGGAGACAGCTCAAAGCAAGGACCCCCCCACCCCAACTCCCTGGGGGATTCCAGGTCACAGGTTGGTGAGAGACAGATGGTTGCATTCTTTTGAGTTTCTGATAAGTCTTTCCAAAGGAGGCAATCAGAATATGCATCTATCTCTGTGAGCAAAAGGGATGACTTTGAATAAAATGGGAAGCAGATTTGCCCTGAGTGGTTCCCAGCTTGAAGGGGCTCAAGATATTTTCATTTCACAACTGCAAGGAAGGTTCAATGAGCTCTGAGACAAAATAAATACAAATAAATTTCTAAAGCACTCCAGGAAATGTAGGGAGAGATAAGCATACTAAAAAGAATGAATCAGAGCTGCTGGAATTGATAAACCTACTTAAAGACTTTCAAAATACAATTGAAATCTATAGTAATAGACTGGACCAAGCAGAAGAAAGAATTGCAGAGCTTGAAGACTAGTCTTTCAAACTCTAGCCCAGTCAGACAAAAATAAAGCAAAAAGAATTTTAAAAAATGAACAGTCTTTGACAAATATGGGATTATGTAAAGCAAGGAAACCTATAAGTTTAGGCATTCCTGAGTGTGAAAGAGAAAAAGTAAACAACCTGGAAAACATATTTGAGGGAATAATTCAAGAAAATTTCTCAAATCTTACTAGAGAGGTAGACATCCAGAGAATACCTGCGAGATACTGTATAAAACAAACATCACCAAGGCATGGAGTCACCAGACTGTCCAAGGTCAATGCTCAATAAAAAAATCTTAAAGCCAGTTAAAGAAACATGTCATATAACCTAAAAAGGGAGCCTAATTAGTCTAAGAGCAGACTTCTCAGCAGAAAAGTTACAAGCCAGGAAAGATTGGGGGCCTATTTTAAGCATTCATTAAAAAAAGAAATTCCAACCAAGAATTTCATATTTCACCAAACAAAGCTTCATAAGTAGAGGAGAAATAACATCTTATCCAGACAAGCAAGCACTAAGAGAATTTTCTTAATCACTAGACCAGACTTACAAGAGATGCTTAAGAGAATTCTAAACATGGAAACAAAGCAAAGATACCTGCTACCACAAAAACACTTGTACATAGTCCATATATGCTACAAAGCAACCACACAATAGAAATTACAAAGCAGCCAGCTAACAACTTCATGATAGGATCAAAAGGTCACATATCAATATTAATCCTGAATCTAAATGAATCTTGAATATAAATGTTCTAAATGCCCCACTTAAATTGCAGAATGGCACAGTGGCTAAAAAAAGACCCATCAGTCTGCTGTCTTCAAGAGACCCATTTCACACTTAACAATACCTATAGGCTCAAAGTAAAGGGAGAAAGATCAGCCCCACAGATGGAAAACAAATAAGAGCAGGGGTCACTATTCTTATATCAGATTAAACAGAGTTTAAACCAACGAAAGTAAAAAAAAGGATAAATTGAACCCAATAAAGGGTTCAATTCAACAAGAAGACTTAACTATTCTAAATATATCTGCACCTAACATGGGCACACCCAGATGCATAAAACAAGTACTTACAGACCTATGGAAAGACATAGACAGCCACAAAATAATAGTAGGGAACTTCAAAACCCCACAAACAACACTAGACAGACCATAGAGGCAGAAAACTGACAAAAAATTCTGGGCTTTAACTTGACATGTGACCAGGTAGACCTAATAGACATCTACAGAACACTCCATGCATCAGCCACAGAATATACATTCTTGTCTCCACATGGAACTCGAAGATCAAACACATGCACAGATGTAGAGCAAATGTCAATATATTTTTAAGAGTCAAAATCATACTAAGCACACTCTCAGTGAAAGTGAAATAAAAACAGTAATTAATACCAAGAAGATCTCTCAAAACAGCAAAATTACATGGAAATTAAACAACTTGCTCCTAAATGACTTTTGGGTAAACAACATTGACACAGAAATCAAAAAAATCTGTGAAATAATGAAAACAGAGGCACAATGTACCAAAATCCCTGGGATGCAACAGAAGCAGTGTTAAGAGGAAAGCGTAATGCTAAAGACCTACCTCCAAGTGTTAGGAAGATCTCAAATTAACGATCTAACACCACATCTAGAGAAACCAAAAAGATAAGAACAAACTAACCCCAAAGTTAGCAAAAGAAAAGAAAAAACTATGATCAGAGCAGAACTGAACAAAATTCAGTGCACAGTGGTCTGAGCTCCCTGCTCAGTCCCCAGGTGGTGAGGACAAAAATGGGTGGGATTGAACTGGGTTAGACCACCTACAGGTCCCCAAATGACAGGCATGCCAGGGGAGAATCTAGTGAGCAGCTGTTAAGTACCCAGAGGTGTGCCTAGGCATGAATCTGTTAGATCTCCTTGCCTCCAGGTTCTTGCATGGGGCTGGGAGGTTGCCTACACTCCTAACCCAAGAGAGTGAGTGTTCCAGATGCCTGGAGACCTGCTTGTACATGGAGCAGGGAGAGTTCCCTATATCACAGTTTTGACAGGAATATTTGGGCAATTCAGGCTGCTATTGCAGGCTAGTGTGTGCTCTGAATGCCTGGAGATTTGCTGTGGCTTGTGGGGAGGGTCCCACTGCACCAAGATCTCTGCACGATTGGGTGGACTGACTCAGGGTGTTAATCCAAGTAGACAGTTGCTCTGAATGCCTGGAGATCTGCCTGGGTGTGTAGCTGACAGCCTCCTTCCCCCTCATACATGGATCTCTGCACAAGAAATGGTGATGCAGCTTATGCTGCTGATTAAGGTGAACTGGTGCTTCGAATGCCTGGAGATCTGCCTGGGTTTGGCACAGAGAGGGCCTCACTGCACCATGATCTATGTTCAGAATGTGTGAAGTGGCTCAGGCCACTGAGCCAGATGAGTAGGTACTGTGAATGCCTGGAGATCTGCTTGAGCATGAATCTGAGACGGCCTCCTTGCACTGGGATCTCTGCACAGGAAGTGTAGGGCAGCTCAGGCTAGTGATCCAGGTGACTAGGTACTCCAAATCCCTGGATATCTGAATGTGCATGGAGTGGAGAAGGACCCATGGTACCTCAATCTACATATGGGAAGGTTGACATGGCTCAGGCTGCTGAACTAGGCACATGAGTGCTCGAGATTCCTGGTGATCTGTCTGGTAAAAGGGCAGAGAGGGTGTTGCTGTACCCTGATCTATTTCCATAAACTGTGGGGCAACTCAGCCTTCTAGTCCAGGCAAACATGTGCTTTAAATGCCTGGATTTCTGCCTGGGATGGATTAGAGAGGGTCCTGCTGCACCACAATTTCCGGTGAGCAGTATGGGGCACCCAGCAATGTCACATACAGACCAGTTCCAGGACAGCAAGCTAGGCTTGGCTGAAATCTTACTGCTCAAAAGAATCTGCAATGCTACCTGCTCTCCTCCTGCCCCAGGCTTGCAACAGGTGAAAACAAATTTCCAGCTCCTACTGCTGAGACTCTTTCCGTAATTCTGGCTGTGGTGGCTCCTTCCCCACACTTGAGCAGGCGCTTCTGTCTCTGGCCCGAGACTAAAATGCCTGCATGGCCATGCTGCCAGGTTGCTAAAGAATGGCTAAATTTATATGCACTCATATTAAAAATGGCATCCTGCACTTGGTCCTGGGTCTGAGGAAATGTCTACACCTTTTCCCAGTGTCTTTTCTTCATGATGTCTCCAAGCCTCTCCCCAAGTTAACTCAAGGGCTAGGGAAAATCAAATTGCTCTACCATGGCATGGGTTGCTCTGATCACCAGTAGAGAGGTGAATCACAGAGGGAAGCTCTCTGCCTCTCTTACATACCTGGGCTTTACTCATTTTTATCAGGTGGACACTGTTACAGTGGTTGTTTGTCAGCTTTATCAGAGGACACTGTTACAGTGGTTGTTTGTCAGCTTTATCCTCACTGGGATCTGGGTTGTCCTTCATGATTCAGTGGATTCCCATTTTACTTCTTGGATTAAAGCTCACAGAGTTGATCTTTATACATTATCTTGCTATTTTCAAGTGGCCAAGGCATGCTAAAAGCCTCTAATCTGCCACGCTGATTAAAAAATTGGCGTCTTTTTTAATGTAGTTATTTATTGTTACAATCTTCCCTCAGAACTGCTTTCGCTGCATCTTATAAGTTTTGATATGTTGTGTTTCTTAATATATTTTTTATTTTCCTTTTTGAATTGCTACTTTGATTCATGATTGTTTATGAGCATGTCATTTAATTTCCACATACTTGTGAATTTTCCTTCTTTTATTGATTTCTAGTTTCATAACATTGTGGTCAGAAAAGATACTTGATATGATTTCAGTGTTCTTAAGTATTTTGGGACTTATTTTCTGGCCTAACATATAATATATCCTGGAGAATGTTTCCTGTGTGCTTGAAAAGAATGTGTGTTCTGTTGCTGTTAGATGGAATGTTCTTTATGTCTATTAGGTCTGTTTAGTATATAGTTCAAGTCCAGTGTTCTCTTATTGATTTTCTGTTTAGATGATCTGCCCATTGTTGTGGGGCATTAAAGTTCTCAACTGTTACTGTACTGCTGTGCATTTCTCCCATCAGCCCTGTTAATATTTTAAAAATATACTAATTTCTCCAATGTTGGGTGCATATATATTTACATTTGTTGTGTCCTATTGATGTGTTGTCCTCTTTATCATGATATAATAACATTTTTTAATCTCTTGTTACAGTTTTTGACTTAAAATCTGTTTTGTTAGGTATAAGTATAGATACCCCTGCTATGCTTTTGGTTTCCATTTTCATAGAATATCTTCTCCTCTCCCTTCACTTTAAGTGTTTGCACGTGTATCAGGCTGTTCTTGTATTACTATAAAGAAATACCTGAGACTGGTTAATTTTTAAAGAAAAGAGATTTAATTGGTTTGCTGTTCTTGCAGGCTATACAAGCATGATGACAGTACCTGCTCGGCTTCTGGTGAGCTTTTACTCATGGCAGAGAGCAAAGTGGAAGCAGTAAGTCACAAAGTGAAAGCAGGAGCAAGGAAGGGGGAAGTGCCACACTTTTAAACAACCAGATCACTTGAGAACTCATTTACTGTCATGAGGACAACACCAACTCATGAGAGATCCTCCCCTACAATCCAAACACCTTTCACCAGCCTCATCTCCAACATTGGGTATTACATTTCAACATGAGATTTGGGCAGGGACAAATACCCAAGCTCTATCATTCTGCCTCTGGCACCCCCAAATCTCATGTCCCTCTCCCATTGCAAAATAAAATCACGCCTTCCTAATTGTTCCCCAGGTCTTAACTTATTCCAGCATCAATTCAAAAGTCCAAAGTCCAAAGTATGCTCAGATATCACAATTTCCTTCTGCCTATGAGCCTATAAAATAAAAAACAAATTATTTATTTTCAAGATACAATAGGAATACAGGCATTGTATAAACATTCCTATTCCAAAAATGAGAAAAGAAAGGGGCTACAGTCCCCATTCAAGTTCAAAACCCAGCAGGGTAGCTGTTACATCTTAAAAGGTCCAAAATAATCTCCATTGACTCCCTTTCCCATATCAAAGGCACTTCTGCAAGTCTCAGAGTCTAAAGGCTGAAAAACCTGGAGTCTGATGTCCAAGGGCAGGAGGAGAGGAAGCAAGCATCTGACATGGAAAGAAAGTGGGAGCCAGAAGACTCAGCAAGCAAGACTACCCCCATGACTTCTTCCACCTAGGTCTTCCTCTTCCAGTCCACTGACCCAAATGTAAATTTCCTTTGGCAACATCCTCACAGACACACCCCAAAACAATACTTTGCCAGCCATCTAGGAATCCTTTAATCCAGTCAGGATGACAACTAATGTTAACCATCACAGCATTTTCTAAAGGTAATGTGAGTCTCTTGTAGACATAATGCTATGTTTTTTGATTTGTGAATTTTAATCCATTTTCATCTATAGCAATTATTGGTAGGTAAGAATTCACTATTGCCATTTCATTAATTATTTTCTGATTGTTTTATAGATCCTTAACTCCTTTCTTTCTCTCTTGTTGCCTTCTTCTGTGATTTGATGATTTTTCTGTAGTGGTTTGCTTTGATTCCCTTGTCTTCTATGTATCAACTATGGGTTTTTGTTTTGTGGTTATGATGAGGCATGCATAAAACATCATAAAACATCTTATAGTTTTACAAGCCTGTTTTAAGTTAACAACAACTTAACTTTAGCATATAAAAGCTGTGCACTTTTACTATCCCTCCCACATTTTATGTTTTTGATATCACAATTCACATCGTTTTATATTGTGTATCATTAACAAATTATTGTATCTATAGTTATTTTTAATACTTTTGTCTTTTAACCTTTATAATAGAGCTATAGGTAATTTATTCACCACCATGACAGTATTTGAATATTCTGAGCACAAATTCACTTTAATAGTGAGTTTTATGCTTTCACGTGTTTTTATGGTACTAATTAGTGGCTTTTCTTTTTTTTTCTTTTTATTATACTTTAAGTTTTAGGGTACATGTGCACATTGTGCAGGTTAGTTACATATGTATACATGTGCCATGCTGGTGCGCTGCACCCACTAACTCGTCATCTAGCATTAGGTATACCTCCCAATGCTATCCCTCCCCCCACCCCACCCCACCACAGTCCCCAGAGTGTGATATTCCCCTTCCTGTGTCCATGTGATCTCATTGTTCAATTCCCACCTATGAGTGAGAATATGCGGTGTTTGGTTTTTTGTTCTTGCGATAGTTTACTGAGAATGATGATTTCCAATTTCATCCATGTCCCTACAAAGGACACGAACTCATCCTTTTTTATGGCTGCATAGTATTCCATGGTGTATATGTGCCACATTTTCTTAATCCAGTCTATCATTGTTGGACATTTGGGTTGGTTCCAAGTCTTTGCTATTGTGAATAATGCCGCAATAAACATACGTGTACATGTGTCTTTATAGCAGCATGATTTATAGTCCTTTGGGTATATACCCAGTAATGGGATGGCTGGGTCAAATGGTATTTCTAGTTCTAGATCCCTGAGGAATCGCCACACTGACTTCCACAATGGTTGAACTAGTTTACAGTCCCACCAACAGTGTAAAAGTGTTCCTATTTCTCCACATCCTCTCCAGCACCTGTTGTTTCCTGACTTTTTAATGATTGCCATTCTAACTGGTGTGAGATGGTATCTCATAGTGGTTTTGATTTGCGTTTCTCTGATAGCTAGTGATGATGAGCATTTTTTCATGTGTTTTTTGGCTGCATAAATGTCACAAGCATTCTTATACACCAACAACAGACAAACAGAGAGCCAAATCATGAGTGAACTCCCATTCCCAATTGCTTCAAAGAGAATAAAATACCTAGGAATCCAACTTACAAGGGATGTGAAGGACCTCTTCAAGGAGAACTACAAACCACTGCTCAGTGAAATAAAAGAGGATACAAATAAATGGAAGAACATTCCATGCTCATGGGTAGGAAGAATCAATATCGTGAAAATGGCCATACTGCCCAAGGTAATTTACAGATTCAATGCCATCCCCATCAAGCTACCAATGACTTTCTTCACAGAATTGGAAAAAACTACTTTAAAGTTCATATGGAACCAAAAAAGAGCCCGCATTGCCAAGTCAATCCTAAGCCAAAAGAACAAAGCTGGAGGCATCACACTACCTGACTTCAAACTATTCTACAAGGCTACAGTAACCAAAACAGCATGGTACTGGTACCAAAACAGAGATATAGATCAATGGAACAGAACAGAGCCCTCAGAAATAATGCCGCATGTCTACAACTATCTGATCTTTGACAAACCTGAGAAAAACAAGCAATGGGGAAAGGATTCCCTATTTAATAAATGGTGCTGGGAAAACTGGCTAGCCATATGTAGAAAGCTGAAACTGGATCCCTTCCTTACACCTTATACAAAAATCAATTCAAGATGGATTAAAGATTTAAACGTTAAACCTAAAACCATAAAAACCCTAGAAGAAAACCTAGGCATTACCATTCAGGACATAGGCGTGGGCAAGGACTTCATGTCCAAAACACCAAAAGCAATGGCAACAAAAGACAAAATTGACAAATGGGATCTAATTAAACTAAAGAGCTTCTGCACAGCAAAAGAAACTACCATCAGAGTGAACAGGCAACCTACAACATGGGAGAAAATTTTTGCAACCTACTCATCTGACAAAGGGCTAATATCCAGAATCTACAATGAACTCAAACAAATTTACAAGAAAAAAACAAACAACCCCATCAAAAAGTGGGCGAAGGACATGAACAGACACTTCTCAAAAGAAGACATTTATGCAGCCAATTAGTGGCTTTTCTTCAGCTAGAAGTATTTTCTTTAACATTTATTGTAAGGCCGGCCTAGTGGTGATAAAGTCCCTTAGCTTTTGTTTGTCTCAGAAAGCCCTTATCTCTCCTTAGTTTCTGAAGGGCAGATTTGCTGAGTAAATTATTTGTGCTCACAGTTCTTTTTCTTTTACCACTTTGAATATGTCAACCCACTTTCTCCTGCCCTGCAAGATTTCTTCTGAGAAATCAGCTGATAGCTTTGTTTGTGTTCCTTTGGATGTGGTATGCTTCTTTTCTCATGATACCTTCAAACACATCTCTCTTTCTTTGATATTTGAGTTTGATGATAATGTGCCTTGATTAAATATTATTTGGTTGAATGTTATTAGAGATCTCTGAGCTTCATGTATCTGGGTATCCATATTTTTCCCAAGATTTGGGAAGTTTTCAAGCATTATTTTTTCAAATAAACTTTCTATCCTTTTTTCTTCTTTTGGAACCCCTATAATGTAAATGTTAGGTCTCTTGATGGTGTCCCATAAATCCTATAGGCTTAAAACATTCCTTTTCATTATTTTTTTCTTTTTTCCCTTTCAACTAGATAATTCAAAATGATCTCTCTTCAAGGTTGCCTATTCTCTCTTGTGTTTGGTTATTATATTGTTGAAGCTTTCTATTGTATTTTATAGTTGTCATTGTATTCTTCATCTTCAAAACTTTTATTAAAAATTGCCTATCTTTTTGTTGAACTTATTTTATTCTTCTATGAATTCATAAAATTATTTATGTTCTCTTGTAGCTTGTTGAGTTTCTTTAGAACAATTATCTTGAATTCTTTGTCAGGAAATATGCACATCTCCAATTCTTTGGGATTTGTTACTGGAAATTTATTGTATTTCTTTAGTGATGTCATGTTTCCTGATTTATTGTGATCCTTGTAGTCTTTTCTACACATTTGAAGATGCATTCATATCTTCCAGACTTAATGGACTGGCTTTGATAGTAAAAGACATTCACCTATGGGGGAGCATGCTGAAGTGTGCTGTGACATTGGATCTAGAGATGTGGGACACCAAGGCTGGGGGGAATGCAGTGGCTCCAGGTCATGGAAGAGCAGGGTGACTTGTCTTCTTACACAGCTGAGGTCTGCGACATTGACAACTACATGGTCCTTGGAGGCAAGAACTGCAGAATGTCTGCAGTAGCTGTGAGGGCTGTTGTCATCCTCTATGTTGCCTGTGAGTCCAGCATCAAGGGAATGAGGTATTCAGCAGTAGGGGCTGTCATTGTATATACGCTTGGCTGAAGTGGCTGGCTGAAACACATTTGTGATGATAGAGGCTAGTTGAGGGCACATGTACAGCAGTGAGGGCCAGAGTCAAGGGGGAGGTCTGGGGCAGACTATAGGCAGACATATGGTGGTGGTGGCCAGTGGTATGCATGTGCATGGCTATAGGAACCAGAGCAGCATGTATGTGTGTGGTTGCAAAGAGAGCTATGAGTACATGCCCAAAAGTAGGTAACAGCAACAGGGATTGTGTTTGTGTGCAGCTGTGGGCCCAAGTTAGCAGTGGGCATATGTGTGGTTGCAGGGGCTGGCTGTGAGTGCAAACATGCTGGTGGGTGTAGGTTCTGGGGAGTGGGGCTGATTGCATGCCCATATGCAGCTATGGGGGCTGGGGCTGCTGGCGAACATGTATATAGCTGCATGGGCCAGCTGCAGGCATGTGTTTGGTAGTAGGGGCTGGCAATAGGAGTCAGAACAAGCTGATTGTGTGTTTGCATCTGCAGGGGCCAGGAATGATGCTGATTATGTGCATAGCTACACAGGCAGCTATGGTCCCATATTTGGTTGTGATAGCTTATGTTGGGGGTGAGGTTTATCAATCAAAAGACATACAGTGACTCAATGGATAAAAAACAGACACAACTATATGCTGCTGAGAAGACTCACTTCACTTTTAAGGACAAAAAACAGTGAACATAGACTAAAAGTGAAGAGATAGAAGATATTTCAAGCAAATTAAAACCAAAAGAGAGCAGAGTTAGCTATACTCATATCAGATAAAATAGACTTTGATACCAAAAGTGCACAGCTGTGAGAACCAGGCTTTTGGTATATATATGTTTGACTGCAGGGGCCAGCTGTAGAAGCGAGAATGGTGGTAGGGACTGGTGGTGGGAGTTGGGACCCACTACTTGGCACACACAGCTGCAGAAGCCAGGGATGGTGGCAGGCACAACCTAGTGGTGAAAGTTGTGGGATTCTGCTGCAGTTGTGATGGCTGTTGGTTTCCTCACCAGCAAAAGCTGCTAGGGTCCTCTGCAGAGTAGGCCACTGGGGTCTGTCATGGCAAACTCTGGCAGGGTTGGGGGATGGTTCTTCAGCAGTGAAAGCTGTGGGGCTGCACAATGGCTTCAAGGGCTGTTGAAGTCCTCAGTGGAGGGGGCTTCAGAATTCCTGTGCAGAGTATGCCATGGGGAACCATGGTAGCTCCCATTGTGTGGCTGATATTGTTAGTGCCCACTCTTTGTTCCAAGCTGTCTCCAGACATCTTAGTTATGCCAGTCTCCCCAGTGATCTAGATGGGGTGAAGCCGAAGAATGTAATTCAGGCAGTGCTCCAGAAGTCTAAGGAAGTCGGTTGTTTAACTTATTCTTTTTTTCCTTGAGGGGAACTCATG
This sequence comes from Homo sapiens, assembly GCF_000001405.40. NCBI lineage: Eukaryota > Metazoa > Chordata > Mammalia > Primates > Hominidae > Homo > Homo sapiens. The sequence goes on from NC_000006.12 coordinate 85,989,438, forward strand.
AGCTAGAGTATTCCCTCTCTGTGATTAGAAGTGATGGCCAGGGGATAGGATGATGCAGGTAAAGTAAAAAATGTTTTTTCTCCCCATTTTATGTGGTTATTTTTGGATTTATTCCACTGCATTTCTGTAGCTTCTTAAGTGGACTTCTGAGCTCTTCCAGAGCTATTTTTATTCATGGATAGCTGTCCAGTTGTTCTCTATGTGAGAGACAAAGGATGGATTCACTCCATCTTCCTGACATCACTGTATCATAAGCCAAATTCTAAAAAAGAAATATGAAAAGAAATTAGTTGCAATGTTGTGTTAACACTGGCTTTCTAGTGGAAAGCAATAAATTTGGCCAATCTAACAGTCATTGGCTGCAGTTTTGCTCTATGTCTGGTGGTATGCTGGACTTTTTGAGGAGAGAATCCTTGCCTCAGAGTTGCCCACAGCTTCACAAATTTTGGGTGACTTGGGAAGGGATCTGTCAATATTAGTGACTGAGGAAAAAAACTGTACTCACTGTGAGCCAAATTTGCATTAAAAAACTTTTGCTAAATTGCAATATATGAAATCCCTTCAACAATTCATTTTTTTTTTTTTTTGAGATGGAGTCTCACTCTATCCCCCAGGCTGGAGTGCAGTGGTGTGATCCCGGCTTACTGAGAGCTCCACCTCCCGGGTTCACACCATTCTCCTGCCTCAGCCTTCTGAGTAGCTGGGACTACAGGTGCCTGCCAACATGCTCGGCTTATTTTTTGTATTTTTAGTAGAGATGGGGTTTCACCATGTTAGCCAGGATGGTCTCGATCTGCTGACCTCGTGATCCGCCCATCTCCGCCTCCCAAAGTGCTGGGATTACAGGTGTGAGCCACCGCCCCGGCCAACAATTCATTTTTAATTAATTAATTAATTTTTTTGAGACAGAGTCTTACTCTAGTTGCCTAGGCTGGAGTGCATTGGTGTGATCTCAGCTCACTACAGCCTTGATCTCTTGAGCTCAGATGATCCTCCCACCTCAGCCTCTGAGTAGCTGGGACTACAGGCATGCACCACTGTGCCTGGCTAGTTTTTTGTACTTTTTAGTAGATACGGGGTTTTGTTATGTTGTCCAGGTGGATCTTGAACTCCTGGACTCAAGGAATCTGCTCACCTTGGCCTCCCAGAATGTTAGGATTACAGGTGTGAGCCACCACACCCAACCTTCATTTTTAATTTAAAAGGAGGAGTTCAGGTGTCTATGGACAAATATAAGAGGATTTTTAATTGTAATGACTTAGAAATGGAAATAGTCAAAAGATTAAGATTAAGGCAGCTATCGTTAGGTACTAATGTGTTAGTATGTAACAATCATTAATTTGGCTGACTCCTTCTAACAAACATTAGCTTCATTATTTGTGTATATGTGTGTGAAAAATAGTGAGTTTTAATTAATTCACATTTGGTTGATTTAATAAATGCACCCAACTATCCATTTACAAATAGCTTGCTACAATACAATTTCACTTAGAACTCAACTTCTAATAAAAATTCAGTTAAATCAGCAAATATTTCTTAGACATCTATTTTGTGTACGTGTGAGGTACTGAGTAATTTTCTTTGGGGGATGTTACTCAGTTTTCACAGATGAGGGCAGGGGATTTTCCTATCTTCTTAACCACTATATTTCCAGCGTTTAGAATAGTTCCTAAGACATAACTGGCATTCAAATAAAGCTCTCTGTGGTATTGGCTATAATATGAGCTTTATCTGTGAAGTACTTTAAACAGAAGATGTAATTAGGTCATAGAAGTGTGAGGAAGCAAAACAGATATCCTACTCTGCTGCAATTTTGTTTAAGAACATTTAAACTCTCTGAGATAAACCACACACACACGTGCATGCACACACATGTGTGCCTGTGAATGCAGTATTTTCTTCTAGTCTCTAATGTAGATGAAGGCTTAATTTCATTTCCTGTAAGTTGATGATTCCTTAAATAAAATGCTGATACTGATAGATACATAAGATCCTTGCAAACAGGGTAATTATGTGTAGTAGTTGTTATTTTCCACCAAAGAGAATTATAAACAGACTGAAAATTTGAAGGTTTTTTTTTGTTTGTTTGTTTGTTTTTTGACAGAGTCTCCCTCTGTTGCCCAGGCTGCAGTGCAGTGGTGCGATCTTGGCTCACTGCAATCTCTGCCTCCTGGGTTCAAGTGATTCTCCTGCCTCAGCCTCCGAGAGTAGCTGGAACTACAGGTGTGCACCACCACAACCAGCTAATTTTTTGTGTGTATTTTTAGTAGAGGTTTCTCCATGTTGGCCAGGCTAGTCTCGAACTCTTGACCTCAGGTGATCCACCCACCTCTGCCTCCCAAAGTGCTGGGATTACAGGTGTGAGCCACTGCAGCTGGCCAGAGGTTTTTAAATTTAAATATTTGGTATACCCTTTATTGAGAACCCACTTTGTCTAACAGATACAACCCCTTATAAAATTTTGCAAATAAAATTACTTTTTAAGTGCTAAACTTTGAGTCTTCTTTGGACAGTTACCATGGAGACCTTGATAAGATTACGCAGACCCATCCAATTATTGGAGTCACCTACACTGTATTGTTTGAGATATGCAATCTCATGGGCCCCTTGAACCCAGATTGGCCTTTCTTAACTCTCGGGGTGAACCTTACCATCTTGTGATAAAGATTTCACTTTCACTTACTTTGATTCTAGATTAAGTCTAGTTCTGTTTTTTTAAGCCACCCTTCTCTTGCCTTCATTAATGGAGGAAACGTTGAAATATGTTTTTGTTTTTTTGACTTTGCTATCAAAAACACTGCATGTGTTTGCTTTTGGTAGAAGATAACAGGCAATATAGATGACTATTTAGGTACTTATGTATGACCTTTTTGTTTGTTTGTTTTTTATTTCTCAAGGAGTGTCTTATCTCCTGGCACTTGGGACACCCATGTGTTTGCTTCAAGGCCACCAGATTTTGGTTTAGTTGGACTAATAGTCTTTCTCAACTGTGGGGTTGACAAGTTACTCACACCACTTTCTGTGCCATTGAATATTTGATTTTCTGATGGCTGATAAAATTATCTTTGCTATTTGTCTTGGTTTCAACAACAACAACAACAACAAAAACAAAACTCTCACTCACCTTGTAAGCATGCAGTGTAACAGAGAAGCAGTCCCTAGATCAAGGAATATTGCAACAACTGTAACTTTAAGCCTTTTGTGACTCCTTGACTTTCATGTTCTGATGCTGTTACTACTGACTATTGAGTTTTTAATGAGAGGGTGACAAGTGTGTTCAGTTTCAAAGTTCATGAGTCAAAGATGGCCATTGACATGTCTGTCTTTGTTAAAATGTCTCTTTTTAGGTTTTTTAATTTTTAATTTTTATGGGTATATAGAAGGTGTATATATTTATGGGCTACATGGGATGTTTTGATACAAGCATGCAATGTGAAATAATCACATGATGGCGAGTGGAGTATCCATCCCCCTCAAGCATTTATTCTTTGTGTTTCAAACAATCCAATTAGTATTTTATTTATTTATTTTATATATATATATATATATATAATTTTTTTTACTGAAATATTCAGTCTCCATATCCCTGGAGACTGTCAAAAATTGCCAATACTGACTATGTTACAAGTCATCATGGTGGAGTATTGGGAAAAGTTTTCAATTAGCAATAATCACACCTCAGATAAACCTCATTGGCTACAATACTGCCATGGTGCAAAGCTCTTTTAGTTATTTTAAAATGTACAATTAAGTTAGTATTGAATGTAGTCACCCTGTTGTCCTATAAATACTAGGTCTTATTCACGCTATTATTTTGTACCCATTCATGGTTAAAACATCTCTGTCATTTATAAAATTGAAACTAAAATAATCTGTTTCTATAAATCATGACTGCTGGTTGAAAATCAGTTAAATAATAAAAATACTATTTTTTTTAAACAGAGAATCCTGCATTCTAAAGGATCTAGTCTGGATGCCAGGAGCTGTGTATAGGATGAGAGCCTGGTGGACCTGATTGACCGCCTGTTGTTCAGTTCAGTTCAGAGACTGAAAATCAGGATTTGTGCTGGAGAGTCTTTGAACTGTGTGTGAAAGTATCTGAAGGTCCATGACAATTTGAAAGGTAAACAGTAATGGACTTTCATAGATCTATAGTATTTGCTCTTGACCTTGGCTGAAATTGTAAAACAGGCTGCCACATCTCTGTAAGTACTTTTCTCTTCTTGCATACAAATGAATTGGTTTTTTATAAGTGTCCATTCATAACTGTAGCCCTTTTGCATCTGTGTCTAGTGACTTTTATGGGAAAACTTTTGGGGGATAATTGATTATAGGAATTTGTCATTTGTGCACAAATGTCTGAAGGGTTTAATGTCTAATTTAACAGAAGGCATATGAAAAAGGTGCAGGAATCGAAGGCACGAGATACACCTGAAAGTGGTGGAGCAATGAATCTGAACAGGATGATGGATTGAAAGTGCTCAAAAGAGGCAGCTAGGATCCTGTATTCATGTCCTACCACTGCAGCCAGGGAAAGATCCTCCCACATCTATCAGAAGACTGGAGGATTATGTCTGGAGAGATTGAATTCTAGGGATGCTCAGGCCCAAATGAAGGTGGGATGACAAGCCTTGATAAAATCTTTCAGTAGAAATAGTAGAGAATTTTAAGAGAATTTTATTGAAATTTTTGAGACATTTTTGTATGTCTGGGAAAAGAGGAAACTAACTTGTTAGTGCTTTTCTGATTTGAATAATATGTGTCGGAAGAAACTGGAGGTGAAATGTGAATGATCCTTTTCTGGCTTGTCTGGAGGTTTTGCCTCAACAGAGAAATCTAAAGGGTTATGAATTTATAACATTATTTCTTTGCTCTCCAAAAAATGGAAGCTTTCATAAAAATACATCAAAGTTTTAGAAAACAGCATATTTGTCTCTGGTCTTTCTTTTTGGAATGATTGTTATTTGGAAGTTAGACCCTCCTTGGTCAATCATCTCATTTTATTATTATTTTTTCTTATTTTCTTGTTCTAGTCTCTGGCAGATTTTCTCAACTTTATTTTTCAACCCTTCTTTTGAATTCTTCACTTCCTATATTGTATTTTCAATTTCCAAGAGCCTTTTTTGTTTGTTTGTTCTCTGATGGTTCTTTGTTTTTTCAGCCTCTTATTTTTATTTCATGGATACAATATACTCTCTTCTTTTACAAGGAGATTAATTATTATATTTTGAAACTTTCTTGGCTATTTTCTCTGTTTCTTGGATTGTCTTTCTTTTTAACATTTTTGTCTCTCTTTTCATTTTGAATCCTGTCTTTCAAGAGAGGGCTATTCTTTAAGATAGAAGTAATAACAAAACAGACTAGAAACTGTATTTGGATGGAGAATGGATATAAACTGGTAGGCTTTACTCGAGAAGGTTCTGGCTGGGCCTTTTTGTTGGAGAGCCATCAACTTGCAGTATCTTTAGGTATTTTTGGAGGGTTGGTAACTTTTTCCAGAGAGGACTCCACTAATCTTTTGTCAAAAGAATCTAAGCCTGCTTGCAGGTTCTGCCAGCTGACTGGGGACTAGGGCTTGAGAATTTCTTTTAGTTAATACCCTTGTTTTTATCAGGGAATCTCGTATTCACCTTAATCTGTGCCTGCATCCGGCATCCGCTGAATTCAGTTTTCCACATAGTAATCCTCGAGACTCCTGGTATGATATGGGGGTCTGTCAGCTGTCTGTGATGGGTGGAAAAGGAGCCCTGGAATTCTATCTGCCTCTTTTTACACACTTTCAATCCTATTTTTAGATCCTACTCTGCTGCTTTCAGAAGTATTTGGTACCTTCATCCCTGAGGTGTTATACCAGGGTTTGGCAAACTGTAATCTGCCAACCAAATCATGATTTGCTTTGTCCTTTCAATCTTTGCCTGTTTTTATAAATAAAGTTTTCTTGGAACACAGCCATGTCCATAGACATGTATTATCTATGACTGCAGAGACGGACAGTTGTGACAGAGACCCTATGGCATGGAAAGCTTGAAATATTTACTATCTGGACCTTTACATAAAAAATGTACTGACAACTGTACTACACTACAGTATGAATCAACCTGCTTCTGGATTTCCCCTATTGCTACCTTGGGTTTGAGTGCTTTCTGATTTACTAAATTGTTTACCATTTATTGATCTATTTTCTAGGTTTCAAAGTTCATTATCATTTTATTTTCTTTCAATCTTTTTGTCTTTGTGGATTTATTCCTTTTGCTTCCTTTAGTGTAATTTTAGTATAGAGTTTCAGGAGAGTGTAGAGGCGAACCTTGAGTTTGCTCCACCATGTTCAATCAGAAATCTGAGGTAGGAATCATCAATGCCATTAGAAAAGAAAACTAAGTTTGCAGGAAGTTAATTGCTCAAGGTCACAGAGAAGAACTGGGATACAAGCCCAGGTCTTTTGGAGAGCCCCTGTAAGGTAAACACCACAAGGGCAGTGATTTTGTTTTGTTCACTGCTGTAGTCTTAGAACTTTGACAGATATTTAGGATGTACTGGATAAATATTTATTTTAGTTGTTGCCAGTAAAATCATGTTTGTAACCATTTTGATTCATTATCTCCAATAAGTATTGATTTTTCTCAGGAATATTTGTTTCAGTCTCTGGATTGTTCCCATTATGAATTATGGCCTGTGTTTGTCACTAGCTTGTTATGTAAAATCAGAGCAGAGGCTGTTTGAATTTTAGTAACCTCAAATTTTGTCCTTATTTCATTCAGTGCGGTAGTGAGAACCATACAAGATATGGTGTCTGAAAGCTCATTGACATGTATAAAGTGTAAAATGCAAGGTTTTATTGTCAGAGTTTATAATATTAAATATCACCAATTGTACAATGGAAATTCAATGTTAAATAATAAATATACCATAATAGGTGTTCTTTTCCTTAAAATAGTTTCTTGGCTTGGTTCCAGGATATCAGGCTCTTGGTCTACTCCTACGTCATTGACTAAACATTCTCAGTCTCCTTAGCTGGGTTTGCCTCTTCATTACAATCTCTAAATGTTGGAGGGACGAGGGACAAATCCTCAAGCCTCTTCTTTTCTCTCTTTATATCCTCCCCTAGGTGGTCTCATTCAGTTCCATGATTTTAAATACTGTCTATGTATATTAATTACTCACAACCTTTTATCTCCCTGATCTTCCTCTAATCTCTAGAAATCTCTTTTACAATTTATCCACTTGGATATTTAATAGACACTTCAAACATAACACACCACTGTATTCTAGAATCTCTGAGTCCTGGGACTATTGAAATTTTGGGCTGGATAATTCTTGTTTTGGGGGACTGTCCTGTGCACTGTAGGATGCTTAGAAGCATCCCTGGCCTCTATCCACTATATGCCAGTAGCACCTCCCAGTTGTGATAACAAAAATTGTTTCCAGAGCTTGTTAAATCTCCCCTCATGGGCAAAATCACTCCTGATGAAATACCAGTAGTTTATTCTAGCTTCCAACACATTCTGAACCTCCTTATTTTTCTCTACCTGAGTAAAAGGGACCACTATCCATCTCCAAACCTAGATCTCATTCTTGATTTTTTTGCTTTACCTTACTCCCTACATCTAATGTAGCAGTGTCAATAAACTTTATCATAAAAATCCATCCCAAATCTGTCAACTCTCAGCTCACTACTACTGCCACTTGCATTAGTCAGGCTTTGCTGTGGTAATGATGGTAAAAAATAGCTCCGAAATATTCATGGCTAAGAACTGAAATTTTTTTTGACCTACCAGTCTATAGGTTGTCTATGACTCTGCAAGACTATGAGTGATGTTCAGGTATGCCTCATCTGTTTCTTATTCTTGGACACAGGTCAAAAGAGTGGAGTCTAGTCAGAGCATGTTTCTCTCTATTCTCACAGAATAGGAGCACACGTGGGCAAGTAGAAATGGGCAAGGCTTTCTAACAGCTTTGCTCAAAATTGGCACTTTCACTTCTGCTCATATTCTATTGGTCAAACTAAATCACATGGCCAAGCCACAAGTCAGTAGATCAGAGAAGTACACTTCACCAGCAGAAAAGCCACAACAAAGGCCAAGTGGAAGAAAAAAGTTGGGAACAAATAATACTCTGTGCAACTTCACCCTGTTTCTAGCCTTTATCATCTCTGACCTGAATGATATCAATAGCCTCCCTAATGGTCTCCCCAGTTCTTCTCATGCTCCCAGTACAGGAGCCCAAAGTGATTTTTCAGAAACATAAATCAGATTCCATCACTCTTAGACTTAAAACTCTTCAATGGCTTCTCCTCACACTAACAGTAAAAATTAATCACCTTTGTTGTTAAATGCTAAAACAAAGTGCTGAAAGTGTATATGGTATGCTACCTTTTGTGTGACAAATAAGAGGAAAGAAGAAAATGTGCACAAATCTACCTATCTTTAGAAAAAGAAACACCAGAAGTATCATCCACAAAAAGATGAAGTTGGTTAACTATATGGAATGGTTAGGGAAGGGGAACAGGGTGGAAAGGATAGGTCATACAGTGACACATCTCTGAGTATACTTTTTGTTTAATTTTGAAAAATTTTTTTGAACAACACTATAACCTCTGTCTTGGGTTGCATTGTAGTTGGGGGAAGGTAGGGAGGGAAAAGCAAACACATCCTCAGCTCTTCTTAATAGGTTTGATTTTTATGTTGGTATGAGTGAAACAATTCTAAAATTACTTTTGATATCTATAGGTTTGAGCACACAATGAAATGAGTTGATATTGACTGTTGGGAACCAGAGTTCTCAGTGGATGAAGAGACACAGAAAAATAAAATGAAGGAAGGCAAAGAAGATCTCTGAAGAGATGGATTGGAATTGGAAGCATTAGTATGAACCATGATTCTAAAATAGTTATATATTGATGTCTATGCTTGTATATATCCAGAAGTTTATGTATGTATGTTTAAATGTGTGTGTAATATATATGTATACATATATGTACACATGTATATATTTCCTAGCTTTGTCTACTGAAAGGGTCCACAAGCAAAATCTTGTAGCGGATCTTGGTCTCTAAGATTGTTCCCTGTTAAAAAAAAAACAGGATCCGTTGGAGAAATTGCTGATTCCAGTGCTGTAGCAGAAAAGGTAATACATGATCCTAAAATCAGTAGTCTCATTCTGTTAGATTACTGTGGGGTTCAGTATGGTAGCCACTAGTCTCTTGTGCTATTTATTTATTTATTTTTATTATTATGCTTTAAGTTCTAGGGTACATGTGTACAGCATGCAGGTTTGTTGCATATGTATACATCTGCCATGTTGGTGTGCTGCACCCATTAACTGGCAATTTACATTAGGTAAATCTCCTAATGCTATCCCTGCTCCCTCCCCCAACCCCATGTCAGGCCCCAGTATGTGATGATCCTCATCCTGTGTCCAAGTGTTTTCATTGTTCAGTTCCCACCTGTGAGTGAGAACATGCAGTGTTTGGTTTTCTATCCTTGCGATAGTTTGCTCAGAATGATGGTTTCTAATTTCATCCATGTCCCTACAAAGGACATGAACTCATCCTTTTTTATGGCTGCATAGTATTCCACGGTGTATATGTGCCACATTTTCTTTTTTTTTTCTTTTTTTTTTTTTTATTATACTCTAAGTTTTAGGGTACATGTGCACATTGTGCAGGTTAGTTACATATGTATACATGTGCCATGCTGGTGCGCTGCACCCACTAATGTGTCATCTAGCATTAGGTATATCTCCCAATGCTATCCCTCCCCCCTCCCCCGACCCCACCACAGTCCCCAGAGTGTGATATTCCCCTTCCTGTGTCCATGTGATCTCATTGTTCAATTCCCACCTATGAGTGAGAATATGCGGTGTTTGGTTTTTTGTTCTTGCGATAGTTTACTGAGAATGATGGTTTCCAATTTCATCCATGTCCCTACAAAGGATATGAACTCATCATTTTTTATGGCTGCATAGTATTCCATGGTGTATATGTGCCACATTTTCTTAATCCAGTCTATCATTGTTGGACATTTGGGTTGGTTCCAAGTCTTTGCTATTGTGAATAGTGCCGCAATAAACATACGTGTGCATGTGTCTTTATAGCAGCATGATTTATACTCATTTGGGTATATACCCAGTAATGGGATGGCTGGGTCAAATGGTATTTCTAGTTCTAGATCCCTGAGGAATCGCCACACTGACTTCCACAATGGTTGAACTAGTTTACAGTCCCACCAACAGTGTAAAAGTGTTCCTATTTCTCCGCATCCTCTCCAGCACCTGTTGTTTCCTGACTTTTTAATGATTGCCATTCTAAATGGTGTGAGATGATATCTCATAGTGGTTTTGATTTGCATTTCTCTGATGGCCAGTGATGATGAGCATTTCTTCATGTGTTTTTTGGCTGCATAAATGTCTTCTTTTGAGAAGTGTCTGTTCATGTCCTTCGCCCACTTTTTGATGGGGTTGTTTGTTTTTTTCTTGTAAATTTGTTTGAGTTCATTGTAGATTCTGGATATTAGCCCTTTGTCAGATGAGTAGGTTGCAAAAATTTTCTCCCATGTTGTAGGTTGCCTGTTCACTCTGATGGTAGTTTCTTTTGCTGTGCAGAAGCTCTTTAGTTTAATTAGATCCCATTTGTCAATTTTGTCTTTTGTTGCCATTGCTTTTGGTGTTTTGGACATGAAGTCCTTGCCCACGCCTATGTCCTGAATGGTAATGCCTAGGTTTTCTTCTAGGGTTTTTATGGTTTTAGGTTTAACGTTTAAATCTTTAATCCATCTTGAATTGATTTTTGTATAAGGTGTAAGGAAGGGATCCAGTTTCAGCTTTCTACATATGGCTAGCCAGTTTTCCCAGCACCATTTATTAAATAGGGAATCCTTTCCCCATTGCTTGTTTTTCTCAGGTTTGTCAAAGATCAGATAGTTGTAGACATGCGGCATTATTTCTGAGGGCTCTGTTCTGTTCCATTGATCTATATCTCTGTTTTGGTACCAGTACCATGCTGTTTTGGTTACTGTAGCCTTGTAGAATAGTTTGAAGTCAGGTAGTGTGATGCCTCCAGCTTTGTTCTTTTGGCTTAGGATTGACTTGGCAATGCGGGCTCTTTTTTGGTTCCATATGAACTTTAAAGTAGTTTTTTCCAATTCTGTGAAGAAAGTCATTGGTAGCTTGATGGGGATGGCATTGAATCTGTAAATTACCTTGGGCAGTATGGCCATTTTCACGATATTGATTCTTCCTACCCATGAGCATGGAATGTTCTTCCATTTGTTTGTATCCTCTTTTATTTCCTTGAGCAGTGGTTTGTAGTTCTCCTTGAAGAGGTCCTTCACATCCCTTGTAAGTTGGATTCCTAGGTATTTTATTCTCTTTGAAGCAATTGTGGGAGTTCACCCATGATTTGGCTCTCTGTTTGTCTGTTGTTGGTGTATAAGAATGCTTGTGATTTTTGTACATTGATTTTGTATCCTGAGACTTTGCTGAAGTTGCTTATCAGCTTAAGGAGATTTTGGGCTGAGACGATGGGGTTTTCTAGATAAACAATCATGTCGTCTGCAAACAGGGACAATTTGACTTCCTCTTTTCCTAATTGAATACCCTTTATTTCCTTCTCCTGCCTGATTGCCCTGGCCAGAACTTCCAACACTATGTTGAATAGGAGCGGTGAGAGAGGGCATCCCTGTCTTGTGCCGGTTTTCAAAGGGAATGCTTCCAGTTTTTGCCCATTCAGTATGATATTGGCTGTGGGTTTGTCATAGATAGCTCTTATTATTTTGAAATACGTCCCATCAATACCTAATTTATTGAGAGTTTTTAGCATGAAGGGTTGTTGAATTTTGTCAAAGGCTTTTTCTGCATCTATTGAGATAATCATGTGGTTTTTGTCTTTGGCTCTGTTTATATGCTGGATTACATTTATTGATTTGCGTATATTGAACCAGCCTTGCATCCCAGGGATGAAGCCCACTTGATCATGGTGGATAAGCTTTTTGATGTGCTGCTGGATTCGGTTTGCCAGTATTTTATTGAGGATTTTTGCATCAATGTTCATCAAGGATATTGGTCTAAAATTCTCTTTTTTGGTTGTGTCTCTGCCCGGCTTTGGTATCAGAATGATTCTGGCCTCATAAAATGAGTTAGGGAGGATTCCCTCTTTTTCTATTGATTGGAATAGTTTCAGAAGGAATGGTACCAGTTCCTCCTTGTACCTCTGGTAGAATTCGGCTGTGAATCCATCTGGTCCTGGACTCTTTTTGGTTGGTAAACTATTGATTATTGCCACAATTTCAGAGCCTGTTATTGGTCTATTCAGAGATTCAACTTCTTCCTGGTTTAGTCTTGGGAGAGTGTATGTGTCGAGGAATGTATCCATTTCTTCTAGATTTTCTAGTTTATTTGCGTAGAGGTGTTTGTAGTATTCTCTGATGGTAGTTTGTATTTCCGTGGGATCGGTGGTGATATCCCCTTTATCATTTTTTATTGTGTCTATTTGATTCTTCTCTCTTTTTTTCTTTATTAGTCTTGCTAGCGGTCTATCAATTTTGTTGATCCTTTCAAAAAACCAGCTCCTGGATTCATTGATTTTTTGAAGGGTTTTTTGTGTCTCTATTTCCTTCAGTTCTGCTCTGATTTTAGTTATTTCTTGCCTTCTGCTAGCTTTTGAATGTGTTTGCTCTTGCTTTTCTAGTTCTTTTAATTGTGATGTTAGGGTGTCAATTTTGGATCTTTCCTGCTTTCTCTTGTAGGCATTTAGTGCTATAAATTTCCCTCTACACACTGCTTTGAATGCGTCCCAGAGATTCTGGTATGTGGTGTCTTTGTTCTCGTTGGTTTCAAAGAACATCTTTATTTCTGCCTTCATTTCGTTATGTACCCAGTAGTCATTCAGGAGCAGGTTGTTCAGTTTCCATGTAGTTGAGCGGCTTTGAGTGAGATTCTTAAACCTGAGTTCTAGTTTGATTGCACTGTGGTCTGAGAGATAGTTTGTTATAATTTCTGTTCTTTTACATTTGCTGAGGAGAGCTTTACTTCCAACTATGTGGTCAATTTTGGAATAGGTGTGGTGTGGTGCTGAAAAAAATGTATATTCTGTTGATTTGGGGTGGAGAGTTCTGTAGATGTCTATTAGGTCTGCTTGGTGCAGAGCTGAGTTCAATTCCTGGGTATCCTTGTTGACTTTCTGTCTCGTTGATCTGTCTAATGTTGACAGTGGGGTGTTAAAGTCTCCCATTATTAATGTGTGGGAGTCTAAGTCTCTTTGTAGGTCACTGAGGACTTGCTTTATGAATCTGGGTGCTCCTGTATTGGGTGCATAAATATTTAGGATAGTTAGCTCCTCTTGTTGAATTGATCCCTTTACCATTATGTAATGGCCTTCTTTGTCTCTTTTGATCTTTGTTGGTTTAAAGTCTGTTTTATCAGAGACTAGGATTGCAACCCCTGCCTTTTTTTGTTTTCCATTGGCTTGGTAGATCTTCCTCCATCCTTTTATTTTGAGCCTATGTGTGTCTCTGCACGTGAGATGGGTTTCCTGAATACAGCACACTGATGGGTCTTGACTCTTTATCCAACTTGCCAGTCTGTGTCTTTTAATTGCAGAATTTAGTCCATTTATATTTAAAGTTAATATTGTTATGTGTGAATTTGATCCTGTCATTATGATGTTAGCTGGTGATTTTGCTCATTAGTTGATGCAGTTTCTTCCTAGTCTCGATGGTCTTTACATTTTGGCATGATTTTGCAGCGGCTGGTACCGGTTGTTCCTTTCCATGTTTAGCGCTTCCTTCAGGAGCTCTTTTAGGGCAGGCCTGGTGGTGACAAAATCTCTCAACATTTGCTTGTCTATAAAGTATTTTATTTCTCCTTCACTTATGAAGCTTAGTTTGGCTGGATATGAAATTCTGGGTTGAAAATTCTTTTCTTTAAGAATGTTGAATATTGGCCCCCACTCTCTTCTGGCTTGTAGGGTTTCTGCCGAGAGATCCGCTGTTAGTCTGATGGGCTTTCCTTTGAGGGTAACCCGACCTTTCTCTCTGGCTGCCCTTAACATTTTTTCCTTCATTTCAACTTTGGTGAATCTGACAATTATGTGTCTTGGAGTTGCTCTTCTCGAGGAGTATCTTTGTGGCGTTCTCTGTATTTCCTGAATCTGAACGTTGGCCTGCCTTGCTAGATTGGGGAAGTTCTCCTGGATAATATCCTGCAGAGTGTTTTCCAACTTGGTTCCATTCTCCACATCACTTTCAGGTACACCAATCAGACGTAGATTTGGTCTTTTCACATAGTCCCATATTTCTTGGAGGCTTTGCTCATTTCTTTTTATTCTTTTTTCTCTAAACTTCCCTTCTCGCTTCATTTCATTCATTTCATCTTCCATTGCTGATACCCTTTCTTCCAGTTGATCGCATCGGCTCCTGAGGCTTCTGCATTCTTCACGTAGTTCTCGAGCCTTGGTTTTCAGCTCCATCAGCTCCTTTAAGCACTTCTCTGTATTGGTTATTCTAGTTATACATTCTTCTAAATTTTTTTCAAAGTTTTCAACTTCTTTGCCTTTGGTTTGAATGTCCTCCCGTAGCTCAGAGTAATTTGATCGTCTGAAGCCTTCTTCTCTCAGCTCGTCAAAATCATTCTCCATCCAGCTTTGTTCTGTTGCTGGTGAGGAACTGCGTTCCTTTGGAGGAGGAGAGGCGCTCTGAGTTTTAGAGTTTCCAGTTTTTCTGTTCTGTTTTTTCCCCATCTTTGTGGTTTTATCTACTTTTGGTCTTTGATGATGGTGATGTAGAGATGGGTTTTCGGTGTAGATGTCCTTTCTGGTTGTTAGTTTTCCTTCTAACAGACAGGACCCTCAGCTGCAGGTCTGTTGGAATACCCTGCCGTGTGAGGTGTCAGTGTGCCCCTGCTGGGGGGTGCCTCCCAGTTAGGCTGCTCGGGGGTCAGGAGTCAGGGACCCACTTGAGGAGGCAGTCTGCCCGTTCTCAGATCTCCAGCTGCGTGCTGGGAGAACCACTGCTCTCTTCAAAGCTGTCAGACAGGGACACTTAAGTCTGCAGAGGTTACTGCTGTCTTTTTGTTTGTCTGTGCCCTGCCCCCAGAGGTGGAGCCTACAGAGGCAGGCAGGCCTCCTTGAGCTGTGGTGGGCTCCACCCAGTTCGAGCTTCCTGGCTGCTTTGTTTACCTAAGCAAGCCTGGGCAATGGTGGGCGCCCCTCCCCCAGCCTCGTTGCCGCCTTGCAGTTTGATCTCAGACTGCTGTGCTAGCAATCAGCGAGATTCCGTGGGCGTAGGACCCTCCGAGCCAGGTGTGGGATATAGTCTCATGGTGCGCCGTTTCTTAAGCCGGTCTGAAAAGCGCAATATTCGGGTGGGAGTGACCCGATTTTCCAGGTGCGTCCGTCTCCCCTTTCTTTGACTCGGAAAGGGAACTCCCTGACCCCTTGCGCTTCCCAGGTGAGGCAATGCCTCGCCCTGCTTCGGCTCGCGCACGGTGCGCACACACACTGGCCTGCGCCCACTGTCTGGCACTCCCTAGTGAGATGAACCCGGTACCTCAGATGGAAATGCAGAAATCACCGTCTTCTGCGTCGCTCACGCTGGGAGCTGTAGACCGGAGCTGTTCCTATTCGGCCATCTTGGCTCCTCCCCCGTGCCACATTTTCTTAATCCAGTCTATCACTGATGGACATTTTGGTTGGTTCCAAGTCTTTGCTATTGTGAATAGTGCCACAATAAACATATGTGTGCATGTGTCTTTACAGCAGCATGATTTATAATCCTTTGGGTATATACCCAGTAATGGAATGGCTGGGTCAAATGGTATTTCTAGTTCTAGATCCTCGAGGAATTGCCACACTGTCTCCCACAATGGTTGAACTAGTTTACAGTCTCACCAACAGTGTAAAAGTGTTCCTGTTTCTCCACATCCTCTCCAGCACCTGTTGTTTCCTGACTTTTTAATGATCACCATTCTAACTGAAGTGGTATCTTATTGTGGTTTTGATTTGCATTTCTCTGATGGCCAGTGACAATGAGCATTTTTTCATATGTCTGTTGGCTGCATAAATGTCTTCTTTTGAGAAGTGTCTGTTCATATCCTTTGCCCACTTTTTGATGGGGTTGTTTGTTTTTTTCTTGTAAATTTGTTTAAGTTCTTTGTAGATTCTGGATATTAGCCCTTTGTCAGATGGGTAGATTGCAAAAATTTTCTCCCATTCTGTAGGTTGCCTGTTCACTCTGATAGTAGTTTCTTTTGCTATGCAGAAGCTCTTTAGTTTAATGAGATCCCATTTGTCAATTTTGTCTTTTGTTGCCATTGCTTTTGATGTTTTAGTCAAGAAGTCCTTGCCCATGCCTATGTCCTGAATGGTATTGCCTAGGTTTTCTTCTAGGGCTTTTGTGGTTAGGTCTAACATTTAAGCCTTTAATCCATCTTAAATTAATTTTTGTATAAGGTGTAAGGAAGGGATCCAGTTTCAGCTTTCTACATATGGCTAGCCAGTTTTCCCAGCACCATTTATTAAATAGGGAATCCTTTCCCCATTTCTCATTTTTGTCAGGTTTGTCAAAGATCAGATGGTTGCGGATGTGCGGTATTATTTCTGAGGCCTCTGTTCTGCTCCATTGGTCTATATCTCTATTTTTGTACAAGTACCATGCTGTTTTGGGTACTGTAGCCTTGTAGCATAGTTTGAAGTCAGGTAGCATGATGCCTCCAGCTTTGTTCTTTTGGCTTAGGATTGACTTGGCAATGCAGGCTCTTTTTTGGTTCCATATGAAATTTAAAGTAGTTTTTTTCAAATTCTGTGAAGAAAGTCATTGGTAGCTTGATGGGGATGGCATTGAATCTATAAATTACCTTGGGCAGTATGGCCATTTTCATGATATTGATTCTTCCTACCCATGAGCATGGAATGTTCTTGCATTTGTTTCTGTCCTCTTTTATTTCATTGAGCAGTGGTTTGTAGTTCTCCTTGAAGAGGTCCTTCACATCCCTTGTAAGTTGGATTCCTAGATATTTTATTCTGTTTGGAGCAATTGTGAAAGGGAGTTCACTCATGATTTGGCTGTTCGTCTGTTATTGGTTTATAGGAATGCTTGTGATTTTTGCACATTGATTTTGTATCCTGAGACTTTGCTGAAGTTGCTTATCAGCTTAAGGAGATTTTGGCCTGAGACGATGGGGTTTGCTAAATGTACAATCATGTCATCTGCAAACAGGGACAATTTGACTTCCTCTTTTCCTCAGCAGAAACTCTACAAGCCAGAAGAGAGTGAGGGCCAATATTTAACATTCTTAAAGAAAAGAATTTTCAACCCAGAATTTCATATCCAGCCAAACTAAGCTTCATAAGTGAAGGAGAAATAAAATTCTTTACAGACAAGCAAATGCTGAGAGATTTCATCACCATCAGGCCTGCTGTAAAAGAGCTCCTGAAGGAAGCACTAAACATGGAAAGGAACAACCGGTACCAGCCACTGCAAAAACATGCCAAATTGTAAAGACCATCAAGGCTAGGAAGAAACTGCATCAACTAACGAGCAAAATAACCAGCTAACATCATAATGACAGGATTAAATTCACACATAACAATATTAACCTTAAATGTAAATGGGTTAAACACTCTAATTAAAAGACACAGGCTGGCAAATTGGATAAAGAGTCCAGACCCATCGGTATGCTGTATTCAGGAGACCCATCTCATGTGCAGAGACACACATAGGCTCAAAATAAAGGGATGGAGGAAGATCTACCAAGCAAATGGAAAACAAAAAATGGCAGGGGTTGCAATCTTAGTCTCTGATAAAACAGATTTTAAACTAACAAAGACCAAAAGAGACAAGGCCATTACATAATGGTAAAGGGATCAATTCAACAAGAAGAGCTAAGTATCCTAAATATATATGTACTCAATACAGGAGCACTCAGATTCATAAAGCAAGTCCTTAGAGAAATACAAAGAGACTTAGACTCCCACACAATAATAATGGGAGACTTTAACACCCCACTGTCAACATTAGGCAGATCAACGTGACAGAAAGTTAACAAGGATACCCAGGAATTGAACTCAGCTCTGCACCAAGCAGACCTAATAGACATCTACAAAACTCTCCACCCCAAATTGACAGAATATACATTCTTCTCAGCACCACATCGCACTTAGTCCAAAATTGATCACATAGTTGGAAGTAAAGCACTCCTCAGCAAATGTAAAAGAACAGAAATTATAACAAACTGTCTCTCAGACCAGAGTGCAATCAAACTAGAACTCAGGATTAAGAAAGTCACTCAAAACCACTCAACTACATGGAAACTGAACAACCTGCTCCTCAATGACTACTGGGTACAGAATGAAATGAAGGCAGAAATAAGGATGTTCTTTGAAACCAACAAGAACAAAGACACAACATACCAGAATCTCTGGGACACATTTAAAGCAGTGTGTAGAGGGAAATTTATAGCACTAATTGCCCACAAGAGAAAGCAGGAGAGATCTAAAATTGACACCCTAACATCACAATTGAAAGAAGTAGAGAAGCAAGACCAAACACATTCAAAAGCTAGCAGAAGGCAAGAAATAACTAAAATCAGAGCAAAACTGAAGGAAATAGAGACACAAAAAACCCTTCAAAAAATTAATGAACCCAGGAGCTGGTTTTTTGAAAAGATCAAGTTTAGCAATCTTGATAGACTGCTAGCAAGACTAATAAAGAAGAAAAGAGAGAAGAATCAAATAGACACGATAAAAAATGACAAAGGGGATATCACCACCGATCCCACAGAAATACAAACTACTATCAGAGAATACTATAAACACCTCTATGCAAATAATCTAGGAAATCTAGAAGAAATGGATAAATTCCTGGACACATACACCCTCCCAAGACTAACCCAGGAAGAAGTTGAATCCCTGAATAGACCAATAACAGGCTCTGAAATTAAGGCAATAATTAATAGCCTACCAACCTAAAAAAGTCCATGGCCAGACGGATTCACAGTCGAATTCTATGAGAGGTACAAGGAGGAGTGTTACCATTCCTTCTGAAACTATTCCAATCAATAGAAAAAGAGGGAATCCTCCCTAACTCATTTTATGAGGCCAGCATCATCCTGATACCAAAGCCTGGCAGAGACACAACCAAAAAACAGAATTTTAGACCAATATGCCTGATGAACATCGATGCAAAAATCCTCAATAAAATACTGGCAAACTGAATCCAGCAGCACATCGAAAAGCTTATCCACCATGATCAAGTTGGCTTCATCCCTGGGATGCAAGTCTTGTTCAACATATGCAAATCAATAAACGTAATCCAGCATATAAACAGAACCAAAGACAAAAACCATATGATTGTCTCAGTAGATGCAGAAAAGGCCTTTGACAAAATTCAACAGCGCTTCATGCTAAAAACTCTCAATAAAATAGATATTGATGGGACGTATCTCAAAATAATAAGACCTCTTTTTGACAAACCCACAACCAATATCATACTGAATGGGCAAAAACTGGAAGCATTCCTCTTGTGGCTATTTAAAATTACATTAATTAAAATTAAATAAAATCAATAAGTCAGTTCCTCAGTTGCACTGGCCACATTTCAAATGCTCAATAGCTACACATGGCCAGTGGCTAAACTCCTGAATAGCCCAGATTCGGAACATTTCCATCATTGCCGAAAGTTCACCGGACGGCATTATGCTAGCAAGTACAAAGGAATGCTCCAAGAAATAATAATCACAATGACATACAAACCAGATTAAAGGGTCTGCTACTGGCCAAGACTAGGAAAATGTGGGCATTGAAATACTAGAAAATATTAAAATGATTAGAAACTTTAGTAACTTGTGTACCATTGGAAGAATACAAATCCATTCACACTGATGACAAGTAACATAAATAAATTAGAGAGAAGAGAGGACTCTTGCTTATAGTAGAATGCCGAAGACCAGTGGTAAATGGGGAAGGAATCCTGGAGTTTGAGATAGCCACTTTGCAACTGTCATAGTAAAGATAGGGTCAGGCACAAATCATTAATGGGGTATAAATCTAGAGGGAGACTTGGACAAAGACTAGGATGTTTGCATGATTTTCTCCAGATTGCTTATTAGTTGGAAGAACAAAAATGATAATTTTATAGTGGAGAAATCAGATAACACCTTGGCTGGGTGATCAACATTAACATTATCAGTGAGGGGCATATGGACATTGAGTTTCTCTATATACAGTACCCTTAGGAGGACACATCACTAAGGTACTAGTCTGGCTGGGATCCATTACCTGAACCTAATCACAAAGGAACCATTGGACAAAACCAAAATGAGTAATGTTTTATTTGAGACATAACAACAAAATGAAGTATCTGATTACTAGATGAGATTCTGAGTAGAGGGAAAAAGGACAGTTTTAGGCCAATTGATTAAATTGGATCACAGGTGGGAGATTAGATAAAAGTACTGTATTAATGTTAATTTGACTCAAGTTGATTATTATCAGGTGGTTATGTAAGACACATTCCTATTGTTAGAAAATACACATTGATGTGTTTAGGGGCAAAGGGCCAGGATGCATGCAACTCACTCTGAAATGGTTAAAAAATGCATCTACATACACCCAGACACATGTAAAGAGAAAACAAATGATAAAGCAAATGGGTTAAATGTTAACACTAGACAAATCTGGATAAAGAGAATGCAGATCTTTGTGGTGTTATTCTTTCAAATATGAAATTTCTTCCCCAAAAGAAGATTAAGAAGGTAATCTTAAAGTTCCTGTTTACTCTCATTTCTACTGTTTCTTTGACTTTATATCTGACTGGTTCAGCTTTTCCATCTCCCTGGGACCTGGAATGCATACATGTTCGTCTAGACTTAGAGTCTTTACATATGTTTTTCCCTCTACCTGGAACGTTCTCCCTTGGGTAGTTGCAGGAGTAGTGCCTTCTCATTGCTGAGATTCAAGTCTCCATCCACATGCCATCTCCTTAGAGAGAGGGGCTTTCTTCTTTGAACTTATCACTAACTGAAATTGTTCACTTTTTTTACTGTGTGTTTCTTCAAGTGAATGCACATTCCATGAGACCAGCAATTTTGTCTTTACTGCTGGATCTTTGTGTATCTAAAACAGAACCTTTATTGAGTAACCACCCAACAAATATTTGTTGAATGAATAAACAAATGACTCTTTAATGTCCTTTATGACCTTCATTTTATCATTCATGATTCTATAACTCACTTATGACCCCTCTGGGACCTAGCCCTGGGTCTGTTACAGTGGGTAGCATTAGGTTTGAGTAGGGCAGGAGAGGGCTCCCTCTCCAACCCCCCAGCGCAGACACTAGGAGTGTCGGGTGACCATCAGGTGATGGTCAGGTAGTTGTTAACTGTTTCTCTAAAGTAATAATTGGTCACAGCTGGTGCCAGGGAATGGAGGGCCCCCCCAACAGAAAACACCTGAAACCAGGCCAGGCACAGCAGCTCATGCCTGTAATCCCAGCAGTTTTGGAGGCAAAGGCAGGTGGATCACTTGAGACCAGGAGTTTGAGACAAGCCTGGCCAACACGGTGAAATCCCCATCTCTATTAAAAATACTAAAAATAGCCAGGGGTGGTAGCACACACCTGTAATCCCAGCTATAGCGGGGAATGTGGGTGGTGGGGGGTGGCAGTGGCTGAGGCACGAGAATCGCTAGAACCTGGGGGGTGGAGGTTGCAGTGAGCTGAGATCACTCCACTGCATGCCAGCCTGGGCAACAGAGTGAGACTCTGTCTCCAAAGGAAAAAAAAAAAAAAGGAAAAGAAAACATCTGAAATTGATCAGCAGCTTCCCAATAAGATTGCAAGATAAAAAAAAAGAAAGAGAAAACACCTGAAATTGATCAGCAGCTTCCCAATAAGATCTCAGAGTGGGGAGAAGTAACTCAAGATCCCAGAAGTATGTCAACATATAAAATCCAGAGTCAAGAGGTCAAGCTGAGCACTTGGTTTCTCAAGTAGCCTGCTTGGCCCTCTTCCAAGTTGTACTTTCCTTCTTTTATTTCCTTTCCTTACTGTTCTAAAGCCTTTTTTTTTTTTTTTAAATAAACTCCCACTCCTGCTCGAAAACTCACTTACAGCTCCTTTGCCTTATGGCCCTCAGTCGAATTCCTTCTTCTGAGGAGACAAGTATTGACATCGCTGCAGACCTGTATGGATAGGCCACCGGTAACTCAGATACCTTCCACAGGTAACGGGTCCTCCTTAGCTTGGTAGTGACATTGAAGAGTTTATGCCCTGAAATCACATGTCCCAGGTTCTAGCTCTAGCTCTGTCATTCACCTGTCCTTGCCTCTGGTCATGGGAGTGACCCCAAAGGCTTTTTTGGTGAAAATTTAATGAGATAATGAATATAAAATGTTTACAACAGTGCCTGGCACATAGGAATCAGTTAGTAAGTACTTGATATTTTAATCATTGATATATCTGCCTGGCACAAAGCCTGGCCTGGTTTCAGGTGTTTTCTGTTAGGTATTTAATAAATATTGAATTGCCAAATAGTAGGAATTCCATTTTCATTTCATTTGTTTTGGAAAATATCTCTTTTGGGAGTGGCATCTCTTTGCTGTATTTTGTTAGCAAAGAACCAAAAAAAAAAAAATCAAACTTAAAACATTTTTCATACCTATGAGTTAAATTTAAAAAATTTGGGGGAGAAATTTATATTTTTTGAAAGATTCTAAATCTTAGATTTTTGTATATGTATTATTCTGATTACCATAGATTTTTCCACAGTAGTTTAAAAGCACAGTTTAAACTAGGCATTCAATGGTGGCATCATCCTTTATTTTGCAGAGAATTGCAACAAAATACGTGGCTCAGTTGACACTAATTCTAATGTCATTGTTTCCTTGGCTTGTTTTGTTCTAATTTTTATTGAAATCCCCATAATAACTCCTTTTAAAGAGAAATCTATTTTATTTACTTCTATAATTCAGGTTCATATTTTTAGTTTATTTCTACTTCCTTACATGTCCATCAGTTGTGATTTAAAATTCCTTTTGGCATGTCATTTCAATCTTTTAAAGTGATTTTTATTTTTTGTCCCAGAATACAAATGATTTCCTTTTTAATTTTAAGTTCAGGGGTACATGTACAGGTTTGTCATAGGTAAACTGTGTCATGGGGGTTTGGTTTACAGATTATTTTGTCATCCAGGTAATAAGCACAGTACCTGATAGGTAGTTTTTCAATCATCACCCTCCTCCTACCCTCCACCCTCAAGTAGGCCTGGTATCTATTGTTCCCTTCATTGTGTCCATATGTACTCAATGTTTAGCTCCCACTTACAAGTGAGAATATGCAGTATTTGGTTTTCTGTTCCTGTGTTAGTTCACTTAGGATAATGGCCTCCAGTTCCATCCATGTTGCTGCAAAGAACATGATGTCATTCTTTTTTATGGCTGTGCAGTATTCCATGGTGCAAATGTAACACATTTTTTAAAAATCCAGGCTTTCACTGATAGGCATTTAGGTTGATTTCATATCTTTGCTATTGTGAATAGTGCTGCAATGAACATACATGTGCATGTGTTTTGATGACAGAATGATTTATTTTCCTTTGGGTATATACCCAATAATGGGATAGCAAAGTTGAATGGTAGTTCTACCTTTAGCTTTTTGAGGAATTGCCATACTGCTTTCCACAATGGTTGAACTAATTTACAATCCCACCAACGGTGTATAAGGGTTCCCTTTCTACCAGAACCTCACCAGCATCTGTTATTTATTGACTTTTTAATAATAGCTGTTTACTGGTGTGAGATGGTATCTCACTGTGGTTTTTTTGATTTGCATTTCTCTAATGATTAGTGATGTTGAGCATTTTTTCATATGCTTGTTGGCCACATGTATGTCTTCTTTTGAAAAATGTTCATGTCCTTTGCCACTTTTTAAGGGGTTGTTTTTTGCTTGTAAATTTAATTTTCTTATACAATCTGGATGTTAGACATTTGTCGGATGCATAGTTTGCAAATATTTTCTCCCATTTTGTAGGTTATCTGTCTGCAGAGTGCAAATAATTTCTAATTGATTTACTGGTGAAACACTATACAACTAGAAACTTTATTTTGCTATTTCTATTTCATATATTGCCTTAATTCTTG
The DNA here is from genome assembly GCF_000001405.40 of Homo sapiens. Classification (NCBI taxonomy): domain Eukaryota; kingdom Metazoa; phylum Chordata; class Mammalia; order Primates; family Hominidae; genus Homo; species Homo sapiens. Next base: position 86,013,562 of record NC_000006.12, read on the forward strand.
TTCATAAATGTATTCTTTCCTTCTGTATGAAGCATTAGTACTTTGATTTTTAAGAAATTGACATGCTTTTGTTACTTTTTGTCTGCGTTACCAATAATTTGTTTTATTTGTTCCTTTTAATTAATGCTATAGCAAATTAAAGCTATAAAGCCCTTTTTAATGGTTCATTTTTGTTGAATAATGTAAGAAGTTTTAATACCACGTTTCATTTATTTTGATTATATTATATACACTTATAATCTGTAAATAACTGCTTTAAAGTTGTTTAAAAAGAATCTCTGAAAATCCATATCTATGAGAATATTATAATATTCAAGACTCAAAATCAGAATATGTGGCAAAAAATTTTACCCCACTGTCCTTTTGGAAGGCATACAACTAGATTTTTAAGAGTTTAACAATCAAATCACAGTTTTAGTAAATGTAGGAGCTCTCTATGGCATTGTAAATTAGGGCATCCTGTGACAGTTGTACTATCATAATCAACAAGTACATTGCTTTGTGGCCTTGGTGGATATAACACAGTCCTCCTTTGTTTTGTGAATTCAGCAGGGTAATGCTATGGAAGCTGTGAGTAGACTGTCTCCTCTATTTAAGAATCTCAGTTTGATTAATAATTATTCTAAATTTTATGAACATCTCTTGGCAAGTTTAATGGGCTGAAATGTGTCCCTCCAAAATTCTTATGTTGAAGCTCTAATCCCCAGTACCTCAGAATATGACTGTATTTGGAGACAGGACTTTTAAAGAGGTGAAAAGTTAAAATGAGGTTGTTCAGGTGGGCCCTAATCCAATATGACTTGTGTCCTAATAAAGACAGGAAATTTGGACACACAGACACCAGCGATGGGGACACCCAGAGAAAAGGCCATATGAGGGTTCAGAGAGAAGGTTGCTGTTTGCCATCCAAGACAAGAGGCCTCAGGAGAAACAAAACCTGCTGGCACCTTGATCTTGGACTTTCACCCTCCAAAACTGTGGAAGATAAATTTCTGTTTTTTAGGCCACCCAGTCTGTGTACCTTGTTATCGTAGCCCTAGAAGACTAATACAGCAAGTCTCCCAATAATTCTCTTGGCTTGACAAAAATTTTTCAGTTTCAGTAGTTGTTGAAAATTTTTCTCATTCCCCAAATTTGTTAATCAGGGAAAAATGGCCTCTCAACAGCACATATATACCTGAAGCTGAAGAAAGATAGTAAAATCCCATCTCTACTAAAAGTACAAAAATTAGCCAGGCATGGTGGTGTGTACCTGTAATCCCAGCTACTTGGGAGGCTGAGGCAGGAGAATTGCTTGAACCCGAGAGGCAGAGGTTGCAGTGAACTGAGATCGCACCACTGCACTCCAGCCTGGGTGACTAAACGAGACTCTGTCTCAAAACAAACAAACAAAAAAAAACTTTTTAAATGTGTGGGTTATCAGTATTCTCTATCTTAGCCTATACTTCATTACACTTTTGTCCGATACTATTAACTAATTCTCATTTAAGTAAGACTTAAGGCTATAGAAAGTACATTAAAAAGTTCATTATAGCCAGGTGCAGTGGCTTATACCTGTAATCCCAGCACTTTGGAAGGCTGAAGCAGGTGATTGGTTGAGCCCAGGAGCTCGGGAACAGCCTGGGCAACATGATGAAACCCTGTCTCTACAAAAATTAGCTGGATGTGGTGCTGCTTATCTGTAGTACCAGCTACTTGGGGGGCTGAGGGAGGGGGATTGCTTGAATCCAGGAGGTTGAGGCTGCAGTGAGCAGAGATCATGCTACTGCACTCCAGCCTGGGTGACAAAGTGGGACCCTGTCTCAAAAAAATAAAAAGAAAAAAGTTTGGTATATAACACAGTGAGAATAGTACTCCAAAAGACATCAGACCTTTTCTGTGTCACCCCATTGAGGGCTTTATAAAATGGAATACAGTTTAATGGGATAGACCCTATTAAGACAGTATTTCCAAGTTTTACCTGTTTTAGGAAATTAACATAGAAGATTGTTACCAAGTCCAAGATTCAAGCCACACTTCAAAATAATTTTTTTCTACTCTATGATGTGAGTGCAATTATTTTTCAAAGTACATACACAGTTTTACCAAGCAAGTTTACTTGATGGACTAAATTTCAAATATATAATTTAACTGATATTTTACTAGGTTTAATTCTTAAATATGATTTTTATAATGCAATTTAAGATCTGAATCTGAAAGAGCAGGTCATCCTTTAACTCTGTTAGTCTTCTGGTCTTTTTCTTTGGTTAAATATGTTTTTCTTTCTTTTCTTTTCTTTTCTTTTTTTTTTTTTTTTTGAGATGAAGTCTCGCTCTGTCGCCCAGGTTGGAGTGCAGTGGCGCGACCTCGGCTCACTGCAGCCTCCATCTCTTGACAGTCCAGGGGTTCAAGTGATTCTCCTGCCTCAGCCTCCCGAGTAGCTGGGATTACAGGCGCCCGCCACCACACCTGGCTAATTTTTGTATTTTTAATAGAGACATCATGTTGGCCAGGCTGGTCTTGAACTCCTAACCTCAGGTGCTCCACTCGTCTCGGCCTCCCAAAGGGCGGGGATTATAGGCTTGAGCTACTGTGCCTGGCCAACTATGTTTTTATTTCTATTCACAGCCTTGTGGAATTTGTATAGGAAACATCAACCATGTTGGCATTTCCAAGCAGACTGAAATGTTTGACAACTTTCACCTCAGAGGTCAGTTTTCCTTGTTCATGTTTGGATGCTTTGACAAGTCTGGTAAATGTTCTGAGTCATATGCAGTACTTTCGAGTTTCTTTAGTTCTTATCTCAGAGGCAAATGAACTAATTTCTCTGAGACATTAACTTGAATAACAGCACTTAATCTGGTAAATGAACAGCAGAGAATTAAGTGTGGAGGCAGGCTGGTGCAGGATGTGGAAGGTCTGGTCAGCCCAAGGGATCAGAGCAGTTGGACAGGGAGCAGGTGGAAAAACACCACAGATATGGGCAGGAAAACGAAATCTGGAGTTGTTAGAATCAGTTTACAAGTGTGAGGCATGACACAGGAAAAAAGGTGTGAGAAGTGAGAAAGAGGGGTGTGTGGTAGAGACAGGATTTTGAGCTCCTGGTGGGTCAGCTAGGTCAGAATCCCAGAGATGAGGAAGGCAGTCAAAGAGACTCTGACAAACAAGCAGTGGGATGCAGGTGAGGCCGCTGTAGCAAAAGGTTTGGAGCCTGTTGCTGAGGTTTAGTCAGAAAGACCTGGGAGCTCTGCACAGACCAGGGAGGAAGGGGGGCGGTGGGGCTGGGAGGGCTGCGAATGTCCCAGGATCCCAGCTCTGTTAAGGTTTCATGGTCATTTCAGGCTAATAAATCTGGCAGGTGTATGTGAATAGCTAGGGAGAGGCCAGCTGTGCTTGTAGCAGAAGCAAATGCCTGTACCTTTGGTGAGTTTTAATGTATTACAGAATTTCATTAATTTTAATTAACTTACAAGTTTAAGTAGCTCAGATAATTGTTTTCTAACCCCTAAAGGAGTACTTTTTTTTTTTTTTTTGAGAGAAAAATGTCAACTGACATCAATACTTTAGTAATATTTCTAAAAACTGTTTTGCTTTTCAGGAGAAATTTCATTTAAACCCAATGTCATATTAAGGGTAAGGGTGGGACACTTTGTAACTAAAAGTATTGCCTAACTCAGGGGGCTTTTATTTGTCCTTTGAGGCAGAGTGTGTCAGGAGTGGAAAAGCTGAGTTCAGCATGCCAAGTGCTACCAAGATTCTCAGTTTTATTCAGCTCCAGTCATTTTGGGGGTGTAGCTGAGGAATTATGCAAATCATCAGTTTCCTGAGGGAACCTAATGATACCTCAGAAGCAACACTAGAGGCTGCCCAGCTTCACCACTTTCTCTGGGGGCTGCACCCTACATAGGCTGTGCTATGATGTGCCTAAGTGTCCATGTGACCTTGTTATCTGGCCAAGCAGTTTGGACCACAGTGGTTATCTGGACAGCAGGCTGACTCTATTGTCTGGCATGTGCCCCCAAAATTCTTCCTCTCAAGAACTTGAGTCAAAAGACTCAGTTTGTGATGGGTGCTGGATCTTGAGTTTATGTAACGTTGGGGTCAGGGTCTGTGTTTTTAGAGCCAAAACCAACTAGAAGCTAAAGTTGTGGGCAAAGAAATTATGGATAAGAGTAGAAATGCAGTGAGAGAATATAGCAAAGAGAAACAGAGTTGGAAGCCAATGCTGGGTTGCAGGAGAGGTGAGGTGGGAGTGGTGGGGAGAGAGATTAAGAAACAGACCAAGTGGCCAAGGGAATATTTTCTTGGATTCTTGATGGCTTCCTTATCCCTAGCTCCCTGTCCTGTGAGCCTGTGAGTTCCTTTTTATTTGAATTAGTTGAAATGATGTTAATTCCTTGCCCCTAAACTTGCTTCCATTAAAACAAACGCAGAATTTTAGGCCATAAAACTGCTTTTGGGAGTTCTAACATACAGAATTTTATTAATTTTAATTAACTTACAAGTTTAAGTAGATTAGATAATTGTTTTCCTAACCCCTAGTGGAGTACTTTTTTTTTTTTTTTTTTTGAGAAAAAAAATCAAGTATAAATAAATGTTCCAGAGGAGGCAGCTCTGAAAGTAATCAAAATTTCATGAAAAGAATTTGACATGAATGGCAAACTTTAGACATATCAATGTTGCAGGAAGTCAGGGACCCTGAACGGAGGGACCAGCTGGAGCTGCAGCAGAGGAACATAAATTGTGAAGATTTCATGGACATTTATCAGTTCCCAAATAATACTTTTATAATTTCTTATGCCTGTCTTTACTTTAATCTCTTAATCCTGTTATCTTTATAAGCTGAGGATATCTCAGGACCACTGTGATAATTGTGTTAACTACAAATTGATTGTAAAACGTGTGTGTTTGAACAATATGAAATCAGTTCACCTTGAAAAAGAACAGAATAATAGCAATTTTTAGGGAACAAGGGAAGACAACCATAAGGTCTGACTGCCTGCGGGGTTGGGCAAAAAGAGCCATATTTTTCTTCTTGCAGAGAGCCTATAAACAGATGTGCAAGTAGGAGAGATGTCACTAAATTCTTTTCCTAGCAAGGAATATTAATATTAAGACCCTGGGAAAGGAATGCATTCCTGGGGTGAGGTCTATAAATGGCGGCTCCGGGAATGTCTGTCTTATGCGGTTGAGATAAGAACTGAGATATGCTCTGGTCTCCTGCAGTACCCTCAGGCTTACTAGGGTGGGGAAAAACTCCACCCTGGTAAATTTGTGGTCAGATCGGTTCTCTGCTCTCAAACCCTGTTTTCTGTTTTTTAAGATGTTTATCAAGACAATACGTGCACTGCTGAACATAGACCCTTATCAGTGGTTCTGCTTTTTCCTTTTGTCCTATTCCCTCAGAAGCATGTGATCTTTGTTAGACCCTTATTGGTAGTTCTGCATTTTGCCATTTGAAGCATGTGATCTTTGTACCTACTCCCTGTTCTTACACCCCCTCCCCTTTTGAAACCCTTAATAAAAACTTGCTGGTCTGAGACTCAGGTGGACATCACGGTCCTACCCATATGTGATGTCAGCCCCAGTGGCCCAGCTGTAAAATTCCTCTCTTTGTACTCTTTCTCTTTATTTTTCAGCTGGCCAACACTTATGGAAAATAGAAAGAACCTATGTTAAAATATTGGGGGCAGGTTCCCCCAATATATCAAGCTATGAAGGGTCAATAGGTGTGAAACTATAAACAATACTGTCCATAGAAGTAACTTTTATTGAAATATTTTTAAGGGCAGCAGTCAATACTTTTGGAAACTTCTTGCAACATATTCATAATTCTAGCTGACTGCTGAAAACTTGGCTAATAATTTTAATATCACCTTTTATTTGGTATTCTATACCTCCCTAACTGGAGATGTCTGAGGAAGGGAAAATGTACTCAAAATATAATGGGAGAGACAGCTTTTAAATCTATATCTTTTCAAAGAGGATCTTGTCATTACCGAGTTGGTGACATGAGAAAGTAAAAGGAAAGTTATTTATTCCTTTCAGCTTTCACCCAAGATTTATGATCATGGTTGATTCATCCATCAGTCCTGATCTGTTTCAGTGATATTTGCAGATTATTTATTTCTGGGGACATTTTTTGGCACCAGAATTTTGTGAAAAGAAGTGTAACTTAGAATTCTATGTGAGGATGTGTTTTGCTATTGGCTACTCATTCTATTCACAAAAAAGAGAGACATCTTAAAATGTTGGATGGATTGACTATCCATTTCTATTGCAATTTAATAAAAAGGAGAGAAAATAGCAGTAACATGAATGAGGATTTAATAACTATTTCAAAACAGGTGTTCAAAGATTAGGAGTAATGGTAGATAATGCCAAAGCTACTGACAGATGACTCTCCATAAACTAGTGATTCTTATGGTATCAGGGAGGACCCTCTAGAGCTATGCTAATGATCTCAAAGGATATTATGAAGTTCTCAGAATATAATTAATTTTTGATACTAAATTTAAAGGAAAAAAAACATGTTTTTAGGAGAATTAAAAGGGACATTATATGTGAAAGTACCTACTTCAGTGTATGCTATGTGGAAGGTGTTCCACAAAAGCATTTTTAATTTAGGAGGAAGTGCCACTCATTCAAAAGCCTAAGGCATCACGATTCTGTAATTTTAGAGGAAGATCCTTAAATCTGAATATTGAATTCACAGGGCCTTGGAAAAGAGAACTCAAGCTTTATCTCAGGTCCCTGACCACCCATCCTTGCTGGAATCAGGATTACCAGATCATCTAAGTTATAGTTTTTATATAATCAAACTATTTCCATGGCTTCATGGAAGTTTGTTATCAGCAGAATATTGTTGATTTGGTAGCCTAAATGCTCTGAAAAAGGCAGCACACTGCTGATCTTTCTCCAACCTTTGTCTATGTTAAACATACTTTAATGAAAATATATGTGACCACATTCTGTTAGGAGGCTTCTGCACTTGCTGATTCTTTGAGAGACGAAAACTGCAAGAGGTCAAACTTGAGCACAACTTTCTCCACAAGGATAAAATGTGAGCTAATTAGCCTGGCACACAGTCTCTCTTAATTGAGTCCTTCTGCAGCTCAGTCTTCTGACATACATAAGTCATCACTTATGGTTCTCTGGAAACCTCATTATTTCTGTTGCATCTATGTTCCCTCTTCCTTAAATGACCCCTTGCCACATGCCTACTGTCTGTTCTTTCAGTCAGCTTAGGCATCCCTGGGCAGCCCTCCTCCATGCTTCAACCCCTTTTACAACCATCATCTCATTTTATACTCATAGCACTAAAGATTTAAGAAAGGCAGCTATTAATTAAGAGCATTCTCAGTTAATGAATGAGAAGGGGATCAGGAGAAGTGACTTGTTCAGGGCCAAAAAGCTTATTAATGATGGGGTCAGGACTAGTATCTGTCCTTATACTAAGTCTAGCGTTCTAGTCCCATACCCTACACTGATTTTGGAAGAGCAAGGCCAGAATGGAATTTAACTTCAAGTTTTAGCTTCCAGAGTTGCAAGGCTAATAAGGCAAAGCAATTTTTGGATGAGATGAGGGACAATTTCTGGGGGAAAATTGTGCTTTACTTTATGAAAAAAAATTGGCATTCAATAGTGTGCTAGTATAACTGGGGTTTTAGACTGAGTATCTATTAACAGCCTCATTTAGTAGTTTGTGGCTTAGGGTGTTGCCTATATTAAAATCTAATCACACACACTTAGATCAGAGGTTTGCAGAGCTCAATTCCTAGAGGAACAGGTTATAATGCTGCCCTTTCACTCCTATCTTATTCAAGTGCTCTGGCTACGTAGTGATTGCTTTATTGCTATTGGGCAAAGCTTTCTTATGATATAGTCAATTTGCTCTATGTGGGCAATGGACATGACAGCAATTAACTTTCCTTTGTTTTTTTCTTAATTTTTTTTTTATTATACTTCAAGTTTTAGGGTACATGTGCACATTCTGCAGGTTAGTTACATATGTATACATGTGCCATGCTGGTGCGCTGCACCCACTAACTCGTCATCTAGCATTAGGTAGATCTCCCGATGCTATCCCTCCCCCCTCCCACCACCCCACAACAGTCCCCAGAGTGTGATATTCCCCTTCCTGTGTCCATGTGATCTCATTGTTCAATTCCCACCTATGAGTGAGAATATGTGGTGTTTGGTTTTTTGTTCTTGCGATAGTTTACTGAGAATGATGATTTCCAATTTCATCCATGTCCCTACAAAGGATATGAACTCATCATTTTTTATGGCTGCATAGTATTCCATGGTGTATATGTGCCACATTTTCTTAATCCAGTCTATCATTGTTGGACATTTGGGTTGGTTCCAAGTCTTTGCTATAGTGAATAATGCCGCAATAAACATACGTGTGCATGTGTCTTTATAGCAGCATGATTTATAGTCCTTTGGGTATATACCCAGTAATGGGATGGCTGGGTCAAATGGTATTTCTAGTTCTAGATCCCTGAGGAATCACCACACTGACTTCCACAGTGGTTGAACTAGTTTACAGTCCCACCAACAGTGTAAACGTGTTCCTATTTCTCCACATCCTCTCCAGCACCTGTTGTTTCCTGACTTTTTAATGATTGCCATTGTAACTGGTGTGAGATGGTATCTCATTGTGGTTTTGATTTGCATTTCTCTGATGGCCAGTGATGATGAGCATTTTTTCATGTGTTTTTTGGCTGCATAAATGTCTTCTTTTGAGAAGTGTCTGTTCATGTCCTTTGCCCACTTTTTGATGGGGTTGTTTGTTTTTTTCTTGTAAATTTGTTGGAGTTCATTGTAGATTCTGGATATTAGCCCTTTGTCAGATGAGTAGGTTGCGAAAATTTTCTCCCATTTTGTAGGTAGCCTGTTCACTCTGATGGTAGTTTCTTTTGCTGTGCAGAAGCTCTTTAGTTTAATTAGATCCCATTTGTCAATTTTGTCTTTTGTTGCCATTGCTTTTGGTGTTTTAGACATGAAGTCCTTGCCCATGCCTATGTCCTGAATGGTAATGCTTAGGTTTTCTTCTAGGGTTTTTATGGTTTTAGGTCTAACATTTAAGTCTTTAATCCATCTTGAATTGATTTTTGTATAAGGTGTAAGGAAGGGATCCAGTTTCAGCTTTCTACGTATGGCTAGCCAGTTTTCCCAGCACCATTTATTAAATAGGGAATCCTTTCCCCATTGCTTGTTTTTCTCAGGTTTGTCAAAGATCACATAGTTGTAGATATGCGGTGTTATTTCTGAGGGCTCTGTTCTGTTCCATTGATCTATATCTCTGTTTTGGTACCAGTACCATGCTGTTTTGGTTACTGTAGCCTTGTAGTATAGTTTGAAGTCAGGTAGTGTGATGCCTCCAGCTTTGTTCTTTTGGCTTAGGATTGACTTGGCAATGTGGGCTCTTTTTTGGTTCCATATGAACTTTAAAGTAGTTTTTTCCAATTCTGTGAAGAAAGTCATTGGTAGCTTGATGGGGATGGCATTGAATCTGTAAATTACCTTGGGCAGTATGGCCATTTTCACGATATTGATTCTTCCTACCCATGAGCATGGAATGTTCTTCCATTTGTTTGTATCCTCTTTTATTTCCTTGAGCAGTGGTTTATAGTTCTCCTTGAAGAGGTCCTTCACATCCTTTGTAAGTTGGATTCCTAGGTATTTTATTCTCTTTGAAGCAATTGTGAATGGGATTTCACTCATGATTTGGCTCTTTGTTTGTCTGTTATTGGTGTATAAGAATGCTTGTGATTTTTGTACATTGATTTTGTATCCTGAGACTTTGCTGAAGTTGCTTATCAGCTTAAGGAGATTTTGGGCTGAGACGATGGGGTTTTCTAGATATACAATCATGTCATCTGCAAACAGGGACAATTTGACTTCCTCTTTTCCTAATTGAATACCCTTTATTTCCTTCTCCTGCCTAATTGCTCTGGCCAGAACTTCCAACACTATGTTGAATAGGAGTGGTGAGAGAGGACATCCCTGTCTTGTGCCAGTTTTCAAAGGGAATGCTTCCAGTTTTTGCCCATTCAGTATGATATTGGCTCTGGGTTTGTCATAGATAGCTCTTATTATTTTGAAATATGTCCCATCAATACCTAATTTATTGGGAGTTTTTAGCATGAAGGGTTGTTGAATTTTGTCAAAGGCTTTTTCTGCATCTATTGAGATAATCATGTGGTTTTTGTCTTTGGCTCTGTTTATATGCTGGATTACATTTATTGATTTGCGTATATTGAACCAGCCTTGCATCCCAGGGATGAAGCCCACTTGATCATGGTGGATAAGCTTTTTGATGTGCTGCTGGATTCCGTTTGCCAGTATTTTATTGAGGCTTTTTGCATCAATGTTCATCAAGGATATTGGTCTAAAATTCTCTTTTTTTGTTGTGTCTCTGCCTGGGTTTGGTATCAGAATGATGCTGGCCTCATAAAATGAGTTAGGGAGGATTCCCTCTTTTTCTATTGATTGGAATAGTTTCAGAAGGAATGGTACCAGGTCCTCTTTGTACCTCTGGTAGAATTCGGCTGTGAATCCACCTGGTCCTGGATTCTTTTTGGTTGGTAAGCTATTGATTATTGCCACAATTTCAGCTCCTGTTATTGGTCTATTCAGAGATTCAACTTCTTCCTGATTTAGTCTTGGGAGAGTGTATGTGTCCAGGAATTTATCCATTTCTTCTAGATTTTCTAGTTTATTTGCGTAGAGGTGTTTGTAGTATTCCCTGATGGTAGTTTGTATTTCTGTGGGATCCCTGGTGATATCCCCTTTATCATTTTTTATTGCGTCTATTTGATTCTTCTCTCTTTTTTTCTTTATTAGTCTTGCTAGTGGTCTATCAATTTTGTTGATCCTTTCAAAAAACCAGCTCCTGGATTCATTAATTTTTTGAAGGGTTTTTTGTGTCTCTATTTCCTTCAGTTCTGCTCTGATTTTAGTTATTTCTTGCCTTCTGCTAGCTTTTGAATGTGTTTGCTCTTGCTTTTCTAGTTCTTTTAATTGTGATGTTAGGGTGTCCATTTTGGATTTTTCCTGCTTTCTCTTGTGGGCATTTAGTGCTATAAATTTCCCTCTACACACTGCTTTGAATGCGTCCCAGAGATTCTGGTATGTTGTGTCTTTGTTCTCGTTGGTTTCAAAGAACATCTTTATTTCTGCCTTCATTTCTTTATGTACCCAGTAGCCATTCAGGAGCAGGTTGTTCAGTTTCCATGTAGTTGAGCGGTTTTGAGTGAGATTCTTAATCCTGAGTTCTAGTTTGATTGCACTGTGGTCTGAGAGATGGTTTGTTATAATTTCTGTTCTTTTACATTTGCTGAGGAGAGCTTTATTTCCCAGTATGTCATCAATTTTGGAATAGGTGTGGTGTGGTGCTGAAAAATGTATATTCTATTGATTTGGGATGGAGAGTTCTGTAGATGTCTATTAGGTCTGCTTGGTGCAGAGCTGAGTTCAATTCCTGGGTATCCTTGTTGACTTTCTGTCTCATTGATCTGTCTAATGTTGACAGTGGGGTGTTAAAGTCTCCCATTATTAATGTGTGGGAGTCTAAGTCTCCTTGTAGGTCACTCAGGACTTGCTTTATGAATCTGGGTGCTCCTGTATTGGGTGCATATATATTTAGGATAGTTAGCTCTTCTTGTTGAATTGATCCCTTTACCATTATGTAATGGCCTTCTTTGTCTCTTTTGATCTTTGTTGGTTTAAAGTCTGTTTTATCAGAGACTAGGATTGCAACCCCTGCCTTTTTTTGTTTTCCATTTGCTTGGTAGATCTTCCTCCATCCCTTTATTTTGAGCCTATGTGTGTCTCTGCACGTGAGATGGGTTTCCTGAATACAGCACACTGATAGGTCTTGACTCTTTATCCAATTTGCCAGTCTGTGTCTTTTAATTGGAGCATTTAGTCCATTTACATTTAAAGTTAACATTGATATGTGTGAATTTGATACTGTCATCATGATGTTAGCTGGTTATTTTGCTCGTTAGTTGATGCAGTTTCTTCCTAGTCTCGATGGTCTTTACATTTTGGCATGATTTTGCAGCGGCTGGTGCTGGTTGTTCCTTTCCATGTTTAGTGCTTCCTTCAGGATCTCTTGTAAGGCAGGCCTGGTGGTGACAAAATCTCTCAGCATTTGCTTGTCTGTAAAGTATTTTATTTCTCCTTCACTTATGAAGCTTAGTTTGGCTGGATATGAAATTCTGGGTTGAAAATTCTTTTCTTTAAGAATGTTGAATATTGGCCCCCACTCTCTTCTGGCTTGTAGGGTTTCTGCGGAGAGATCCGCTGTTAGTCTGATGGGCTTCCCTTTGAGGGTAACCCGACCTTTCTCTCTGGCTGCCCTTAACATTTTTTCCTTCATTTCAACTTTGGTGAATGTGACAATTATGTGTCTTGGAGTTGCTCTTCTCGAGGAGTATCTTTGTGGCGTTCTCTGTATTTCCTGAATCTGAACGTTGGCCTGCCTTGCTAGATTGGGGAAGTTCTCCTGGATAATATCCTGCAGAGTGTTTTTCAACTTGGTTCCATTCTCCCCATCACTTTCAGGTACACCAATCAGATGTAGATTTGGTCTTTTCACGTAGTCCCATATTTCTTGGAGGCTTTGCTCATTTCTTTTTATTATTTTTTCTCTAAAATTCCCTTCTTGCTTCATTTCATTCATTTCATCTTCCATCACTGATACCCTTTCTTCCAGTTGATCACATTGGCTCCTGAGGCTTCTGCATTCTTCACGTAGTTCTCGAGCCTTGGTTTTCAGCTCCATCAGCTCCTTTAAGCACTTCTCTGTATTGGTTATTCTAGTCATACATTCTTTTAAATTTTTTTCAAAGTTTTCAACTTCTTTGCTTTTGGTTTGAATGTTCTCCCGTAGCTCAGAGTAATTTGATCGTCTGAAGCCTTCTTCTCTCAGCTCCTCAAAGTCATTCTCCATCCAGCTTTGTTCCATTGCTGGTGAGGAACTGCGTTCCTTTGGAGGAGGAGAGGCACTCTGCTTTTTAGAGTTTCCAGTTTTTCTGCTCTGTTTTTTCCCCATCTTTGTGGTTTTATCTACTTTTGGTCTTTGATGATGGTGATGTACAGATGGGTTTTTGGTGTGGATGTCCTTTCTGTTTGTTAGTTTTCCTTCTAACAGAGAGGACCCTCAGCTGCAGGTCTGTTGGAGTACTCTGCCGTGTGAGGTGTCAGTGTGCCCCTGCTGGGGGGTGCCTCCCAGTTAGGCTGCTCGGGGGTCATGGGTCAGGGACCCACTTGAGGAGGCAGTCTGCCCGTTCTCATATCTCCAGCTGCGTGCTGGGAGAACCACTGCTCTCTTCAAAGCTGTCAGACAGGGACATTTAAGTCTGCAGAGGTTACTGCTGTCTTTTTGTTGTCTGTGCCCTTCCCCCAGAGGTGGAGTCTACAGAGGCAGGCAGGCCTCCTGGAGCTGTGGTGGGCTCCACCCAGTTCGAGCTTCCCAGCTGCTTTGTTTACCTAATCAAGCCTGGGCAATGGTGGGTGCCCCTCCCCCAGCCTCGCTGCCGCCTTGCAGTTTGATCTCAGACTGCTGTGCTAGCAGTCAGGGAGACTCTGTGGGCCTAGGACCCTTCGAGCCAGGTGCGGGACATAATCTCGTGGTGCACCTTTTTTTAAGCCCATTAGAAAAGCGCAGTATTCGGGTGGGAGTGACCCAGTTTTCCAGGTGCCGTCCGTCACCCCTTTCTTTGACTCAGAAAGGGAACTCCCTGACCCTTTGCAGTTCCCAAGTGAGGCAATGCCTCACCCTGCTTCAGCTCGCGCACGGTGCACTCACCCACTGACCTGCACCCACTGTCTGGCACTCCCTAGTGAGATGAACCCGGTACCTCAGATGGAAATGCAGAAATCACCCGTCTTCTGTGTCGCTCACGCTGGGAGCTGTAGACCGGAGCTGTTCCTATTCGGCCATCTTGGCTCCTTCCCCCCAATTAACTTTCCTTTGAAAGTTAATTATTGATATCCAACTCACCGTTACTTCTATTACTTTTTTAATGGTATGTTTTTCTTAATTCAATTATATTTCTTTTGGTTGTTTTATTTCACTAAACACTTGTTTGCTTAGTTTACATTTTTAAATGCTCATTGACACTTCTTTCCTTATGTCTTTTCTGAGATATTTAATATTTTCAAGGTTTTTCTTCATCAACCACTCTCTTCATGTTTGGACACATTTTTGTTTTTATTAGCTTATTTCAGATTCTCTTTAAGAATACTGAGAGTATCTTGGGCATGATCTCATCAGTTACATGCAGGATAGAAAACAGACACATCCCCTTTCTTACTTTTGATTAAATGCTTTTTTTTTTTTTTTTTTTTTTTTTGAGATGGAGTCTCTCTCTATCACCCAGGCTGGAGTGCAGTGGCGCAATCTCGGCTCACTGCAAACTCTGCCTCCCGGGTTCATGCCATTTTTCTGCCTCAGCCTCCCAAGTAGCTGGGACTACAGGTGCCCGCCACCATGTCCGGCGAATTTTTTGTATTTTTAGTAGACAAGGGTTTCACCGTGTTAGCCAGGATGGTCTCGATCTCCTAACCTCGTGATCCACCCACCTCAGCCTCCCATAGTGCTGAGATTACAGGCGTGAGCCACTGCGCCCAACCCGATTAAATGCTTTCTTTATTTTTAGTTTGGGTTGCTATGCCCCAGGACTATGAGCTTCCTAGGATGTACAAGGCATTCTCTTTTCATGGAAAAGGTGAGGCAATGGTTAGGGTTTATTGACAGGGTGTTGTGTCTTGGGATTGACAGAAGTTGGCTGGATTAGAACTTAAAATTGCACCCATTGGAGGCTGCAACAGAGTCAGACTTCTGCAAACAGTTGTCAACAAAGAGCTCAATATGAAGTACCAAGATGTCTCCAGAAATGGAGAAATGGGCAGAGAGTATTAGTAGGGATTCTGGGGGCAGTCACACAGGAGATTCAGGTATTGAATATAGGCTGAGGTTTGGGCAAGGAAGGTGATTACAACAGGAGCAGGATGGAGAGTCCAGGAGTACCAGAGTCAGAGTTGGCTCTCAGAGTGGAGAGTGGCAGGCTGCTGAATGTTGCTTTTCTTAACCAAACTACAGGCACTCTTCTGTTGCATTCCCTTAGTGACCACCAAAGTGATGCCTTGCAAATGATTTTCCGTGAATGCAAGAAAAGATGATTAAAATGGGATTCTAACCTTACTCCCTTTCTTCTGAGAACTCTCTTTTGCAGTTTTCCTTCTTGGGGTAGTATTTATCTTTGGTATTAATCTGGAGAAGCAATTATCTTAGTTAAAATTGTACTCTATGTGAGAAAGAAAGTTATCTCATTGGCAAGCCTGTGACCATGGTTTTGATGAGAAGTGATTTAAAGTAACTTTACCCTTGCAACTGAAAAACAGATGAGACATCTCTAAGACAGTGTCTAAATTTCTGGCCATCAGCTCCAGCCTTTCCCTTCATATTTACATAGTAATATCTTTCTGTCCCCACTGAAAGACCAAGAATTCTTCAGTTTCTGAGCAGGAAGTATATCAGCAGTTTGATTGCTAATAGTAAATAACAAGTAGAAGTTTTTACTTAATTATTGCTTCCTAAAGAGCAGGCACTGCATCCCCATAAGAGCAGAATTTCCTTGGATTGTGATAAACCTGCAAGATTGTCTCTCAATGGCAATCAAGAGACCTTGAGGTCTCACCCTCCTATGAGCTTTATGTACCATGCTCTGGATATAATGTCTATATATTGTTTCCTAATGATCTGTTACCTGGTTCTGGTGAAATCCTCTTTCTCCCTGGCTGATATTGCCAAGGTCAGACACACCTCATTCCCAAGGCAGCTCACATTATGACAGGCGCTGAAGATGGCTAGAGCCATCACCACCACCACCATTATTACCACCACCACTGCCACCACCACAACCAAATAACTGAAAAGGATTAGGTTTGAGAAGAAAACAACAAGAGAAAGCTTGCTGTCTTCGAATGGGAACTTGAAGTTTGCCACTGGCTTCTAGAGTAGGTTTATAGCTGCCTAATCTTTTATTTGTTTTTAAAGTAATTTTATTTCCATTTAAAATGTTTTAATAAAATTTAAAATGTATGTCAACTCTGTCTTCAAATTATTTTGGTTTGCAGACAACTATCCTTGCAGCTCAAATCTTTAAGATGCTCTCAACAATAAATAACATTAATGCTATTTAGCAATGCAAGTGAGTTTTTGCTATTAGTGGAAACAGTTTCAATGTGTTAATAAACTGCACATTAATTAGTAAGCTGCTGTAACTATGTCACAGTTAATGAAAAATAATACTGATATATATTAACAGAACTCTAACTTGCACATCAACTAAGTTTTCTCAAGAAAGTACCATAGCTATGTGAAATATATAGATGACACTAGAAAAAATAAAAAAGTTAAAATATTTTGCTGGACATTTAAAGATGCTCAAATGTGAATTCTAAACAGGGATGTTATCTCACTGAACTTTGAGTATTTAAACTTTAGCATTTCAGATACTCACATGGGATGTACTGCTTCTTCTACTCCTATAGTTGTCTGGGTAAAATCTGTCCATCTTTTAAAGCACAGCTGAAATAGCAACTCCTTCTTCAGGTAACCTTCCTTGTTCTTCCTCCTTCCTTTGAACATCCCAGCCTTTTTTTCTTCTACTTTCCATTCCATATTTGATGCTGCTTGCCTTCCATGCATTGTAGAATATTTTATTTGTTTGACTAGATAAGCTTCTTGAGGGTCATGATGACATTTCCTTCACCCTTGCATGTTTTACAATGATATATCAGAGAAGTTAATTTAATAAATGAATGCCCCTTATTCCATTCTCCTGTTTTATGTTCTTAAGAGATATTAACACTAGCTGAAATTACTGCGTTTTGCTGTACCTTTTTCTTACTCATTTGTAATCTCTCACCCTCAACTCAAATGAAGCCCCACAAAGACAGAGGCCTTACCTGTCTTGTTAACTTTAGTATCCCCAGCATTTAGCATAATAGCTAACTCATATGGATCTAATTTTGTGTTTGTAATTTTTATTTCTTTTTCTTTTCTTTTCCTTTTTTTTTCTTTTTTTTTGTAGAGACAGAGAGTCTCTCTCTGTTGCCCAGGCTGGAGTGCAGTGATGTGATCTTGGCTCACCGCAACCAACCTCTGCCTCCCGGGTTCAAGCAATTCTCCTGCCTCAGCCTCCCAAGTAGCTGGGACTACAGGCGCATGCCACCACTCCCAGCTAATTTCTTTTGTATTTTAGTAGAGATGGGGTTTCACTGTGTTGCTCAGGCTGGTCTCAAATTCCTGAGCTCAGACAATCTGCCCACCTCGGCCTCCCAAAGTGCTAGGATTACAGGCATGAGCCATTGCGCCCGGCCTATTTCTTTTTCTTAAAGAGGACTCCTCTACTCTCAATTATATAAACTTCAGTATCTCACAAAAATCTAGATCCATCCCTGCCTCTTCTGTAAACTTTAACTTGACCACAATTCTGGACAGTTAATCATTAACCTAGGTATGTTTTTGAAATCTGAACTGTCAGTTTTGCTTTTCTTGAGGTCTCTGACTTTCCTGCTGTGTGATGATACCTAACCAAGGCTTTTCTCCAGTCTCAAGAATTCTAAAAAACACTGTAGATTTGTATTCAGCATAAAGTTTTAAATACAGACTATAACTGTATAATTTTCCCTGACCTTCAATTATAGGAATATTCTGAAGATCTCATTACTTGAGGTATATTCAAACTTTAGATTTAGAGAGAATTTTAGTTAGACTGAAAGCACATTTTATTTTTCCTCCATAACAAACTAGGTCCCCATGTATAATGTAAAGTATTTCTCATCTTAAATAAATATATGAATATTCCTGGATCATTTTTATGAATATAAAATTCTATAACTGTATGAACCAAGTGTCTGGTTTTGTAGGAATATTGGGGGCATCGGACACTGATGTTTTAGCTTTTAATCCCTGCCCTCCCTGGATCTATGCATTGCATTTTTCATTACTTTTTTCAAAACTATTTTCCAAATGCATTGGAAGCACAAAAATATCTTAAAATAATTTCTGTTTTTACCATTTTCTCTAAATGTCCCCCTGAATTTTACAATTTATTGTTTTTCAAATGTTAAAGAATTCAGTAGGGAAAAGCACCTTTTCTTTCCCCTTACTTGTGTTTTTCAGCTTCTAAAAATAATACTCACTATAGCCACAGCTGTGAGCATAAATAAAAACGCAATAATAAATCAGTTGGAGTTCAAATAAAACATTCCAGGCCAGTTCTTGCATTCCCCATGCCAGCCTTGGCAGAGTTTTTATGTTGCTGGGTCAGCTCCTGGGAAAGCTCCAGAAAAATAAGGAAAGCTACTGCTGGAGCTGATAGCTCCTCTCTGTCCTCGTAGATGCTGGGCCAGTCCTAGGGACAGAGTAGGTCCTTAGCAAATGTTAGCTGAATTTTTTGCCAGCACTAGGAATCTAGAATGGTTGTAGTGAAGATAAATGATACTGACAGTCACCATTTATTGAGCACTACTATGTGCTCAAGCATGTGTGCAGTGTTCAGCATGCACTGTCTGGATAGGTACTGGACACTTTCATTGAAATATTTTGATGTAGCTATTTTGATAAAGCTATTAAAAGGCCATGTACATTTTAACAAGCAAACTAATATTTTTAGCTTTTAAAATTGGCAGCTCTTCAATATCCTCACACTCTATGTAAGGCACAGCCTATTACCAACTTCCATCCCTGAGGCAGGGCTTGGGCAGGGGTAAGGGATAGATATTCTGTCACTCCAAAGCACACTGAAGCAGAGTTCATGTGATTATTATACTTGCTAAAGACAAGAAGCCTTCTAATACCATTAATCATTTTGAAAAATCAGCCACTAATTCTCTAAGAATTCACTTGTGTGTATTTTTTATTTTTTTTTTTTCAGACAGAGTCTTGCTGTCACCCAGGCTGGAGTGCAGTGGTA
Organism: Homo sapiens; assembly: GCF_000001405.40. Taxonomy (NCBI): domain Eukaryota; kingdom Metazoa; phylum Chordata; class Mammalia; order Primates; family Hominidae; genus Homo; species Homo sapiens. The sequence continues at coordinate 86,032,545 of NC_000006.12, forward strand.
TGATCTCAACTCACTGCAACCTCCACCTCCTGGGTTCAAGCGATTCTCCTGCCTCAGCCTCCTGAGTAGCTGGTATTACAGGTGTGTGCCACCACACCCGGCTAATTTTTGTATTTTTAGTAGAGACAGGGTTTCACCATGTTGGTCAGGCTGGCCCTGACCTCGTGATCTACCCACCTTGGCCTCCCAAAGTGCTGGGATTACAGGCGTGAGCTACAGCACCCAGCCAATTGTGTATATCTTATAGTCTTAGATTTCTCCCTGAGCATTCTATGGTAATGTTCAGTGATTTTAAATTAACAAATATGTGGGTCTATTTAATAATAAAACTTTCTGATTTCCAGTTGAAAAACTAGATCAGTGACTCTCAGTGTTCCTAGAGGGACATATTTGAATACAAGTTTTAAAAAAGGATATTTAGTATGTAATATAATTTTATCTCTAGAGAAGGATAAATATAATCACTAAAAATATCAACTACACAAAAATGAACAAAATGGAAAGGAAAAGTCCATCATAATTTAGAAGAAATGGATAAATTCCTTTACACATATACCTTCCCAAGACTAAACCAGGAAGAAGTCAAATCCCTGAATAGACCAATAACAAGTTCTGAAATTGAGGCAGTAGTTAATAGCCTACGAACCAAAAAAAACCCGGGACCAGATGGACTCACACCCGAATTCTAACAGAGGTACAAAGAGGAGCTGGTACCATTCCTTCTGAAACTATTCCAAACAATAGAAAAACAGGGAATTCTCACTAACTCATTTTATGAGGCCAGCATCATCCTCATGCCAAAACCTAGCAGAGACACAACAACAACAACAACAAAAAGAAAATTTCAGGTCTATATACCTGAGGAACATCAATGCAAAAATCCTCAATAAAATACTGGCAAACCGAATGCAACAGTATATCAAAAAGCTTATCCACCACGATCAAGTCAGCTTCATCCCTAGGATGCAAAGTTGGTTCAACATACACAAATCAATAAACGTAATCCATCACATAAACAGAACCAATGACAAAACTACATAATTATCTCAATAGATTCAGAAAAGACCTCAGATAAAATTAAACAGCCTTTCATGCTAAAAACTCTCAACAACTAAGTATTGATGAAACGTATCTCAAAATAAAGCTATTTATGATAAACCCACAGCCAATATCATACTGAATGGGCAAAAGCTGGAAACTTTCCCTTTGAAAATTGGCACAAGACAAAGATGCCCTCTCTCACCACTCCTATTCAACATGGTATTGGAAGTTCCGGCCAGGGCAATCAGGCAAGAGAAAGAAAGCGTATTAAAATAGGAAGAGAGGAAGTCAAATTTTCTCTGTTTGCAGATGACATGATTGTATATTTAGAAAACCCCATCGTCTCAGCCCCAAATCTCCTTAAGCTGATAAGCAACTTCGAAAAATTCTCAGAATACAAAATCAATTTGCAAATATAACAAACATTTCTATATACCAATAATAGAGAACCAAATCATGAGTGAACTCTCATTCACAATTGCAACAAAGATAATAAAATACCTAGGAATACAACTTACAATGGATGTAAGGGACCTCTTCAAGGAGAACTACAAACCACTGCTCAAGAAAATAAGAGAGGACACAATCAAATGGAAAAACAACAACAAGAAAATTTCAGGTCAATATACCTGAGGAACATCAATGCAAAAATCCTCATAAAATACTGCCCATCAAAACCTGACAAAAACAAGCAATGGGGAAAAGATTGCCTACTTATTCCATGCTCATGGATAGGAAGAATCAATATCGTGAAAATGGCCATATTGCCCAAAGTAATTTATAGATTCAATGCTATCCCCATCAAGCTACCATTGACTTTCTTTACAGAATTAGAGAAAACTACTTTAAACTTCATATGGAACCAAAAAAGAGCCAGTCTATCCAAGACAATGCTAAGCAAAAAGAACAAAGCTGGAGGCATCACACTACCTGACTTCAAACTATACTACAAGGCTACAGTCACCAAAATAGCCTGGTACCAAAACAAATATATAGACCGATGGAACAGAACAGAGGCCTCAGAAATAATGCCACACATCTGCAACCATCTGATCTTTGACAAACCTGACAAAAACTAGCAATGGGGAAAAGATTCCCTACTTAATAAATGGTATTGGGAAAACTGGCTAGTCATATGCAGAAAACTGAAACAGGATCCCTCCCTTACAACTTATACAAAAATTAATTTAAGATGGATTAAAAACATAAACATAAAACCTAAAACCATAAAAACCCTAGAAGAAAACCTAGGCTGTACAATTTAGGACATAGGCATGGGCAGACTTTATGACTAAAACACCAAAAGCAATGGTAACAAAAGCCAAAATTGACAAATGAGATATAATTAAACTAAAGAGCTTCTGCACAGCAAAAGAAACTATCATCAGAGTGAACAGGCAACCTACAGAATGGGAGAAAGTTTTTACAATCTATCCATCTGACAAAGGGCTAATATCTAGAATCTACAAGGGACTTAAACAAATTTACAGGGAAAAAAAAAACCATCAAAAAGTGGGCAAAGCATATGAACAGACACTTCTCAGAAGAAGACATTTATGTGGCCAAGAAAAATGAAAAAAAGCTCATCATCACTGGTCATTGGAGAAATGCAAATCAAAACCACAATGAGATACCCTCTCATGCCAGTTAGAATGGTGACCATTAAAAAGTTAGGAACAACAGATGCTGGAGAGTATGTGGAGAAATAGGAACACTTTTACGCTGTTGGTGGGAGTGTAAATTAGTTCAACCATTGTGGATGACAGTGTGGTGATTCCTTCAGGATCTAGAATCAGAAATACCATTTGACCCAGAAACACCATTACTGAGTATGTACCCAAAGGATTATAAATCATTCTACTATAAAGACACATGCACACATATGTTTACTGCAGTAATGTTCACAATAGCACCGATTTGGAACCAACCCTAATGCCCATCAGTGATAGACTGCATGAAGAAAATGTGGCACATAGACACCATGGAATACTATGCAACCATAAAAAAGGATGAATTCATGTCCTTTGCAGGGACATGGATGAAGCTGGATGCCATCATTCTCAGTAAACTAACACAGGAATAGAAAACCAAACACTGCATGTTCTTACTCATAAGTGGGAGTTGAACAATGAGAACACATGGACACAGGGAGAGGAATGTCACACACCAGGACCTCTCAGTGGTTGGGGGGCTAGGGGAGGGATAACATTAGGAGAAATACCTAACATAGTTGATGGGTTAATGGGTGCAGCAAACCACCATGGCACGTGTATACCTGTGTAACAAACCTGCACGTTCGGCACTTGTATCCCAGAACTTAAAGTATATTAAAAAAAGTTGTTCATGAAAGGTAATTCTGCTTATCTAACCATATGGTATAATTTTGATTGATGTTTCACCTTTTTTTGTTTTTGAGACAGGGTCTTGTTCTGTCACATAGGCTGAAGTGCAGTAGCATGATCATAGCTCACTGTCACCATGAACTCCTGGGCTCAAGTGACCCTCCTGCCACAGCCTCCCAAGTAGCTAGGACTACAGGTTTGTGCCACCATGCCTGACTAATTATTGTCAATGTTTAAATTTTTTTTTTTTTTTTTTTTTTTGTAGAGACAGGATCCCAGGCTGGTCTCAAATTCCTGGCCTTAAGCAATCTTCCTGAGTGCAGTAGCTCATGCCTGTAACCCCAGTGCCTTGACCTCCAAGTGAGGCCATAGTAAGCCACTGCTCTCAGCACACTCCTCATTGTCTCTGTTTGACAGGTTTCAGTGACAAAAATGGTAATAGGGAAGTTATGCAATGCAATGAAAACAAAAAACTACAATTATTACTTACTTGGAGTTTGGACTGCTGTTTCTTTGGAACAAGATTTAATCCCAGGAATAAACAAAAGACATCTTTATTGATAACCTATCATATAGTAAAAAAAATTATACATGGCTGGGTATGGTGGCTCACACCTGTAATCTTAGCACTTTTGGAGGCCGAGGTGAGTGGATCACCTGAGGTCAGGTGTTCGAGACCGGCCTGGCCAACATGGTGAGACACTGTCTCTAGTAAAAATACAAAAATTAGCTGGGCATGGTGGCACACACCTGTGGCCCCAGCTTCTCCGGAGGCTGAGGCAGGAGAATTGCTTGAACCCGGGAGGTGGAGGTTGCAGTGAGCTGAGATCACGCCAGTGCACTCCGGACTGTGCAACAGAGCGAGACTCCATCTCAAAATAAATAAATAAATAAAAAATAACACACGCGCGCGCGCACACACACACACACACACACACACACACTACTCATTTTAAGTTTTCAATAGGCCTTCTTATGATTCTTTCAGAATTCTAGACACAGTAATAAAAATAATTGAAAATAGAAAGGACAGAGATACAGCAGTAGACACTGTCAGGGCTGACAGTGGAATCAGAGGAAGTATAAAAACTACTCAGCTGAAGGCAGATGACTCACCATTCCCTAGTAGCTTCTGAGGTACTTCTATATCATGTGCTGCACATGCACTATTTTTTGTGCATCTCTCCTGACAATAACTGAGGATCATAGTAAGAGTGTTCAAATCATGAAGAAAAGATGAAGAGCAGTGTTTTCTGTTTAATAAGGTGGGTATCAATGAAGGTATTAAAAGATTTCTAATAAGAATGACTCAAATAGCATCTTGCCTAAAGGAGTAAGCTTCGGTTAGCTGGACACTGCTTTGGTGCAGTACCACTTTCCCGCAGGGTTTTGGATCAAAGAGGCATTGCTGTTATATATATTAACTCAGGTAACAGTGTTACCTTGAGAAAAATTACAACTAACTTTTTCTCAAAAATGTATTAATTATGATATCTAAGTTTTTGTTTTTCTATAATTTAGAAATGGTCACTAGTCAGCATCTTAGGCTCTGTCTGAGAAATCCTTCAGATCTGATAAACTCTGGATCACTGGTTCTGAGAACTCTTTCCTAGCAATATTTAGATTTGCCAAGAAAAAGTTTTCAGATGTTCTTCCTTTTTAATATGGAGATATTGAGCTCAAACTAATACTGAAATTATGTCATTTCCTTTGCTTTTTCTTGGGGGCTTTCATTAATCCTTGATACCACCGAGAGACTAAATAAACTCTAAGCCTTTCAACTTATATTTGGATAAATTATATAATTACTTTTAGAAGTCTAGTAATTCACATTCATGATCAAAAGGCTTGGGAAAATTAGATAGGTTGAAAATGAATAGAAGATTGAAAATTTAATGATGAGTTATAAAGATATTCAATAGGAAACGTGCTTCAGAAGCAGACACATTTTTTTTCAGAGAATATAAAACACTCTGAAGCTTATCCTCAAATTGACTAAAAAATAAAGACAATCAAATTCAAAGGACAGGATGTTTCTATTGTGCAAGTTCAGGGTTCTCATGTGAAAAGAAAAAGAAAGGATTTAAAATTTCCCAACTTCTTCTTTCTAAAGGATTTAAAATTTCCTAACAATTTATTTCTAAAATCTCTAAGCCTTAAAAGGAACAGAATCTGAGATCCACTCTGATTTATGATTTTATAATTCTACAAAAGCCTTTCACTGGAAATTTAGAGTGATATGACTTCAGTTTATAATGATATGGAAATATGTCTTAGTTGAAGAGGGATGACAAATGTTTCAATACATGTACAGTTGCCTATGCTTCATTGTGGGTGGTTTATCCATAAATATTATCTCTTCTATTACTTTGATTACTCCTTTTCTATTTGCTTTAACAATATTATCTTGCTGTTCCCCAAATGGAAATATTCCACAAGGTTTGGCTCTAAAATATCTACTCTTTTCTTTCCACGTTGTACAGTGAAAAGTCTCATTCAAGACAGCTTGCTGCAACTCTGCCCTCTATATGGACAACAACCATCCCCCCACTCCACACACAGGAACGTGCTTGCCTGCATATGCATGCATGCACACACACACCCCTCTCTGAATTCTTGGTCGAGCATCCTCTTTTTAGTTTTCAACCTCCTGTGAGAACATAGCCTGCTACAAATGGAGGAGAAAGGTTAGGGATCATCTACTTGAAACTTCTTCCACAAATCAAATTCTATAGGTTCTGCTTGAATTCTTCCAGTAACAGAGAATTTTAGTGTCAAATTGATATATGTGAGAATCCCAGCTCATCACTTAGAAACTGTCACTTAGAATAAATTACATACCTTTTCCCAGCCTTAGTATCCTCATCTGAAATGAGAACAGTAACAGTATCTACCATAGGGTTCATGACAAGCAACTGGAATGACTTAATACATAATAACTATGCAAATTATGCCTTTTTTGCAGTTTTTATTATGTGCAACTGCTGTGTCCATTTTAATTTTTTGTACACTACTCTTATCTCTCTCCTAGATCCTAAATTTATTAAAGGCAGCTACTGTGTATTATTCATCTTTTCATTCCACAAACTCACAAACCAGGTTTTCCTAAGAACAGATCCATAGATAAACACTGAACTGTGATAAAATTTGTTCTAGGCTTCAGCCAAATGAGAAAAGTAAAACCATTGTCTTCCATAAACCTGAAGATGCAGAATTTAAAGGATTGTAACTGATTCTGAGATAATTTTTAACATTTTTTTGTTGTCAAAGTATCTTTATTTTAAACATGAAATGATTTTGAGATTAGATGGTTGTTGCTTTCAAATGTTTTAATTTAGAAAAATGAAAAGGTAGAAATCTCTTGCCATCATCAATCATTTAAAGATTGCTAAATTTATCAAATTCAAAATGGCCTAGGATAGTGCCTCATGTGTAGTTGGCTCTCACAGTTGTCAGTTGATGTCTAGTCTCCTTGATGCTTAGCGGTCATTTTTCTTCTCTTATCTCTACTAGAGATCTGAGAGAGAAATATGGAAAATGAAGTAAAAATAGACTTGAAAATATTTAATAGCTCCAATTAAATACCTGATTGGAAAATTGAAGAGTGAGAAAACCCAGTGGTTAAAAAACATATTTTGGAATTACTTAATTATTTCAGTTTCATACTAATCATTGCTTGTTATTTGCCACATTACTTGATTTGCAGCTAATTACAAACTTAAGCAGTGGATAAAAATATTAGTTACCACTTTTCTGTGTGAAGGCAAAAATATGTTTAAGGTAAATGCCAATATATTATAAAATGATTTTAACAATTTGATTAAATTCTAAAAATACTTTCATAATTAGTATGTAAGTTTTAAAATATATTAAAAATAGATTACAAAAATTATATAGAAAAATAGATTAGCCAGGTGTGATGGCTCATACCTGTAATTCTAGCACTTTGGGAGGCTGAGGCGGGAGGATCACTTGAGCCCAGGAGTTTGAGACCAGCCTGGACAACATAAGGAGAACTTATCTCTATAAAAAATAAAATTAGCTAGGTGTGGCGATGCATGCCTATGGTCCTAGCTACTTTGGGAGGCTGAGGTGGGAGGATGCTTGAACCAGGAGGTTAGAATGCAGTAAGCTGAGATTGTGCCACTATACTCCAGCCTGGGCAACACAGTGAGACCCTGTCTCACAATGATAGACTGGATTAAGAAAATGTAGCACATATACACCATGGAATACTATGCAGCCATAAAAAATGATGAGTTCATGTCCTTTGTAGGGACCTGGATGAAATTGGAAATCATCATTCTCAGTAAACCATCACAAGAACAAAAAACCAAACACTGCATATTCTCACTCATAGGTGGGAATTGAACAATGAGAACACATGGACACAGGAAGGGGAATATCACACTCTGGGGACTGTTGTGGGATGGGGGGAGGGGGGAGGGATAGCATTGGGAGATAAACCTAATGCTAGATGACGAGTTAGTGGGTGCAGCGCACCACCATGTCACATGTATACACATGTTACTAACCTGCACATTGTGCACATGTACCCTAAAACTTAAAGTATAATAAATAAATAAATAAATGGATTTAGCCAAGGTAAAAAAAAAAAAGGAAAGAAAAAAATAGATATATCAATGGAACAGAATACAGAACCCAGAAATAACATAACACACTTACAGCCATCTGATCTTTGATGAAGTTGACAAAAATAAGCAATGGGGAAACGACTCTCTATTCAATAAATGGTGCTGGGATAACTGGCTAGCCAGATGCAGAATATGCAAACAGGACCCCTACCTTTCACCATAAACAAAAATTAACTCAAGTTGGATTAAAGGTTTAAATGTAAGACCACACACTATAAGAATCCTAGAAGAAAACCTAGAAAATACCATTCTGTATATCAACCCAGGAAAGAAATCATGACTAACTCCTCAAAAGCAATTGCAACAAAAATAAAAATTGACAAATGAGGCCTAATGAAATGAAATAGCTTCTGCACAGCAAAAAAAAAAAAAAAAAGAAAAAAGCAAAAAAAAAAAACCACGATAAACAGAGTAAACAGACAACCTACAGAATGGAAGAAAATACTTGCAAACTATGCATCCAACAAAATTCTAATATCCACAGTCTATAAGCAACAATTGAACAAGCCAAAAAAAACCTAATTAAAAGTGGGCAAAAGACATGAACAGACACTTCTCAAAAGAAGACAAGCAAGCAGCCAACAAGCATATGAAAAAATGCTCAACATCACTAATCAGAGAAATGCAAATCAAAACCACAATGACATATCATATCACACCAGTTAGAACAGCTATTACTAAAAAGTCAAAAAATAACTTGCTAGCAAGGCTGAAGAGAAAAGGTAATTCTTATATACTGTTGGTGAAAATGTAAATGAGTTTATTCACTGTGGAAAGCAGTTTGGAGATTTCTCAAAGAACATAAAGCAGAACTACCATTAAACTCAGCAATACCATTATTGTGTATATACTCAAAGGAAAATGAATTGTTCTACCAAAAGACACATGTACTCTTATGTTCATTGCATCACTATACACAATAGCAAAGACAGGGAATCAACCTAGGTTCTCATCAATGGTGGACTGGGTAAACAAAATGTGGTACATATATACCATGAAATACTACAGAGCCATAAAAAGAATAAAATTATGTCCTTTGCAGCAACATGGATGCAACAGAAGGCCATTATCTTAAGCAAATAAACATAGGAACAGAAAAGCAAATACCACGTTTTCACTTATAAGTAAATGCTGAATATTGGGTACACGTGGACATAAAGATGGCAACAACAGAAGCTGGAGACTAGTAGAACGGGGAGAGAGGAAGGGGGAAAGGGCTGAAAATCTACGTATTAGGTACTATGCTCAGTACCTGGCTAACAGGGTCATTCATAACCCAAACCTCAGTATCATGCAATAAACCCACCTAACAAACAAGCACATGTACCCCTTGAATCTGAAATAAAAGATGAAATCATAAAATTATATATTGGAAGAATTTAGTCTCCTTGAGAAATGCTGTGAAGTTTCTGAGGTCTGTGATTATAATTTTTAAATTAAATAAAACTAAAAACCTGATCTAGTCATGAGGCACTAAAAATTAATTATGGCACTGCCTTTTTTGACCTTGATTTAAAAGAAAATGTTAATGAGGTTTGTTTTCACTGATGATAAATAGAATAAGAAAAAATTTAAATGTATCTTTAAAATTCTTTATCTGTCAAATGTTTCATTGAGGTATTAATATTATTAAATATATTTTTATACATTTCTTTAAAGTTAAGAACATGCATTTTTTTAAGGGTTTATTTTACCATAAGTCACTAGATGGTCACTGCTTTTATATGGTTACTATCCCAGGGTAAGTCCCAGACACAACTAATTTCCACAGATCAGAGTTTAAAAAGTGATTATATAAATACTAACATAGATAAAATATTGATTTTTCAAAGTCCTCAGTCACTCAGTCAATCAAGAAGTGTATTTAATGAGTGTTTCCTGTGGATCAAGCACTGTTAAGCTACCTAGGCTTTAGTGGTGGTCAATTTTAGTTTAAAAAACAAGCAGAAATTTTGAGTTGCATAGAAATTGTCATTTGTTCCCCAAGACTGTGTCTGACTCCAGTTCTTTCTTTTTTTTTTTTTTTAACTTTTAGGTTTGGGCATACACGTGAAGGTTTGTTAGATAGGTAAACACGTGTCATAGGGGTTTGCCGTACATATTATTTCATCACCCAGGTATTAAGCTCAGTATACAATAGTTATTTTTTCTGCTCTTCTCCCTCTTTCCACCCCTGCCTCAAGTAGACCCCGGTGCCTGTAATTTTCTTCTTTGTGTTCATAAGTTCTTCTTACCTAAGAATGATGACTGTACTTTTGTGGCAGTAACTGCCATATCTAAAAATCTAATCCCAAAGTCAAGTTTTCCTTCAAGAACATGAAGCTCATGTTTGCTTTTTTTCTCTTTCTCCTTCTCTCTTTCCATTCCTTAATTTTCTCTTCTTCCTTCTCATTCATCTTTAGTTCTTTTATTTTTGTCATGACAATGTGTAAAGCCACTTATAGAATGATAATCTTATTTTTATTTATTGTTTGTCAAGGGACAGAATGAAACCTTGAAGTATATATGTCATGTCAATAGAAATACTAACAGTTACAGGTTTCCTTAAATCAAACTCAATGATTTTTTATGTGTAAATGAAAATAAAAATCTACCCTCAATCCAGTGAAAATTCCCAGGCCCACATCTTTATAGCACACAGAAATAGCCAAGGATTATTACTACACATACAAGTTGCTGATTTCAGAGTTAGTGGTTGCTTTCCTTTTTAAATAAAATTTGAACAAAAAGAAAAGGATTCAGAAAAGATACTATTTTAAATTATTGTTTTAAGCAAATGACATAATGGATTTAGTCAGATTTTACTTAGTATTTTGACAAATAACTCTTTATACTTAATTAAGCTATAATAAATCTCATTTTCACAGTGTTTGTAAAAATGTTTTTTCTTTTGGCTGATAATTTACCATCAAATGCTGGTTGTATACATAACAAAGCATATTATAAACTCACTTTTTCTTCACATGCTTATTTTGTGTGATTAACTTTCCCTGAGAATTGTTACCTTTTTTTTTTTTTTTTCTTCTGTTTTTGTGTGTGTATGAAGATTCACCATGCTAGGGTTTGACTGTTTATGGTGTAAATACTATGTCAAGTCTTGACTCAAAATGTTTTTGGTGTTAGATACTTAATTTCTTCTTGAATTAATGCTGCTTCTTTTTTACTTTTTTTTCTGTTCCATTAGGGAAACAATTTTTAAAAATCTGTAATCAAAAGTACACTATTTTACTGCATTAAACCAATGTTGAATTTTTATTTTTTATAACAATTCCTGACAATGTTATATATGTTAGTAATATTATTCCCTGCTAAAAATATTTTCTCTTAAAGATAATATAATACCAAAAGTAAAGCCTGCAAAAATGAGAAAATCTCTATTTAGTACCATTTTCATATGTCTCATTAAACTTATTTACTGAAAATCACAAGTAACCACAAGTAAAATCAGGTACCATACTTACTGGTAGATATGCTGACTCCTTTTATATAAATTTCCTAAAACTTATAAAATGTGTTTTACATTTTACATAATTTTAGAAGTTACAAAAATCAGTCAAAGTAAATATATTTCTTACTAGGATTTGCTTTGAGGTGAAAGATTATCAACATATTCTTTATGTGAAAAAATGAGGAAATATCAGTAAGTTATATTCTGTTTATTCTCCCAGTTGCTATTTTCCTTTTACTTCTCTTCAAATAACATTTTTTTTTTTTTTTTTTTTTTTTTTTTTTGAGACGGAGTCTTGCTCTGTCACCCAGGCTAGAATGCAGTGGCACGATCTTGGCTCCCTGCAAGATCTGCCTCCCAGGTTCAATGGATTCTCTTGCCTCAGCCTCCTGAGTAGCTGAGATTACAGGCATGGGCCACCATGCCTGGCTATTTTTGTATTTTTAGTAGAGATGGGGTTTCACCATGTTGGCCAGGCTAGTCTCGAACTCCTAGGCTCAAGTCATCCATCTGTCTTAGCCTCCCAAAGTGTTAGATTACAGGTGTGAGCCACTGTGACCAGCCTCAATTCTACTCTTATTCTTATGTTTCCTTCTAAAGTGATAAATTATGGTTTTCTCAAAATCCATGGTTATATAGATGTCAGTCTTCTTACCAGAAAGAGAATAAAGTGAAGATAGTTTTGCATGTATTTATTGATTGTTACTCAGTTCATGATTCTCTTTCAGAAAGTGCTGGGAAAGTGAATCATTGTGAATGTCTAAAGGCTATCAACCTTTTCCTAACCCTTGAAACTTCTTCCTTTCTCAGTATCACTGAATGTAAAGTGGAATTCATTAATACAGTTGTCTCCACACCAACGTTTTCTTCATGTTCTTCATTAAAACCCTTTCTCAGGCTTTTGCCATGTATTGGTGTTTTTAAAACAACTGTAAAAGAGGATTTACATGTTTAGATCTAGAAACCATCTTTGTCTATTTTTAGGATTAGGACAGAGGAAGATTATAATGGCACTGATTTTCAGAAACTTAAGTTAGCTCCAGAAGACATTAAGTTAACCACTAATATTAACTGTAATCAAAAGAGATCATCAGATGTTCTGGCTGCTTTTCTGTTCCTCAGAGGTGAGACTTCTGTTGCTCTAGATATGGCTGGAGTCAGATTTGCTTTGGTGATAAATCAGTTGTAGAAATGACATGCCAAAGTTAGAAGAGTGATGTGATTTCAGTGTCCCAGACTCAGTACTGTTAATGAAAGATCAAGGTCCAATTACTATTGAATTTTCAAAATTCTAGATTGGGTAATTGCAGTTAAATGATTTTGAACTTGTTTTTTATCTTCTCTTACTTCACCTTTAATTCTTGTACCCAAATAAACATCAAGATGTTTTCTGATGTTAAAAAAATGTTTTGCTAACAGATTGTGGTTCTGAAAATGTGTGATTTGTACCACTTATCTCAATTTCAAATACAATTTTAACACAATGATTAGATCAACCTGTGTATTTGCCTCAGTGTTGGCAATTTAGAGTAATTGGTCTTGAATTACCCAATGGTGCACTTATCATCAGTGTGTAGTCAGTATAATAGATTCCAGAGTCCCTTCATACATAACAATGTGATATGTTATAATATCTTTTTATGCTATTAAATATAATAAATAAAAGTAATAGATGCTTTCTGTAGGAAACCTGAAATGTACTGAAGAGGGTAAAAAGCAATTAAAAACTACTAAAACTACCACACCCAGAATTGATGTCTGTTAACCATTAAAACATTTTTTTTGGTCTTTTTTGTTTGATATGTATCTGAAGAGTTTAAAAATACATCGTTGTTTTTAGTGTAGTTTTTCATCCTGTTCTTTCATTAACATTATATCTTGAGAATTTGCCTTAAATATTCTTCAAAATTATGATTTGAATGACATTATATTCCATTTTATAGAGGTTCATAATGTATTTAGCTATTCTCATATTCAGTTTATTTTCAAGTTTTTTTACCTTTATATATCTTATTTTCCACATTAAATTTTTTTCTTTGATTATTTGCATAAGGTTTCAAGAAGTGGGATAATTGATTGAAAATGTATGAACAATTTAAAGACTGAATAATGAATCCACTCTATCCTTCAAACAAGTATCAATTTATACTCATACTAGCAGACTTTGACATTTCATCTCTCATAGCACCAGTGTTTTACCCACAGTACCATTTCGTTTTATTTGATAGATGAAAAATGTCTCTCTCCCTTCCCTCCTTTGAGACAGGGTCTTGTTATGTCGCCCAGGCTGGCTGGAGTGCAGTAGCATGATCACAACTCACTATAGCCTTGAACTTCTGAGGTCAACCAGTCCTACCACCTCAGCCTTTCAAAGTGTCGGGATTACAGGTGAGAGTCACAATTCCCAGCTTTAATTTCAATTTGTTTGAACATTTTAGAATATATTTTTTAACCATTTGTGTTTCTGTTGGATGTGTGACTTGTATGCTCATGTCTTTTGCCAATTTTCTGTTAATTTTTTAAAATTCATTTTTAAGAGTTTTTAATGCATTAAGGATGTTAACTTTTGTATCTTAAATTTGTTCTTCATGAGCCACTTTACTTTTTTGGTTATTTTTAATCAATATATCATAGCTGTACATTTTATTGGACATGTGATATTTTGATACATGTATACAATGTGTAACTATCAAATCAGGGTAATTGGGATATCCATCAACTCAAATGCTTATCTTTTCTTTGTGTTGGGAACATTAAAATTCTAGATTTCTAGCTACTTTGAAATATACAATAAATTATGGTTAACTATAATTTTCCTACAGTACTATCAAATATTAGAACATATTCTTTCTATTTAACTGTATTTTTGTACCCATTAAGCAACATCTCTACGTCTCCCACCTCTTTCTTTTCCTGGTCTCTGGTAAGCACCATTCTACTCTCTACCTCCATGAGTTCCACTTTTTTAACACATACATGTGAGTGAGAACATGCACTATTTGTCTTTCTGTGCTGGCTTATTTCACTTAACATAATGATCTCCAGTTCTATCCATGTTGCTGCAAACAACAGAATTTTATTATTTTTTATGCCTGTATAGTATTCAATTTTGTATATATACCACATTTATTTTATCCATTCATCTGTTGGTGAGCATTTAGGTTGATTCTATGTCTTGGCTATTGTGAATAGTGCTGTAGTAAACATGGGAGTGCAGATTCCTCTTTGATAAATGGATTTTCTTTCTTTTGGATATATATCCAGTGGTGGACTTGCTTGATCATATGGTAGTTCTATTTTTAGTGTTTTGATGAATGCCATACTGATTTCCCATAGTGGCTTTACAACTTTACACGCCCATCAATAGTGTATGCTTTCTCTGCATCCTTACTAGCACTTGTAATTTTTTGTCTTTTAGATGATATCTATTCTAACTTGAGTGAGATGATGTCTCATTGTGGTTTTGATTGGTATTTACCTGATGTTGAGAATTTTTTTTCATGTAACTGGTTGTTATTTGTATATCTTCATCTAAGAAATATCTACTCAGGGTTTTTGCCCACTTAAAAATTGGATTACTATTATTATCTTCATTTATTTGCTATTAAGTTCCTCATATATTTTAGTTATTAATTCCTTGTCATATGAATAGTTTGTAAATATTTTTACCCATTCTGTAAACTGTTTCTTCACTTTGTTAATTATTTTCTTTGCTATACAGAAGCTTTTTAGCTTGATATAATCTAATTCATCTATTTTTCTTTTGATGCCTGTGCTTTTGAGGTCTTATTTAAAAACTCTTTGCCCAGACCAATGTCCTGAAGTATTTTCCCAATGTTTTCTTCTAGTAGTTTCATAGGTTCAGGTCTTACTTTTAAGTCTTCAAGCCATTTTGAGTTGAATTTTGTATATGTTATAATGCGGAGATCTAGGGTTATTCTTCTGCATACGTATATCCAGTTTACCCAGCACCATTTACTAATGAGATTGTCCTTTCCTCAATGTATGTTTGTGGCACCTTTATTGAAAATGGGTTGGCTGTAAGTGTGTGGATTTATTTCTGACTCTCTATTCTGTTCCTGTAGTCTATGTGTCTGTTTTTATGCCACTACCAGGCTGATTTGGATATTATAGCTTTATAGTACAATTTGAAATCAGGTGGTATGATACCTCAGCTTCATCTTTTTTGGTTAGAATTGATTAAACTATTTGGGGTCTTTTGTAGTTCCATATGAATTTTAAAATTTGTTTTTCTATTTATGTGAAGAATGTCATTGGTATTTTGATAGAGATTGCATTGAATCTGCAGAACACTTGCAGTATAGACATTTTCAAAATATTGATTCTTCCAATCCATAAGCATGAGATATCTTTCCATTTTTTGGTTTCCTCTTCAATTCCTTTCATCAGTATTTTAGTTTTTCTAATAGTGATCTTTCACTTTGGTTCAATTAAATCCTAGGTATTTTATTTTTTTTGTAGATTGAATTGGTTTCTTTTTATTTGTATAAATTTAGGTGGTAAAAGTGCACTTTTGTTCTATGGATATACTGAGTAACAGTGAACTCTGGGCTTTTAGTGTATCCATCACTGGAATAGTGTACATTGTACCCATTAAGTGATTGCTTATTCTTCAACCCCCTCCTATCTTTCCACCCTCTGAGTCTCCAATGACTATTATTCCATACTCTAAGCCCATATGTACACTTTATTTAACTCCCACTTTTAAGTGAGAACGTATGGTATTTGACTTTCTGATTCTGAGTTGTTTCACTTAAAATAATGGCCTCCAGTTCCATCCATGCTGCTGAAAAAGACATGATTGCTTTCTTTTTATGGTTGAATAGTATTCTAGCGTGTGCATGTGTGTATTTTATACTATTATATTTATTACAATTTCTTTTTTTAATTTTCTTTTTAATTCTCAGCAAGGCAATTTACTTCTATATAGAAGGGTGTACCCTTACAGATGGAACAATGGCAAGCGCACATTTGGACAAGGGAGGGGAAGGAGTTCTTATCCCTGACACACATGGCCCCTGCTGCTGTGTGGTTCCCCTATTGACTAGTGTTAGACAGCACAGGCTAAACTAATTCCAATTAGCTAATTTAAAGAGAATGATGGGGTGAGTGCTTTGGCAAGAGTCAGGGCAAAGCAGATAGCAGGTAATCAGAATGAGTTAGGGTGGAGCAGGTGATCAGAATGAGTTAGGGTGGAGTAGGTAATTGAAAATGTTGCTTTACGAGGAAGTTAAGTTTAAAAGTAGAAGGCAAAGAATTGAATTACAATTTCTTTGTCAGTCATCCACTGATGGATACTTAGGTTGTTTTCATATTTTTGCTAATGTGAATAGTGCTGCTATAAACGTATGAGTGCAGATATCTTTATAATGTAATGATATAATGATTTTTTTTCTCTTTGAGTGTATGTTCAGTAGTGGTATTGCTGGATTGAATGGTAGTTCTAGTTTTAGTCCTTTGAAAAATCTTCATACTGTTTTTCATGGAGGTTGTACTAAGTTACATTTCTATCAACAGTGTATAAGCGTTCTCCTTTCTCCACATCCTCACCAACATGTATTATTTTTTCTGTTTAATAATAACCGTTATCACTGGGGTAAAATGATATCTCATTGCAGTTTGGATTGTATTTTTGTAATAATTACTGATATTGATAATTTTTATATATACTTGTTGGCCGTTTGTGTGACGTCCTTGAAAAATACCTATTAAAGTCCTTTGCCTACTTTTTAATTGGATTATTTAGGAGATATTTTCTTGTTGACTTGTTTGAGTTTCCTGTATATTTGGAATATTACTCTGCTGTCAGAGGAATAGCTTGCAAATATTTTCTTTTATCCTGCAGATTGTCTGTTAAATCTGTCAATTATTTCTTTTGCTGTGCAGAAGCTCTATAGTTTAATTACATCCTATTTGTCTATTTTTGTTTTCATTGCTTATGCTTCTGAGGTCTTAGTCATGGCTTCTTTATTGAGACCAATGTCCAGGAGAGTTTTCCTAGGTTTTTTGCTAATATTTTTACAGTATCGGGTCTTACAGTTAAGCCTATAATTCATCTTGAGTTGATTTTGGCATATAGTAAGAGATAGGGATCCAATTTTTGTCTTTTGCAAATGGCAATCCAATTTTCCCAAGACCACTTTTTGTAAAGGGTGTTCTTTTCCCATTGTATATTTTTGTTGACAGCCAAAGGCCAGTTGTCTGTAGATATGTAACTTTATTTCTGAATTTTTTGTTCTATTCCATTGATCTGTGTATCTATTTTTATACTAGTACCATGCTTATTGTCGCCTTGTAGTAACACTTGAAGTCAGGTAATATGATGCCTCCAGCTTTCGTCTTTTTACTTAGGATTGCTTTGCCATTCAAGTACATTTTTGGTTTCATATGATTTTTAGGATTTCTTTTTTTCTAATTTTTTGAAAAATGGCATTGGAATTTTGAAAGGGATTGCTTTGACTCTGTACATTGCTTCGGGCAATATGGTCATTTCAACCATACTAATTCTGATCCATGAACATGGAATGATTCTCCACTCATTTGTGTCATCTATGATTTCTTCTGTAGTGTTTTGTAGTTGTCCTTGTAAAGATCTTTCACTTACTTGTTTAAACATATTCCTAGGCAGAATACTATGTAGCCATAAAAAGGATGAGTTCATGTACTTTGCAGGGACATGGGTGAAGCTGGAAACCATCATTCCCAGCAAACTAACACAGGAAAATAAAATCAAAAACTGCATTTTCTCACTCATAAGTAGGAGTTGAACAATGATAACACATGGACACGAGGACAGGAACATCACACAGCAGGGCCTGTAAGGAGATGGGGGTCTAGGCAAGGAATAGCATTAAGAGAAATACCTAATGTAGTTGACAGGTTTATAGGTGCAGCAAACCACCATGGCATGTGTATACTCCTGTAACAAACCTGCATGTTCTGCACATGTATCCCAGAACATAAATTATATATATATAAACAAAACAACAACAACAAAAAATATATTCCTAGGTGAGATTTTTGTAGCTACTGTAAATGAAATTGACTTCCTGATTTGGTTCTCAGCTTGATTGTTATTGGTATTGAAATGCCTTTAAATTTTGCACTTTGACTTTAGATCTTAAAACTTTATGAATTTGTTTATCAAATAGGAGTTTTTTGGAGTATTGTTAAGGATTTTCTACACACAAGATCATATCATCAGCAAAGAGATAATTTGTCTCTCCCTTTTTCAAATTAAATGACTTTTATATATTTTCTCTTATCTGATTGCTCTGGCTAGACCTTCCAGTATTATCTTTGAATAGGAGTGGTGAAAGTGGATATTTTTATCTTGTTCCAGTTCATACGAGAATTATTTTGACTTTTTTCTGCTCAGTATTATGTTGGCTGTGGGTTTGTCATATACAGCTATTATTATTTTGAGATATGTTTCTTCTATGCCTATTTTTTGAGTTTTTTTTTTTTTTTTTTTTTTTGAGACGGAGTCTTGCTCTGTCACCCAGGCTGGAGTGCAGAGGCATGATCTCAGCTCACTGCAAGCTCTGCCTCCCAGGTTCATGCCATTCTCCTGCCTCAGCCTCCCGAGTAGCTGGGACTACAGGTGCCCACCATCATGCCTGGCTGATTTTTTTTGTATTTTTAGTAGAAATGGGTTTCACTGTGTTAACCAGGATGGTCTTGATGTCCTGACCTCGTCATCCGCCCGCCTCGGCCTCCCAAAGTGCTGGGATTACAGGCATGAGCCACCGCGCCCGGACGAGATTTTTTTTTTTTATTATACTTTAAGTTTTAGGGTACATGTGTACAATGTGCAGGTTAGTTACATATGTATACATGTGCCATGCTGGTGTGCTGCACCCATTAACTCGTCGTTTAGCATTAGGTATATCTCCTAAAGCTATCCCTCCCCACTCCCCCCACCACAAAACAGTCCCCAGAGTGTGATGTTCCCCTTCCTGTGTCCATGTGTTCTTATTGTTCAATTCCCACCTATGAGTGAGAATATGTGGTGTTTGGTTTTTTGTTCTTGCGATAGTTTACTGAGAATGATGATTTCCAATTTCATCCATGTCCCTACAAAGGACATGAACTCATCATTTTTTATGGCTGCATAGTATTCCATGACATATATGTGCCACATTTTCTTAATCCAGTCTATCATTGTTGGACATTTGGGTTGGTTCTAAGTCTTTGCTATTGTTAATAGTGCCGCAATAAACATATGTGTTCATGTGTCTTTATAGCACCATGATTTATAGTCCTTTGGGTATAGTCCCAGTAATGGGATGACTGGGTCAAATGGTATTTCTAGTTCTAGATCCCTGAGGAATTGCTATGCTGACTTCCACAAGGGTTGATCTAGTTTATAGTCCCACCAACAGTGTAAAAGTGCTCCTATTTCTCCACATCCTCTCCAGCACCTGTTGTTTCCTGACTTTTTAATGATTGCCATTGTAACTGGTGTGAGATGGTATCTCATTGTGGTTTTGATTTGCATTTCTCTGATGGCCAGTGATGATGAGCATTTTTTCATGTGTTGTTTGGCTGCATAAATGTCTTCTTTTGAGAAGTGTCTGTTCATGTCCTTCACCCACTTTTTGATGTGGTTGTTTGTTTTTTTCTTCTAAATTTGTTTGAGTTCATTGTAGATTCTGAATATTAGCCCTTTGTCAGATGAGTAGGTTGCAAAAATTTTCTCCCATTTTGTAGGTTGCCTGTTCACTCTGATGGTAGTTTCTTTTGCTGTGCAGAAGCTCTTTAGTTTAATGAGATCCCATTTGTCAATTTTGTCTTTTGTTGCCATTGCTTTTGGTGTTTTAGACATGAAGTCCTTGCCCATGCCTATGTCCTGAATGGTAATGCCTAGGTTTTCTTCTAGGGTTTTTATGGTTTTAGGTCTAACATTTAAGTCTTTAATCCATCTTGAATTAATTTTTGTATAAGGTGTAAGGAAGGGATCCAGTTTCAGCTTTCTACATATGGCTAGCCAGTTTTCCCAGCACCATTTATTAAATAGGGAATCCTTTCCCCATTGCTTGCTTTTCTCAGGTTTGTCAAAGATCACATAGTTGTAGATATGCGGTGTTATTTCTGAGGGCTCTGTTCTGTTCCATTGATCTGTATCTCTGATTTGGTACCAGTACCATGCTATTTTGGTTACTGTAGCCTTGTAGTATAGTTTGAAGTCAGGTAGCTTGATGCCTCCAGCTTTGTTCTTTTGGCTTAGGATTGACTTGGCGATGCGGGCTCTTTTTTGATTCCATATGAACTTTAAAGTAGTTTTTTCCAATTCTGTGAAGAAAGTCATTGGTAGCTTGATGGGGATGGCATTGAATCTGTAAATTACCTTGGGCAGTATGGCCATTTTCACGATATTGATTCTTCCTACCCATGAGCATGGAATGTTCTTCCATTTGTTTGTATCCTCTTTTATTTCATTGAGCAGTGGTTTGTTGTTCTCCTTGAAGAGGTCCTTCACATCCCTTGTAAGTTGGATTCCTAGGTATTTTATTCTCTTTGAAGCAATTGTGAATGGGAGTTCACTCATGATTTGGCTCTCTGTTTGTCTGTTATTGGTGTATAAGAATGCTTGTGATTTTTGTACATTGATTTTGTATCCTGAGACTTTGCTGAAGTTGCTTATCAGCTTAAGGAGATTTTCGTCTGAGACAATGGGGTTTTCTAGATATACAATCATGTCATCTGCAAACAGGGACAATTTGACTTCCTCTTTTCCTAATTGAATACCCTTTATTTCCTTCTCCTGCCTAATTGCTCTGGCCAGAACTTCCAACACTATGTTGAATAGGAGTGGTGAGAGAGGGCATCCCTGTCTTGTGCCAGTTTTCAAAGGGAATGCTTCCAGTTTTTGCCCATTCAGTATGATATTGGCTGTGGGTTTGTCATAGATAGCTCTTATTATTTTGAGATATGTCCCATCAACACCTAATTTATTGAGAGTTTTTAGCATGAAGCATTGTTGAATTTTGTCAAAAGCCTTTCCTGCATCTATTGAGATAATCATGTGGTTTTTGTCTTTGGTTCTGTTTATATGCTGGATTACATTTATTGATTTGCGTATATTGAACCAGCCTTGCATTCCAGGGATGAAGCCCACTTGATCATGGTGGATAAGCTTTTTGATGTGCTGCTGGATTCCGTTTGCCAGTATTTTATTGAGGCTTTTTGCATCAATGTTCATCAAGGATATTGGTCTAAAATTCTCTTTTTTGGTTGTGTCTCTGCCTGGCTTTGGTATTAGGATGATGCTGGCCTCATAAAATGAGTTAGGGAGGATTCCCTCTTTTTCTATTGATTGGAATAGTTTCAGAAGGAATGGTACCAGTTCCTCCTTGTACCTCTGGTAGAATTCGGCTGTGAGTCCCTCTGGTCCTGGACTCTTTTTGGTTGGTAAGCTATTGATTAGTGCCACAATTTCAGAGCCTGTTATTGGTCTATTCAGAGAGTCACCTTCTTCCTGATTTAGTCTTGGGAGGGTGTACGTGTTGAGGAATTTATCCATTTCTTCTAGATTTTCTAGTTTATTTGCATAGAGGTGTTTGTAGTATTCTCTGATGGTAGTTTGTATTTCTGTGGGATCGGTGGTGATATCCCCTTTATCATTTTTTATTGCATTTATTTGGTTCCTTTTCTTCTTTATTAGTCTTGCTAGCGGTCTATCAATTTTGTTGATCCTTTCAAAAAACCAGCTCCTGGATTCATTAATTTTTTGAAGGGTTTTTTGTGTCTCTATTTCCTTCAGTTCTGCTCTGATTTTAGTTATTTCTTGCCTTCTGCTAGCTTTTGAATGTGTTTGCTCTTGCTTTTCTAGTTCTTTTAATTGTGATGTTAGGGTGTCCATTTTGGATTTTTCCTGCTTTCACTTGTGGGCATTTAGTGCTATACATTTCCCTCTACACAGTGCTTTGAATGTGTCCCAGAGATTCTGGTATGTTGTGTCTTTGTTCTCATTGGTTTCAAAGAACATCTTTATTTCTGCCTTCATTTCGTTATGTACCCAGTAGTCATTCAGGAGCAGGTTGTTCAGTTTCCATGTAGTTGAGCGGTTTTGAGTGAGTTTCTTAATCCTGAGTTCTAGTTTGATTGCACTGTGGTCTAAGAGACAGTTTGTTATAATTTCTGATCTTTTACATTTGATGAGGAGAGCTTTATTTCCCAGTATGTCGTCAATTTTGGAATAGGTGTGGTGTGGTGCTGAAAAAAATGTATATTCTGTTGATTTGGGGTGGAGAGTTCTGTAGATGTCTATTAGGTCTGCTTGGTGCAGAGCTGAGTTCAATTCCTGGGTATCCTTGTTAACTTTCTGTCTCGTTGATCTGTCTAATGTTGACAGTGGGGTGTTAAAGTCTCCCATTATTATTGTGTGGGAGTCTAAGTCTCTTTGTAGGTCACTCAGGACTTGCTTTATGAATCTGGGTGCTCCTGTATTGGGTGCATATATATTTGGGATAGTTAGCTCTTCTTGTTGAATTGATCCCTTTACCATTATGTAATGGCCTTCTTTGTGTCTTTTGATCTTTGTTGGTTTAAAGTCTGTTGTATCAGAGACTAGGATTGCAATCCCTGCCTTTTTTTGTTTTCCATTTGCTTGGTAGATCTTCCTCCATCCTTTTATTTTGAGCCTATGTGTGTCTCTGCACGTGAGATGGGTTTCCTTAATACAGCACACTGATGGGTCTTGACTCTTTATCCAATTTGCCAGTCTGTGTCTTTTAATTGGAGCATTTAGTCCATTTACATTTAAAGTTAATATTTTTATCTGTGAATTTGATCCTGTCATGATGATGTTAGCTGGTTATTTTTCTCATTAGTTGATGCAGTTTCTTCCTAGCCTCGATGGTCTTTACAATTTGGCATGTTTTTGCAGTGGCTGGTACTGGTTGTTCCTTTCCATGTTTAGTGCTTCCTTCAGGAACTGTTTTAGGGCAGGCCTGGTGGTGACAAAATCTGTCAGCATTTGCTTGTCTGTAAAGGGTTTTATTTCTCCTTCATTTATGAAGCTTAGTTTGGCTGGATATGAAATTCTGGGTTGAAAATTCTTTTCTTTAAGAATGTTGAATATTGGCCCCCACTCTCTTCTGGCTTGTAGAGTTTCTGCCAAGAGATCCGCTGTTAGTCTGATGGGCTTCCCTTTGAGGGTAACCTGACCTTTCTCTCTGGCTGCCCTTAACATTTTTTCCTTCATTTCAACTTTGGTGAATCTGACAATTATGTGTCTTGGAGTTGCTGTTCTTGAGGAGTATCTTTGTGGCGTTCTCTGTATTTCCTGAATCTGAATGTTGGCCTACCTTGCTAGATTGGGGAAGTTCTCCTGGATAATATCCTGCAGAGTGTTTTCCAACTTGGTTCCATTCTCTCCATCACTTTCAGGTACACCAATCAGATGTAGATTTGGTCTTTTCACATAGTCCCGTATGTCTTGGAGGCTTTGTTCATTTCTTTTTATTCTTTTTTCTCTAAACTTCCTTTCTCACTTCATTTCATTCATTTCATCTTCCATCAGTGATACCCTTTCTTCCAGTTGATTGCTTCAGCTCCTGAGGCCTCTGCATTCTTCACGGAGTTCTTGAGCCTTGGCTTTCAGCTCCATCAGCAACTTTAAGCACTTCTCTGTATTGGTTATTCTAGTTATAGATTCGTCTAAATTTTTTTCAAAGTTTTTAACTTCTTTGCCTTTGGTTTGAATTTCCTCCTGTAGCTCGGAGTAGTTTGATCGTCTGAAGCCTTCTTCTCTCAACTCGTCAAAGTCATTCTCCATCCAGCTTTGTTCCATTGCTGGTGAGGAGCTGCGTTCCTTTGGAGGAGGAGAGGCACTCTGCTTTTTAGAGTTTCCAGTTTTTCTGCTCTGTATTTTCCCCATCTTTGTGGTTTTATCTAGTTTTGGTCTTTGATGATGGTGATGTACAGATGGGTTTTTGTTGTGGATGTCCTTTCTGTTTGTTAGTTTTCCTTCTAACACACAGGATCCTCAGCTGCAGGTCTGTTGGAGTTTGCTAGACGTCCACTCCAGACCCTGTTTGCCTGGGTACCAGCAGCGGTGGCTGCAGAACAGTGGATTTCCATGAACCGCGAATGCTGCTGTCTGATCGTTCCTCTGTAAGTTTTGTCTCAGAGGAGTACCCGGCCGTGTGAGGTGTCAGTCTGCCCCTACTGGGGAGTGCTTCCCAGGTAGGCTGCTCGGGGGTCAGGGACCCACTTGAGGAGGCAGTCTGCCCGTTCTCAAATCTCCAGTTGCGTGCTGGGAGAACCACTGCTCTCTTCAAAGCTGTCAGACAGAGACATTTAAGTCTTTAGAGGTTACTGCTGTCTTTTTGTTTGTCTGTGCCCTGCCCCCAGAGGTGGAGCCTACAGAGGCAGGCAGGCCTCCTTGAGCTGTGGTGGGCTCCACCCAGTTTGAGTTTCCCAGCTGCTTTGTTTACCTAAGCAAGACTGGGCAATTGTGGGTGCCCCTCCCCCAGCCTCGCTGCTGCCTTGCAGTTTGATCTCAGACTGCTGTGCTAGCAATCAGTGAGACTCCGTGGGCGTAGGACCCTCCAAGTCAGGTGCGGGATATAATCTGGTGCGCAATTTTTTAAGCCTGTCGGAAAAGCGCAGTATGGGGGTGGGAGTGACCCGATTTTCCAGGTGCCATCTGTCACCCCTTTCTTTGACTAAGAAAGGGAACTCCCTGACCCCTTGGGCTTCCCGAGTGAGGCAATGCCTCTCCATGCTTCGGCTTGCGCACTGTGTGCAGCACCCATTGTCCTGCGCCCACTGTCTGGCAATCCCTAGTGAGATGAACCCTGTACCTCAGATGGAAATGCAGAAATTACTGGTCTTCTGCATCGCTCACGCTGGGAGCTCTAGACCAGAGCTGTTCCTGTTCGGCCATCTTGGCTCCAGCCCTCCCGGCCGAGATTTTTTATCCAGAAGAGATGCTGATATTTATTGAATGCTTGCTTATGCTGCCTCTATTGAACTTATCATATGGTTTTTGTCTTTAATTCTGTTTACATGATGAATCACATCTATTGATTTGTGTATGTTGAATCATCCTTGCACTCCTGGAATAAAACACACTTGATCATGTTGTATTATCTTTTTCATGCGCTGTTGAATTTACTAGTATTTTCTTGAGTATTTACACATCAGGGATATTGGTGTAAAGTTTTATTATTTTATTTGTTGTGTTCCTGTCTAGCTTACAGGAAGCCTGTATCAAGGTTACACTGGCTTCACAGACTGAATTAGGGAGAAATTTCTATTCCTTAATTTTTCAGAAAAGTTTTGGGAGGATTTGTATCATTTCTTTTTTGTATGTCATGTGAATCCATCTAGTCTTGTGCTTTTCTTGTTGTTGTAAGGTGTTTCATTACTGATTCAATCTCATACTTTATCATTGATCTGTTTGGAATTTTTATTTCTTCCTTTTTCAATCTTGAGAGATTGTATGTTTCTAGGAATTTATCAATTTTCTGTCAGTTTTCTAATTTGTGGGTATATAGTTCTTCCTAGTAGTCTCTGATCTTTTATATTTCTTTGCGATTATTTGCAATGTCTTCTTTTCATTTATGATTAGGATTACTTGGATCTTTTATCTTCTTATTCTTTTTAACAGTCTATCAATTTTATTTATCTTTTCAAATAAGCAAGTTTTTGTTACATTGATATTTTGTATATTTTGGGGTCTCAATTTTATTTGTTTATACTCTGATCTTCATTGTTTCTTTTCTTCTGCTAGCTTTGCATATGGTTTGTTCTTGTTTTTCTAGTTCCTTGATGTGAGATATTAAGTTGTTTATTTGTGATCTTTCTATTTTTTGATGTAGCTATTTAATACCATAAACTCTAATTTTAGCACTGATTTTACTGTTTCCCGGAGGTTTCGGTATTTCCAATTTCACTTATTTCAAAAAATTTCTTTTAAAAGAAATTGATTCCATCATTGACCCCAAAATTGTTGAGGAGTATGTTGTTTAGTTATTGCATATTTGCATAGTTTTAAGAGGTTCTCTTGGAGTTGATTTCTAGTTT
Source organism: Homo sapiens (assembly GCF_000001405.40). Classification (NCBI taxonomy): domain Eukaryota; kingdom Metazoa; phylum Chordata; class Mammalia; order Primates; family Hominidae; genus Homo; species Homo sapiens. The sequence continues at coordinate 86,059,088 of NC_000006.12, forward strand.
TATTCTGTTGTGATGCAAGAAGAAACTTGGTATGATTTTAATTTTTAAAAATTTATTGAGTCTTGTTTTGTGGCCTAACAAATGTTTTAGATTAGAGAATGTTCTAATTCCTCTAATGAGAGGAATATATATTCTGTGGTTATTGAGTAAAGTGTTCTGTAAATGTCTGTTAGGTATTTGATCTAAAGTCCAATTTATGTACAGTGTTTTTTGTTGATTTCTGTCTCAATAATCTATCTAGTGCTGTCAGGAAGGTGTTGGAGTCCTCCACCTTTTTTTTTTTTTTTTTTCAATATCTGTTCTAAGCTGTTTGGTTTATTTTGGAAGATGGGAATTGGCCATTTTTATTTTCCAGTGTCTGTTTAGAAGCTGGGTCACAAGAGGTTAACTTGTTCAAAAAATGAAAAACAAGTTGCCTTTTCCAGAAAAAAAAATGTGACTTTCAGTGAGAATAAAGCAATGTTCCAGTAATACTGAGTAGTTCTTTAGCAATTTTTTAGTGATAAATCTTTTATCAGGAATGTAATTTGGTGGTTCTCCAATTTAAATATACTTTTGAAATATCAGTATAAGTTAAAAATTGATTTTATAAGAATATGGAATTATTTAACTAAAAATTATAAAATGATTGAAGCACAAATTATTTTAATAGAGATATGTGTACAATTTTCAATGACTAATTTCATAAAGTATGTTAATTTCTTAAATTTTTTTAAATTCATTTTTTAAAATGTACTTTAAGTTCTGGGATACATGTGCAGAACATGCAGATTTCTTACATAGGTATACATGTGCCATGGTGGTTTGCTGCACCCATCAACCCATCATCTACATTAGGTATTTCTCCTAATGCTATACCTCCCCTAGCCCACCACCCCATGACATTGTCTGGTATGTGATGTTTCCCTCCCTGTGTCCATGTGTTCTCATTGTTTAACTCTCACTTATGAGTAAGAACATGTGGTGTTTGGTTTTCTGTTACTGCATTAGTTTGCTGAGAATTATGGTTTCCAGCTTCATCCATGTTCCTGTAAAGTACATGAACTCATCCGTTTTATGGCTGCATTGTATTCCATGGTGTATATGTGCCACATTTTCTTTATCCACTCTATCATTGATGGGCATTTGGGTTGGTTCCAAGTCTTTGCTATTGTGAACAGTGTTGCCATAAACATATGTGTGCATGAGTCTTTATAGTACAATGATTTATAATCCTTTGGGTATATACCCAGTAATGGGATTGCTGGGTCAAATGGTATTTCTGGTTCTAGATCCTTGAGAAATCACCACAGTGTCTTCCACAATGGTTGAACTAATTTACACTCCCACCAACAGTGTAAAATGTTACTATTTCTCCACAGCCTCTCCAGCATCAGTTGTTTCCTGACATTTAATGATCACCATTCTAACTGGCATGAGATGGTATCTCACTGTGGTTTTTGATTTCCGTTTTTCTAATGACCAGTGATGAGCTTTTTTTCAAAAGTTTGTTGGTTGCATAAATGTCTTCCTTTGAGAAGTGTCTGTTCATATCATTTACTCACTTTTTGATGGGGTTGTTTAATTTTTCTTGTAAATTCGTTTAAGTCCCTTGTAGATTCTGGATATACTAGCCCTTTGTCAGATGGACAGATTGCAAAAATTTTCTCCCAATTTGTAGGCTGCCTGTTCATTCTGATGATAGTTTCTTTTGCTCTGCAGAAGCTCTTTAGTTTAATTAGATCCAGTTTGTCAATTTTGGCTTTTGTTGCCATTGCTTTTGTTGTTTTTGTCATAAAGTCTTTGCCCATACCTATGTCCTGAATGGTATTGCCTAATTTTTCTTCTGGGTTTTTATGGTTTTAGGACTTACATTTAAGTCTTTAGTTCATCTTGAGTTAATTTTTGCATAAGGTCTAAAGAAGGGATCCAGTTTCAGTTTTCTGCATATGGCTAGCCAGTTTTCCCAACATCATTTATTAAATAGGGAATCCTTTCCCCATTGCTTATTTTTGTCAGGTTTGTCAAAGATCAGATGGTTGCAGATGTGTGACATTATTTCTGAGGCCTCTGTTCTGTTCCATTTGTCTATATGTCTGTTTTGGTACCAGTAACATGCTGTTTTAGTGACTGTAGCCTTGCAGTATAGTTTGAAGTCAGGTAGCATGATGCCTCCAGCTTTGTTCTTTTTGCTTAGGATTGTCTTGGCAATGCAGGCTCTTTTTTGGTTCCATATGAACTTTAGTTTCTTCCAATTCTGTGAAGAAAGTCATTTGTAGCTTCATGGGGATGGCATTGAATCTATAAATTACCTTGGGCAGTATGGCCATTTTCATGATATTCATTCTTCCTATCCATGAGCATGGAATGTTTTTCCATTTGATTGTGTAGTCTCTTATTTCCTTGACCAGTGGTTTGTAGTTCTTCTTGAAGAGGTCCTTCACATCCTTTGTAAGTTGTATTCCTCGGTGTTTTATTATCTTTGTTGCAGTTGTAAATGAGAGTTCACTCATGATTTGGCTGTTTGTCTGTTATTGGTGTATAGGAATGTTTGTGATTTTTGCCCATTGATTTTGCATCCTGAGACTTTTCTGAAGTTGCTTGTCACCTTAAGGAGATTTTGGGCTGAGACGATGGAATTTTCTAAATATACAATCATGTCATCTGCAAAAAGTGACCATTTGACTTCCTCTCATTCTATTTGAATACACTTTATTTCTTTCTCTTGCCTGGTTGACCTGGCCAGAAATTCCAATACTATGTTGAATGGGAGTGGTGAGAGAGGGTATCCTCGTCTTGTGCCGGTTTTCAAAGGGAATGCTTCCAGCTTTTGCCCATTCAGTATGAAATTGGCTGTAGGTTTGTCAAAAATATCTCTTATTATGTTGAGGTAGTTCCATCACTACCTAGCTTATTGAGAGTTTTTAGCATGAAGGGGTGTTATATCTTATCGAAGGCCTTTTCTGTATCTACTGAGATAATCATGTGTTTTTTGTTACTGGTTCTGTTTATGTGATGGATTATGTTTATTGATTTGCATATGTTGAACCAGCCTTCCGTCCCAGGGATGAAGCCAGCTTGATCATGGTGGATAAGCTTTTTGATGTGCTGCTGGATTCGGTTTGCCAGTATTTTATTGAGGATTTTTGCTTCGATGTTCATCAGGGATATTGGCCAGAAATTTTCTTTTTTTGTTGTGTCCCTCACAAGTTTTGGTATCAGGATGATGCTGACCTCATAAAATGAGTTAGGGAGGAGTCCCTCTTTTTCTTTTGTTTCAAATAGTTTCAGAAGGAATGATACGAGCTCCTCTTTGTACCTGTGGTAGAATTCGGCTGTGAATCTGTCTGGTCCATGGTTTTTTTTTGGTTGTCAGACTATTAAATACTGTTTCAATTTCAGAACTTGTTATTGGTCTATTCAGAAATTCTACTTCTTCCTAGTTTAGCCTTGGGAGGGTGTATGTGTCCAGGAATTTATCCATTTCTTCTAGATTTTCTAGTTTATTTGCATAGAGGTGTTTATAGCAATCTCTGATGGTAGTTTTTATTTCTATGGGATTGGTGGTGATATCCTCTTTATCATTTTTTATTGTGTCTATTTGATTCTTCTCTTTTTTCTTCTTTATTATTCTGGCTAGCGATCTATGTATTTTGTTAATCTTTTCAAAAAACCAGTTCCTGGATTCATTGATTTTTTTGAAGTGTTTTTCGAGTCTCTATCTCCTTCACTTCTGCTCTGAGCTTAGTTATTTCTTGTCTTCTTCTAGTGTTTGAATTTGTTTGCTCTTGCTTCTCTAGTTCCTTTAATTGTGATGTTAGGGTGTCAATTTTAGATATTTGCTGCTTTCTCCTGTGGGCATTTTGTGCTATAAGTTTCCCTCTAAATACTGCCTTAAATGTGTCCCAGAGATTCTGGTATGTTTGCCCTTATTCTCAATGCTTTCAAAGAACTTATTTATTTCTGCCTTAATTTCGTTATTTACCCAGTAGTCATTCAGGAGCAGGTTGTTCAGTTTGCAGGTGGTTTTGCTGTTTTGAGTGGGTTTCTTAATCCTGAGGTCTAATTTGATTGTACTGTGGTCTGAGAGACTGTTTGTTATGATTTTCGTTCTTTTGCATTTGCTGAGGAGTGTTTTACTTCTAATTATGTGGTCAATTTTAGAATAATTGTGATGTGGTGCTGAGAAGAATGTATATTCTCTTGATTTGGGGTGGAGAGTTCTGTAGATGTCTATTAGGTCTGCTTGGTCTAGAGCTGAGTTCAAGTTCTGAATATCCTTGTTAATTTTCAGTCATGTTGGTCTGTCTTATATTGACAGTAGGGTGTTAAAATCTCCCACTATTATTGTGTGAGAGTCTAAGTCTCTTTGTAGGTCTCTAAGAACTTGCTTTATGAATCTGGGTGCTCCTGTATTGGGTGCATTTATATTTAGGATAGTTAACTCTTCTGTTGCATTGATCCCTTTACCATTATGTAATGCCCCTTCTTTGTCTCTTTTGATCTTTGTTTGTTTAAAGTCTGTTTTGTCAGAGACTAGGATTGCAACCTCGGCTTTTTTTTTCTTCCCTTTTGCTTGGTAAATATTACTCCATCACTTTATTTTGAGTCTATGTATGTCTTTGCACAGGAGATGGGTCTCCTGAATACAGCACACTGATGGGTCTTGACTATCCAGTTTGCCAGTCTGTGTCTTTTAATTGAGGCATTTACCTCTTTTACATTTAAGGTTAATATTGGTATTTGGGAATTTGATCCTGTCATTATGATGCTATCTGGTTACTGGTTATTTTACCTGTTAGTTGATGCAGTTTCCTTATAGTGTTGATGGTCTTTACAATTTGGTATGTTTTTGTAGTGGCTGGTACCATTTTTTTCCTTTCTATATTTACTGCTTCCTTCAGGAGCTTTTGTAAGGCAGGCCTGGTGGTTATAAAATCTCTCAGCATTTGCTTTCTGTAACGGATTTTATTTTCCCGTCACTTGTGAAGCTTAGTTTGGCTGGATATGAAATTCTGGGCTGAAAATTCTTTTTGTTATGAATGTTGAATATTGGTCCCCACTCTCTTCCTGTAGGGTTTCTGCAGAAAGATCTGCTGTTAGTCTGATGAGCCTCCATTTGTGGATAACCTGACCTTTCCCTCTGGCTGTCCTTAATATTTTTTCCTTCATTTCAACCTTGGTGAATCTGGTGATTATGTGTCTTGGAGTTGCTCTTCTCGAGGATTGTCTTTGTAGTGTTTTCTGTGTTTCTTGAATTTCAATGTTGGCCTGTCTTGCTAGTCTAGGAAAGTTCTGGTGTATACTATTTTGAAGAGTGTTTTCCAACTTGATTCCATTCTCCCCGTCACTTTCTGGTACAACAATCAAATGTAGGTTTGCTCTTTTCACATAGTACCATATTTCTTTGGGGCTTTGTTCATTCCTTTACATTCTTTTTTCTCTAATCTTGTCTTCACGCTTTATTTTGTTAAGTTGATCTTCAGTCTGTGATATCCGTTCTTCTACTTGATCAATTCAGCTATTGATACTTGTGTATGCTTCACAAAGTTCTCATGCTGTGTTTTTCAGCTCCATCAGTTCATTTAAGTTCTTCTCTAAAGTGGTTATTCTAGTTAGCGATTCTTCTAAACTTTATTCAAGGTTCTTAGCTTCCTTGCATTCGGTTAGAACATGCTTCTTTATCTCGGAGGAGTTTGTTGTTATCTACCTTCTGAAGGCTACTTTTTTCAGTTCGTCAAACTCATTCCCCATCCAGTTTTGTTCCCTTGCTGGCAAGAAGCTGTGATCCTTTGGAAGAGAAGAGGTGTTTTGGCTTTTGGAATTTTTATCCTTTTTTGTGGTTTTTCCTCATCTTCGTGGATTTATCTTCCTTTGGTCTTTGATGTTGGTGACCTTTGGATGAGGTTTCTATGTGGATGTCCTTTTTGTTGATGTTGATGCTCCTCTTTTCTGTTTGTTAGTTTTCCTTCTAACAGGCCCCTCTGCTGCAGGTCTGCTGGAGTTTGCTGGAGGTCTGCTCCAGACCCTGTTTGCCTGGATATCACCAGCAGAGGCTGCAGAACAAGGATTGCTGCCTGTTCCTTCCTCTGGAAACTGTCCCTGAGGGGCACACACCAGATGCCAGCCAGAGCTCTTCTGTATGAGATGTCTGTCGATCTCATCAGGGAGCTGTCTCCCAGTTAGCAGGCACAGGGGTCAGGGACCCACTTGAGGATGCAGTCTGTCCCTTAGCAGAGCTTGAGCGCTGTGCTGGGAGATCCGCTGCTCTTTTCAGATCTGGTAGACAGGAACATTTAAGTCTGCTGAAGCTGCACCCACAGCCCCCATTTCCCCAGGTCCTCTGTCCCAGGGAGATGGGAGTTTTATCTATAAGCCTCTGATTGGGGTTTCTGCCTTATTTTTGGGATGCCCTGACCAGACAGGAGGAATCCAGAGAGGCAGTCTGGCTACAGTGGCTTTGCTGAGCTGAGTTGGGTTTTGCCCAGTTTGAACTTTCCAGAGGCTTTGTTTACATTATGAGGGGAAAACCGCCTACTCAAGCCTCAGCAATGATGGATGCCCCTGTCCCCACCAAGCTCAAGTGTCCCAGGTCAACTTCAGACTGCTCTGCTGGCAGCGAGAATTTCAAGCCAGTGGATCTTAGCTTGCTGGGCTCTGACAGGTTGGGATCTCCTTAGCTAGACCATTTGGTTTCCTGGCTTCAGCCCCCTTTCCAGGGCAGTGAACAGTTCTGTCTTGCTCACGTTCCAGGTGCCACTGGGGTATGAAAAATAAATTCCTGCAGCTAGCTTGGTGTCTGTCCAGAGGGTCACCAGGTTTTGTGCTTGAAACCCAGGGCCCTGGTGGTGTAAGCACCCGAGGGAATCTCCTGGTCTGTGGTTTGCAAAGACCAGGGGAAAAGCATAGTATCTGAGTTGGAATGCACCGTTTCCCTTGGTAAAGTCACTCATGGCTTCCCTTGGCTATGGGAGGGAGTTCCCCAACCACTTATGCTTCCTAGGTGAGGCGATACCATACCCTGCTTCGGCTCACCCTCCCTGGCTTGCACCTACTGTCTAACCAGTCCCAGTGAGATGAGCCCACTACCTCAGTTAGAAATGCAGAAGTCACCCGCCTTCTGCATTGATCTCACTGGGAACTGCAGACCAGAGCTGTTTCTATTTGGCCATCTTGCCAGCCACCCCTTCTCCTCCACTATTATTGTATTGCTTTCTATCTCTCTCTTTTTTTTTAAAGTTCTGTTGATATTTGTTTTATAAATCTGGGTTCTTCAATGTTAGACACATATGTATTTAGGATTATTAGGTCTTATTAAAATTTTCAAAATCAATTTTTAAAAAATTTATCTTTTTATTATTATATAAAGACCTTCTCTATCTTTTATGATTGTTGGTTTAAAGTCTGTTTGCTTTTCATTCCTGTTTGCATATAATATGTTTTTTCATTTCTTTACCTTTAGTCTATAAATGTCTGTATCAGTAAGATGAGTTTATTTTAAGCAATATATAGTTGGTTCATGGTTTTTAAAATCTATTTTACTAATCTATATTTTTTAAGCAGATAATTTAATGTATTTACTTTCAAGGTTAATTGAGACGTGAAATTTTATTCTGGTCATAATATTAATTGTTATCTTATTGCTTTGTAGATTGTTTTGTCTATAGTCTGTTTGTAATTTTGGTTTGGTAGAGTTCTGCCATGTTGTCATTTGATTTCTCTCTTCCTCATTTGTGTAACTGTCTTATAAGTCTTTTGAGTTTTTCACTTTTATGTGTTTTAATGATGGCAAGTATTGACCTTTTGTTTCTGTGTTTTTAACTCTGAGCATTTCTTGTAGTGTTGGTTTAGTGGTGATGAATTGTCTTAGCATTTGCACTTCTGGAAAGCTTTATTTATGAAGCTTATTCCAACAGAATATAAAATTCATGGTTGACAGTTTTTTTTCTTCAAACGCTGTTAAAATAGAATCCCAATATATAATGGCATGTAACAGTGGACTGAGAAGTCTGCTGTTAGTCTGATGGCATTTCTTTTATAGGTGACTAGACACTCTTCTCTTGCTGATTTCAGGATATTTTTTTCTCCAGGTTGACTTTAGATAGTCTGTTGACTACATGTCTTGGCAAAATTCATCTTACAATGTATTTTTCTGGTGTTCACTTCACCTCTTGTATCTGAATGTTTAAATCTCTTGCAATACTAGGGAAGTCTTGATTATTTTCTTAAATAGGTTTTCAAATCATTTGGTCTTTTTTTGTCCCCTGGCAAGAAGAATGATTCATAAAGTTGAACAATTTGTCCCATACTTCTGAAAAGCTTCACTAATTTTTTTTTTTTTTTTTTGAGACAGGTCTTGCTTTGCTGTCCAACCTGGAGTGCAGTAGTACCATCATAGCTCACTGCAGCCTCAAACTTCTGGGCTCAAGCAATCTTCTTGCCTTAGCCTCTCAAGCAGCTGGGACCACAGGCACATGCCACTCCACTATGCCTAGCTAATTTTTTAAACTTTTAATTTTTTTGCAGAGATTGGGTCTCATTATATTTCTTAAGCTGCTCCCAAACTCTTGGACTCAAGTGATCCGCCCTGAAATTACAGGCATGAACAAATGTGCCAGGTATGTTTATTCTTTTTAAATATTTTTCTTTATTTTTGTTTAACCAAATTAATGAAAAAGACCTATATTCAAGTTCTGAGATTCCATCTTCTGCTTGGTCTGTTGTTGAAAATTTCAACTGTATTTTTAAGTTCCTTCAAAACATTTTTTTATTTCTTTTTTTTAAATTAAGATATATGTATCTACTTGGTCAACTTCTTGTTTATATCCCAAATTGATTTTCTGATTTCTTTGTGTTAGTTTTCAGGTTTCTTTTGAAACTCCATTAGCTTCTTTAAAATCAATAGTTTGAATTCTGTTTCTGGAATGTCAAAATTTTTATTTTGGTTAGGATCCAATGTTAGAAAGTTAGTGCAATCTTTTGAGGGTGCTGTAACACCCTGCTTTTTCATACTTTCATAATTGTTGTCTGGGAAATATTTTATTTCTCCCTCATTTCTGAAAGATAGCTTGGCTGTGTATAATATTCATGGATCACAATTTTCTTCTTTCAATATTTTGAATATAACTTCATTTTCTCCCCTCCTGTGAGGTTTCTGCTGCAAAAGCTGTATTTATTTTATGGGAATTCCCTTATTGTAACTTGGGGCTATTATCTTGTTGTTTTTAGAATTCACTCTTTGTCTTTCACTTATGACATTTTGACTATAAAATGCCTTGGAGAAGACTTTTAGGGTTGAATTTATTTGGGGACTTTTAATCTCCCAAGATTTGGATGTCTATATCTTTCCCTACACTTGGTAAGTTTTCAGCTATTATTTCAGCGAAATATTTTTTTCAAACTTTTTCCATTTCTTCTTTTGGAATTTTCATGATACAATTTGCAGGCTTATGGTGTCCGGTAAGTTTTGTAAACTTTCTTTACTCTTTTTTATTCTTATATCTTTTTTCAAACTGGTTAATTTCAAATGCCTATCTTCAAGTTTAGTGATTCTTTCTTCTGCTCAATCAAGTCTCCTGTTGCAGCTCTCTATTGTATTTTTTATTTAATTATTGAGTGCTTCAGCTGCAACATTTCTTCTTTTTGTTGAATTTCCTGTTCATATATTAATTTATTTTTCTTATTTTGTTGATTTATCTATCTATATTTTTATTTCTAATTGAGTTTCCTTTTCATTATTTTGAATTCCTTTTCCAGCAATTTGTTGATTTCCCTTTCATTCATGTCAGTTACTAGAGTTATTAATGTCTTTTGGTGATGTCATATTTCCTTGCTTTTTCATATTTTTTTTTGTGTCCCTGCATTGATGTCTGTGTATCTGGTGGAACAATCACCTCTTTCAACATGTGAGTGGATTTCATAGAAAAAGATTTTTGCCTGCAGTGGGATCTTAGTGTGCTAGTTAGAAAGGGTATGGTTATTCTGTTTCTGCATAGCTGCAGTGATATAGTCTCCATGCAGTTTCTTCAGCTGTTTTCATTATCATCAATAACTGGAGGTCCTCAGTGTCCTAGGCTCTGGAAGTTTGTAGTAGTCATGGTGGCAGTGTAGGCTATTAATATTCTCTGTCATGAAAGCTCCTGAGATCCTTCTATTCTCACTTTCCTCACAATGGAGAGACTTAATTGAAGAGATCCCTTTTCTCATTATGTCTTACAGTTTCCAAACAGCAGGATTCCAGCAGATACAGGTGCTTGGACAATGTGGGGCTGACGATGCTAGGTTCAGAGTCTGACAAACCTATTGTGGCACTTAGGCCTTGGAATGCAGGTTCACCCTCTGTTGCAGGGTTGGTTGGTTGCTCACAGCAACAGAATCTGTGGCTCTGAGACACCCCCTGGCAGCTTGGGTCCAGGGGGTTCAGTTGTACTGTGATTCCACCCCCGATGGGGAGGGTACAGCCCTGGCCTGACTCCAGGGAGGAAGGGATACTCTGAAGGTTCAATCCCAGGGTGCAGGGTATAACTATAATTTGGAAACCTGAGCCACTAAGGCTCAGTGGCAACTTGGGTCCTTGGGGATGAGGCACCATGTAGAACCTAGACTCTAGACCCCAGGATGGTGGGTTTTAGCAATAATGCAGACTCTGTGAGGCCAGGTACAGCAGCAGCAGCAGCAGAAGCAGCAAGAATCCCAGAATGACTGAGCATGGCTGTTGTTTGGGCCCTTGGAGGAATGGAGCAGCACAGTGATGACTCAGCTCCCTGGGGAGAGGGGTCTTTTGGTATGTCAGACTCTGGGAGGCTAGTCCAGTTCTAGGGAAGAATGGTACTAGAGTTGTTTGTCCTGTACGGTGGGGTGTTTCAGCTCAGCTACTGCTCTTTTATATCTTAGCACATTTACCATTGTATAGAAAAAAACACTGATTTATCTGAGCTTCCACTTATTTCCTTTAAGAGATCCAAGTTATCCTCCTAACCCTGAGTGTATTTTCTTCTTAAGACTTTCTCAATGTTTCACATCTAGGATCAGAGTTGATTGTAGATTTCCTATGACCGTGGCTATTATCACTGATTCCAGTTTGCTCAAATATTAACCTATATAATTCTTACCAATTCTGAGCTGTCCTTAAAGATGAGGAAGGATTTATTTTGAACCAGAATATGTTATTATTTATTAAGCTTCTCAAATATACTTGGATATTTCAATTTTTGTAAGCTTTTCCTTGAATAACTCAATTTGTGGACAGATGGATAACTCAGCAGGAAACTCATAACACTTTTTCTGGCCAACTATGAACCAGTGGTCCAAGATAAGGCCCAGGTAACTTGACTTTCTCCTAACTCATGGAAACTTACCAGTTACCCTCTTCCTTGAGAAATTGGGAAACACCATTTATCTTCTCTTTTTGTGTGTATTAACCTTGGTATCCTATAGCTGATTCTCAGTCTCAAAGTCTTTATTCTTCCTCTCAGGAGACCTGACATATTCCAGTATAAATAGTAGGCCTAGATGCTTGCAATAATGTCCTGGTGGTCCCAAATTGTCACCCCTATTAGATTACCCATCACTGTCTAAGCTAACTTTCTTCCACTTGCCAAATGACCTCTCACTCTATAAAGATGACAAGTCACTTAAGGATTAGAAAATATCTAACAGAGAGTATTTTTGCCACTTTCACTGGGGAGTAGAACAGTTAAGAAAAATACTGTGTGAACATTTATTCCAAAGTTCCATTATGATAGGGCATTTATTCTTTAAACTTTTCTTTTAATTCTTTTTATTAAAGATTTCTTTTAGGAGCAAAATAGATTCTATCAGGTTTTGCTGATTACTGAAAAGTTAATTTTTTAATCCAGTGGCCACATTAAAAAAACCCAGCCCACATTATTTCTCATCAATTGATAAGTACTGTGGTAATGCAAATTATGGACAAAAAGTAAACAAGTAGTAATAGAAATCTGTTATCCTAGTAAAATTATAAGATGTATTTTACTATCAAACAGAAGTTCTTTGTATGTGATTCCCTGTATCTGTTTATTAGATTATTTAGACTAATCTACACCAAATAAAATGAATGATAAATTTCTTTTTTTTATTTTATTATTATTATACTTTAAGTTTTAGGGTACATGTGCACAATGTGCAGGTTAGTTACATATGTATACATGTGCCATGCTGGTGTGCTGCACCCATAAACTCGTCATTTAGCATTAGGTATATCTCCTAATGCTATCCTTCCCCCCTCCCCCCACCCCACAACAGTCCCCAGAGTGTGATGTTCCCCTTCCTGTGTCCATGTGTTCAAAATGAGCAATAAATTTCTTAAAATTCTCTTGTGAGAAACTTTTTGGAGGTCAAGAGAAAGAAAAGCCTAAGCAGTTCTGCCAGGGTAATTCACTGAATGTTGACATAACTATGTCTCACTGGAAGAGAAGTAAAGTTTGTGTTTAGGGTAGAATATTGATTACGGTTTATTCACTGAGACCTACCTGTAAAAATAAATTAATTTTAACTTATTATGGTTTGAATCCTGAAATAAAATAAAGAAATTGAGTCAGTTATAATCCTTATGTCTCTGACTAGGTCTTAGCAAGAAATAAGCCAAGGAGAGATTCCACCTTTTTTTCTGATAAAACAACCTGAATGTAGGGCTCTTCCCACAATGAATAGAAGAGGAGGGGCATTATAAAAGGGAGGCATTATAAAAAGAGGGGTGTTATAAAAGAGATAATGACAGTCATAATATAGACTTTTGTGGTAAACAGTTTATTTATTTAACTGGGGTCTTAAGACTGATTTCTCATAGAAGAATGAGTCAAACAATAATGGCACCCAGTGGAGCCACTTCATGGTCCCAAGAAGGTGAGTTGTTATTATTGTTATCACATTTATCATCAGCTCCAATTATACTAGCAGAAAATACCTAGGAAATGAAAGCATCCTGTTGGCAATGAAGTAATAGGAAAACAAGGAAATATATGTCCATTGCCATTTATTTTCTTTTGTAGTCCAATTCTAGATAAACCACACTGATGAGATAGGAAATATTTACATAAACTATTTCCTGATTACTCAAGCTTGTTCAGGAGCCATTCTGTAAGTTATCTTTTTCTAGACTTTTATGTTCAGTCTTCCTATAAGAACCACTAAGTACCACTGAATACAGACAAGTCTTGATGAACTTCTCTAAATCTTAATTTGCTCTCCTACATAAGCTGAGTAAATGGACAATTGAATTACAGTGGTTTTATTTTCAAGTGAAGTGAAATTCAAATTTGTAAAAAACTTAAAAATCGATGGAAATAACAAAAAAATTAAAATGAAGCAAAGATATTTATATTAATGCAGTTTTATATAATAAATACAATAACAATAAATCAATATTTAGTTTGAAGAGCTATAGTAATTAAATTGTAAGCAATTATAGCTACTTAACAGGATGGAGATACAATGTAAACAAAGTACATAAAGGAAAAAGCAGACAAAAAACCAACATCAACAAACCACAAAACATCCACTAAACAAATAGATGTAATGTAGTTTTGGGGTTACTTTTGATTTTTTTTTTTAATTGGTAAAGTTCTTTTTGTGATAGTTTTTCCTTGGGGTTGGGATGAAATAGAGAAACCAGGTTTCAGCTTATGTTTGAGAACTTTTCTTTACAGATAATTTCCCAATTGTTCAAAAGCAAAAACAAGGTCATGCTAATGTTAGGAGTTTAGAGTTTAAGTAAGCTCAAGTATCAAACTTTGTTCTGTTCCATAAGGCCCAAGAGGAAAATGTTCTGAATTATTAAAGTTGTTTTCCTTCACAGTTAGAGCAACAGTACACAGAACTCCCATTTTTCTCTGCCTTATTTTTACAAAGCACATCAATGAGAATGACTCCTCTCTTCTCTTATCAGCATTCTCCATCATTTTGTTTAGGATCTTTTGAGTTTGAGGGCATGGTGAAAACCAGTTCAGTTTTGATGAACAAAAGTTAGGAGGTTTACTCTAAAAGTTAGGAGTCTTGACACAGATGGGGGCTGCTGTTGTGGTCATTATATACAACCTAATGGAACTATGTTCTCATACCCAGCCACACTTTTTAAATTCTTTCCAGGATGAGAAAAATGGAGAATTGTGCCATTTATCCTTGGCCCAGGAAGAAATATTAATATCATGTTCCAAGTGGAAACAAACCCACACCTGTGACATTTTTCCACTAGAGGTGGAGAGAGTAGGATGGGGTGAGAACCATCTTTTTTTCCCCTTTGGCTCTGTACCCAATTAATGTGTTTTTCATATTTTTTTAATGCCTGGGATTAAGAAGTGATTAGTTCAGTCAAGTTAAGTGAAAATGCTTATAGAACTGGAAAAAAACTCATCAATTATTGGCATTACCCTATAGAGTCATTTTACAAGAGTCATTGTCAGTATATTACTGTATATATACTCTTTGCAAAGGAAACCAAGTGGTAAAGTAAAAAATCTACTGGACTTAGAGTCATGGAAAGTGACTAGTTTCCATAAATTTCCTGTGTGGTAGTGGTCGAATCACTTAGCCTTTTTAGTTATTTGACCAAAAGTGAGGAAGTAAAAATTAATCCAGGGTGCTATATTTGTTAAGCCTCTAAATAGCTTTGGCAGAGGCTGGTAGTTGCAAACATACCTCCTGTTCCATATAAAATTTAGATGAACTACTGAAAATTAGGGTTGAACACAGCTTAATCTCTGAGGTTAATCAGAGTCCAAAGGGAGTAAGTTCAATTTCCATGACAAAACTGAACAAGATCTGAGCAGTTCCCTACTACCATTGCTCCTCAAGGAAGAGCCCTGTACAATCTGGCAGACATACCTATACTGCTATTATGATGCTGGGCTCATCAGTTTTCTACCTAGGCAGCAGTTCATCTTCATGGGAGATTGAACTGACCTCAAAATACAAGCTCAACTAGGGGAGAACAACATAGAATTCCACCACTGTCCCATCTTAGTGGTCAGTTTTTACTTCAAATACAAGTGACCATAAGAATACTGGATTAAAAGTAATGCCATCATTTCCTGCTTCACAAATCCGACATATTAATAAGGCTGAGTATAGCAGTTGGTACTTTGCCATGGGGAAAGGTATTTTCTTTATAAAAAAGCCCCTTTACAAGACCTCTGAAATTTACTATTTCTTAATCATAATAGCAATCTCAATGAATTTAAAAACCTAGGTAAAATGGACAAATTCCTAGAAAATAAAAATTATTTAAAATGGCTCAAGAAGAAATAAAACATCTTAATGGTTCTATAACTAGTAACCTACAATCAGTAGTTTAAAATCTTTCCCCAAATAAAACACCATGTTTGGGTTATTTCACAGGCAATTGCTATAAAAACTGAAGGAACAGATAATTTTAACCTTATAAATTTCAGAGAATACTAAAAAATGAAGAAGCACTTTATATATTGGTTAAAATATAAGTTTATCTGTATTTAACAGGAACCAAGACAACAATGACTTAAAATATGTAGAGTTTTATTTTCTGTCTCGTATGATAGCCTGGAGACAGCTGGCCAGTACAGGTATAGCAGACTGATTTTAAGGTCATCTGTGGGAAATGTAGTGCTCCACAGGTTCAGCATCTCAGGTTCCTTTTGCTGTGTTTTCCCATCATACCTAAAGTGGTACCTTTGAACACATAATCCAAGAAGGCTCACAACCACATTCTCATTTCAGTGAATAAGTGAGAGGATGGGTTGAAGAAGGGGACCTCTTTTTTTGATAGGTTATTGGGGAACTGGTGGTGTTTGGTAACATGAGTAAATTCTTCAATGGTGATTTGTGAGATTTTGGTGCACTCATCACCGAAGCAGTGTATACTGTACCCAATTTGTATTCTTTTATCCCTCACCCTCTTCCCACCCTTTCCCCCTGGGTCCCCAAAGTCCATTGTGTCATTATTATGCCTTTGTGTCCTCATAGCTTAGCTCCCAAATATCAGTGAGAACATACAATGTTTAGTTTTCCATTCCTGAGTTACTTCACTTAGGATAATAGTTTCCAATCTCATCCAGGTCACTGCAAATGCCTTTAATTCATTCCTTTTTATGGCTGAGTAGTATTCCTTCTGTATGATGAGTTTGAGTTTGTTGTGTGTGTGTGTATACATATATATGTATACACACACACACACCACAGTTTCTTTATTCAGTCATTGATGGGTGTTTTGGTTGGTTTCACATTTTTACAATTGTGAATTGTGCTGCTATAAACATGTGTGCAAGTATGTTTTTCATATAATGAGTTCTTTTTCTCTGGGTAGATACCCAGTAGTGGGATTGCTGGATCAAATGGTAGTTCTACTTTTAGTTGTTTAAGGAATCTCCACTGTTTTCCATGGTGGTTGTACTAGTTTACACTGCCACCAGCAGTGTAGAAGTGTTCCCTGTTAACCACATCCATGCCAAATCTGTTATTCTTTGATTTTTTGATTATGGCCATTATTGAGGGACTAAGGTGGTGTCGCATTGTGGTTTTGATTTGCATTTCCCTGCTCATTAGTGATGTTGAGCATTTTTTCATGTTTGTTGGTCATTGGATATCTTCTTTTGGGAATTGTCTATTGAAGTTTGTTTTTCTTGCTAATTTGTTTGAGTTTGTTGTAGATTCTGGATATTAGTCCTTCGATAGATGTATAGATTGTGAAGATATTCTCCCAATCCGTGGGTTGTTTGTTTACTCTGCTGACTGTTCCTTTTGTCATGTAAAATCTCTTTAGTTTAATTAAGTTCCATCTATTCATCTTTATTTTTATTACATTTACTTTTGGGTTCTCGGTCATGAATCCTTGCCAAAGCCAACGTCAGGAAGGGATTTTACAATGTTATTTTCTGGAATTTTTATAGTTTCAGGTCTTAGATTTAAGTTCTTGATCCATCTTGAGTTGATTTTGGTATAAGGTGAAAGATGACAATCCAGTTTCATTCTCCGCCATGTGGCTTGCCCATTATGCCAGAATCATTTGTTGAATAGGGTGTCCTTTCCCCACTTTATGCTTTTGTTTGCTTTGTCAAATATCAGTTGGTGTAAGTATTTGGGCTTATTTCTGCATTTTCTATTCTATTCCGTTTGTCTTTGTGCCTATTTTTATACCAATATCATGTTGTTTTGGTGAATATGGCCTTATAGTGTAGTTTGAAATCAGATGATGTGATGCCTCTAGGTTTGTTCTTTTTGCTTAGTCTTGCTTTGGTTATGTGGGCTATTTTGGTTCCATATGAATTTTAGGATTGTTTCTTCTAGTTCTGTAAAGAATGGTGGTGGTATTTTGAATGGGAATTGCATGAATTTGTAGATTGCTTTTGGCAGTATGATCATTTTCACAATATTGATTCTACCCATTCATGAGCATGGAATGTGTTTCCATTTGTTTGTGTTGTCTATGATTTCTTTCAGCAGTGTTTTGTAGTTTTCTTTGGTAGAGGTATTTCACCTCCTTGGCTAGGTATATTCCCAGGTTTCTTTTTTTTTTTTCAGCTATTGTAAAAAGGGTTGAGTTCTTGAATTTATTCTCTGCTTGGTCACTGTTAGTTTATAGAAGAGGTACTAATTTGTGTACATTAATTTTGTATCCAGAAACTTTGCTGAATTCTTTTATCAGTTTTAGGAGCTTTCTGGAGGATTCTTTAGGGTTTTCTAGGTAAACAATCATATCGTCAGCAAACATTGACAGTTTAACTTCCTCTTTACCAACTTGGATGCCCTTTATTTATTTATCTTGCCTGATTGCTGTGGCTAAGACTTGCAGTACTATGTTGAAAAGGAGGGGTGAGATTGGGCATCCTTGTCTTGTTCCAGTTCTCAGAGGAAATGCTTCAACTTTTTCCCATTCAGTATTATATTGGCTGTGGGTTGTTCATAGATTGACTTTATGACATTGAGGTATGTCTCTTGTATGCTGATTTTGCTAAGAGTTTTAATCATAAAGGGATGCTGGATTTTGTTGAATGCTTTTTCTGCATCTACTGAGATGATAATGTGATTTTCATTTTTGATTATATTTATGTGGTGTGTCAAATTTATTGACTTGTGTGTGTTAAACAATCCCTGCATCTCTGGTATAAAAGCCACTTGGTCATGGTGGATTATCTTTTTGATATGTTTTTGGATTTAGTTAACTAGTATTTTGTTGAGGTTTTTTTCCATCTATGTTCATCAGGGATATTGGTCTGCAGTTTTTTGTTATTGTTGCTATATCCTTTCCTAGTTTTGGTATTAGGGTGATACTGGCTTCATAGAATAATTTAGCAAAGATTTCCTCTTTCTCTGTCTTGGGGGAATAGTGTCAATATAATTGGTACCAATTCTTCTTTCAATGTCTCGTAGAATTCTGCTGTGAATCCATCTGGTCCTGGACTTCTTTTGTTGGTAAAATTTTTTTTATTGGCCATTTCAATCTCACTGCTATTTAATGGTCTGTTCAAGGTATCTAATTCTTCCTGATTTAAGCTAGGAGGGCTGTATCTTCCCAGGAATTTATCCATCTCCTCTAGGTTTTCTAGCTTATGAGCATAAAGGTGTTCATGGTAGCCTTGAAAGATCTTTTGTATTTCTGTGGTGTTTCATTTCTAATTGAGTTTATTTAAATTTTTCTCTCTTTCTTTCTTCGTTAATCTTGCTAATGGTCTATCAATTTTATTTATCTTTTCAAAAAACCAGTTTTTGTTTAATTTATCTTTTGTATTTTTTTTTCAATTTTATTTAGTTCTACTCTGATCTTTATTATTTCCTTTCTTCTGCTGGGTTTGGATTTGCTTTGTTCTTGCTTCTCTAGTTCTTTGAGGTGTGACTTTAGATTGTCTGTCTGTGCTCTTTCAGACTTTTTGATGTAAGCGTTTAGGGCTATGAACTTTCCTCTTATCAGTGTCTTTGCTGTATCCGAGAGGTTTTGGTAGGTTATGTCACCATTGTCGTTCAGTTTGAAGAATTTTTTAATTTCCACCTTAATTTCATTTTTGTCCTGATGATCATTCAGGGGAAAGTTATTTAATTTTCATGTATTTGCAGGGTTTTGAAGGTTTCTTTTGGAGTTGATTTCCAGTTTTATTCCACTGTGGTTTGAGAGAGTGCTTGATATAATTTCAATTTTCTTAAATTTATTGAGGCTTGTTTTGTGGCCTATCATGTGGTCTATCTGGGAGAAAGTTCCATGGACTGATGAATAGAATGTATATTCTGTGGTTGTTGGGTAGAATGTTCTTTAAATATCTGTTAAGTCCATTTTTTTCCCAGGGTATAGTTTCAATTCATTGTTTCTTTGTTGACTTTCTGTCTTGATGACCTGTGTAGTGGTGTCAGTGGAGTATTGAAGCCCCCCCTTATTGTGTTGCTCTCTATCTCATTTCTTAGGTCTGTTAGTAATTGTTTTATACATTTGGAACCTCCAGTGTTAGGTGCATATATATTTAGGATTGTGATTTTTTTTTGTTGGACAAGGCCTTTTATTATTATATAATGACCCTCTTTGTCTTTTTAAACTGCAATTGTTTTAAAGTTTTTTTTTGTCTGATATAAGAATAGCTACTCCTGCTTGCTTTTGGAGTCCATTTGCATGAGATGCCTTTTTTCACCCCTTTACCTGAAGTTTTTATGAGTCCTTATGTGTTAGGTGAGTCCCTTGAAGACAGCAGATAGTTGGTTGATGAATTCTTATTTATTCTGCAATTCTATATCTTTAAGTAGAGCATTCAGACCATTTACATTCAATGTTAGTATTGAGATATGAAGTATGATTCTATTTATTGTGCTATTTGTTGCCTGTATTCCTTTGGGTTTTTAAAATTGTATTTTTATTATATATGTCCTGTGTGAGTTATGCTTTAAAGAGGTTCTGTTTTGATGCATTTCCAGTATTTGTTTTAAAATTTAGAGTTCCTTTTAACAGTTCTTGTAGTGCTGGCTTGGTAGTCACAAATTCTCTCAACATTTGTTTGTCTGAGAAAGACTATATCTTTCCTTCACTTCTGAAGCTTAGTTTCACTGGATACAAAATTCTTGGCCGATAATTGCTTTGTTTGAGGAGGTTGAAGATAGGGCCTGAATCCCTTCTAGCTTGTAGGGGGTTTCTGCTGAGAAATCTGCTGTTTATCTGATAGGGTTTTTTTTTTTCTTAATATATATGTTACCTGGTGCTTTTGCCTCACAGCAATTAAGATTCTTTCCTTTGTCTTAACTTTAGATAACCTGATGACAATGTGCCCAGGTGATCTTTTTGTGATGAATTTCCCGGGTGTTCTTTGTGCTTCTTGTATTTAGGTATTTGGATGTCTAGGTCTCTAGCAAACCCACGAAAGTTTTCCTTAATTATTCCCCCAAATGTATTTTCCAAACTTTTAGATTTCTCTTCTTCCTCAGGAACACCAATTATTCTTAGGTTTGGTCATTTAACATAATCTGAGACTTCTTGGAGTCTTTGTTTATATATTTTTTTCTTTGTCCTTGTTAGATTGGGTTAATTCAAAAACCTTGTCTTTGAGCTCTGTAGTTCTTTCTTCTGCTTGTTTGATTCTATTGCTGAGACTTTCCAGAGAATTTTGCATTTCTATAAGTCCGCCTATTGTTCCAAGTTTTGTTTTTTATTTATGCTATCTATTTCATTGAAAATTTATCCTCCCATTTCTTGTATCTTTTTTGTACTTTCTTAAATTAAGCTTCACCTTTATCTGGTGCCTCCCTGATTAGCATAATAACTAACCTTCTGAATACTTTTTTAGATAAATCAGGGATTTCTTCTTGGTTTGTATCCATTGGTGGTGAGCTAGTGTGATTCTGGTGGGGGGGGGGGGGTGGTGTTAAAAAACCTTGTTTTATCATATTACCAGAGTTGGTTTTCTGGTTCCTTCTCATCTGGGTAGGCTACATCAGAGGGAAGGTATAGGGCTCAAGGTTGCTTTTCATATTCTTTTGTCCCAGGGGTGTTTCTTTGATATAGTACTCTCCCCCTTTTCCTAGGGATGTAGCTTCCTGAGAGCTGAGCTGTAGTGATTGTTATCTCTCTTCTGGATCTAGCCACCCAGCAAGCCTCCCAGGCTCTGGGCTTGTACTGGGGGTTGTCTGCACAACATTTTATGATGTGAAACGTATGTGGATCTCTCAGCTGTGGATATCAGTTCCTGCTCCAGTGGAAGTGGCAGGGGGGTGAAATGGACTCTGTAAGTTTCCTTAGCTTTGGTTGTTTAATGCAATATTTTTGTGCTGGTTGTCCTCCTGTTGGGAGGTGGTTCTTTCAAGAGAACATCAGTTGTGGTAGCATGGGGAGGAACAGGTGGTGGGCAGAGCCCTAGAACTTCCAAGATTATATACCCTTTGTCCTCAACTACCAAGGTGGGTAGGGAATGACCATTAGATGGGGTCAGGGCTAGGCATGTCTGAGCTTAGACTCATCCTTGGGGGATGGCGGTGTGGTTCCCAGGTCAATGGAGTTATTTTCCTAAGAGGATTATGGCCATCTCTACTGTGTCATGCAGGTTGTCAGGTAAGTGGGGGAAAGCCGGCCACCATAGACCTCACACAGCTCCCATGCAACCCAAAGGTCTGGTGTCACTCTCACCATGCCCCATCCAACAGTACTGAGTCTGTTTCCAGGCAGTGGGTGAGTAGGGCTGAGAACTTGCCCCAGCTACCCGTCTCCCAGCTGTGAAAGCAAGTAAGGCTTTCTTGCTCCCCCAGCCACCCACCCCGTGAAGTCTGCACACCAGATTCATACCCTTCCCCAAGTTCTGGCCAGTAGACATCTCGATCACTTCCAATTGTTACAAAGTTCAGCTAGAGGATTTTTCTTCCTGTGGCCTTTTTCTAGTGCCTCTGGCAGACCTCCCCAAGGATCCCGTGAGGCAAGGGAGAAACGGCTTGCTAGGATACCCAACAAGCCCACAGGGCTTTTTCCATTGCTTTCTCTACCCATGTATTTTGTTCAGCTCTCTAAATTGACTGAATCCCAGGTAAGGTCAGACTCTTCTCCTGTGATCTAAACCTTTAGCTTCCCCAGTGAGGGTGTGTATATGTGGGTGGACAATCCCCCTTTCTCACTTCTATAGTTTGCACACTCACAGTATTGGGTTGTCTACTGAGTCCTGTAAGAGCAATCTGCTTCCTTCAGAGGGTCTCAGGGGACCTCTTTCTCAAAAACCACAACCCTAAAGTTGCCTTATATCCCATAAATCAAAGCTTAGTTACATGGTCACACAAATTTGCAAGGGAGGCTGAAAAATATAGTCTTATTTTGGGCATCCAGGTGTCTGGAGGCTTTATTATTCAGATGTTCAGGGATTTCTATTACCTTAGAAGAAAGAGAGAACAAAAACTGTGCCACATGCTCCAAATCATTTTATATAGCTAATATTACCTTGATACCAAATCAAGGTAAAGACACTGAGACATAAATATGTGTCAAAAATTCTTAAAAATTTTACTAAATTGAATCAAGCCATGTATAAAGGTAATCTATCCTCCTTTTCTCATCTCGTATATATTATATATATAGGCAATGTCTCTTCTTTCATATATATATACATATATATATAGGCAATGCCTCTTCTTTCATATATATACACATATATATGAAATAAAAATACTTCTCTCATATATATGAAATAAAAAAGGAGGATCATTTTTTTACCCTGATAAAGGATATCTACAAATGCCAAAATCAAACATGACACTTAACAGTTCAATATTAGAAGTATAATGGAATATTATGATTGAAGTTTTGATCAAGGCATTATAACACAATAAGTGCTGCATAACAACTGAAGGTAATGGGCAAAAATGAAGAAGATAGTTATGTGACTACGGTTAAATTCCTGAAGTACATCATACAACTTATTTGATTTGGTTAAATGCTTGGAGAGAAGGAATACCTTCTATTTCATCTAACTGCTCTGTGCAAAAGCGTGAGCTTAGTAACACTTCTGTGAACCTGAGATAATCTGAAAAGAATTACTTTCACAGTAGACCATAGCACTTAGTTTGAGGAATTATTTTATGTCTTTTCCAGGAATGATTTGTTTATGCTCTTCTTTTACCTTCCAACTTTTATTTGGGGTTCAGGGGGCATGCAGGTTCGTTACATGGGTAAATGTGTGTTGCGGAGGTACACAGTACAAATGATTTTGTCACATAGGTAGTGAGCATAATATACTATAGGTAGATTTTCAGTCCTCATCCTCCTCCCATTCTCCACCCTCAAGTAAGCTCTGGTGTTTATTATTTCTCTTTGTGTCCATGTGTACTCAATGTTTAACCTCCACTTATAGATGAGAGCATGAAATATTTGGTTTTTTATTCCTACATTAATTTGCTTAGGATAATGGCTTCCAGCTCTATGCATGTTGCTGCAAAGAACATGATTTCATTCTTTTTTATGGTTGTGTGGTATTCCATGGTTTATATGTACCACATTTTCAATATCCAGTCCATAGTTGATGGGCACTGAGGTTGATTTTATGTCTTTGCTATTGTGAATAGTGCTGTGATGAACATATACATGCAAATGTATTTGTGGTAGAGCAATTAATATTCCTTTGGGTATATACTCAGCACTGGGATTGCTGGGTTGAATGGTACTGGTTTTAAATTCTTTGAGAAATCACCAAAGTGCTTTTCACATGCATGAACTAATTTACATTCCTAGAAGCAGTGTATAAACTTTCACTTGTGTCCATAGCCTCGGCAGCATCTGTAGTTTTTTTGACTTTTTAATAATAACCATTCTGACTGGTGTCACATGGTATCTCATTGTGATTTTGATTTGCATTTCTTTAATGATCAGTGATGTTGATAATTTTCCCATATGATCATTGGCTGCTGGTATGTCTTCTTTTGAGAAGTGTCTGTTTGTGGTCTTTACATATTTAACATTTTTAAAAAACATCTTTTTTTTCTCACCATCCACAGTAGATAGGTTGTTTTTTGCTTGTTGATATAAGTTTCTTGTAGATTCTTAATATCAGACCTTTGTCAGATGCATAGTTTGTGCATTTTCTCCTATTCTTTAGATCATCTGTTTTCTCTACTGATAGTTTATTTTGCTGTGCAGAAGCTCTTTATTCAGGTCTTACTTGTTAATTTGTGTTTTTGTCACAATTGCTTTTGGAGTCTTTGTCATGAAATATTTGGCAAGGCTTATGTCCAGAATGGTATTTCCTAGGTTTTCTTCTAGGGGTTTTATAGTTTTAGGTTTCATGTTTAACTCTTTAATCTGTCTTAAGTTGATTTTTATATATGATGAAAGGAAGTGGTCCAGTTTTAGTCTTCTGCATATGGCTAGCTAGTTATCCCAGCACCATTTACTGAATAGAAATTTATTTCCCATTGCTTGTTATTGTTGATATTGTCAAAGATCAGATGGTTGTAGGTGTGTAGCTTTATTTTTGGGTTCTCTAACCTGTCGCATTGGTCTACGAGTCTGTTTTTGTATAAGCACCATGCTTTTTTTGTTACTTCCAGATTTTGCACATTCAGTATGATGTTGCCTGTGGGTTTGTCATAGAAGGCTCTTTTTAATTTAAATTATGTACCTTCAATGCCTAGTTTGTTGAAGGTTTTTAGCATGAAGAGATGTTGAATTTTATCAAAAGGCTTTTCTGCATTTATTGAGATGATCATGTGCTTTTTGGGTTTATTTCTGCTTATGTGATTCCTGGTTAACTGTATTTCTAGATATTTTATTCTTTTTGTGGCTATTGTGAATAGGATTGTGCTATTGATTTAGCTCTTAGCTTGGACATCTTGTTGTATATAAATGCCACTGATTTTTGTACATGTATTTTGTATACTGAAACTTTGCTAAAGCTATCATATGTAGAGTTACATTTATTGATTTGTGTATATTGAACCAACCTTGCATCATCAACATAAATCCTACTTGATCATATTGGATTAGCTTTTTTATTTGCTGCTGCATTTGATTTGATAGTATTCTGTTCAAGACTTATGTATCTAAGTTCATCAGGGATATGGGCGTGAAGTTTTCTTTTTCTGTATCTTCACCAGGTTTTGTATCAGAATGATGCTGCCTCATAGAATGAGTTAGGGAGGAGTCCTTTCTCCTTAATTCTTTGGAATAGTTTCAGTAGGATTAGAACCAACTCTTACTAGCATATGTGGCAGAATTTAGCTGTGAATCTTTGTGTTCCATGGTTTTTTCTGGTTGGTAGACTTTTTGTTACTGATTCAATTTTGGAACTCATTATTGGTCGTTCAAGTATTCATTTTCTTCCTATTCCAGTCCTGGGAGGTTGTCTGATTCTAGAAATTTATCAATTTCATCTAGGTTTTCTAGTTTGTGTGCACAGAGGTGTTTATAATAGTCTTTGAAGGATTTTTGTAGCTCTGTGGGACCAGTGGTAATGTCTCCTTTGTCATTTTAAATTATTTTTATTTGAATCTTTTTTTATTTTTTCTTTATTAGTCTAGCTAGCAGTCTATCAATCCTATTGGTTCTTTCAAATAACCAACTTTTGGTTAGTTTGTCTTTTGTATGGATTTTTGTGTCTCAATTTCACTCATTTCAACTTTGATTTTGGTTATTTCTTTTTTTCTGTTAGCTCTGCAATTTGTTTCCTTTTGTTTTTCTAGTTCTTCTGGGCGTGATGTTAGGTTTTTAACTTGAGATTCTCTTTTTTTTCTTTTCTTTTTTTTTTGAGACGGAGTCTCACTCTGTCACCCAGGCTGGAGTGCAGTGGTGCGATCTCGGCTCACTGCAAGCTCCGCCTCCCGGGTTCACGCCATTCTCCTGCCTCAGCCTCCCGAGTAGCTGGGACTACAGGTGCCCGCCACTGCGCCCGGCTAATTTTTTGTATTTTTAGTAGAAACGGGGTTTCACCGTGGTCTCAGTCTCCTGACCTCATGATCCACCTGCCTCGGCCTCCCAAAGTGCTAGGATTACAGGCGTGAACCACTGTGCTCGGCCTTCTTTTCTTAAAACCTACATCCTGCCAACTTTCTAATTTTTGATGTAGATATTTACTATTATAAACTTTCCTCTTAATACTGCTTTAGCTGTGTTTCAGAGATTTTGGTATATTGTATCTTTGTTTTCGTTAATTTCAAGAAATTTCTTGATTTCTTCCTTAATTTCATTCTTATCTAAAGTCATTCAGGAGCAGATTATTTGATTTCCATGTATTTGTATTGTTTAAGATATTGCTTGGTATTAATTTCTTTTCTTTTTTTTCCACTGTGGTCCAAGAGTATGGTTGGTATGATTCTGGTTTTTAAAATTTGTTGAGAATTCCTTTATGGCCAAACATATGATCAATCTTAGAGTATGTGCCACGTGCAGGTGAGAAGAACGTATATTCTGTTGTTGTTTGTGAAGTGTTCTACAGATGTCTGTTGTGTCCATTTAGTGAAGTATCATGTCTAGGTTTCAAATGTATTTGTTAGTTTTCTGTCTTGATGATCTGTCTGACCCTGCTAGTGAGGTGTTGAAGTCTCTCACCATTATTGTGTAGTTATCTAGGTCTCTTTATAGGCCTCTGAGAGCTTGTTTTATGAATCTGTGTGCTCCAGTGTTGGGTACATATATATTTAGGATAAACTCTCTAGTTGAATTGAACCCTTTATTATTGTGTAATGTTTCTTTGTCCTTTTTGATTGTTGTTGGTTTAAAGTGTATTTTTTTTCTCTAAAGTCAGAATAGTACCCCGTGCTCTTTTTTTGTTTTCTGTGTGCTTGATAGATTCCATCCCTTTCTTTGAGTCTATTGGTGTCATTATGTGTGAAATTGGTCTCTTGTAGACAACATACATTGAGTCTTCCTTCTTTATCTATCAATAACTTGCCACTCTGTGCCTTTTATGTGGAGCATTTAGCCCATTTATGTTCAAGGTTAATATTGATATGTGAGGATTTGGTCCTGTCATTGTGTTGTTACCTGGTTGTTATATACACTTGATTGTATAATATCAATGGGCTCTGTACTTCAGTGTGTTTTCATGGTGGCAGGTAATGATCTTTTGTTTCTATGTTTAGCACTCCTTTAAGGACCTGTTGTAGGTTTTGTGATAGTGATTTCTCTTAGCATTTCATGTATGAAAAGAATTTTAATTCTCCTTTACTTATGAAACTTACTTTTGCTGGATATGAAATTCTTGAATGGAATTTCTTTTTTTTTTTAAGGATGCCGAATATAGGCCCCTAATCTCTTCTCACATATAAGCTTTCTGCTAAAACTTCCACTGTTAGCCTAATGGGGTTCCCTTTGAATGTGTTCTAAACTTTTTTCTCTAGTTGCTTTTAATTTTTTTTAAATCTGAGAGCAGGTACTGTTTATTAGCTGACCAGCTCAGAAAAATAATCATGATAGACACCTTAGTTCATTCTTCTAATAAGCCTGTTGATCTGGACCTCCCTTTTGCCAGCATCTCCACCTTCTACAAAATGGGTGGTCTTTTTCTTCATCCCACCTCGTGGAGAAGATACTGAAGGGCCACAGAAAGTTATTTGCTTCTTTGAAGCATTTTCCAACAGTATAGATCTCATGAATCAGATCCTCCCTGCAGATGATCCCATATTTACCAAGAGATCGAGCTGTCAAAGCATTATCTGTCAAAGCAATTCACTTCTTATTGATTTTGCCATAACCACACTTGTAGATTAGTTCATTTACTGACTTCAGATTTGGGTACCTCATGCAATATATGGCTCTACAATCCTCAGCATATTAATTGAAGCCTTGTTCAGCTTCACAAAAGCTCCATTGAAGATTTGATAAAGGAGAAAAAGCTGCAACACCTTTCGGACCTTTGGGCTCACACCATTGATACCTCTGATCCTGATGACAAATGCCAATTTGGGTTCTGCAGGTACATAGAAGTTGCCAGCTTTTGTTGCCATCCTTGCCATTCGAATTTCAGTTCTGTACATTTTCCTATATTCCTTATGACAGTGCTTCACTTTTTCATAGATAAGCTTCCTCCTTGCTGTTTGAAGCATCTTCTGGGCAAACTTCTTACTCAGGCACTGGATCTTTAGCTCTGTGAAATTCCTTTGCTTTTTCTTAAGGGTTTCTGGCACAGAAGGATCCTTCTTCTACTCTTCTACACCCTCCATGGTTACAGCCAGAAAAAGAGCTCTTTTTAATATTTTTTGTTTTGTGTTGACTTTGGAGAATCTGATAATTATGTGAGTTGGAGATGGTCATTCTATATAGTGTCTCACTGGGATTCTCTGAGTTTCCTAAATTTGTATGTCAACCTCTCTAGCAAGGTTGGAAAATTTTTGTAAACAATATCCTCAAATATGTTTTCCAAGTCACTGATCTCTCGTCCTCTATTTCTGGAATGCCTATATGTCATAGGCTTGATCTCTTTACATAATTCCGTACTTCTTAGAGGTTTTGTTTATTTAAAACATTCTTTTTGCTTTATTTTTTTTTCTGCATGCATTGATTCAAAAAAGTGGTCTTTAAGCTCTGAGATTCTTTCCTCTGTTTGGTCTATTCTGCTGTTAATATTTCTGATTGTATTATAAAGTTCTTGTAGTGATTTTTTTCAGCTCCAGAAGATCAGTCTGGTTCTGTCTTAAAATGTCTTTATCTTTCAGCTCTTGTATCATTTTATTGGATTCATTAGATTGCTTGGATTGGGTTTTAAATTTCTCCTGAATCTCAATCATCTTCATTGTCATCCAGATTCTGAATTCCGTATCTGTCATTTTAGCCATTTCAGCTTGGTTAAGAATCATTGCTTGGGAGCTAGTGAAAATAAGAAGATACTCTGGCTTTTAAAGTTGCCAGAATTCTTGCACTGGTTCTTTTTCTATTTGTGTGTGTTGCTGTTCCTTTAATCTTGAAGTTGCTGTCCTTTAGGTGGGGCCTTTTGCTTTTACGTTCTTTGGTGCCCTTGAGGGTTTGAATATGATATAAGTTGTGTGTAGTCAACTGGCTTCATTTCTGGATAATTTCAGGGATCCAAGGCTCAGCTAAGCACTCCTGGGCTCATGATCTAACCCTAGAGGACTGGGACAAAGCCCATAGCTATTTTTGTGGCCCCTGAAGGTTAAACACTTGCTGTGCTGCAGGGACCAAGGTGTTGCAAGTCCACTGGCAACAACACTCTGTTGGAGGGTGCTGACAAAAGCACTTTTGCAGGGTGGCAGAGGTTTCTGATTTCTGTGCGCACTAATGATAGGGCAGTGGTGGGTTCTGTGTACATGTGTGCCAACAGCAAGGTAGCAGCTAATTTAAGTCCAGGCACAGTCGCTCATGACTATAATCCCTGTGCCTAACAGCCAGTGTGAAAGGATTACTTGAGGCCAGGAGTTTGAGACAAGCTTGGGAAATATACTAAGATCCCATTTCTACAAAGAAAAAAATAGTTGGGTGTAGTGGTGTGCACCTGTAGTAGTAGCTACTCAGGACGCCGAGGCAGGAAGTTCACTTGAGCCCAAGAGTTTGAATCTGCAGTGAACTGTGATTACACCACTGGGCGATGGAGTGAGACCCTGTCTATGAAAAACATACAAATAAAAATAATTTAACCTAATCCCTAAATTTAAAAAGCCTTTTCCCCTCTCCAATTTTTCGGTGACTGAAAGAATCACTACTATTTTTTATTTTGCCATTGAATTCCAGTTTTATACTTCTTTGATTATTGAGATATTCTCTCTATATATAGAATAAATTTTCCTCTTAAGAATTCAGCTTTCATTTTAATCAAGATTATACGTGTTTATTTTTTAAAGAGTCGGGTATTTCTACTGCACTTAGGAAAAACAGAAGACCTCTAAACACTTTACCCAAAGTTCTTCTAGAGGCAACTACTTTCAACTGTTGGCTAATTATTTTTGTTTTATGTATACCATTATAGAACACATAATTATACTGTAATTTTTTTTGAGTTGATGGCATTTTTTTAAATGTTATTTTTAAAAAATTATTTCAATAGTTTTGGGGGAACAGGTTGTGTATGGTTATATGGATAAGTTCTTTAATGGTGATTTCTGAGATTTTGGCACGCCCATCACCAAGTGGTGTACACTGCACCCAATTTGTAATCATTTATCCCCCACCCCCCACCACACATCTGGAGTCTCCAGAGTCCATTATATCATTCTTATGCCATTGCATCCTCATAGCTTACTTGTCTCTGACTTATAAGTGAGAACATGTGATGTTTGGTTTTTTATTCTTGAGTTACTCAGAGTAATGATATTCAGCTCCATCCAGGTTGCTTCAATTGCCATTATTTTGTTCCTTTTTATGGCTCAGTAGTATTTCATGGTATGTGTATATTTATATATATATATAATATATATAATTGGTATACATATTATATTTATATATATTACATTTTATCTATTCACTCATTGGTTGATGGACATTTAGGCTGGTTCCACATTTTTGCAATTGCAAATTGTGCTGCTATAAACATGTGTGTGCAAGTGTCCTTTTCATATAATTACTTCTTTTCCTCTGGGTAGTTACCAGAGTGGAATTGCTAGATCAAATAGACAGTTCCATTTCTTTTTACCACATCCGTGCCAACATCTTTTAATTTTGATTTTTTGATTATGGCCATTCTTGCAGGAGTAAGGTGGTACTGCATTGTGGTTTTGATTTGCATTTCCTTGATAGTTGGTGATATTAAGCATTTTTCATATGTCTGTTGGTCACTTGTATATATATATATTTTTTTTTTGAGAATTGTCTATTGATGTCCTTAGCCCACTTTTTGATGGGATTATTATTATTATTATTTTTTCTTGGTAATTTTTTTTAGTTCATTCTAGATTCTGGATGTTAGTCCTTTGTGGGAAGCATAGTTTGTGAATATTTTCTCCCCCTCTGTGGGTTGTCTGTTAACTCTGCTGATTATTTCTTTTGCCGTCAATAAGCTTTTTAGTTTAATTAAGTTGTATTTACTTATCTTTGCTTTTGTTGCATTTGCTTTTAGGTCCTTGGTCATGAATTCTTTGCCTAAGCCAATGTCTAGAAGAGTTTTTCCAATGTTGTTTTCTAGAATTTTTGTTGTTTCTGGTCCTGGATTTAAGTCTTTGATCCATCTTTAGTTGATTTTTGTGTAAGATAAAAGAGATGAGGATACAGTTTTATTCTCTTACATGTGGCTTGCCAATTATCCCAGCACCATTTGTTGAAGAGTTTGTCCTTTCCTGACTTTGTGTTTTTGTTTGCTTTGTTGAAAATCAGTTGGCTGTATTTGGCCTTACTTTACTCTTCTCTTTTCTCTTCTCTTCTCTTCTCTTCTCTTCTCTTCTCTTCTCTTCTCTTCTCTTCTCTTGGTCTATGTGCCTGCTTTTATACCAGTACCATGTTGTTTTGGCAACTATAGCCTCGTTGTATAGTTTGAAGTCAGGTAATGTGATGCCTCCAGATTTATCGTTTGTATTCACTCTTGCTTTGGATATGCAGGCTCTTTTTTGATTCCATATAAATTTGAGGATTGTTTCTTCTAGTTCTGTGAAGAATTATGGTGATATTTTGATGGGAATTGCATTGAATTTATAGATTTCTTTTAGTAGCATGGTCATTTTTACAATATTGACTCTACCCATCCACGAGCATAGGATGTATTTCCATTTCTGTCATCTCTAAGTTCTTTCAGCAGTGTTTTGTAGTTTTCCTTGCAGAGATATTTTACCTCTTTGGTTAGTTATATTCTAAGTATTTTCTTTTATTTTTGCAGCTGTTGGAAAATGAGTGGAGTTCTTGATTTGATTCTTAGCTTGGTCGCTGTTGGTGTATAGCAGTGCTACTGATTTGTGTAACTTAATTTTGTATCCTGAAACTTTACTGAATTTATTTATCAGATCTAAGAGCTTTTTGGATGAGTCTTTAGTGTTTTTTAGGTATACAATCAGATCATTAGGAAACAGTGACAGTTTGACTTCCTCTTTACCAATTTAAATGCCCTTCATTTCTTTCTCTTGTCTGATTGCTCTGGCTAGGACTTCCAATACTTTGTTGAATAGAAGTAGTGAAAGTGGAAATCCTTGTTTTCTTCCAGTTCTCAGGGGGAATGCCTTCAACTTTTCCCCATTCAGTGTAATATTGGTTGTGGGTTTGTCATAGAGGGCTTTTATAACCTTAAGTACGTTTCTTATATGCTGATTTTGCTGAGGGTTTTAATCATAAAGGGATACTGGATTTTGTCAAATGTTTTTCCTGTGCCTATTGAAATGATCATGTAATTTTGTTTTTTTTTATCATGCTTTAAGTTTTAGGGTACATGTGCACAACGTGCAGGTTTGTTACATATGTATACATGTGCCATGTTCGTGTGCTGCACCCATTAACTCGTCATTTAACGTTAGGTATATCTCCTAATGCTATCCCTCCCCCCTCCCCCCACCCCAAAACAGGCCCCGGTGTGTGATATTCCCCTTCCTGTGTCCATGTGTTCTCATTGTTCAGTTCCCACCTATGAGTGAGAACATACGGTGTTTGTTTTTTTGTCCTTGTGATAGTTTGCTGAGAATGATGGTTTCCAGCTTCATCCATGTCCTACAAAGGACATGAAGTAATCCTTTTTTATGGCTGCAAAGTATTCCATGGTGTATATGTGCCACATTTTCTTAATCCAGTCTATCATTGTTGGACATTTGGGTTGTTTCCAAGTCTTTGCTATTGTGAATAGTGCCGCAATAAACATATGTGTGCATATGTCTTTATAGCAGCATGATTTATAATCCTTTGGGTATATACCCAGTAATGGGATGGCTGGGTCAAATGGTATTTCTAGTTCTAGATCCCTGAGGCATTGCCTCAGTGTAAAAAGGCATTGCCGTTGCCCTGAGGAATTGCCTCAGTGTAAAAGTGTTCCTATTTCTCTACATTCTCTCCAGCAACTGTTGTTTCCTGACTTTTTAATGATCGCCATTCTAACTGGTGTGAGATGGTATCTCATTGTGGTTTTGATTTGCATTTCTCTTAGTTTTTAATTCTGCTTATGTGATGTATCATATTTGTTGACTTGCATATGTTAAACCATCCCTGCATTCCTGGTATAAAACCCACTTGATCATGGTGGATTATCATTTTGATATGCTAATGGATTCAGTTACCTAGTATTTTGTTGAGGATATTTGCATCTATGTTCATCAAAGATATTGGTCTGCAGGTTTTTGTTGTTGTTGTTGTTGTTGTTATGCCATTTCCTGGTTTTGGTATAAGAATAATACTGGCTTCATAAATGATTTAGGGAGAATTCCCTGTCTTTCTCTATCTTTTGGAATAGTGTTAATAGGATTAGTACCACTTCTTTGAATGCTTGATAGAATTCAGCTGTGAATTCATCTGGTCTTGGACTTTTTTTGTTGGCAATTCTTTTATTACGATTTTAATCTTCCTGCTAGTTATTGGTCTATTCAGAGTTCCTATTTCTTCCTGTTTAATATAGGAGGGTTGTATATTTTCAGGAATTTGTCCATCTTTTCTAGGTTTTCTAATTTGTGTGCATACAGGTTTTCATAGTAGCCTTGAAGGATCTTTTGTATTTCTGTGATATTGGTTGTAGTATCTCCCATTTCATTTCTGATTGATCTTATTTGGATCCTCTATCTTATTTTCTTGGATCATCTTGCTAATGGTCTATCAATTTTGTTGATCTTTTCAAATAACTAGCTTTTTGTTTCATTTATCTTTTGTATTTTTTTTTGTTTCGATTTCATTTAGTTCTGCTCTGATCTTTATTACTTCTTTTCTTCTGCTGAGTTTGGGGTTGGTTTGTTCTTGTTTCTTTAGTTCCTTCAGGTGTGACATTAGATTGTTTGTTAATGCTTTTTTAGACTTTTTGATCTAATCATTTAATGCTATAAACTTTCCTTTTAGCACTGCTTTTGACATATCCCAGAGGCTTTGATAGGCTGTCTCACTATTATTATTCAGTTCAAGGAAATCTTGATTTCATTTTCGACCCAATGATTATTCTGGAGCAGGTTACTTAATTTTTAATGCATTTGCATGGTTTTAAGGGTTCCCTTTTGGAGTTGATTTCCAATTTTATTCCACTCTGGTCTGACAGAGTACTTGATATATTTTGAATTTCTTAAATTTGTTGAGACTTGTTTTGTGGCCTGTCATATGATCTGTCTTGGAGAATGTTCCCCGTGCTGATGAATAGAATGCATATTCTGCAGTTGTTGGGTAGAATGTTCTGTAAATATCTGTTAAGTCCATTTGTTCTCTGGTATAGTTTAAGTCCATTGTTTCTTTGTTGAGTTTCTGTCCTGAAAACCTCTCTAGTGCTGTCAGTGGAGTATTGAAGTCTCTCACTATTATTGTGTTGCCTTCTATCTCATTTCTTAGGTCTAATAGTAATTGTTTTATAAATTTGGGATCTCCAGTGTTGGGTGTATATATATTTAGGTTTGTGATATTTTCCTGTTGGACAAGGCCTTTTATAATTATTTAATGTTGTACTTTGTTTTTTTTTTAACTGCTGTTACTTTAAAGTCTGTTTCTTCTGAGACAAGAATAGCTACTCTGGCTCAATTTTGGTGTCTATTTATATGAAATATCTTTTTTCACCCCTTTATTTTAAGCTTATGTGAGTGCTTATGTGTTAGGTGAGTTTCTTAAAAACAGCAGATACTTGGTTGGTGAACTTTTATTCATTCTTCCATTCTGTACCTTTTAAGTAGTGCATTTATGCCATTTACATTAAATATTAATATTGAGATGTGAGGTACTATTCTGTTCAACATTCTAGTTGTTGCCTGAATACCTTTCTTTTTTTTTCATTGTGTTACTATTTTATAACCCCTGTGGGATTTATGCTTTTTGGAGGTTCTATTTTATTGTACTTCAAGGCTTTGTTTTAAGATTTAGAACTCCTTTTAGCAGTTCTTATAGTGCCAGCTTGGTTGTAGTAAATAATCTCAGGATTTGTTTGTTTGAAAAAGACTGTATCTTTCCTTCATCTATAAAGCTCAGTTTCATGGGATACGAGATTTTTGGCTGATAATTGTTTAAGAAGGCTAAATATAGGACCCCACTCCCTTCTAGCTTGTAGGGTTTCTGCTGAGAAATCTGCTGTTAATCTGATAGGTTTTTTTATATATATATAGGTTACCTGATGTTTTTTCCTTACAGCTCTTAAGATTCTTTCCTTCATCTTGACTTTAGATAACCTGATGACTAGGTGTCTAGGTGATGATCTTTTTGAAATGAATTCCCAGGTATTCTTTAAGCCTTTTCTATTTGGATGTCTAGATCTGTAGCAAAATCAGATAAGTTTTACTTGATTATTCTCTCAAATAAGTTTTCCAAATATTTAGATTTCTCATCTTCTCTGGGAACACCAAATATTCTTAAGTTTCATTATTTAATATATCTCAAACTTTTTGTAGGCCTTTATTTATTTTTTCTTTTTCTTAGTTGAATTGAGTTCATTTGAAAGCCTTGTCTTTGGGGGACATGGCCAAGATGGCTGACTAGAAACAGTGGCAATTGGAGGCTCCCATCAAAAAGAACCATAATTAGCATGTGAATACTTCACTGGCAACCAAGGTATCCAGGTTCTTTCATCAGAACTAACTAGGTGGCTGGCATAATCCGTGGAGAGGAAGGAAGAGCAGTGTGGTGTGGTGGCCCACCTGAGGGCCACACAGGGCATGAGAGCTCCCAACCCCCAGCCAAGGGAGGCAGAACTTCAACTCCAGCCAGAGGCTCAGGGACAGAATCTGGATTTCCCTGGGCCTAAGCCCCTGGGCGAGGGTTGGTCAGAGTCTCTGTGAACCAGCAAACTTAGCCTTTCATCCTGGTAGTACTGAGGAATCTGGGCAGTCCAGATGAGTGGGTTTCCCCCCAGCAAAGCACACCCCATCCAACAAGGGAAAAAGTGCTTCATTAAATGGGTCCTGTTCCCCATGCCAGCCAGCTGGGTGAGACCCTCCAACAAGGGTTGTCAGACACCTGATACAGGAGCAATCCTACTGGAATCAGGTTGGTGCCCCTTGAGTTTTCAGATCCCAGAAGAAGGAGCAGGCAACCACCTTTGCTGTTCTACAGCCTCCCTGAGTGATGTCTGTAGGCATGGGAGTGAACCAGATGAATAGGACCTGAAGTGAACCCCCAGCAAACTGCAGCACCCCTACAGAAGAGAGACCTAACCATTGAAAGAAAAGCAAACAAGTGGAAAGCAACAACAACAGCCTCAAAAACAACAAAAATGTTCCCACAAAAACCCCATCCAAGGGTCAGCAGCCTCAAATATAGAAATTAGACAAACTCACAAAGATGAGAAAGAATCAATGAAAAAAATGCTGAAAACCCAAAAGGCCAGAGTGCCTCTTCTCCTCCAAATTATTGCAATGCCTCTCCAGCAAAGGCACAAAACTGGACATGGGATTAGGTGGACAAATTGACAGAAGTGGGCTTCAGAAGATGGGTAATAAAAAACTACACCGAGCTAAAGGAGCATGTTCTAATCCAATGCAAAGAAGCTAAGAACTTTGAAAACACATTAGAGGAATTGCTAACTAGAATAACCAGTTTAGAGAAGAAGATAAATGACTTGATGGAGCTGAAAAACACAGCATGAGAACTTCATGAAGCATACACATGTATTAATAGCCAAATCGACTAAGCAGAAGAAAGGATATCAGAGTTTGAAGACCACCCTGCTGAAATCAGGCATGCAGGCAAGATTAGAAAAAAGGATGAAAAGGAATGAACAAAGCCTCCAAGAAACAAGGGACTTTGTAAAAAGACTGAACCTCCAATTGATTGGTGTACCTGAAGGAGATGGGGAGAATGGAAACAAGCTGGAAAACACACTTCAGTATATTATCCAGGAGAACTTCCTCCACCTAGCAAGACAAGCCAACATGCAAATTCAGGAAATACAGAGAACACGACTATAATACTCTACAAAAAGATTAACCCCAAGGCACATAATCATCAGATTCTCCAAGGTTGAAGTGAAGGAAAAAATGTTAAGGACAGCCAGAGAGAAAGGCCAGGTCACCCTCAAAGGGAAACCCATCAGACTAACAGCGGATCTCTCAGCAGAAACCCTGCAAGACAGAAGAGACCAGGGGCCAATATTCAACATTCTTAAAGAAAATAATTTTCAAACCAGAATTTCATATTCAACCAACTAAGCTTCATAAGCCAAGGAGGAATAAAATCCTTTCCAGACAAGCAAATGCTGAGGGATTTTGTCACCACCATGCCTGCCTTACAGGAGCTCCTGAAAGAAGCACTAAATATGGAAAGGAAAAACTGGTACCAGCCACACAAAAACACAACAAAAGATAAAGACCAATGAAGCTATGAAGAAACTGCATCAACTAGTGTACAAAATAACCAGATAGCATCATGATGACAGGATCAAATTTACACATAGCAATACAACCTTAAATGTAAATGGGCTAAATGCCCCATTTAAAAAAGACAGACTAGCAATTGGATAAAGAGTTAAGACCCTTCAGTGTCTTGTATTCAGGAGACCCATCTCATGTGCAAAGACACACATAGGCTAAAAGTAAAGGGATGGAGGAAATTTACCAAGCTCCTAGTCTCTGAAAAAACAGACTTTAATGAAGATCAAAAAAGACAAGGGCATTACATAATAGTAAAGGGAATAATTCAATAAAAAAGCTCAATATTCTACATATATATCTACCCAATACAGTAGCACCCAGATTCATAAAACAAATTCTTAGAGACCTACAAAGAGACCTAGACTCCCGTACAATAATAGTGGGAGACTTTAACACCCCACTGTCACTATTAGATCAATGAGACAGAAAATTACAAGGATATTCAGGACTTGAACTTAGCTCTGGTTCAAGTGGACGTAAGAGACATCTACAGAACTCTCCACCCCAAATCAACAGAGTATACATTCTTCTCAGTGCCATATGGCACTTAATCTAAAATCAACCACATAATTGAAAGTAAAACACTCCTCACCAATGAAAAAGGACTGAAATCATAACAATCAGTCTCTCAGACCACAGTGGAATTAAATTAGAACTCAGGACTAAGAAACTCACTCAAAACCACACAATTACATGGACATTGAACAGCTGCTCCTGAATGACTCCTGGCTAAATAATGAAATTAAGGCAGAAATAAATAAGTTCTTTGAAACCAATGAGAACAAAGAGAAAACATACCAAAATCTCTGGGACACAGCTAAAGTAGTGTTAAGACAGAAATTTATAGCACCAAATGCCCACATCAGAAAGCTAGAAAGATCTCAAATTGACCCCCTAACGTAACAATTAAAAGAGCTAGAGAGGCAAGAACAAACTAATTCAAAAGCTAGCAGAAGACAAGAAATAACTAAGATCAGAGTAAAATAGGAGGAGATGGAGACATGAAAAATCCTCTAAAAAATCAATGAATCCAGGAGCTGTTTTTTTTTTGAAAAAAATAAGAAAATAGACAACTAGCTAGAGTCATAAAGAAGAAAAGAAAAAAGAATCAAGTAGACACAATTAAAAATGATAAAGGGGATATGACCACGGACTCCACAGACTCCACAGAAATGCAAACTACCATCAGAGAATACTATAAACACCTCTACACAAATAACCTAGAAAATCTAGAAGAAATGGATAGATTCCTGGACACATACAGCCTCCCAAGACTAAAGGAGGAATTTGAATCCCTGAATAGACCAATAACAAGTTCTGAAGTTGAGGCAGCAATTAGTAGCCTACCAACCAAAAAATAAGATAAAAGCCCAGGACCAGACAGATTCACTGCTGAATTCTACCAGAAGTACAAAGAGCAGCTGGTACGATTCCTTCTGAAACTATTCCAAACAATTGAGAAGGAGGGAATCCTCCCTAACTCATTTTATGAAGCCAGCATCATCTTGATACCCAAACTGGGCAAAGACACAACCATAAAAGAAAACTCCAGGCCAATATCTCTGATGAACATTTGATGGGAAAATCTTCAGCAAAATACTGGCAAACAAAATCCAGCAGCACATCAAAAAACTTATCCACCACGATCAAGTTGGCTGCATCCCTGGGATGCAAGGCTGGTTCAACATATGCAAATCAATAAACGCAATCCATCGCATAAACGGCACCCAAGACAAAAACCACTGGGTCATCACAACAGATGCAGAAA
Source organism: Homo sapiens (assembly GCF_000001405.40). Taxonomy (NCBI): domain Eukaryota; kingdom Metazoa; phylum Chordata; class Mammalia; order Primates; family Hominidae; genus Homo; species Homo sapiens. The sequence goes on from NC_000006.12 coordinate 86,098,158, forward strand.
AGGCCTTTAATATAATTTAACATCCCTTCATGTTAAAAGCTCTCAATAAACTAGGAGTTGATGGACCATATCTCAAAATAATAAGAGCTATTTATGACAAACCTGTAGCTAATATCATACTGAATGGGCAAAAGCTGGAAGCATTCCCTTTGAAAACAGGCACAAGACAAGGATGCCCTCTCTCACCACTCCTATTCAACATAGTATTGGAAGTTCTGGCCAGGGCAATCAGGCAAGAGAAAGAAGTAAAGTGTATTCAAATAGGAAGAGAGGAAATCAAATTGTTTCTTTTTACAGATGACATGATTTTGTATTTAGAAAACACCATCATCTCAGCCCAAAAACTCCTTAAGCTGATAAGCAATTTCAGCAAAGTCTCAGGATACAAAACCAATGTGCAAAAATCACAAGCATTACTTTACACCAACTTAGATAAGCAGAGAACCAAATCAAGATTGAACTTCCATTCACACTCTGGGAATCACAGTTTCTCAGCTTTCTTGTGGAGTTTGCAGCAGCAGGCTACTTCTTTCAAAGGTCTGTGAATTTTTTTTTTTTTTTTTTTTCTGGTATGTTCCTGTGGTGGTTCTTGGAGCAAAAGTTCACAAAGTGAGCCTCCTCACACTGTCTGTCCATCCAAGTGGGAACTACCCATTAGTACTGTCTCCTATCCACCATTTTCTTCAAGTTATCTCCATTTTAAGTTTTTTAAACATGCATTTAAGCTATACAAATTATAGTACTAGACACTGCTATAACACACTATATTGTGAGATATAGTTATTTCTTTTCTTAAAAATATATGGGTTCACGTGAAGTTGTGTACCATGGATATATTACATAATGGCAAGGTCTGGACTTTTAGTGTATCGATCACTTGAGTAGTGTACATTGTACCCAATATGTAATATTTTGTTCTACACCCTTTTCCACATTTTCACCTATTATAGTCTCTAATGCCTGTTATTACACTCTGTATGTCCATGGGTAGCAGTTATTTAGCTTCCACTTATAAGTGAGAACATGTGGCTTTTGACTTTCCATTCCTGAGTCATTTCAGTTAGAATAGCCTCTAGTTCCATCCATGTTGCTGCAAGAGTATTGATTTATTTCTTTTTTTATGGTGGAGTAGTTTTCCATGGTGTGTGTGTGTGTGTGTGTGTGTGTGTATCACATTTTTAATTCAGTCATCTGTTGATGAACACTTAGGTTGATTCCATGACTTTGCTAATGTGAATAGTGTTCTGATAAACATATGAGTGCAGGTGTATTTTTTATATAATAATTTATTTTCCTTTGGGTAGGAAAACAGTAGCAGGATTGCTGGATTAAATAGTGGTTTTATGTTTAGTTCCTTGAGATATCTTTACACAGTTTTTCATAGAAGTTGTACTAAATTACATTCCCACCAACAGTGTATACGTGTTCCCTTTTTTCCACATCCTCACCAACATGTTATTTTTAGACATTTTAATAATAGTAATTATGATTGGTATAAGATAGTATCTCACTGTGGTTTTATTTTGCATTTCTATGATAATTCATGGTGTTGAGCATTCTTTTCATATGTTTTTTGGCTGCTTTTGTCTTCTTTTGAAAAATGTTTGTTCATGTACTTTACCCACTTTTTGATGAGGTTATTTGATTTTTTCTTATTGAGTTCCTTGTAGATTCTACATATTGGTTTTTTTGTCAGATGCATTGTTTGCGGATATCTTTCCCATTCCGTAGGTTGTCTTTACTCTGTTGATTATTTCTTTCACTGTTCAGAAGCTTTTTAGTTTAACTACATCCCATTTGTGAATTTTTGTTTTTGTTTCATTTCCTTTTGAAGGGTTAAACATGATTTTATTTTTTTTGTCTTGGCCAAAGTCCAGAAACATTTTTTCAAGGTTTTCTTCTAGGATTTTATAGTTTGAGGTCTTACATTTGAATTCTTAATTCATCTTGCATTAGCTTTTGCATATAGTGAGAGATAGAGGTCTAGTTTCATTCTTCTGCATATGACAATCCAATTTTCCCAGCACTATTTATTGAATAGGCTGTCGTTTTCCCAGTTTATATTTTTGTCAACTTTGTCACAGATAAATTGGTTGTAAATACATGGCTTTATTTCTGGGTCATTTATTCTGTCTTATTGGTTTTTATGTACATTTTTACACCAGTGCCATGCTGCTTTGGTTATTACAGCCATGTAGCATAATTTGAATTCAGATAAGTGATGGCTCCAGTTTTGTTCTTTTTGCTTAGAATTACTTTGGTTATTCATATACATACTTGGTTTTATAAAAATTCTAGCACTGTTTTCTTCTAATTCTGTGAAAAAACACATTGGTACTTTGATAATTGCACTGAATTTATAGATTGGTTTGTGTAGTACACTTATTTTAAAAATATTGGTTCTTTTGATCTATTGCATGGGACTCTTTTTTCCATGTGTTTGTGACATCTGTGATTTCTTTCATCAGTATTTTGTAGTACTTCTTGTGGAGATCTTTCACCACCTTGGTTACATGTATTTCTGGACTTTTTTGTAGCCATTAGAAGAGAGATTGAGTTTCTGATTTAGTTATCACTTTGATTGTTATTGCTGTATGAAAATACTACTTCTGATTTTCTCATGTTGATATTGTTTCTTGAAATTTCACCAAAATTATTTATTAAATCTAGGAGTCTTTTGGAAGAATCACTAGACTTTTCTAGGTATATGATTATATCATCTATGAATAGAGAAAAATTAACTTTCTCTTTTCCAATTTGAATGCCTTTTATTTATTTCCATTGCCTGATTGCTTTAGCTAGCACTTTTAATACTGTGTTGAACAGAAGTGGTGTGAGAGTGAGCATCCTTGTTTTGTTTCAGTTCCTAGGGGGATGGTTTCTATTTTTCCCTGTTTAGTATGATATTGGCTATGAGTCTGTCAATATGGCTATTATTATTTTTAGAAATGTTCCTTCTATGTCTAGTTTGTTGCATGTTTTAATCATAAAGGAATAATGAACTTTATCAAAAGACTTCTGCATCTATTGAAATGATCATATCATTTTTTAAAATTATGAGGTGTGTTACATTTATGAATTTGCATATGGTGAACCATCCCTGCATTCCTTGGAAAAAATCCACTTGATTGTGGTATATTATCTTTTTGATATGCTGCTGATTTTTTTTTTTTTTTTTTTGGCTAGTATTTTGTTGAGAATTCTTGCATTTATATTCCTCAGGGATATTGGCCTGTAATATTCTTTTTTTATTGTTTCCTTGCTAGTCTTTGGTATCAGGGTGATGCTGGCTTCATAGAATGAGTTAGGAAGAATTAGATTCCTTTATTTTTGGAACAGTCTCAATAGGATTGGTATCAGTCCTTCCTTGTACATCTGGTAGAATTTCGCTGTCAATCAGTCTGGATTTGAACTTTTGTTGGGGATAGACTTTTTTTATTACTGATTCAATCTTACTAGTCACCATTGATCTGTTCAAGATTTTTATTTCTTTCTTGTTCAGTCTTGGGAGGTGTATATTTACAGGAATTTATTTTCTCTAGGTTTTCTAGTTTATGTGCATAGAGGTGCTCATAGGACTTGCTGGTGATCTTTTGTGTTTCTGTGATATCAGTTATAATGTCACCCTTATTATTTCTGATCATGCTTATTTGAATCTTTTTTCTAGCTGGTGGTCTATCAATTTTGTTTATCTTTTCAGAAACCAACTTTTTACTTCATTGATCCTTTTATTGTTTCTTTGGTCTCAATTTCTTTTATTTCTGCTCTGATCCTTGCTATTTCTTTTCTTCTGCTGCCCTTGGGTGTGGTTTGTTGTTTTTCTTGTTCCTTGAGGAGCAACATAAGGTTGTTAATTTGTAATCTTTGTATATTTTTGATGTACACTTTTAATGCTGTAAACTTCCCTTTAGCATTGCTTTTGTTGTATCCCAGAAGTTTTGGTATTTAGTGTCTTATTTTCATTTGTTTCCAAAATTTTTTAAATTGAAGCTTTAATTTCATTATTGACCCAGTGGTCATTCAGGAGCAGGTTGTTTAATTTCCCTTTATTTGTATAGGTTTTAGGGTTCCTCTAGGTATTGATGTCTAGTTATAATCCACTGTAGTCTGAGAAGATACTTGATATGATTTTGATTTTTTAAAATTTATTGAGACTTGCTTTGTGGCCTAGCATATGGTCTCTTTTTGAGAATGTCCTATGTGTACAAGAGAAGAGAATGTATGCTCTGCCATTGTTGAATAAATGTTCTGTTAATGTCTTTTGGGGCCATTTGGTTTAGAGTTCAATTTAAATCCAGAATTTTTTTGTTGATTTCCTGCTCTGTCAGTGTGGTGTATTGTTTTGTTGTCTAACTTTTTTCTTAGGTCTAATCATATTTATTTTATGAAGCTGGGTGCTCCAGTATTGGGTACATATATGTTTCGAATTTTATTTAACATGGTTGACTTAAAGTCTGTTTCATCTGATGTAAGTATAACTATTCCCACTTGATTTTGGTTTTCATTTGAATGGAAAAATCCTTTTCCACCTTTTAACATTGAGACTCTATATGTTTTTACCACTTGGGCTGGTTTCTTGTATAAATCACATGATTGGATTTTGTTTTTTTAATCCATTCCTTCAGTCTGTATCTTTTAAGTGGGGCAGTTAGTTCATTTATGTTCAAGGTTTGTATTGATATGCTGGTTTTTTTCCTGTCATAATGCTAATTATTACTAGCTGCTTTACATTCTTGATTATGTAATTGCTTTATAAGATTTGCAAGTTTTATACTTTCACGTATTTTTATGATGATGAATATCGCCCTTTTGATTTCATGTTTAGATCTCTGTTGAGCAGTTTTTGTAGAACTAGTCTAGTGGTGACATATTCCCTTTTTGTTTCCTTGTCTGTGAAAGACATAATTTTCTATTCATTTATGAAGCTTAGTTTAGCAGGATACAACATTCTTGGCTGGCATTTTTTTTTTTTTAATTTAAGAAAACTAAAAACAGGACCTCAATCTCTTCCAGCTTATAAGTTTTTTTCTGAGAAGTCTGCTGTTAGTCTGATAACATTTCCTTTTCAGATTATTAGGTGCTTCTCTCTCTGCTTTTAGAATTTTTCCTTCATGTTGACTTTGAATTGTCTGATAATTATACGCCATGGTGAGGTTTCTTGCAATGTGTCTTTCAGGAGTTCTCTGAGCTTCTTGTATTTAAATGTCTAAATCTCTAGCAAGACTAGGGAGGTTTTTCTGAATTATTCTCTCAAATAGGTTTTCCACACTTTTTCCTTTTTCTTTTTCTCTCTCTGGAATACGTACAACTTGTACGTTTGGATGCTTTATGTAATACCACATTTCTCAAAGGCTTTGTTTATTTCTAAAAATTCTTTTTTCTTTTTTTCTGACTCAGATAATTTGAAGGATCTGTCTTTCAGTTCTCAAATTCTTTCTTCTGCTTAGTCCAGCATATTGTGAAAGTTCTCAGTTGTATTTTGTAATTAAATAATTTTTTTATTTCCAGAAGTTGTTTAGTTTTGCTGTTTTCAAATAATAGCCATCTGTTTGTTAATTTTCTAATAGTTTTTCTGACATATTATATTTTCAAGTTTCTCTTGGATATCATTGAACTTCTTTAAAATTAATATTTTGAATTTTTTTTCTGATATTTCAAAGATTTCATTTTGATTAGAATCCATTTCTAGAGAGTTAGTATGATCCTTTGGGTGTGTTGTAATACTCTGTTTTTCCAGAATTGTTTCTGTGATTTCTTCTCATCTGGGTATGCTATCTTTTCTTCTTCTTTTTTAAGTGACAGTTGTTTAGATGGAATTTCCTTTCCCTCCTTGGGGAGGGAAAAGTGTATGTTGTACAGGGTCCTTTGGCTCTAGTTCTAGGTGTTTTCAGTGGAAAATATTTTTTATAAATTCCTTGGTTATATGTACCCTCTGTATTTTATCTTTCTCAAATGCTAGTTGTAATAGTGATGCACTGGAAATGTAAGCAGGCTTACTGGCTCTTGTGAGGAGGGGTAAACATTTGAAGTCTCAGGAAGCTTATATCATTTCCCCAGTGCTGTTCACTTGTGTCAGCACATTTTCTATGGGCTTTTGCAGATCAATCCTCAGGCAAGTAGGTGATGTTTACAGATAAGTCTGCTTCAGCAGACTCAGATGGGTATACACTTGATGTTTATTTACCAGGAGCAGCTCTCTGTTGCCTCAAGCAATGGGGTGATGTTCAGAATCTACTCTCAGCTCTCTGCTCATCTCAGGATGTGGGGAACAAGCTGGGAGGGCCAGGTAGAATAGGCCTGCCCACAGGTTCCCTAATGGAAAGTGCAAGCATCAGCTCCAGTGGAAGTTTTAGTGGTAAGGCACCAAGTACTCAGTGATGTGTCTGAGCATGGAGTGGAGAAACTTCTACTTCCACAATTCTCTGCACAGGAAGGGAGGGGCAGCCTATCCTCCTAATCTAGACCCATGGGTGCTCCAAATCCCTAAAAATATTTCTGGATATGAGTGGAGAGTGCATCACTGCACCAACTTATCTATGTGAAAAGGAAGGGGTAGCTCAGGCTTCTAATCCAGGTGAGCAAATGTGTTAAATGACTGGAAATATGTGTAGGCACGGAACAAAGGAAGCACCACTGAAACAAGTTCTTTGCAAGGGAAGGAAGGTGTGGCCCAGAGTCCCAATCTAGGTGAGCAAGAGTGATATCTGCCACCCTATTGCTCCTCAGAGCCAGTTCAGCTCACTCCCCTGACTTACCAAAGTAGCAGCTGGGGCCATTCAACAATGCCACATGTAAACTGGTCCCAGGTTGCCAAGCTAGACCTGGCTGCAAATCTCACCACCCGAGAGAAACCATGGCTCCAGCAGCTCTCTTCCCACTCCAGCCCTGTGACGAGAGAGGACCCACTGCCAGCCCAATCCCAGCATGTTCTATACTCTCCACTCAATTCTGGCTGAGAGGGTCTCTTTTCTAGAGCAATTTCTCCAACTCTGGCCCAAGACTAAAATGCCTAAGGTGGCCACCACTCCCAGGTTCCCAAAACAATGACTTACTTTTTATGACCCTGGATGGAAAGTGTCATTCTCTTCTTCATCCCTGGCCTGTGAAAATGCCTGTATCATATGTAACAAACCTGCATGTTGTTCACATGTACTCTAGAACTTAAAGTGTATATATATATATATATATATAATATATGTATGTATACATATATAGGTATACATATATATATATGTATACATATATATGTATACATATATATATATATATATGTATAAAATGCCTGTATCTTTTCCCAGTATGTTTCACTCTCACTATATTTCTGCCTCTCCCTAAGGTAGCTCTAAGGCTTTGGAGAAGCTAGGTGCTCTCCTATGGCTTGGGTTGTATAAATCCATAGTGGAAAGGTGAATCACAGTGGGAGACTGTCTGCCTCTCTCATATCCTGGGGTTTCACTCACTTCCCTTTGCAAATTAATAAATTGTTTTTGGTTAGTTGAGATTATCCTGGATTCTTACCCTCAGTATCCAATGGCTCAGCAAGGCATTTCTTCTGAACACATAAGGTCTTATCCTAAGTGGAATTATGATGAGTCCATGTTTCTGTCTTGTTACACAGTGGTGTCCTTTTCTCTCTTTTCATCTTTGCTTTTCCAGATTATTGTGGGCCTTGCTTTTATTTTATTTTACTGTCATTCTTAAATATATCAATGGTCCATAACTTTTTCTAAACAACAAGGCAGTTTTTGCTCTTTACAAGAGGTTTGTAAATATATATTCTTGGTGCTTTGTTTTTTGTGAGTCAGTAGATTGATTTAGGTGAATTATCATGGAGCCATAGATTAATCTAAGGTCCCTATTAACCCTAGGTCATGCTATTATATGACCCAACAATGTGAAATAGAAATAAGTAGACTTTATTTCATTCTTGTCCATGTAGCTATTAAATACCAGGCCCCAAAATAGTATGTTCTCCAATGATTATTGTTGACACCAGAGAGCAATTGTACAATCTTTTATCTTTCTTCTTCTTTTTAGTTTGTTCTGGTCTATGGTCATATCAATGGATGGTAATTATTCCATCTTTACCTGTAATAAAAAGACAGACTGAATGGAACTGTACATCCAGTGCAATGATAAAAAAATCTTTGCTTTGGCTACTAATGCCTAGTACTATAGAGACAATAGTAGTAATGAAGTATATGAGAACAAGGGTTGTACTCCCCAGGACTTACGTTAATTGTCCCTATATTTTTCTCAGAGTTAGTCAAGGCATTTATTAATCACCATAAAGTTAGTGTTCTGTCTACTCTGGTAAAAAAATTAAATGCACAATGTGGCCTCTAGTTGCTTTGTTTTCCTTTCTTTATATTGTTAGAAAGGAGTAGCTCATTCAGGCAACTGAAGTTCTGTTGATCTTTATATAGTGACTAGATGCAGTAAAGGGTAATGCAAGCATGCAGAATTCATTTTGTTATTTCTAGACCTATTTGGGCTTCAAAAACAGTATGAAAAAAACTGCTTTAAATTACTGTGCATATTGAAGATTAAGACCATTTGCACGTTGATCACCTAAGACATAAGATAGAGGTTTTTTGGTCATCTAATAGCTAAGCTAACAGTTATTGTATAATTACCATATACTGGTGCATAACATACATTTTAAATCTCAGTTAACCTCTATAATAATCTATGAAGTAGGTCATTTTATTATCCTTAATTTATAGGTGAGAAATAGGCTGAGTGATTACATAAAGAGTTCAAAGTGAAATGTCTCATAAGTAGCAAGGAGAGCTGGAATTCAAGTCCAGGCAGCTCTACTCCAGAGCCTACATAGTAGAATGGAATGGATAAATCAGTTTAGCTTCTGCACTGAACCTAGTGGCAGATTGAATAAATGAGTATGATTAGTTGATTAGCTGATTTCTAGGTGCCTACTTTTTATTTATTATTATTATACTTTAAGTTCTGCAGTACATGTGCAGAACATGCAGGTTTGTTACATAGGTATACACGTGCCATGGTGGTTTGCTGCACCCATCAACCCATCATCTACATTAGGTATTTCTCCTAATGCTGTCCTTTCCCTAACCCCCCACACACTGACAGGCCCTGGTGTGTGATATTCCCCTTCCTGTGTTCATGTGTTCTAATTGTTCGACTCCCACTTATGAGTGAGAACATGTGGTGTTTGGTTTTCTGTTCATGTTAGTTTGTTGAGAATGATGGTTACTTCTAACCAAAGGCAATAGCATCTAGTACTTTGTGGGCCTGTATCCAATAAATGCTTTTTCCATGTCCAGAAGTCTTCGCTGTCTCAGATTGCTTTCAAAGTTTATCTAGACTGCTCTCTACTTTCTTTCTAGTTCTATGCTTCTTGAAATAGACATCTCAGGTTCTGGACTATTTTATCAGTTGCCATGGGTCCTTTCTCCCCAATATGTGAAGCATTTGAGGCATTAGGGGGAAATGAAGAATGTATTCGATATTAGGTAATAGAAACAGGGTTTTTTTTTGTTCTGTTTTTGTTTTTGACAGACTCTCACTCAGTCACCCAGGCTGGAGTGCAATGGCACAATCTTGGCTCACTGCAACCTCTGCCTCCCGGGTTCAAGCAATTCTCCTGCCTCAGCCTCCCAAGTAGCTGGGATTACAGGTCTGAGCCACTAGGCACGGCTAATTTTTGTATTTTTGTAGAGACGGGGTTTCACCATGTTGGCTAGGCTGGTCTCGAACTCCTGACCTCAGGTGATCTGCCCTCGTCGGCCTCCCAAAGTGTTGGGATTACAGGTGTGAGCCACCACACACAGCCTAGAAGCAGGTTTTAATGAAAAGTAGCTGCGTTTTATAAACCTCAGGAAGAGTCTGAAAGAAAACTGTGGGGTAAGCAGTCAGCAGCCCACTGGAACCAGACCCCTGTATTTAGAAAGACCTGTGATTTCCCAATGGCTAGAAATATCTTAGTTGGAAGGCTTATTCAGTGCAGATGGCTTACAGCACCCAGCTGTGCCTGAATAGCTTTGATAGACACTTGAGTTTTCAGTTAACGCACTGCTTTATGTGCAAATAATTAGCTTTACTCACTATTCCTTTTGATGGCTTACATTGCCAGAAATTGTCATGTTCCATTGTATTATTTTGTTTTTAATAATATTTTGATTTAGCTTGGTTATGAAAGCCAAAAAATGTGCCATTATGCTATTCTTGATTCAAATTTAATACATACATATTATTTGGTGGCCCTTAATATGTTTTTGTCTGTAGACTGCTGGTTAGAGTCCTTGGATATTAACTTTCCTACTAGAAATTCAAGATTTTTTTAAATCTGGAAAACATAATAATGAGTACAGGAAATAATTAGAAATGTCTTTTTTTTGGTCATAAGAGAAATCAACAATTGAAGTTTTTACCATGATTTTAATGCAGGATTAATTGTTGCTCCATTAGGAATACAGATATACCCCTAAACAAATGATTACTTTGATTCAATCCATTTTGCTGTTTCTCTTAAATGAGAGCAGAAGGAGTGGTGCTGGATTTGCAGATCACTGTGATTCTGATCTGCACCAGGTAGAAAGTGGGAGAACAGAGTGGTTAGGCACACTCATGCCTAGCCATGCTGCCTCTGTTTGAATCGCAGCTCTGATATACACTAACAGTAAGCCCAGAGCAAGTTATTTAACTGCCGTTTTCAGTTTCCTATTCTGTAAAATGAGGGTGATAAAATGAATACCCAAATAGGGTGGTTATAATAATTACATTAGATAATACACAAGTAATTTTCTTTGAAGAGTGCCCAGCATATTGTAAGCATGCAATAACTTTTAAGCATATAATAGTAGTACAGCAACTGTATACAAGAACTGAATTCTTGTATGTACCATACAAGTGCAATTCTATACCATACCAGTACCATTGCACCATACCAGTGTACCATACCAGTGCAATTCTAGGTGGATGGGTACAGAAGAAAATAGGGATAATAATTGTTAAATTTTTATTTTTATTTTTAGTTTTTGTGGGTAAATAGTAGGTATATATATTTATGGGTTACATGAGATATTTTGATACAGGCATGCAATGTGTAATAATCACATTATGTAAAATGGGATATTCATCACCTCAAGCATTTATCCTTTGTGTTATAAGCAATCCAATTGTACTCTTTTATTTATTCTAAAATGCATAATTAAATTATTTTTTACTATAGTCACCCTGTTGTGCTAGCAAATACTAGGTCTCATTCTTTCTATTTTTTTTGTACCCATTAATCCTTCCCACAGCTCCCACCCCCTCTTACCTGTTACATTTCCCAGCCTCTGGTTACAATCCTACTCATTATCTCCAGGAGTTCAATTGTTTTAATATTTAGCTCCCACAAATATATGAGAACATGAGATGATTGTCTTTCTGTGCCTGGCTTATTTCACTTAAAATAATGACCTCCAGTTCCATCCATGTTGTTGCAAATGATAAGATCTCATTCTTTTTTTGTGGTTGAATAGTACTCCATTGTGTACATGTAGCACATTTTTTTAATTCATTCATCTGTGGATGACGCACATGTAGGTTGTTTTCAAATCTTGTCTATTGTGAATAGTGCTGCAATAAATACAGGAGTGCAGATATATCTTTGATGTACTGATTTCCTTTCTTTGGGGTATATACCTAGCAGTGGGATTGCTGGATCATATGGTAGCTCTATTTTTTGTTTTTGAGGAACCTCCAAACTGTTCTTCATAGTGGTTGTAGTAATTTACATTCCCCAAAACAGTGTACAGGGGTTCCCTTTTTTCTGCATCCTCACCAGCATTTATTATTGCCTGACTTTTTGATAACAGCCATTTTAACTGGAGTGAGATGATATCTCATTGTAGTTTTGATTTGCATTTCTTTGATGATCAATGATATTGAGCACCTTCTCCTACACCTATTTGCCATTTGTACATCTTCTGCTGAGAAATGTCTATTCAGATGTTTTGCCCATTTTAAAATCAAACTATTAGATTTTTTCCTGTTGAGTTGTTTGAGTCCCTTATAAATTCTGCTTATTAATCCCTTGTCAGATGCATAGTTTGCAAACATTTTCTCCCAATTTGTGGGTTCTCTCTACTTTGTTGTTTCTTTTGCTGTGCTGAAGCTTTTTAATTTGATGTGATTTTATTTGTCCATTTTTGCTTTGGTTACCTTTGCTTTTGGGGCATTACTCAAGAAATCTTTGCCCGCTCCAATGTCCTAGAGATTTTCACCAATATTTTCTTTGAGAAGTTTCATAACTTGAGGCCTTATGTTTAAGTCTTTAATACATTTTGATATAACTTTGTATATGGTGAGAGGTAGGAGTCTAGTTTCATTCTTCTGCATATCGATATCCAGTTTTCCCAGAACTCTTTATTGAAGAAATTGTCCTTTCCCCAATATGTTTTCTTGGAACCTTTGTCAAAAATAAGTTCACTGTAGATGTATGGATTTATCTCTGGGTTATCTATTCTGTTCCACTGATCTATGTGTCTGTTTTTATGCCTGTACCATGCTGTTTTGGTTACTATAGCTCTGTAGTATAATTTGGAGTCAGCAAATGTGATTCTTCCATTTTTGTTGTTTTTGCATAGGATAGCTTTAGCTATTCTGGGTCTTTTGTGGTTCCACATAAATTTTACAGTTTTCTATTTTTGTGAAGAATGTAATTGGTATTTTGATAGGGATTGCATTACATCTGTAGATTGCTTTAGGTTGTATGGACATTTTAACAATATTGATTTTTCTAATTCATGAACATGGACTACTTTTCCATTTTTATCTGTCTTCTTCAATTTCTTATATCAATGTTTTACAGTTTTCATTGTGGAGAACTTTCACTTCTTTGGTTAATTTTCAGGTATTTAAATATTTTATAGCTATTGTAAATAGAATTATTTTCTTAATTTCTCTTTCAGATGGTTGACTGTTGGCATATAAAAATGCTCCTGAGTTTTGTATGTTGACTTTGTATCCTGCAACTTTACTGAATTTTTAAATGTTTTAACAGGTTTTTTTTTTTTTTGGTAAATCCTTTAGATTTCACCAAATATAAGATCATACCATGTGCAAACAAGGATAATTTGACATCCTCCTTTCCAATTTGGATAACCTTTATTTCTTTCTCTTCTCTGATAGCCCTAGCTAGGACTTCCAGTACTATGTTAAATAACAGTGATGAAAGTGGGCATCTTTGTTGTTTCTGATCTTACAGGAAGGGCTTTCAGGTTTTTTCCATTCAGTATGATATTAATTATATGTCTGTCATATAAGACTTTTATTATGTTGTGGTATGTTCCATCTATATTTAGGGTTTTTTTGAGGACTTTTATTATGAAAGGATGTTGAATTTTATCAAACACATTGTTACTATCAATTGAAATTATCACATGGCTTTGCTCTTCATTCTGTTCATATAATGTATAATGTTAATTGATTTGTGTATGTCAAACCATCCTTGCATCCCTGGAATAAATCTTACTTGGTTATGATGGATTATCTTTTTAATGTGTTGTTGAATTCAGTTTGCTAGTGTTTTGTTGAGAATTTTTGCATCAATATTTATTGGCCTGTAGATTTTGTGGGGTTTTTTGATGTGTATTTGTCTGGTTTTATCATCAGGGTAGTACTGGATTTGTGAAATGAGTTTGGAAGCATTTCCTCCTATTCTATTTTTTGGAACAGTTTGAGTAGTATTGGTATTAGTTCTTTAAATGTTTGGTAGAATTCAGCAGTGAAGCCATTGGGTTCCAAGCTTTTCTTTACTGGGAGACTTCTTCTTATGGCTTCAATGTCATTACTTGTTACTGGTCTGTTCAGATTTTCTAGTTTTTCATGGTTCAATCCTGGTAGGTTTTATGTTTCTGGGAATGTATCTATTTCTATTCAATTTTCCAATTTATTGGCATATGTTTGCTCATAGTAGCCACTAATGATCCTTTGAATTTCTGCAGAGTATCGATTATAAGGTCCTCTTTTTAATCTCTGATTTTATTTATTAGAGTCTTCTCTCTTCTTTTCTTAGCCTAGCTAAATGTTTGTCATTTTATCTTTTCAGAAAGCCAACTTTTTTGTTTCATTGATCTTTTGTATTGCTTTCTTCACTTCAAATTTATTTATTTCTGCTCTGAATTATTATGACTTACTTCCTTCTACTAATTTTGGGTTTGATTTGCTCTTGCTTTACTAGGTCTTTAAAATACATTCTCAGGTTGTTATTTTAATTATTTTTAAATGTAGTCACTTACAGCTATAAATTTTCTTCTTAGTACCGCTTTTGCTGTATCCCATTGATTTTGGCATGTCATATTTTCATCATAATTTGCTTCAAGAAAATTTTCAATTTTCTTTTTAATTTCTTCATTGACCTACTTGTCATTCAGGAACATATTAACTTCCATGTGTTTGCATAGTTTCCAAAATTTCTCTTGTTAGTTATTTCTAATTTTATTCCATTGTGGTCAGAGAAGATACTTGATATTATTTCAATGTTTTAAATTTTTAAAGATTTGTTTTGTGTCCTAATGTATGATCTATCCTTGAGAATGATCCATGTGCTTAGGAAAGGAATGTGTATTCAGCAGTCACTGGATAAAATCTTCTGTAAATATCTATTAGGTCCATTGGCCTGTAATGAAGATTACATTGAATGTTTCCTTTTTGATTTTCTCTCTGGAATATCTGTCCAATACTGAAAGTGGGATGCTGAAATCTCCAACTTTTTTTTTTTTTTTTTTTTTTTTGAGATGGAGTCTTGCTCTGTTGCCCAGGCTGGAGTGCAGTGGCATGATCTCGGCTCACTGCAAGCTCCGCCTCCCAGGTTCATGCCATTCTCCTGCCTCAGCCTCCTGAGTAGCTGGGACTACAAGCACCCCCCAACCATGCCCGGCTAATTTTTTGGATTTTTAGTACAGATGGGGTTTCACCGTGTTAGCCAGGATGGTCTCAATCTCCTGACCTCATGATCCACCCGCCTTGGCCTCCCAAAGTGCTGGGATTACAGGTGTGAGCCACTGTGCCTGGTCTCCAACTTTTTTTAATATCTCTTTAGTTTAATACTATTTTGTTTATATATATATATATGGGTTCTACAGTGTTGAGTTCATATATGTTTAAAATTGTTAGAGCCTCTAGTTGAATTGGCTCCTTTATCATTATATACTGACCTGCTTTGTCTCTGCTTATAGTTTTTGGTTTCCATTGATATGGAATACCTTTTTCCATCTCTTTATTTTCAGTCTATGTGTGTCTTTATAGGTGAAGTATACTTCTTGTAGGCAACAGGTCATTGGGTCTTGTTTTTGTATTCATATAGCCACTCTGTCTTTTGATTGAATAGTATTGTTCATTTTAATGCAGTGTTCCTATTGATAAGTAAGAATTTACTTCTGTCATTTGTTATTTATTTTCTGGTTGTTTTGTGGTCTTCTCTTCCTTCTTTCCTTTGTTCTTGTATTCCTTTGAGTAGAGGTAATTGTCTCTGGTGATATGCTTTAATTTATTGCTTTTTAAAAATATCTGTTGTACCTTTTTTGATTTGAAGTTACCAGGAGGTTTGCAAATACTATCTTATATTACATTAGTTTAAGCTGATTACAGCTTAACACTGTTTGTGTAAACAAACAAGCAAAAAGAAAACTAATAAAAGTGTACACCTTAACTTTGTGCCCTCACTTTTAAAATTTTTGCTGTTTCTATTTATATATGATTGTACTGTCCATGTCTTGAAAAGTTGTGGTTATTATTTTTGATTTGTTTGGTACTAAGTGATTTTAATTAAGATAAGAGTAGTTTACACACCGTAGTTATGGTGTTATACTATTTGGTGTTTTTATATGTACTTACTATTACCAATTACCAGTGAGTTTTGTACTTTTTGGTAATATTTTATTGCTCATAATATTCAGTTCTTTCTGATTGAATTACTCCCTTTAACATTTCTTGCAGGACAGGTCTGATGTTGATGAAATCCCTAAGCTTTTGTTTGTCTGGGAAGGTCTTTATTCCTCCTTTATGTTTGAAGGGTATTTTTGCTGGATATACTATTCTAGGGTAAATGTGTTTTTTGTTCAGCACTTTAAATATGTCATACCACTCTCTCCTGGCCTGTAATATTTCCACTGAAAAGTCTGCTGCCGGATGTATTGGAACTCCATTGTACGTTATTCATTTCTTTTTTCTTGCTGCTTCTAGGTTCCTTTGTTTATCCTTGACCTTTGAGAGTTTCACTATTAAATGCCTTGAGATAGTCTTCTTTGAGTTAAATCTGCTTGGTGTTCTATAACCTTATTGTACTTGGAAATTGATATCCTTCTCTAGGTTGTGGAAGTTTTCTGTTGTTATCCCTTTGAATAAACTTTCTACTCCTTTCTCCTCTCTACCTCTGCTTTAAGGCAAATAACTCTTAGATTTTCTCCTTTGAGGCTATTTTCTAGATCCTGTAGGGATGCTTAATTATTTTTTATTCTTTTTTCTTTTGTCTCCTCTGGCTATGTATTTTCAAATAGCCTTTCTTCAAGCTCACTATTTCCTTTTTCTGCTTGATCAGTTCTGCTATAAAGACTCTAATGCATTCTCAGTATGTCAGTTGCATTTTTTCAGCTCCAGAATTTCTGCTTGATCCTTTTAAATTATCTCAATCTATTTGTTAAATTCATCTGTAGAATTATGAATTCCTTCTCTGTGTTATCTTGAATTTCTTTGACTTTTCTCAAAACAGCTATTTTGAATTCTATGTCTGAAAGGTTACACATACCTGTTTCTCCAGGATTGGTCCATGGTGACTTACTTATTTGGTGAGGTCATGTTTTCCTGGATGGGTCTGATGCTTGTGGATGTTTGTCTGTGTCTGAGCATGAAGAGTTCATTATTTATTGTAGTGTTGGCAGTCTGGGCTTGTTTGTGCCCCTCTTTCTTGGGAAGGCTTTCCAGGTATTTGAAAGGACTTAGGTGTTCTGATATGTGTCTTATCTGCATTATAGGGCACTCCAAGCCCAGTAATGCTGTGGTTATTGCAGATTTGTAGAGATACTGCCTTGATGGTCTTGGACAAGAACTGGGAGAATTCTCTGGATTACCAGAAAAAGACTCATTCTCTTCCCTTACTTTCACCCAAGCAAATGAAGTCTCTGTGTTCTGAGTCACCTGGAGCTGGGAGTGGGGTGATACTAGCACCCCTGTGGCCACCACCACTGGGAGTGTGCTGGGTCAGACCTGAAGCTAACACAACACTGAGTGTTACCCAAGGCCCACTGTAACCACCACCTGGCTACTGCCTATGTTCTCTCAAGGTCCTGGTGCTCTACAATCAGCAGACAGCAAAGCCAGCCAGGCTTGTGTCCTTCCCTTCAGAATGATGAGTTCCCTCAGGCTCTGGGCAGATTCAGAAGTACCATCCAGGAGCCAGAGACTGTAGTCAAATACCTTAGAAATTTACCTGGTGTTCTCTTACACTTCAGCTGAACTGTCACTCTAACTATGAGATGCAGTACTTCCCACTCTTTCCTCCCCTTTCCACAGGCAGAGGAGCCTCTCCCCATGGCCCCCACTAGCAGAGTCTCATGTGGAATACTGTTAGGCTACCACTGATGTTCCTTTAAAGCACAAAGGCTCTTCAGTCATTTTGTGGCAAATGATGCCTGAAGTGGAGCTCAACCTTCAGGGCAGTGTGCTCCCCTCTGGACCAGAACAGGTCCAGAAATGCTGTTCAAGAGCCAAGGCCTGGAATCAGGGACCCCAAGAGCTCACTTGGTGCTCTACCCTCCTGTAGCTGAGCTAGTACCTAAGATGCAAGACAAATTCCCCTTTTCTTTTCTCTCTGCTTTTCTCAAGCAGAAGGAATCTCTCTATATAGCTACCATAGCTGGGAATGTGCTGAGGCTCACCTAACGTCAGCAAGTCTCAGAGTTTCACTGAAGAGCCACAGTATACTACCTGGGTATTATACGTAAGTGCTCTTTAGTCAGCAGGTGATGGGTCCTGCCAGGACTGGGTTCTTCCTTTTAGGAAATTGGGTTCCCTTCAATGCAAGGTGTGTCTGGAAATATCATCTGGGAACTAGGGCTTGGAAAGGCAGTCTCATTACTCTGACTGTTGCTCTATCCTGTTGTGGTGGAGCTGGTATCCAAGATGCAAGAAAAAATCCTCCTCGTGCTTCCCTCTCCTCTCAAGTGAAAGGAAGGGGTCTCTTTTGAATCCATGAGCTGTGCAGTCTGTGGTTGGGGGAGGGGTGGTGCAAGCAGTCCCTTAGACACCCAGCTAGTAACTCAGCAGGCTGAATGCCCCCGAAGTCTACTGACTCTTAGCCCAGTTTAGCAGTAGGACTCACCTAGGAGTTGCAGTCCTTGTGGCCTAGACTGCCTTTCAAGTTTATTTAAGGCCCCAGAGCACGTTGGCCCATGGTGGTGAGGCTTGCCAAAACTCAAGTTCTGACCACTGGGATGGGCAATTCTCTTCTGGTTAGGGCTGGTTTAAATACTTCCTCTGTGGGCAGACATCAGCTGAGTTCATCCTGGTTCTGCTTTCTGCTGCGATAGGCCAGAACTAAGTTCCCACAATCCTTGTGCTGTTCCTCTCTCAAGCACACAGATTCTCTCTGTACAACATGGTCACTGCCAGAGGATGATGGAGAGGTGATGTCCATGATTCAAGACTGTGTTTCCTACCCTCTTCCATTGTATCTTTCAGCAATATGAAGTTAAAACCAGGTACTGTGAGTGCTCACCTGATTTTTTATTCTTTTGAACTGCTTTGTGTGTGTGTGTGTGTCTGCAGAGAGTTGTTAAGTTGATGTTTATGTAGGGAAGATGATTGGTGGAGACTTCTATTTGGCCATCTTGCTCTGCCTCTCTCTGTCAAGGCTAATACATTTGGCACACCCCCTTTATTGTGATAATGTGTGTTCTAACAAATAAATATTTAGCAAACTTCCTGAAGAAAGTCCAGGTAATAGGATTATCCTCAGCAGATACTCAGTTAACACGTGATGCAATTCTTGTTCATTTTTTCCCTAGATTACTGCTAAAGACAATCATATAAATGTAGTTAAAAAAAAAAAAACCTTCTCTTGAAAATAATCATGTACTTATTTGTTCTGAACCCTGGCTGCCCATTGGAATTACATGGACAACTTTCAAATCTAGCCTCAGTGTGGTTTTATTGGACTGGGAGTGATTTTAAATTGTGTCTGGTGTTGCGAATCAGTAATGTGATATATCACAAAGCCAAACCTGTATAAGTCTGGATTATCTCCAGCTTCTGTACCTGGGTGAAAACAGCTGAGGGCTTTATCGTAAGAGCTTCTCTTAGGCTGTCACTTTGGAGAGTTTTCTTGAAGTTGGTACAGATGTCATTATTAGTACATGGAAATGATGTTTTGATTTTCATAATTTTGTTTATTTTGTTATATATTTGTTTATTTTGGTATGTGTTAGAAAAACTACCACCAGCTTTTCAAGAATGTTATTTAATGGATAGTATTGCCTAGGAATTGATTTAAAAGTGAGTTGGTTTAAAGAAAGTATTAAGTGACAAATACTAGGTTGGTACAAAAGTAATTGAGGTTTTTGCCATTACTTTTAATTAAATTACTGTTAATGGCAAAAAACACAATTACTTTTGCACCAACCTAATAATATAAATGGTTGTACTGGATAATTTCCTTCCCCCAAATTTATGTCCTCCCCAAAATTTCAGGATGTGACCCTATTTAGAAACAATGCATATGTAACTGGCTAAGATGAGATCTTACTGGAGGAGGGTGAGCCTTTAATCCAACAAAGACTTAAAATTCAGTATGTTCTTATGAGAAGAGGAGAAGAAAGACAGAGACACAAGAGGAATGCCACGTGATTGATAAAAACCAGAGACTGGAGTGACACCTCTAAAAATGTAGGAAAGCCATTTCCAGCAGCCAATGGAAGCTAAGAAGAGGCAAGGAAGTATCCTCCCTGCTAACACTTTTATTTTAGATTTCTAGCCTCTGGAGGTAAGAAAGAATAAAGGTTTGTTGTTTCAAGCCATCCAGTTATGGTACTTTGTTAAGGCAATTTGAGGAAAATAATATACGGACAAGGCCACATGATAAATTGGGAATGTGAATGATTAGAATTGAGGAAACACTGCCTTAGGGTAAAGCTTAAAGTTTTCAGTGTGGTTTAAAAGTATCTCCATCAAGGGACTGATGATGACTTTTCCAGTTAACCCTCTTGCCATTGTTCCCTTTGCACTTTATGCTCAGCCTTACTGAGCTTCTCTCAGGTTCTGTGTTCCTCTACTTTGAGGAGCTGACAGATGGTGTTTTCTCTCCTTTCATTACTGACCAGCTGTTGTCATCTTTCTGCATCCTCCTTACCCTGAAGATCTCAACTAAACATGATTTTCTCTTCAGAGGTCTTCCCCAAAGCCTATACTAGGTGAATTCTTCTATTTTCTATAGTTCTCTTGTCATTATATTCATTGCCTTTTATTGTTAATGATTAGTGAATTGTCTATTTTCTTTGCTAGACATATTTCATGACGTTTTTGGTCATCAGTACTTCTCCAATACAGAACACAGTATCTAATGTTTAGGAGACAATAAATATGCCAAATGAATATTTCATGTTCCATGTAAAACTTAGGAAGGGTTATACTTACCATTGCCCTTATCATGTATTATTTATCTATATATATAGTATATATGGCCAAATCAGATGTTGAAATAATATTGTCATACTCTTTACTACTTATTTCTTGAGGGAGCCCTGGAGTGATAAAAAGAGGACTGGACTAAGAATCAGACAATAGGATTTCTTTTTTTTTGTTCTGCTACTAATTGGTTCTGTGTTATTAAGCAAACTAATATGCATCTATTGTTTTTAGTTTGTAAACTGAAAAAAATACACTGGTGATTATTTAAATCCCGTTCACATCTGTGGCCATGTTTCAAAGTGGGTCCTTATGTTCACCTTGGCTTAGAATTCTAACAATAGTTTAGCCAAAATAGCAGCTTTGTGAATACCAAAAATTGGAGCTTAATAGACATTCCACCTCCTGAACTGCAGAGGCTGGAAAGCCAGAAGTTGCATTATGCAAAGTCCCTTGCAGCTATCTTAAGGAATGTAATTTGGGTTTGGCTGGTTACATGAGATTTGAAAGGCAGAAGAGGGGTTGAAGCTCAGAGGTGAAACTGAATCACTGATGCTTCTAGTATTTCTACTGATAAACCCAGTTGTGAAGGTTTTTGTTTTTCTGAGGTTGTGTTAGCAGAAGTTCCAGTGGCCAGTCACCAGCTTTCTTCAAAATTGAGGGCATGGGCATCCATTGTGCTTCCATGAATCATGGTGAGCACAGCTCATTCAGGAGCTGACAATAGTGGCAGTGGCTCTTTTGGCAACAATGGTTTTGTGATCATGGCAGCTGGATGTGGTTCTGGAGCTGGAGCTTCATGACTCTAGAAGAGTCAGAAGCTCTTTGGTGGATACTACTCTGTGATATGGCTTTGGGGGTGAATGTTCAATCTTGAGTTTGTTTCTTCAGCCTTCTCAGAAATTTGTAAGGCATGAATTCTGACTGATATAAACATTAATATTTATGAAACTTAATCAAAAACAAAGTAATTTCAATAAGGCCTTATAATTTAATATGATTATTTTCCTATCTACCCCAAGCCCACCATAAAGTTCAAGGTAGAGCCTTTGCCTATAAATGGTTTGTGTTAGAGTCATGAGATAATTTCCAATATTTAGGTCCCTCAGAGTGTTGTGCCTTACCACTATGGCACTGATACTCTCAATGAGATGTCATTCCTTTTGTTCTGTTTATAATATGTTATAGCTTGCTTGACACATTCAAATATTAACAAATCAAGGTCTGTTACTTGTGCTGAGAGAGACCTTGGGAAATTCTATCAATGTGAATTATAAAATAAGCAAAAGGTCATTTTTAATCCTCTTCATGAGCTACCAAAGAAATCAAAGCTATAAACTCCACTTTAAATTACTCAGCTCTATAGCAC
This sequence comes from Homo sapiens, assembly GCF_000001405.40. Lineage (NCBI taxonomy): Eukaryota > Metazoa > Chordata > Mammalia > Primates > Hominidae > Homo > Homo sapiens. Next base: position 86,120,170 of record NC_000006.12, read on the forward strand.
ACATCATTGCTATGTAGTTACCGGCCTGAAAAAATATTTAGTAGCTCAGCTTGAGAATTTGATGCACAGATAAAAAGTCCAAATTCTGCATTTGGATCAATGCTGTGTGATTTCTCATGTAAATGAGGAAACTTGTTAAGAGGTTCAGTGGGTCAGGAAAAAAGCTCTTTGAAAATGCAGAGAACATCTTATTCTTCTCACTGACAGTATGTTTCTGGTCAGAAATTAGGTTTTATCAGGGCCCTGCATGGTGGCTCATGCCTGTAATCCCAGCACTTTGGAAGGCTGAGGTGGGTGGATCACCTGAGGTCAGGAGTTCGAGAGCAGCCTGACCAACATGGAGAAACCCCGTCTCTACTAAAAATACAAAAAAATTAGCTGGGCATGGTGGTGGGCACCTGTAATCCCAGCTACTTGGGAGGCTGAGGCAGAATTGCTTGAACCTGGGAGGCGGAGGTTGCCGTGAGCTGAGATAGCGCCATTGCACTCCAGCCTGGGCAACAAGAGTGAAACTTCGTCTCAAAAAAGAAAGAAAAAATTAGGTTTTATCATCATAGACTCAACGGTTATTATAAAATAAAAAGATAGATTTTATAGTTAACTGTTCCTGACCTAGCCAATGTCTTCCGTGGCTATGTTTTTGCTTTTGTTTGTTTTCTCAGAACAAGTTTCTGGCTCTGAGATTAAAACAAACAAACAAACAAACAAAAAAAACCCAAAACTAACAAACAATTCTTTATTCAATATAAATATGAGATTGGATCACTGGAATTTGGAAATACTATGTTTTGTAGCCCTGGGTATTTCCTGATAAAGACAGGTGCTTTAAATTATATTTAAAGTATTTGGCTTCTCTTTTATATTGATTCATATATAATGGTGATATAGTTTAGATATTTGTCCCCTCCAAATCTTATCTTAAAATTTGATCCCAGTGTTGGGGTGGGGCCTAATAGGAGGTGTTTATGTCATAGGGGCTTTTATGTCATTATGTTTATGTCATTATGTCACCACATAAATGGCTTGGTGCTGGCCTTATGATGATGAATGAGTTCTCATTCTATTAGTTCCCCTGACATGTCATTATTAAATAGAGCCTGGTACCTTCCTCTCCTCTCTCTTTTGCTCTGTCTCTAAACATGTGACACACCTGCTTCCTCATTGCCTTCTGCCATAATTGGAAACTTCCTGAGGTCCTTACCAGAAGCAGATGCCAGTGCCATGCTTCTTGTACAGCCTGCGGAACTGTGAGCCAAATAAACAAACCTCTTTTCTTTATAAATGACCTAACCTCAGGTATTCCTTTATAGCAACACAAAATGGACTAAGACATATAGTATTTGTCTCCAGGACAAAAAAAAAAAATTCAGAATTAAGAAGAAGATTTTATGTGTCTAGGTGAAGGACAAACTATAATATGTTTCTTTGTTTTGACAACTAATTGGTTTAACCAGGGTCTAGCTATTGTACCATGTACTATGATATTAACTTTTGGCTAGTAATATGGTTTGGATCTGTGTTCCTGCCCAAATCTCATGTTAAATCGTAATCCCCAATGTTGCAGATGGGGCCTGGTGTGATGGGATTGGATCATGGGGATGGTTTCTCATGAATGGTATAGTGCCATCCCCTTGGTGGTATCCTCATGATAGTGAGTTCTTGTGAGACCTGGTTGTTTAAAAGTGTATAGCACCCCCTCCCTCTCTCTCTCTTCTCTTACTCCAGCCATGTGATGTGTGTGCTTCCCTTCACCTTCCACCATGATTGTAAGATTCCTGAGGCCTCCCCAGAAGCCAAGTAGATGTCAGTATTGTGCTTCCTATAAAACCTGCAGAATCAGAATCATGAGGCAATTAAACCTCTTTTCTTTATGAATTACCTAGTCTCAGTATTTCTTTTTAGCAATGTGAGAATGGACCAATACAGCAAGTGACCCAGATACTGTTTTTGTTCATTTGTTTTGTTTTGTTTGTTTTTTGCTTTGCTGATGATGAAGGTAAGGAAGGAGATGTTAACAGATGTTGTTAAGGCCCCATAACTGACAAGTAGGTCTTCTGACTGATCTAAAGCTCTTTCTGCTACATCTTGTCATTTTCAAACCACATTCCACTGAAGTGCCTTGGGCTGTCACAACAGGCAGTGTGTTGTGTGGTAATGGGGAAATGAAAAGGGAGAGTGTCTGAAAGGAAGGTTGAGCTTGATGAATCCTCCACCACCTTAGATCAGAGTGACATTGCTTTCATTCATCTTAGGCACTAGGATTCCATAAAGATTTTATTTAAAAATATGATTTCAGATAAAAAAAAGTTTAGATTAGACAGCACTTTTAAAATATTTCTGTTTTATCCCTTCTTATGTTCTCTCTTCTCTTGCCTTAAAGTTATTTTTTTTTCTCTTTATGGAAAAATAGGCAAAGGTTGCTTTGTTGTATGTGAGTGGCCACAGGCATGTGGTGTGGATTCAGTTCAGTTTGATAAATATTGGTTCAATATTCTTTTATTCAGCACATATTTATGGAGTTCCTCTCATGTGCCAGGCTTTGTGCTTTGTGCTAGGGACACAAACATAAATGACATGCGGTGCCTGTCCTTACCCTTTATGTGTGAGTTTGGGGTAAGAGTAAAGGGAGGGAACTTTGAGAATAATGGATTAGATATTTAGATTGAGCACTTTTGTTGTCTACACTAATCCTGTGGTGGTGCAAATGAGGAAAAGTTTGGCTTTATTGCCTGTCCATTCCTATGGCAGCAGCCTTACTTCTTGGATAGGTTAGGCTGAAGGACAATCCTCTTCATTTAGGACATAGCTAAAGATAAAACCAGAAAGCGAGGAAGAAGGCAGTGCCTTCCTGAGCTCACCTGAGTGTTGCCAAGAGAACAGGGTTGAATCTATAAGTTGGATGAAAGATTCCAGTTTTAAATGTTTTCTAGCCTGATGTTTCCTCAGCAAGCTGGATTGGAGTCAAACATTTTCTGGGGGCGGTGCAGGAAAATTTGTATGTGAGCACTTAGAAACTATCAACATCCAATCTGGGTTCAATTTGAATGATAAGTGGCCCATTATATTCGGACAGTCTGGGGAGATGCTGCATAGCCACTGGAAAAAACACATGGAATTCATGATACATCAGAATGCTCAATGCATATATTTTCTTCAGGGTGCTATTATTTTAGTATTATTAGATAGTTTCCTTCATTTTAGAGAGAAGATAACCTGTAACAAGTGCCTGCTTTATGTTCTAAAGATGATTAAATTTATCCTACAATGTCACTCTTAACAGACGTGAATTCTCATCCTTCAAAATATAGGAGTAGTGTTAGCTGGGCTTCTAGTGACATAGAAGAGCGCTTTCTTGAAATTACTAATTTTTGACAGTTCTTCAGTTTTTGGTGAGAATCATATTAGTAATGAGCAAGGAACTTCTCATCAGCATATTGGAACTACTTAAAAATCAAGTCTTTGAGTCAAGGTTTTGTCTTGGGTATGCTATTTAGGCTTCCTAATGTCTAAGTCATAACTTGTACCTACTTGCAGTTGCATCCTATCATGCATATATTAATTTATTAAGGCTTCCATAACAAAGTGTCACAGACTGGGTTGTTTGAACAACAGAAATTTATCTTTTCACAATTCTGGAGGTTAGAAGTCCAAGATCAATGTGTTAGCAGGGTTGGTTTCCTATGAGGGCTGTGGGGGAAGGATTCATTGCAGGCTTTTCTCCTTGGCTTGTTAATGCCATCTTCTCCTTATGTCTTTTCTTGCTCTTTCCTCCATGTGTGTCTGTGTCCTAATCTCTTCTTCTAACAATACTAGTCATATTGGACTAGGGCTCACCCCAATGACCTCATTTTACCTCAATTATCTCTTTAAAATTCTATTTCTAAATGCAATCACAATCTGAGTTACTGTACCTCAATATGAATTTTGAGAGGACACAATTCAGACCATAACAGCGTGATTCAGGATAAGGCATCTGGATTAAAATATTTCATGTAGTTATGAATTGGTGTACTTCTTTGAACTTTGGCTTCATTAATAGCATAGGGAAAACAAGAAATAAGATTTTATTTTGGTGTATTTTGAGACTAAACACAGGTAACAGATTTATACACATGTAAATGTATCAAGAGTCATAAAATATTATAAATAGAAAAAGGGAGGTAAACTCTTGGTAACAGAACCTTGATAAAGTATCTTGCAGAACAAGATACTTAAGAGTATTTTACTATGTAGTATGAATAAAGAAGTAATAAACACAGTGTCCATTTTAAGCCTCAGCAATGAGGCTACAGTGATATTATAAGACATTTAAAATTGCCTCATGCCAGTTGATTTTCAGGAATTAAATATTATTATGGTAAAATCAGTTTGTAAGACATATAGGATTTGTTGAAGCCCAGGAGCCGCTTTACATTAAGTGGTTTGAAATTCTAAACCAGATAATACCTATACTACTACAACACATGCCCTGGGCAGAGCTAATTTCATCCACCAAAATGCCAGCCTGTTCTCTAAACTAGTTTCAATGTTGCACACTACCTGAAATTCTAGTAAAATAAATAATTTTCCTGTAAAGTATAAATTTATTTATTTTACCAATAGTCATATGGCACTTGTTATATGCCACGTGCTATTGTAACCACTTGACATCTGTTAACTGATTTAATCTCTATAATTAAACTCTGTGGATGACACTACTATATAATTATTAACTCTATTTTATAAATGAAAAGTGAAAGGCACTGACAGGTTAAGTTACTTTCCCATAGCCACACAGCTAGTAAGTATTAGGACTAAGATTCTGGCTCAATGGTCTGGGCTTTTGATGACTATGCTGTGCTACTAGAAAAGGAGCAGAAATGATGGGAGATTGTGGTATCACATAGAGAAGAAGAGTGTGGTCTTAAGGAAAGTCCACTCAAGTAAGTGGAGCAAAAGAGGATAAACCAAGATATTAGAACTATGCCCTTCTGCCCTGGGTCAGAAGCTGTTTGCTCTCTCTGTTCCCATACCATAACCCTCTGCAGCTACTGGCCCGTTTCTCTGTTCTCCTTTGCAGTAAACCAACTGGACAGATCTGTTTGTATTCACAGTTCCCATGTCCTCTCCTGCTATTCTCTTCAACTCACTTTAATCTGATTTCCATTCCTTCTGCCGATGAAAGGGATCTTGCCCTTGTCACCCCTATCTTGTGACATTCAGTGTCCATTTGTTTCTTATCTTAACAAATGTTCAGAAGCATTCCATACAGTAAGCACTTCTTTTTTTTTTCTTGAAACACTTTGTTCTCTTTGTATCTGTATCATGATACTCTCCAGAGTTTAGTACAGTGCCCAGCACATAATAGGCAGTCAATAAATCACTGTTGAATAGATAATAGAGCTGTTCTTTATTTACCTTTTTAAATTCATTTCATACTATTCTCAATTAATGAACCTGTAGCCATACTTGCCTTTCTTCCCCCCCCAACTCCCCCCAGAACATATGAAATACTTCTGCCTCAGGGCCTTTGCACTTGCTGTTATTTCTAAAAGGAACTCACTTCCCAATATATTTGCATGACTGGCTTTTTCTTACCATTCAGTTCTCATCTCAAGTGCTGCCTTCTCAGATTGCCTACCCTGACCTCCCTCCATTGCTTTCACTCTCTATTATATTATCTCTGTATTTAGGTATGACAAAAAAATTAGAGATGCCCCCTCTTTCCTGGAATAGACTGTAATGACATAGAAATTGCATGGTACTCAGAGACAGAAAATAATTAAAGGGTTTCATTCACCATTTGCTGTCAAGGTTGGATTTTTTGATATTCTGAATAATCAGTCCTGGACTAGGATTATTTCTAGGTGGTTCACTTAGTGACAGGTTAGGATACCAGGCACAGCTCATATTCAAGACTCTGTGAGAAAACTCAGCAACTATTCAAAGGAAAAATGTAGATGCTCTGAACCTGTAGTAGATGCCAGAGGGTGCCACACAGCTCTACCCTTCAGTACCTAACCTTCATTCTCTCAGCTGCTGGAAGGTCTACTGCCAACAGTCATGGCAGACTCTTTCCCAAAAACTGTCCTCCACCAAAGGCAGCTGCTTTGCTCAAATATACTCACCCCAATCATGGGAGCCCTAATTCAAAGATTGATTGTTAGAGCTTGGGAGTTACAAAGATCTTATTTCATTGCCTCAATTTGGGACTTCTCTAAAAGAGCATCAGCTTCACCACTCTTTGTGGGCTAGGCAACTACATTGCAGTTAAACTCCCTCTGCCCACTTCTACTTCCTTCACTCCCTCATAGATGCTATATCCAAGAGCATGTCAAATAATTTGTGTATACAAATCTCCATATCAGTGTTTGTTTCTGGGCCATCTTACCTATACAAACCATTTCATATAGCCCAGAATAGAAGTTATGAGCCTATGGGAACATGTAGCCTCCATTTTCCTTTCCTTAGTAGGGTTACAAAGAGAAATGTTTTTTTCATAATTATTAATAGACATATATATCAAGGAAGAAAGCTCTTGAAACAAAAAAGCTGTAAGCTGGGGCTTTCTTTGGGGCAGATGGATAGCCTATTTTAACCTTCTTTGCTTAGGAGCAATAAAAAATGATTGCAGTTTGTTAAGCCCACCAATTTTCTAGGATATATAAGGAGACTATTACATGCATGGTATTAGGGGTTCTAGGCACATGCAGATGATTTTCTTGAGGATCTGCCATAATCCCCTATTTTATTTTTTCATAGTACTTATCATTATATGAAAGCATCTTTAGTTTTTGATTTCATTTGCTTATTGTCTTTCTCTCTTTCTCTAGCATATAAGCTCTCTGAAGGCAGAGAGTTTGTCTGATTTCCTGCCACAGCCTGATCTTTTAGAATCTTTCTCAGCATGCAAAAAGTGCTCAATACCTAACTGTTAAATTAAGTGCTGCTCTGTGTACTTTTTAAAAATTTTCTGATGTGTAGATGGATGGCCAAGGATTTTCAGTCAGTATTTAGAGCTAGTGAGAACTCTGAGTCTTGCAGGTGCTGGGAAATACTGATTAAGGCATATATAGGAGACAGACCTGTAAAGTTCTTATAAACTGCCAAGAACAGAGCCATAGCAGATAAGATCTATAGTTTATCTCCATGGGAAGTTGCTGGTCATTTGCTAGCCAGAATGAACTGAAGTTGAGAAGTCAAGACAAAATGTGGCTCACACAGAAAACAGGGGAATCCAGAAGCCAGAGAGCAGGTCAATATAGATTATAGTGCTTCTGAGCTGGAACTGAATCCCAGCTTCATCCTGTATGTGTGACCTTGGCCAAGTCACTCAATGGGCATAAGTAGTCTTTGCATATCTATCAAATAAGGTTAATAATAGCACAGAAGAAGTCTTATTAAAAAGACTGAACAAGTTAAATCTTGCACATTAAACATATAATAAATATTAAGTTCTTTTTAGCAAGCAAGCAAGCCAGTTGGCCAACAGAGAAAGGTAAGGCAGGACTAGTTAGAGAAGCAAGTCTTGGGATTTGTACACTCTAAGAATGAGTAACTGAGGCAGTTAGATTTCTTCCCCTTGCTGGCTGCTGGACTTTGCATTTTGCTCTTGGCATAGGAGCTGAAATGGTGACCCTTATAGCTGTAGTAGAATCCTGTGACCCTTACCTATGAGCTCAAGGAAAGTTAAGACGTTCTGTACAAGTGAAATGTTGTACTTCTTATCCTCATAAGGCAGAGTAATTGGATGTTCAGGAGCATAAGGCTATAACTTTGTGAAACAGCCTGCTCTGAGATCTCTTTGATTACAGGAAAGGAACAAGAAAGCCCTCCAGGGTGTAGAGCCTAGGCTGTCCTAGTCTGAGACATGCTCTTTTGAATTGCGAACACTAAGTACAAAAAAGGATGTAATATGTCTCATTAATAATTTTTTATATTGACTACACATTGAAATAATACTTTGAATATATTGTGTTGAATAAAATACATTATTAGAACTATTTCACTCTTTCTTGTTTTTAAACAAAGCTACTAGAAATTTTAACGTTACATATGGACTCAAATTTGTGGCTTGCATTATGTTCCCATTGGACAGTGTTGGTCTGGCATTTGCTTTACAGAGTCAGCTCAGCAGTCGGTATGTTTGAGAGATAAAAGGGTTCTCGCTGCACCATTCAGTCTTCAGTGTTGACTCTTCAGCTATAAGGGACCTCTTGACTAAATAGATGAGGTTTGTACATTGATAGTTGTAGGTTTCTGATTTGTGAGCCAAAAATAACGTACAAGCTGTTAGGTGCAATCTCTGAGAGTTTTATTTAAGAGCACATTTAGGTCAATGTTAGCTTTTCTTTTATATATTGCAAGCAGAAACTGATCCTGTTAAATTTAATGGCAATGCATTAAATTAGTGAGTCATCATCCCTCTGAGGTGAACTAAGTGTAATGTGCCACTAGACCTTTCTAGCAGCCTATATTCAGAATTGTGATCTGATCTCTAATGGCTAAAATGCGTGCATACTCTATGCCTGTGAATTAAGGAGGTAGAATGGATTGAGCAGTATCTTAAGGGTGCTTGAGATTAGAGGGAACACAATATTTTTATTCGTGTTCCTCTCCTTTAAGTAAAGTTGTAAATTTATCTAAAATTTTAAAACTCTTCGTGGAAGTTACATAATTAAAAGTAAATTAGTATTAGTAAAACTTCCTGAAAGGAGCCAGACACACTCAGAGAATAAAAGACTAGGAATTGGTATGAAGTATAAAATTATCTGGAGAGTCAGCTTGATTAAAAAAAGGAGGTTTAGAGTCTCAGAGATGCCATTCAGATGACTGACTAGAGGTGCCCAGCACTTACCTCCTCCACGAAGAAGGACAAAAACAGTGAGTAAATAACCACATGTCAAATAGAGCATATAAAGGAGTGCAGTAGAATTCAGCAGAACAGAGACAGGGATCCTCTAAGTCATGGAAACTTGAGACGGCAGAATAGAGAGAAGTGAAATAGCCAGATGGGGTTGGTTTGGAGCCAGGAGGGACTCCTCGTTGTAGGGAAAGGGAAAGACAGAGATCTCCAGCAATCCGCATTCCCACCACAGATGCCTGCAATCCTAGCAACAGGAGAACCTCTCTGCTCTTACAGGCCCTGAGCCTAATACAGAAAGCTGCCCGGAGTCCATGTGACTACATTGTCCCAGAAAGGGATTTTATGGTGAATCCCATCCACTTTCTAGGACCCAAGCTGCTGCAGGACAGTACCATTTTGAGAAAAGAACCAAAAGCAGGTTGCATCCCTTCCGGGGGCTGAAAAACCCCTGTATCCGCACATACCTAAGGTGCAGACATCCCCCAGATCCACCGCAAAGGCTGCAGCATTGATACACCAGTTGAATTCAGAAGACGGGCACATCCCTGGCACCTGAGTGCCCTACAACTCAGAAAACAGGCAGTCCAGCACATTAGGAGGCTGCCCTAAGATATAGGAAACTGAAGCATGCACTCCCTAAAGCCTGAGAGCTTTCTGCCTCGGTCCACCACCACATACAGACATCTTGCCCTCTTTAGCAATGGGGCCACTGCACTCTGAAGCATGACACCTGAAGACCTGCCCAGGCTGCTGCTGCCACCACAGGTATCTGCACGAGCTGCTTGGGAATCCAGGGATTGGTTCTCTTAGGCCCCACTGCCACCACCATGAAGGCCTCTGAATGTCTGCGACTGCCATTGCCACTACCACGGCCTGTGTGTGTTGTCTGGGGACCCAAATACCAGCCTTCCCAGCCTTCCACTGCCACTTCTGGTGCCTGCACATGGCATCTGGGCACCCAAAGACTTGTCCACCCAGAGCTGTGACTGCTACCATTGGCACCATGTGCACCACCTGGGGCACCAAGAACCAGTCCACTTTAGGCCAACTGTCACCACAGCTGGTACCCATGCACACCACCCAGTGGCTACAGGACCAACCCACCCAGCACCACAATCCCCAGCAAAGCCTCACCACAGCCTCCATAAAAAACCACAGTTGAAGCCACTGAACAACACATAGGCACTGCCAATGTTGATTACTACTAAAGACACCATACAGAGATTACACTATGATACCCACCCAGAACCAAGACCGAAGTACCCTACCCAACTAACACTAAATATACATCTACAGGAAATAGTCTTCCCCTGTGAAAGCTACTACATACATATGGAAGAAGTGCCTGTTAGACCAGATACACAGATATCAATGTGAGGATATTAGAAACATGAAAAAGCAAGGAAACATGACACCTCCAAAGGCACATAATAATTCTCCAATAACAGACCTCCCTCACAAAAGAAAATCTATGAAAAACCCGAAAAGGAATTCAATATAATGATCTTTTTTTACTTTTAGGAGTACATGTGCAGGTTTGTTACATAGGTAAACTTGTGTCATGTAAGTTTGTTGTGCAGATTATTTCATCACCCAGGTATTAAGTCTAGTATCCATTAGTTATTTTTCCTCATCCTCCTCTCTCCTCTCACCCTCTACCCTCTGATAGGGCTCAATGTATAATTTTCCTCTCTATGTGTCCATGTGTTTTCTTCATTTATCTCCCACTTATAAATGAAAACACACAGTATTTTTTTTTCTGTTCCTGCATTAGTTTGCTAATGAGAACAACCTCCGGCTCCATCCATGTCCCTGCAAAGGACATGATCTTGTTCTTTTTTATGGCTGCATAGTATTCCATGGTGTATATGTAACCACATTTTCTTTATTCAGTCTATCATTAATTGATGTTTAGATTGATTTCATGTCTTTGTTATTGTGAATATGGATGCAATGAATATCTGCATGTATGTGTCTTTATAATAGAATGATTTATATTCCTTTGGGTATATACCCAGTAATGAGTTTGCTGGGTCAAACAGTATTTCTGTTTTTAGCTATTTGAGGAATTGCCACACTGTCTTCCATAAAGGTTGAACTAATTTACACTCCTACCAACTGTGTATAAGCATTTCCTTTACTTTGCAAGCTTGCCAGCATCTGTTATTTTTTGACTTTTTAGTAATAGCCATTATGACTGATATAAGGTGGTATCTCGTTGTTCTTTTGATTTGTATTTATCTAATGATCAGTGATGTTGAGCTCTTTGTTTTTTGTATGTTTGCTATATGCATGTCTTCTTTTGAAAATTGTTTATTCATGTCCTTTGCCCACTTTTTAATGGGGTTGTTTTTTCTTGTAATTTTTTAAAGTTCCTTATAGATGTTGAATATTAGACCTTTGTCAGATGCATAGTTTGTTAAAAATTTCTCCCCTTCTGTAGGTTGTCTGTTTACTCTGTTGATAGTTTCTTTTGCTGTGTAGAAGCTCTTTAGTCTAATTACGTCCCATTTGCCAATTTTTGATTTTGTTGCAATTGCTTTTGGCATTTTTATCTTGAAATCTTTGCTTATGCCTACGTTCTGAATGATATGGCCTAGGTTTTCTTCCAGTGTTTTTACAGTTTCTGGTTTTTGCATTTAAGTCTGTAACCCATCTTGCAATAATTTTTGTATATGGTGTAAGGAAGGGGTCCAGTTTTAATCTTTTGCATATGGCTAGCCAGTTATCCCAGCACCATTTATCCAGTAGAAAATTCTTTCCCCATTGCTTGTTTTTGTCATGTTTGTGAAAGATCAAATAGTTGTAGGTGTGTGGTCTTATTTCTGAGTTCTTTATTCTGTTCCATTGGTCTATGTGTCTGTTTTCTTATGAGTACCATGCTGTTTTGGTTACTGTAGTGCTGTACTATAGTTTGAAGCTGGGTAGTGTGATGCCTCCAGCTTTGTTCTTTTTGCTCAGGAGTACCTTGGCTACTTGGACTCACTTTTGGTTCCATAAGAATTTTAAAATAGTTTCTTCTAGTTCTGTGAAAAATATCAATGGTAGTTTAATAAGAATAGCATTTAATCTATATATTCATTGGCCAGTATGACCATTTTAATGATACTGATTCTTCTATCCATGAACATCGAATGCTTTTCTGTTTGTTTGTGCCATCTCTGATTTCTGTGAGCAGTGGTTTGTAGTTCTCTTTGCAGGGATCTTTTGCCTCCATAATTAGCTGTATTCCTAGGTATTTTATTCTTTTTGTAACTATTGTAAATGGGAGTTTTTTCCTGATTTGGCTCTCAAGTTGATTGTTGTAGGTGTATAGGAATCCTAGTGATTTTTGCACACTGATTTTGTATCCTGAGATTTTGCTGAAGTTGTTTATCAGCTTAAGAAGCTTTTGGGCTGAGACTATGGGGTTTTCCAGACACAGGATCATGTCATCTGCAAACAGGAATAGTTTTACTTCCTCTCTTCCTATTTGAATGTCCTTTATGTCTTTCTCTTGCCTGATTGGTCTTGTCAGAACTTCCAATACTACGTTGAATGAAAGTGGTGAGAGTGGGCATCCTTGTTTGTGTGGGTTTTCAAGGGGAATAGTTCAGCTTTTGCCCATTTAGTATGATGTTGGCTGTGGGTTTTTCATATATGGCTCTTATTATTTTGAGGTATGTTCCTTCAATACCTAGTTTAATGAAAGTTTTTAACATAAATAGATGCTGAATTTTATCAAAAGACTTTTCTACATCTATTGAGATAATCATGTGGTTTTTGTCTTTAGTTCTGTTTATGTGATGAATCACATTGATTGATTTGCCTATGATGAACCAACCTTGCATCCCAGAGATAAAACTTACTTGATCATGGTAGATAAAATATTTGATGTGCTGCAGGATTTGGTTTTCTAGTATCTTGTTGAGGATTTTTACATTGATGTTCACCCAGGATATTGGCCTGAAGTTTTCTTTTTTTGTAATTCTGCCAGGTTTTGGTATCAGAATGATGCTGGCTTCATAGAATGAGTTAGGAAGAAGTCACTTCTCCTCAATTTTTGGAGTAGTTTCAGTAGAAATGGTACAAACTCTTTTTTGTACATTTGGAAGAATTCAGCTGTCAATCTGCATGGTCGTTTTTTTGGTTGGAAGGCTATTTATTACATCCTCAAATTCAGAACTTGTTATTGGTCTACTCAGGGATTTAATTTTGTTGTGGTTTAGTCTTTGGAGGGTGTATATATCCAGGAATTTATGAATTTCTTCTAAATTTTCTAGTTTATATGCATAGAGATGTTCACAGTACTCTCTTATGGTTGGTTGTGCTTCTGCAGGGTCAGTAATAATATCCCCTTTGTCATTTCTGATTGTGTTAAATAATGATCTTAAGGAAACCAGAAAATACAAAAGAACACATATGGACAATACAAAGAAATCAAGAAAATAATTTATGATCTAAATGAGAAATTCAACAAAGATATAGATATAAAAAAGGACCAAATAAAAAATCCTGGAAATAAATAATTCAATGAATGAATACAATTGAGAGCTTTAACAGTAGACTATACCCAACAGAAGAAAGAATTTCTGAACTTAAAGAGAGGTCTTTTGAATAACCAAGTCAGATTTAAAAAAGAAAGAAAGAAAGAAAGAAGAAGAAGAAAGAAGAATGAAGAAAACCAGTGAGACATGGGACACCATCAGTGAAGAAATATTAATATATTGAGAGTTCCAGAAGGAGAAAAGATGGAAAAAGGCATATGTATTAGTCAGGGTTCTTTAGAGTGACAGAACTGATAGGATATATGTATATATGAAAGGGAGTTTATTAAGGAGAATTGACTCACATGATCACAAGGTGAAGTCCCATAATAGGTCATCTGAAAGCTGAGGAGCAAGGAAGCCAGTAGTGGCTCAGTTTGAGTCCCAAAGCCTCAAAAGTAGGGAAGCTGACAGTTCAGCCATCAGTCTGTGGCCAAAGGCCTGAGAGTCCCTGGCAAACCACTGGTGTAAGTTCAAGAGTCCGAAGGCTGAAAAATCTGGAATCTGATGTTCAAAGGCAGGAAGCATCCACCATGGGAGAAAGATGAAGGCCAGAAAACTCAGCAAGCCAGTTTATTCCACTTCTTCCATCTGCTTTTTCTAGCCATGCTAGAAGCTAATTGGATGGTGCCCACCCACATTGAGGGTGGGTCTTTCTTTTCTAGTCAACTGACTCAAATGTCAATTTTCTCTGGCAACACCCTCACAGACACACCCAGAAACAATACATCATATCCTTCAATCCAATCAAGTTAACACTTAATATTAACCATCACAGCATAAAAAACATAATAATAAATAATAGCTGAGAACTCCCCAAGTCTTTAAAGAAATAGAGTCAGTCAGACTCAGGAAGCTCAAAGAGACCTAATAGATTCAACCCAAAAAGATCCTCTTTGAGGCACATTATAGTCAAACTGCCGGAAGTCAAAGACAAACACAGAATTCTAAATATAGCAGGAGAAAGGCATCAAGTCACATATAAAGGAATTCCTACCAGTCTAACAGCAGATTTCTGAGCAGAAACCTTACAGGCCAGAAGAGAATGAGATAATATACTCAAAGTGCTGAAAGAAAAATAAACTTTTCACTCAAGAATACTGCACCCAGCAAAGCTATCCTTTGGAAATGAAGGAGAAATAAAGTCTTTCCCAGACAAGCGAAAATGGAAAAACTTCACCTACTACGTGGACTCTACAAACATGCTTAAGGGAATTCTACATCTGGAAGCAAAAGGATAATATGTACCATTATGAAAACACATGTAAGTATAAAACTCACTGGTAGAGCAGATACACAAATGAGAAAGAGAAAGGAATCAAATGTTGTTATTATAGAAAATCAGCAAGCCACAAAGATAACCAATAAGAGAAAAAGAAAGTAACAAAGGATATTCAAAACAATCATAAACCAGTTAAGAAAATGACAGGAGTAAGTCCTCACCTATCAGTAGCAATTTTGAATGTAAACAGTTTAAATCCCCCAGTGTAACAAGATAATAGCTGGATGTGGTGGTGTACACCTGTGGTTACACAAGTTATACCACTTGTGCCTAGGAATGCTGGCATGCAGTGCTTTATGATTGTGCCTGAGAATAGCCACTGCACTATGTAGCCTGGGCAATATGGTGAGACCCCATCTATAAAATACACACACAGACACACACACACACAACACACAACACTGGCTACATGGATAAAAAATAAGACCCAACTATAAACTGTGTACAAGAAACTCACTTTGCCTGTAATGACACACATTGGCTGAAAGTGAAGGAATGGAAAAAGTTATTCCACACAAATGAAAACCTAAAGCATGCAGGTGTTGCTATACTTACCTCAGATAAGATAGATTTTAAGGGCAAAAACATAAGAATTGGCAAAAAAGTTATATAATGATAAAGGATATGATTCAGCAAGAGGATTTAATAATTGCCAACATATATGCACCCAACACTGGAGCACTTAGATATATAAAGCAAATATTATCAGAGCTAATGAGAGAGATAGACATCAATATAAAAAGAGTTGGGGACTGTCTTCATTTATTTCCTTTTTTTTTCCAGGATACGTAAAACTGAATAATTTGTAAAGAAAAATTCTTTCCTTCCTTCCTTCCTTCCTCTTTTCTTTTCTTTCTTTTTTTTTATTTCTGATGGAGTCTTGCTCTGTTGCCCAGGCTGGAGTGCAGTGGCACGATCTTGGCTCACTGCAACCTCTGCCTCCCAGAGGATCGCTCCTCAATCAATCCTCCTGCCTCAGCCCTACTAGTAGCTGGGATTACAAGCACATGCCACCACACCTGCTAATTTTTGTACTTTTAGTAGAGACAGGGTTTTGCTGTGTTGGCCAGGCTAGTCTCAAACTCCCAACCTCAGGTGATCCACCCACCTCAGCCTCCCAAAGTGCTGGAATCCCACTTTGGGGTGGCGTGAGCCACTGCACCTGGCCAGAAAATTTATTTCTGGAGGTGAGGGCATCCAAGGTTGAGGGCAGAATCTAGTGAAGGCCTTCTTGCTGGTGGGGACTCTCTGCAGGGTCCCATAGGGATGCAGGGTATCATATGGTGTAGGGACTGAGCATGCTACTCAGGTTTTTCTTCCTCTTGTTGTAAAGTCAATAGTCCCATGTCAGTTAAAATCCATTAATCCATTAGCTATTAATCCAAGAATGGATGAATTCATAATGACAACAGAACCTCCATGACTCAATCACTTTATAAAGGCTGCACCTTTCAATACTGCCATATTAAGAATTAAGTAGCAACACGAGTTTTGGAGAGGACAAACATTCAAATTACAGCAGGGACTTCAACATCCCACTTTCAGCATTGAATAAATAATCGAGGCAGAAAATCAACACAGAAACATCAGACTGAAACTGCACTACAGACCAAGTAGACCTAACAGATATTTACAGAACATTTCAGCCAACAGCTCCAAAATACAATTTTTCTCATCGGCACATGGAACATTCTCCAAGATGAACAATATGTTAGGGCACAAAACAAATCTCAACAATGATAAAAAAATTCAAATCAACTTAAGTATCTTCTTAGACCACAATTGAATAAAACTATACATTTATAACAAAGGGAACTCTAGAAACTGTACAAATACATGAAAAATTAAATAACATGCCCCTGAACAACCACTGGATCAATGAAGAAATTAAGAGAGAAATAAAAAATATTTCTGGAAATGAATGGAATTGTAAACACAACATTCCAAAACCTGTGGGTTACAGCAAAAGCAGTACTAGGAGGAAAGTTTATAGCAATAAATGACTGTATCCTAATAGTAGAAAGATTTCAAATAAATGACTTAACAATTCACCTCAAGGAGCTAGAAGGCAAGAACAAACTAACCCCTACATTAGTAGAAAGAAAGAAATAACAAAGATCAGGGCAGGCATAAACAAAATAGAGACTAAAAAATACAAAAGATAATGAAATAAAAAGTGATTTTCTAACACAATAAACAAAATAAAAAACCCTTTCCTAGTCTAAGAAAAAATAGGGAAGATTCAAATAAATAAAATCAGAAATGAATAAGGAGACGATACAACTGATACCACAGAAATAGGAAGAATCATTTGAGACTCTTATGAGCAACTATATGCCAGCAAATTGAAAAATCTAGAGGAAATGAATGTTTCTGAACACAAATGATCTACCAAGATTTAACCAAGAAGAAATACAAAACCTAAACAAACCTGTAATGATTAATGAGATTGAATCAGTAATAAAAATTCTTTCGTCAACGAAGAGCCCAGGATTAGATGGCTATACTACTAAATTTTAACAAACATTTAAAGAACTGATACCAATTCTTCTTAAACTATTCCAAAAATTGAAGAGGAGAGAATTCTGTCTGACTCATTTTGCCAGGCTAGCATTACCAAGATACCAAGATTAGACAAAGATACACACACACACACACACACACACACACACACACACAACTACAGGCCAATATTCCTGATGAAAATAAATGCAAAAATCCTCAACAAAATACTAGCAATATGACTCCAACAACATATCAAAAAGATAATACACCATGAAAAAATGAGATTTATCCCAGGAATGCATGATGGTTCAACACATGCAAATCAATGAATGTGATAAATCACCTTAACAGAATGAGGACAAATGCCCTATAATCATTTCAATATATGCAGGAAAAGTATTTGATAAAATCCAACATCTCTTTGTGATAAAAGATCTGAACAAATTAGATATAGAAGAAATGTACCTCAACACAACAAAGGCCATAAATAAAAAGCCCACAGCTAACATCATACTTAATGGGAAAAAGTGGAAAGTATTTCCTGTAAAAACTGGAAAAAGACCAGGCTGCCCACTTGTATCACTCTTATTTAACACAGTACCTGATATCCTAGCCAAAACAATTAGGCAAGAGAAAAAAAACAAAAGACATACAAATTTCAAAAGAGAATCTCAAATTGTTCCTCTTTGCAGGTGACATGATCTTGTATAGAGAAAAACCTAAAGAGTCTATCAAAAATGATAAGCAAATTCAGTAAATTTGAAGGATACAAAATTAATATGTAAAAATCAGTAGTATTTCTGCACACCAAGCTGAAAAAGAAATCAAGAAAGTGACTCCATTTACAATAGCTATTAAAAAACCCATCCAAAAAAAGAAAAAAAACCCATCCAGGAATAAATTTAACAAAGGAGGTGAAAGATATCTACGATGAAAACTACAAAACACTGATGAAACAAATTGAGGAACATACAAAAAAATGGAAAGATATTTTGTGCTCATAGATTGGAAGAATTTAATATTGTAAAAATGACTAATAAGCTTTCGATCTGTATCCCCACCGAAATCTTATATCAAATTGTGATCTCCAATGTTGGAGGCAGAGCCTGGTGGGAGGTGATTGGATTATGAAGGCGTTTCTCATGAATGGTTTAGCACAATCTTCTTGGTGCTGTTCCCATGAGAGTGAGAGAGCTCGCATGAGATTTGGCTGCTTAAAAGTATATAGCACCCCCTCCTCTATCTTCCTCCTGCTTCTGCCATGTGAGACACTGTGCTCCCCTTTGCCTTCTGCCATGATTGGAAGTGGAGAAAGGAAACCCTTTTCAATAAATGGTGCTGGGATAAGTGGCTAGCAACATGTAAGAGAATGAAACTGGATTTTCATCTCTTGCCTTATACAAAAACCAACTCAAGATGAATCAAAGACTAAGTCTAAGACTGAAACTATACAAATGCTAGAAGATAACATAAAAAAAGTTTCTTTTAGACATTGGCTTAGGCAAGAATGTCATGACCAAGAACCCAAAAGCAAATGCAATAAAAACAAAGATAAATAGCTGGGACTCAACTAAACAAAAGAGCTTTTGCACAGCAAAAGTAACAGTCAACAGAGTAAACACACCACCCACAGAGTGGGAGAAAATGTTCACAATCTACACATATGACAAGGGACTAATATCCAGAATCTACAATAAACTCAAACAAATTAGCAAGAAAAAAAACAAACAATCCTATCCAAAAGTGTGCTAAGAACATGAATAGACAATTCTCAATGGAAGGTATAAAGACCAACAAACATATGAAAAAATGCTGAACATCACTAATAATCAGGGAAATGCAAATTAAAACCACAATGTGATACCACCTTACTCCCACAAGAATGGCCATAATCAAAAAATCAAAAAGTAATAGATGTTGGCACAAATGTGGTGAAAAGAGAACACTTCTACACTGCTGGTGGGAAAGCAAAGTAGTACAACCAGTATGGGAAACAGTGTGGAGATTCCTTAAAGAACTACAAGTAGAACTACCATTTGATCCAGCAATCCCACTACTTGGTGTTTACCGAGAGGAAAAGAAGTCATTATATGAAAAAGATACTCGCACATGCATGTTTACAGCAGCACAATTCACAATTGCAAAATTGGGTAGCCAACCCAAATGCCTATTAATCAATGAGTGGATAAAGAAACTGTGAGATATATGTGTGTGTGTATATATATAATGGAATACTACTCAGTCATAAAAAGGAATAAGTTAATGGTATTCACAGCAACCTGAATGAGATTGGAGACTATTATTCTAAGTGAAGTAACTCAGGAATGGAAAACCAAACACCATATGTTCTCACTCATAAGTGGGAGCTAAACTATGAGGATGCAAAGGCATAAGAATGACACAATGGACTTCGGGGAATCAGGGGGAAAGGGTGGGAAGAGAGTGAGGGATAAAAGACCACAAATTGGGTTCAGTGTATACTGCTTGGGTGATAGGTGCATGAAAATCTCACAAATCACCACTAAAGAAGTTACACACATAATCAAACACCACCTGTTCCCCAAAAACCTATGGAAATAAAAATTTATTAAAAATCCTGGAAAATACTGACCTAGTAAAATCTCTTTCAAAGTTCCAATATTTAAAAATACAAGACAATCAAACTAGTTTTATTTGGAAGTTACTGAGCTAAAACTCGCTTTTTCCCCCTAATTTTTAATTTTTATGTGTTCATAGTAGTGTATATATTTATGGGGTACATAAGATATTTTAATACAGGCATACAATATGTAACAATCACATCAGGGCAAATTGGGTATCCATCACCTCAAGCATTCATCATTTCTTTGTGGTAGGAACATTCCAATTATACTTCCTCAGTTATTCTAAAAGGTACCACAACTTATTGCTGACTGTAGTCCCTGTTGAAAGTATGCATATTTTCATTTGATTATATCCAGTCACTTATTGTTTACCCTTTGTTTCTTGTGTCTACATATAGATTATATTTTCTTAGTATATCAGTCTGCTAGGTCTGCCATAACAAAGTACTACAGATTGTGTGGTCTAAACAACAGAAATTTACTTTCTCACAGTTCTACAAACTGGAAGTCCAAGATCAAGGTGTCAGCAGGCTTGGTTGCTCCACTCCTGGTTTCCTGAGTTCTCTCTCCTTGGCTTGTGGATGGTTGCATTTTCATTGTATCCTCATATAGCCCTTTATATGTGTGTGCCCAATCCTGGTGTCACTTCTTCCCATATGGACAACTTCTATTGGATTAAGGCTTCACTCTTATAACCTTGTTTTACTTTAACTACCTTCTAAAAGGCCCCATCTCCAAATGCAGTCATATTGGGGATTAGGGCTTCAATATATATGTTTTTTCGGGGGGAACCAATTCAGTCCATAATACTCTGTAAGATTATAAGCTGCACCAAGAATATATATTTCCTTTGCAGCCAGACTAGGAGTGCTTGTAGAATCTATAATAAAGGATAGTCACTGAACATAAACAAATGAACTATTGGGATAGTAGTGGGGTTGGAAGATAGCATGGTTTCTTCAGGATAAATCATTATCTAATATATTGACATCCTTTGAAGAAATGAATACCTAGATAAAGAATGTACATAAATAACAGAGTTGCATGGAGCCTTGAAGATCATCTAGTTCATCCTCTTGTCTTTTCCAGTGAGTGCATTGGGTGCTAGGAGGCCATGGGCTTTGCAAGGGGCCACACTGCTGGTTACAGGCAGAGTTGAGAAGAGGTTGCAACCACTTACCCTTCCATAATATGCTACCTCTAAACACACTGATGAATAAGGAGGACTGGTGGATGTAATCTATTCAGACTTCCAAAAAGTGATTGTCAACTTTTAATCCTAAAGTTACTAAAACATAGAGCTTCAGGGGGTTAGTTTTATTGTAATAAATAACTAAAAAATACAGGAATTAAAAGATAGAGAGATGGACATTTATCATAGTAAATATTTACATTATTTAGTAGATATCTATTAAATGTCCAGTAGGCCATGTCGTAGCTGGGCTTTTTAAATAGAAACATTTTTTAAAATTTATTTTTTTAACTTCTATTTTATATTTAAGGGTACATGCAAACTCGTGTCATGGGGGTTTGTTGTACAGATTATTTCATTACCCACATATTAAGCCCAGTACCCAATTGTTATCTTTCCTGCTCCTCTCCCTCCTCTCACCCTCCACTCTCGAGTAGACCCCAGTGTCTATGGTTCCCTTCTTTGTGTTCCTGAGTTCTTATCATTTAGCTCCCACTTGTAAGTGAGAACATGCAGTATTTGGTTTTCTGTTTCTGCCTTTAATAAGTGGTCTGAATAAAAAGGTGATCATTTCAATAAATCAGCATTTGATAAAGAGGGATAGTAGTATGAATTATGAGGAAAATGGCTATAGGCAAAATAAGTTTGGAAACACTGAGTTAAAGTAAAAATAATTTATTTGGTGTCAAACTTCTCTGAGCCATTGCTACAATAATAAAAAATGAGGTGGTAGTATATTCCTAAGCTTCTTTGACAAGAAAAGCTCCCTTTTATAGAGTTTCTTATGAGGATTCTGTAAAGCAATTCTGTGAGGAAATGATACCGAATCAGTGAGGATAAAATGTAGGAAGAATCTGGGTGACTGAAAAACTTATTATTTTTAAAATATACTTTAGTGTGGTACATACCCTTGTTATCTTCTTTTTCCCATAAGTAGTCTCATCTATGGATTTCGTACAAATTTCTACCTAAGGAGAGGGGCCTGTTTTCTATTTCTTTCATATTACCTGCAGTTTCTAGTACAGTGCTCTACACATAAGAGGTGCTTAGTGTTAATACTTGTTAATTGTCCGTGTGACTTTGGTAGAGCAGTTTCAATGGTGATGACTCAGGGGTAATGCATTTAGGAAAGCAAAACAAAGCTATATGTTATAGGCACAAAAATTACTCCACACAAAAGAAATGTCAAATTAAATTTTTTTCTTTTTTTTTCCCTTTCATACCTGGTCTTGCAGCAAATGCCATATTTTGAATTTTTCTTAATATCAAGATAATTTGGACTATGAGTTCAGTTCTTAGCTATTAATGTGGCTTCCATCCTCTTTTGGTGCTACATAAGAATCCCTTGACTTACTAGATGTATGGAGATTGGAGGAAGGATCTCGAATCTCCAGTTCATCAGGATAACCCCTGATGCCCTCATTTGCAAGACTGGATTGTCCAGATGAGTGAAATGTTATCAGAAGCGTCCTTATAAGAGAGGCAAGAAGGTTGGAGTTAGGTGGGGAGATGTGACAAGGGAAGCAGAGGTTGGAGAAAGAGGGAGGATTGAGAATGCTATGCTGCTAGCTTTGAATATGGAGGAAGGGGCCATGAGCCAAGGAGGAGGGGGCCAAGAGCCAAGGAATAGAGATGACATTTAATAGCTGGAAAGGGCAAGGAAATAGATTTCTCTTCTAGAGCCTCCAGAAAAAAAATGCATTCCTTTCCCGACAACACCTTGATTTGAGGCAAGTAAAACCTGTTTTGAATTTCCGATCTCCAGAACTGTAACATAATATGTGGGTGTGTGCACGCACACACACATGTGTATGTTTTGAGAAAGAGTCTCACTCTGTCACCCAGGCTGGAGTGCAGTGGTGTGATCTTGGCTCACTGCAACCTCCACCTCCCGATGTTAAGCAATTCTTCCACCTCAGCCTCCCAAGTAGCTGAGATTACAAGTGCATGTCATTACGCCCAGGTAATTTTTGGATTTTTTCATAGAGACAGGGTTTCACCATGTTGGGCAGGCTAGTTTCAAACTCCTGACCTCAAGTGATCTGTCCTCCTCAGCTTCGGAAAGTGCTGGGATTACAGGCATGAGACACCGCTCCTGGCTGATATTTGTCTTTTAAACTACCAAGTTTGTGGTAATTTGTTATAGCAGCAATAGGGAAACTAATACGGGCTTTCAGTATCTTGAAGCTTTTTGTTCCGGTATTTTCTTTCTAAACAGGGGCATAAGGTGGGCCTGGGATTGTTCTATGGGCCCATTGCCCTTTGCCTCATCTCTCAGGTATTGCTTGGAACAGGCACTGCTCTATGAATCTACAATGATACTTTTCCATTTTCCCCTCTCCAATTCTACCTCTTCCCACTGTTCTCATTTCAGGATAAGATCTCTTTATTCATCTCAAAATTATAAGAAGAGGCCTACTTGGAATGGAGGAGGGAAAATTCTGTTTGAACAAATCACACATTAATAGCTCAATAAATCATCCTGTCAAATGTACTTACAGAATAATAATTTCTAATCTGAGTGTTTTGATCCAGAAAAGAATCTTAGAGACTCTCAACTGTTGGATTGATCAGTTTTTGTTGATTTAGTTCTTGCCTTTCTCTTGCTCTCCAGTGAACTATAAACTCCTTATCTACAACCCTTTATATGTGTATGCATGTGTGTGTATGTATGTGTTTGTCAAATTACTATATATTACTATATACAAAATTTATAAAATTATGCATCACATTAATAAAAAGGAATGAAGATTTAGAATTTTTAATTTAGAATTTTCTAGAAAATATTAGATATTTTTTGGTTGCTCTGGGAAAAGAGGGATAGAGTTAATATTTAGTAAAAAGATGTCTGGGTTTTATTCTAAGGGATTATTCTTAGAAATAGGTATATTTGTATATTCTAACTCATGTGACAACATAAAATCTGTGCTTAGTTTTAACTATAATGAGATTCTTGGTTCTTTTCAAAGCCATTAATGATATGATTCTATTTTTCTCTGGCACTACCTAATATATATATTTATATATTTATAAAATTAAAAAAATATATTTTTCTTTTTCTTTGAGCCATGACTGATACAATGAGCAGTTAGAGACCTGAATCAAACTTTAAACTGGAATTAACCATACTAATTTTCTGAATCTTGAACTGAACTGAAATATTAATCTTGTATCAAATTAAAAACATCAGTTTTCTTCCTGAAAAAAGAACCAGTTTGAGCCAGAACTGAGCCTGTTTATGTTTTTTCCCTCAAATCATTGAATTGGAAGACTGCTGAAATGTCAGAATATACCTTGAACAAAAGTTGTGCAAAATTGTATCATTTTGGTCTGAATCCTTGATGAAATGGGAATTCTATCTCAATAGGCTTGTTTTTTTCTGTCTTTCCTTTATCTTTTAGGTGTAACAAGTATGATCTCGTGTTATTTTCTAGAAGCTTTGGCAATAATTGTCATACTAAAAATGTCATTCAGAGTTCCAAGTAATATTACCAAAAGGAATTAGCAAATGGCTCACTAGTAGGCACACAAAGAGGCTAGTGAATGGACAACTGGAGGCCCACCAATGATTGGGGAACTAGGTGGAAATATTCATAATGCTAATTGGTCCTTCATCACTTTCATTTTTTAAGAAAAATGCATTCATATGTTAGTATTCCAATTACATTGAGGCCCTACTTTTTTAGAGACCTTGAAAATTATTTTGAGTTGTAGCTATCTACTATTTCTCTGAAATAAAAATAAGCAGCCTGACTTCAGGAGCCACAGTTCAGGAGGGTGTCTCCACAGGTCACCAGCATTACCACGGCCAATCTTTCTGCGGAAACTTACGCCTTATATCTGTGCATATATCAGGGCACCGGATTCTTCCAGGTTGGAAGTCTAGAAACTCAGAAAACTCTCTAGGTTTTGGATTACAGGAAGGAAGGAATGGAGGTGCAGATGGAGGTTGCCTTACTGGAGAAAAAGTAGGAGACTTGCCAGTATTAGGTTTCTTCTTAGCCCTTCTGAGTCAGTCTGTAAATGGAATCCATTTCTACATAATAAATTTTGCTTTATTATAAAATCTGCAATAGAGGATAAAGACCTTTAAAACTACGTAAAATGTGCCTCCAATAATGAAAGTCAGTTCTCCAGAATACTCTTTAGCATTTTCTATGATCTACTGAAAAGAAGAAACCCAATCCATACAGACATGTAGAGTAATTCTCTAGAGGAGTTATTTTCTGCACCCACACAATTCCCAATAAAAGAAATTGCTATTATCTTAGTTTACTTTCGTTGATTCTACCCATTATTGTATTTGACACTTTATGCCAGGTTATCACCTCCCCTCTCCTACTCTTGGACATTTATCATCAAATATTTCTTTCCTCAGTATTTGACTTACAAAGACTTCATTCTTAAATAATCTTTCTCATTATCAGTTTATTAGTATTTAATTAACCTTGTTAGTTGTTAAAAGAAACTTATAACAGCTCACTAAATTTTGCATTTTGTAAATGCCTTTCTAAAACTATGTTTTGTATTTTTAATTTCTGATGATGTTTTCCACATAATTGCATAAATGAAGAAAGCATTGGAAATTTAGTGTAGGTACAGTTTTACAGCAAAAAATAATTATGAAACAGAGTAACAATTAATGTAGTAAATTACTTATATTCATATTGCTCTATGAGGAGTGCATAGACTACAATAGATTTTAATAGCTATTTACAGGATAAAGTATATTCATTGCTGATTATTTGAAGATGGTAACAATATTCTCTTTGATAGTGATTTCTAACTTGCAAGTTGCTTTTGTATACCTGATCTCATTTTGTCTTGACTGCAACCTCAGAAATGAGGCAGAGAAGAAACCATTATTTCTAGATCTCAAGAGGATAATCACCTATCCCAAGGACAAAAACTCATAGTGGAAAGGTATAACTGGTTCCTGTTTCTTTCAACAATTAATTTGTATCCTACTCATCACCCATTGTTGCTTTCTGAACTTTTTGCAAACATTTCTCTATTTCATTTTTGTTTAGTTTTACAAAAGTGATAGTTTTTCTCTACTTTGATCTGATTGATCCTCCAGATTCAAGCAGTTTGAAAAGGTCTGAGAAACAACATTCAGTTGAAATTTATCCCATATTTGGAGTAAAAAAATAGATCTCCTTTAGGATCACATAAACCGTATAACTTATTCCCACTGCAATTCTGACCAAAGATTTTTATTTGTCTTCTAATTGGATGCTGTTTTATTTCCTGTATTCACTAAAAGTTACATGTAAATTTTTTTTTTTAATTCTTTTTGGGTTTATCAGAATATAGCAACTTTACAGATTTAGGAATAATTAAGGCCAGGGAGGCATATAGCAAAAAGCCCTGACCTAAGTGAGAGGAGACCAGTATTCCAGTTCCATGTCTACCACTGATTCCTTATGCCCATCTGAGCCTCAGTTTATTAGCCTGTAACATGAGATAGTAAGACTAGCTGATCTTTGAGGTTCCCCTTGCTACCTCTAATATTATAAGGTCCTAAACATCAAATTGCTGATTTCTGATTATGCCAGAATCTCCCAATCTGTCTTCTCCTAATGCTGGGGAAAAGCTGAGTGTTGGGAAAAAAGCTGAGGCAGGGCTTGCATGTCTGACATAATGTAAAAGAGTCTTGGAACATGTCCAGAGTCCAGGGTCTAAAACCCCTCATGGCCTTTGGAACACCAAGCTCTGTGTCAAAGTGTGGAAGGCTTCCTGGCCACACCAGAATCTAAGCCCAGGGCATAAAACCCCTCATGGCTTGGATGGAATCCAGGGCTCAGGGTATAAAACCCCTCGTGGCTTCTGGAATGTGTCTAGACTTGCTGTCTCCTTGCTTCTAGCACTCCCAGGCTCATAAATCGATTGTATCTTAAACTAGAAGAACATGTTTCCCATTATTTCAAGTAGCAGAACATGTTCCATATGCTTCAAAGGAAATGCTAAACTGTCACAGCTATAGCTCATGCACTTGATACACCGCTTTCTTTCAACCCCCACATCCTCACCACCTGCTTCTGTGTTTGATCACCAATAGATAGTGTGGGCTTCCAGGGCTCAGGGCCTTTGCAGCCTCCATACTAGCATTGACCCCCTGGTCCCACTTTACACACTCTTGTCTTGTCTCATTCCTTTGACTCTGCTGGACATTGTAGACCCCATGGCCTGGTGTTGGGTCTGATCACCCCAATATCCTAACAAGCTCATTGATGTTTTATTTAATAGGATAACGGAATTTATATTCTTCTAATTACATAGCGGGAGCAATGTAAGAGTTGTGTATGACAGGCTGCTATGTGTTTACCAAAACTCATTTCCTTTATCTCCTGGTACATAGCAGGTACCAGCAGGTGACTGAGTTTAGGCCTCTGGAATGTGGGCAGAATGTGGGAGCTTTAAAGTCTGATTTAAAACCACTTCCACGTAACCATGTCTTTGTCTTTTCCTGGCTTTTGGCTAGAAGCTAGGGACTTCCTGGTCCTAGGTAATAGAGGGGACACAAGGTAGAAGGAGAGAATCTCTGTATGGAAGTTCACCTGGTAAACATGTGATTAGACTACATGTAAGTGTAGAAATAAACTTCTATAAGTCCACTGAGATTATCTTTTACCGCAGCTGGTACCAGAATGGAGTGCTGTCATAATACAGAAAGTAAACATATGCATCATTGTCTTGGTGATCAGGTGGTAGAAAACAAACAAAATACCCACCTAGCTATATAGAAGACTGAAGAGCTCTGTTGTACCATGCCAAAATATTTGGTGAAAATATCATCTGTGACAACTTATAAAACATACATGTATAAGCCCAGGACCCTGTAGCTCTGAAACGGGAAAGGTTCTCTCATCCACCTCGCAGAACATGCGATGGGGGTGTAGCTCGCTTCTTCAGTGTCCTGCTGCTCAAAACCTCTAGGGGAGCATAGAGATGGGCAGGCTATGGGGCTCTAACCCCATGGCAGTGTCTAGGAGTGAGTGTTTACAGCTCCTGAAGCCCCAGTGGGTGTGTGTTACAAGGTGTTCTTTCTTTTTCTTTTCTTTTCTTTTCTTTTTTTTTTTTTTTTTTGAGATGGAGTTTCACTTTTGTTGCGCAGGCTGGAGTGTAATGGCATGATCTCTGCTCATCGCAACCTCCGCATCCTGGGTTTAAGTGATTCTCCTGCCTCAGCCTCCCAAGTAGGTGGAATTACAGGCATGCGCCACCACGCCTGGCTAATTTTGTATTTTTAGTAGAGACAGGGTTTCACCCTGTTGGTCAGGCTGGTCTCAAACTCCTGACCTCAGGTGATCTGCCTGCCTCAGCATTCCAAAGTGCTGGGATTACAGGCATGAGCCACCACGCCCAGCCACAGGGTGTTCTTTTAGTTTGCCTATAGGGAGCTTGTGTTAATCAGCTCAATTAGACCCCCTTCCTTATCACAAAGACAGAGGGATTTCTGTAGCCTGGGTTCTTGCCTTGGTATACTGGAAAGATTGGATCATATGTGGCCTTGGAGAATGAGTGCAAAGTTTTATTGAGTGGAAGTAGCTCTCAGCCAATGAGGGAGCCAGAAGGGAGGTGGTTTTTCCCTGGAGTTGGGCCACTCGGTGGCCCTGGCTCTCTTCCAACTGTCCCAGCCAAGCACCGCCTTATCTCACAGGTCCATGGCTTGCTGGCGTGCCATCTCTGTTGGTGTGCTCTTTTGCTGGAGTGCTCCTCTCGACGTCCTCTCTATGACCAGCCACTTACATCTTCTTCTGCCGATGTGTTCCTCATGACATCCAGCTGCTCGTGTGTCTGCCCACTAGGGTCTCAGGTTTATATAGGCCCAGGATAGGGGCATGGCAGGCCAGGGTGGTTTTGGGAAATGCAGCATTTGGGCAGGAAATGCCTGTCATCACCTAGGTCTATGGGGGTGGAGCACTAGCCAGGGACCATGCCCTCCTCTACCCAGAACTTCCCTTCCCCAATTCTGTATCATTTAAAGGGAACACACTCTTCCCAGTACTCTTGTATCATTTTTCCCCTTTGAAGAGGTACATCTAACTGCCTTTAAAATATGGATGATGACCAGTCTTAGCTGTTTCCTGCTGATAGGGGGCATTGTTTTGGGGAAAACAGCAGTCAGATTCCTCCCAGAGGTCTATCTAAGGGTTCCTAGAAAAGGGGAGTCATTATCTGAGGCTCTGGTTGTCTGACCATTTGGAGTTTGATGGCTTCTAGGTGTGAGAGAAACAAGTTTTATAAGGTTAAGTATGCATGGGTTAAACATGTATGTTATATAAGGAAATAATTTAGTGCCAAAGATTACAGAGATAAGAAGTGAAATACACTAACAGTAATATTGTACCCCAAACTGTTTCACCCTGGTGAAAGAAATTAAACCTTGTGTTGGAGCAAATAAACTTTTGGAAGAGAGATAGCTGTTCTTGCCATATCTTTAGCAGTTAACAGGTGCACTTGGGAATTCTGGAATCCTGATTGCCATTAAACTTCTGTTTCTTTCCTGTATTTCCTCTTTCTTTCTTGGGACTCCCTCTCTCTATTATAAAAGACTGAGGTAGCCACTTTCAGGATGTCCTCTAATGTACTTTCTGGTCCCAGGGCCTGTTTTTGTAGTTTCCTCCTTATGTCAGGAGCTGTCTGGGTAATAAATTTATCCTTTAGGATTAGTTGTCCTTCAGCTAAATCAGGAGATAGAGAGGTATGCTTTTACCAAGGCCTGTCTTTGACTTTCCAGGAAGGCAGTGGGATTTTCATGAAATCCCTTGTGGATCATGGACAACTTAGTATAATTGAGAGGCTTGGTCCTAGTTCTACGTAAGCTTTCCATTAAGCACACCTGAAAGTGTGTTCTCCTCCAGTCTTCCACTAAACCATTGGGATCCCATTTAGGGTCATCCATTGATACTGCTTCTCTTCTGGTTGGATAATATTCACCCCCTTCCCTGGCACTATGTGTGATACAAAGCTCATCCCCAAATCTCTCTGCTGCTTGCAGAGCAACCTGCTTCTCAGTGTCCATCAGGGTCTGATTCAAAGGTAACATAGCATCTCTTCAGGAGAGTTCAAATATCTGGGTGAAATTCTGGAACGCTTCTATATGTCTATCAGGGTCATCTGAAAACTTGCCAAGATCCCCCATAATTTGCTTTATATCCTGTAGGGAGAAGAGGACCTGGACCTCACTGGACCCAGTTTCACTGGGTATTTGTTGGAGGGGCAGGAGTGAGACTGGGACTTGTTTAGATGGAAGATTTTTAGGAGGGAGCAAGTGAGAGGCTGAAGCTGTATAGGGAAGTTGGGGTGGACCTGGAGGAGAAGGGCTTGAGGGAGCTGGATCCTCTGCTAGAAGTGCTTCTGGGACTCATATGTTTACTTTCCTGGGCTTGCCCCTTGCCTGAGATGGCAAACAGGGGGGCTGGATCAATCTTATATTGTCACCAAAGGTCTGGATTATCTTGCAAAGTATAGAAAGCCTGCACATATGGGGCCCCAGACCATCTGTCCTCACATCTACAGAAAAGTTCCAATTGCCAGATGGTATTGAAATAAATGGTTTCTTCCTGAGGCCAAGCCAGTCCTTCATAATTTGACCAAACCTTTGTGCAGAGAGCTATGTGGTGTTTTTCCTCCAGATTCTGAAGGTCAAAGCAGTCCCAATGGTACAAGATACACTCCAAAGGAGCATAGGCTGGGGGTGGTGAAGAGAACTGGCTGCCCATTCTGAAAGACAGGGTATAGAGGTGTCCCTTATTCCCTTCCTTCTTTCAGTGAAAACTCAGGGTGTGATGGAGAGAGAAAGCAAGTGTTCTTCTTTCACTTTCCACCCTTTATCTCCGGCCATAGGTACTACTGTAGTATGTACCCGAAGCAGGGAAAACCTGGAGAATAGGAATTAACCACCCTCACCCATGCCTCCATTTCTTCCTGCTGTCAGCAAACTTCCTGGGCCTGTTTATGCCATGGAGCATGGCCTCCTTCCATGGGGTGGAGGGTTTAGTCAGCAGGAATTGGTCCTGCCCATTTACGTAGTGCCTGTTGCCTGGCTTTGGATCCCTCAGACCTGGCTTTTCTTTCTAAGGCCTTTGCCTGAAGTTTGGAATTGAGTTTGGGACTGAAAAGGCATTTAAGAGGCTGTTTATATCCATGTACAGTGTCTCAAATGTGCTCTGTTGAATTTGCAGTTCTCAGCCAGAAGGGTCCATTCCTCCATTAACTTCCCTATCAGAAAGAGAGTTGGTAGGGGGGCCCTCTCACTAAGAAAAGGAAAAAAAAAAGAGAGAAAAACAGTATAAGGGGCAAAGAGGGGAAGATTCCAGGGGAAGAATACCTTGCTTAGTGCAAGTGGGCCGCCCCAATCCTTATATCCTTCCCCCAATTCAGACCAGGTTTAATTCCTTGGCCAGGGAAAGAAAGGATCCACTGGGGTAGTGGGCAAGAAGTGCCCATCCATTAGCCCTGTGGAATCTAGGCTACCACCGTGGATTTCTCCCACCCGACTTCATGTCTGTTGGATGCAGCCTTTGCCTGCTGCAGGCATGCCTAAGTGCCTGAGCTGGGAGGGGAAAGGGTAAGGAAATGTGCCCTGAGCCATGCATGCCTGCAGTTGTTGAGATGGAGGCATACATGCCACCTCTAGGAAAAATTGGTCTGATTGGTCCCACACTTTCCTTCCCCCATTCCATATCATTTAAAGGGACCATGCTCTTCCTTTACCAGCATTCTTGTATCAGCTCTACCAGAATGACAAAAATTGGTGACTGAGGCAAATGTTCATTTTACTTAGTAACATTCCTGTAGTCTGTAGCAAAACTGTTAACATTATAAAGAAAGAGATAAGAGCCATTTCAAACCCTGTGAGAGAAGAGACAAAGTCTGGGGGTTTTGACAGGCCCAGTTATGGAGGTTTAAAACTCTGTGAAGTGAAACAGAGACTCTTACTCACAGGAAAGAGAGAGATGGCAGGGATTTGGAAGAGAGGCAGACCCGACAGTTTTGCATTCATTCACACTCACGTTCCCAGATCTCGGGCTAGGCCCAGTTGAAAGGTTCCTTTGTCCCCCTCCCAGGGCATGTGATGGGGGTGTGGCTTGTTCTTCAGTACCCCACTGCTCAAACCTGTAGGGGAGCATACAGATGCACAGGCTGTGGGGCTTCAACCCACCCATGGCAGTGTCTAGGGGTGAGTGTTTACAGGCCCTGAAGCCCCAGTCGTTGTGGGTTACAGGATGCTCTTTTAGTTTGCCTATAGGTGGATTGTGTTAACCAGTTCAATTAAACCCCTTCCTTATCACAAGGACAGAGGGATTTCTGTAGCCCAGGTTTTTGCCTTGGTGTAGTAGAAAAATCAGATCATACGTGGATTTGGAGAATAAGTGCCAAGTTTTATTGAGTGGAAGTAGCTGTCAGCTGATGGGGAACCAAATGGCAGATGGTTTTCCCCTGCAGTTGGGCCACTCAGTGGCCCTAGGTCTCCCCCAGCTGCCCCAGCCAAACTCTGCCTCATCTAGCAGATCGATGGCCTGCTGGCATGCCCATCTCTGTGGGTGTGCTCTTTTGCTGGAATGCTCCTCTCAACATCCTCTCAATGACCAACCGCTTACGTCTTATTCCACTCATGTGTTCCTCAGAATGTCCAGCTGCTTGTGTGTCTGCCTGCTAGGTTCTCAGGTTTCTATAGGCCCAGGATGGGGGTGTGGCACACCAGGGTGCTCTTAGGAAATGCAGCATTTGGGCAGGAAATGCCTGTCCTCACCTAGGTACGTGGGGACCATGCCCTTCTCTAACCCACACTTTCCTTCCCCCATTCCATATCATTTAAAGGGACCATGCTCTTCCTTTACCAGCATTCCTGTGTCAGCTCTACCAGAATGACAGTCACTGTGATTATGTTGACTGTTATTGCTGTTTTGAGAAAAGTATTATAATAAAGAGATAAAGGTTTGGCCAGTTTTTGAGCAGAGGATAAAGGGAACAAAGAATTTCTCGATTTCAAGGGCCTTACGGGTTGGAAAAAGTCAACCACTTCTGGACTCTGAGTAGTGAGATTTAAGACTTAAAAGGCTGGATTGGAAAAGATGAATAAAATCTCTCAGCAAAACACAATAACTCAGATTAACAGTGTTACCATTCCATCAAATTCTCTTGTTTCAGACAGCATCAAAGCAGCCACAGTAAAATTGAGAGGAAGGGGCGGGGCTGGGGAGAGAGAGAGAGACAGATACACAGACAGGGGCATGGAGTAAAGACGTTAAGAAGGAAAACAAATTTAGAAACTATGTCTGAAAAAGAATTTTGGATGTGGTTATTGGCACTTGCAACTGACTGGGAGTGGCTTTTGTCCTGAAAAATATTGGGGGAAATCTATTGCCAGGGTAAGTATGAAACTGCTATAAGTTTGGGACCATTTAGAGATCTTAAAAGAAGCTTTGGCAGGGAATGTGCTGCAAAAAGCCTGCAAATGTCCATTTTGGATATGGCCTTGGAGGTTAATGAACAAGGAAGAAACTCTCAGAACGTAGTATCTGTGGCCATGGAAACTAATGGACAAACAGGTACCTTCTGGATAGCAAAATCAGTATGTAAGCAAAGTACTTCGCAACTCCCCTGGGTGGAGCCTTCACAGAGGCCACCCGCCAGGACTGCATCATTTCTATTGACCAGGGGCTGCTTATGTGCCTTATAGTCTTTCCTGTTTTGAATAGAATATTTTATTATAATTATCCTGTTCCTACATCACCATTATATATTGGATATTTGTGAAAGGTAGAAAGATAACTTGATATTTCATTCTAAAATCAGTAGTTGTTTTATATCCTAGCTACCAGGCTATAAGGAGCCACCTTTGGACCCGACAGACTGCATCAAGTGGAGAGTTTGCTTTTGAAACTGGATGTGGTGACTTCAGGGGGCTTTGGATGTACCTTTCAGCTGGGGGAATGGGGTGCTGGTAAATGTGTTCTATAGTTAAGAGAAAGTATAAAATAGACATTTGGTGACCAGAAGGATGGACCATGAATAATTGTTATGTGTTAACAGTGTCATTACTTGTATATATCTCTTGGCAAGCAGCAAGTCTACATTTTCCACTGCTGCTTTGTATGGCTGTGTGACTGAAGTCTGGCCACATTATGTCTGCCTCTTCCAGGCTGGGTCCAGGTCCACCTGGTACACACACATACACACACACACACACATCTATGCTGTCTCTTTCCTTTCCAGTTAGTTAGAAGCAAAGCACTCTGAGGTTCTAGGGTGGTGGTTGGCAAACTGTAGCCTGTGGGTGAAATCCAATTTACCACCTGCTTTCATAAATACACTTATCCTGAAACATAGTTCTGCTTGTTAATTTAGGTATTATCTATGACTATTTTCAAATGACAACAGCAAACTCGAGTAGTTTCAACAGGCATGGACTGGCTCATTATGCCTAAAATATTTCTAGCTCTTCTTCACAGCAAAAGTTTGATGATGCGTATTAAAGGGGATGGTGAATGGAAGGATCTTGGATTGCTGTATCACTTTGTGAAAAACTATCCACTGCATGCCCTATTAGATTTTACTAGAGTAAATTCGATTGTGCTAGGGATTGAGATTTTGGGGATTTACCTTTATAGCAGCTAGAACTGCCTTAACTAATCTGCTGTAATTTAGATGTGGAAGGACTTGCCCTGTCTTATGACCAAGGTCTCAATGTGAGATTTGTGTCTATAAACAGTAAAAATGAACCAAACTTTTCAAAAGGAAGTTGTGCTCTAATCAGAAAAATTAATGCATTCTTCTAATAGAATTGTACTTAACAACTGTATTTTTAAGGATTAACTTTTAAAGGTGGAGAATTGTCTTATGGTTTACCTTGAGCTCATTTGTGGTCATGAGAAAATTTAAAACATGAAACACATGCTCTAGTTGTCTTGTAAATATTTGTTCTTACAGAGTGCTTAGTCCCAGACTCTCAAGCTAAGAGCAAAAGCTCTGTTTTGCTATTAAATGGCTTCCAGAACAGCATCTGTCTCTCTGATAACTGAGCTATCCTTGCTTTTTTCAAGAAATGGGCATTTATAAAAAACATTCAAAAATATAACCATGATTCTTAAGAAATTAACTCTATATTAATTGTTAGCTTTAGAAAAAATCGTATAAAAGTTAAATATCTAAAGCTTCTCTTTAGAAAGATTTACAACTCAAAAATGGCACCTGATGCACTTTAACCTCTCTAATAAACCCAGAAGTTAGTAGAGTATATGGTATAATCAACAAAGGTTTGTTGGGGAATGCTGTAATATAAAGGGATGAACCTTAGACTGGGAACCCAAGGAGTGGAAGGTCAGGCTTTCCCTAATTAACAGTGTGATCTTGGACAAGTCATATGCCTTTCTGAGCCTCAGTTTCTCACTGATACATATTCTCCAAGGTTCCTTTTACCTCTCTGTTGAGTGGAATCACTTGGATAAGAAGTTGTTTTCATTGCTTATTGTTCCTTACTATCCAAGCCTTAATTAAAAGCGAAATTCTCTAAGAACCTTGCTGAAAGTGTACTTTGTGGATTAAACATTTGTTCCTTTAAACATGCTGTTTCTGCCACATCTGGAGATGAAAGTGCCTGACTTCCACTGGTTTTCTCACATCCTTTAGTAGCTAAATAGAAAACTTGAGAAGCTAGGCAATTTTATGTTTCTTCATCTTGTTTTCTTGTACAATCAGGAAAGTTTTTAGGGCTCTATCCATTTTAGTTGATAAACATTATTCCTTAAGACATGCCTGGGTTTATTCAGAAGCTGTATGACAAGTTTCAGTTATTATTTACCAGCCCTGCCCTGGAAAAAATAGGTTGGTGTTATATAAATGAGATAAAGATGGCCTCTGTGTGTTAAACCCCTAAGTTGTTTATTTCTTCACTGAAGGCTGACTCATTAGCTCAAAAGCCTGCTGGCACCAAACTCAGATTGATCTCAAATGAGCATATTTTTTAGCCATTTAGAAATTGCCTGCTTTGTATACCCTGCAAAACCTCACCCAATAGCTGTTATTTATTATAGCATAGGGCCTAGCAGTTATAAGGCCCGAGCTGATCCAGTGAGTTGCTGTCATGCTGCTGAGTGACATTACCTTGACACATATACTTCTCTGATCCCCTTGTCTCCTGGGAGTTCCTTAGCCATCCTCCTGTTTTCTTTATGGTGCAGGGGTACGACCCAGGTGTAGGATCCCTATACCAGAACTTCTGGAAATAATCGCGCTGTGAGAGACATTCTTCCTCCTGCAACCCTGTCCAAATGCCACCCAGCAAGGCTTGTTGTGGTTACTGCCTCTTGTGGTCATGTGTTTTGTCCTTAATCAGCCCCAGATTTCTCTGCTATGGACTGAATATGTTCCCTAAAAATTCATACATTGAAACCCTAATCCTCAGTGAGATAGTATTTGCAGGTGGGGCCTTTAGGAAGTAATTAGGGTTAGATTAGGTCATGAGAGTGGAGCTCCATGATGGGATTACTGCCTTTGTAGGAAGAGGAAGAGACTCAAGATCTCTTTCTCTTGTGCATGCACCAAGGGAAAATCTTTGTGAAGACATAACCAGGAAGAGAGCCCTTATCAAGAATCCAACCATGTTCGCACCCTGATATTAGACTTCCAGCCTCCAGAACCAGGAGAAATAAACACTTGTTGTTTAAGCCACTCACTCTATGATAATTTGTTATGGTAGTATAAGCTGAGACATTCTTTGTCCCTCAACAATTGGGTTTATTGATAATTATTATTCTGGATATCCCTTTGTATTGATAACAGCCCACTGGATTTTTATCCTCCTACGTCTCAGCCTCCCCAACTACCTTATTTAAAGATATCACTATAGTTACTCTTACATATCATTCTTTTTTCTCCTCGTTATTAATATTCACGTTCATTTTCTCTCCGCCCCCCTAGAATGTAAGCTTCATGAAGGAAAGGAATTTATCTGACTGTGCACAACTCTTTCCAGTACCTACCATAGCTCCTTTACCTAGGATACACCAGATAAATCTTTGTTGAATGAATGAATTAGCAAATAATTACCTCTATTGAATCCTGTTCAAGTTTTTCCCTACATTTCATGGTAGATATCTAGGTTCAGCTAACACTTTCATATGTCTCAATTTATAACACAAAGTTTATCTACACCAGTAAGTGATTATCACCATCAATTTAGTTGTTCTTTTTGGGAAGTTTATATTAGATTTTAAAGTATATATATACAAATAAGGAGAGGCATACTATATTAGTAATATACTCTCAGCTGCCACTAGTGGAATGCACCAGTTAAGGTGGCTTAAACAATTGGTGTTTGTCTTTCCTCTGTAACCAAGAAACTAAGAGGCAGCCTATTCCATGGCTGGCTCAGTGTTCAATGATGATGTCAAAACGTTTGAATAAGTCTTTTGCCTTATTGTTGCAAAGACTGTGGCATCAACTCCAAATCTCATGTCCTCAATGGCAGCAGCTTAAGCAGGAAAGAGGAGGAGGACACAGATTTTTGATAGATGAAAATCTTTCCCAGAAGCCCCCAGAAAACTTTACCTCAGATCCTGTTAGCTATCATGGGACCACATGCCCATCCTTAGAACAGTTACTGACAAGAGGACATGAGAGTTCTGTCTGGCTTAATCTGATTTATCCCCTGCAGTAGGACGACCATCTTCCTGGAAATCAAATGATCTCTACTGAATCCTGAATTAAATTAGAATTTCCTAGTCAGGAAAAAGGAAGGATACCTTTGGTGGGCAGTTGATAATAACTGCTGCATATAATACATTGAATCTTTACTGATTTTTACTTCTCCCTATTTTTGCTTCTTTTTATTGAAAACGTTTTTGGGGAACAAATGAAAAAAAGGTCTTATGGAATCAGTGAGGTGACCATCACCAGTGTATTGGATAAAGAAAATGTGGTACATATACATCATGGGATACTCTGTAGCCATAAAAATGAAATCATGTCCTTTGTATAACATGGATTCAGCTAGAGGCTACTATCCTAAGAGAATTAATGTAGGAACAGAAAATGAAATACTGCATGTTCTCCCTTGTAAGTAGGAGTTAAACATTGGGTACTCATGGACATGAAGACGGTAACAATAGATACTGGACACTATTAGAGGAAGGAGAGAGGGGGGCAAGGATTAAAAAGTAAAGTTTGGGTATTAGGCTCACTACCTGGGTGACAGGTTCAGTCATATCCCAAACCCCAGTGAGACACGATATACCTATATACCAAACCTGTACATATATCCCCTGAATATAAATAAAAGTTGAACATATAAAATAAAAAATAAGTCTTAAGAAATTTTAACCTGAATATCAATAAATAATTTCATCAATTTTTATTTATTAAGCACTAATGAGCTCAGCGTTATGCTTGATTCTCTTTGCTAGTTCGATAAAGCAAGGCATAGAAACCACAAAATAAATAATAGAGAATATAAATATAAATATTCTCTCCCCTTATTCTGGTTGAGAATGGCTTTCAAATTTTTCTGAGGCTCTGATTAGGGCTTACTCAATTGTTGAAGTAATGCATTAACTTTGCATGCAAGGAGTTTCTTCCATAGAAGAATACCTGGAAGGGGACTGTTTTCACTGTGTTATGTTTATAATGTGGGATTTGTAAAGGAGCTGGAAGATCCAGATGAGACAGAATGCTTAGAATGCTTGTATTGCTTCTGTAACTTATTTAAAATAGCTGCACATTTACTTAGAGTAACAACAAACAGTGGAGCTCATGGAGTTGGGACAAACCATGTGGTTGTGACCCAAAGGAATGGCAGATCTTCCTCACCTTATGAACAAGCAAACACCTCTGTGACCTGGGATTTTGGGGTGAAGCTACTCAAGGGCCTGAGGGTGTGTATGTGTGTGTGTTGCACATAGGCCATTTCACTTTGCTTGGCCCATGGCTTGCATGAGTCATTGCCCAGTGATAACCTGGCTGTCTCTATTGGCTTTAGTGTTGTTTTCAGGAGACACTATTCCTGCTTATTTGCCTCTTCAGGTGTTAAATCTTTACGTAGTTTCAGAATAGACTCTGTTCTCCTCAAATAGCCAGGTTAAAAAGTATAGTGCCTTGCTACTGAAAATGTGATTTATTGATCAGCAACATTGATATCACTTGGAAACTTGTTAGGAATGTAAAACTCAGGCCCCATCCCAGACCCACTGCATCAGAATCTGCATTTCAGTAAGATTCCCATGCACATTCAAGTTTCAGAAGACAGTTTCTCCATGGTTATTGTTATTGCCTTTGTTGTCATCATCATTAAATGGGCAATGTGGCCAGTCACAGATGGTTACATAAAAACAGACAAGCAGCCACAACTCAAACACGGAGACTCTTTACATCTTTCTCTTTATATCTTTCCCAATTCCCTATGTGAGATAATCCTTCTGCTAGCTTACAGGAAGGGCTCTTTAATGAAGGGGCAGCATGAGAAGGTACCTCAATGGTTCTGAACTGCCCTCTGCACCCAAGAACTTTGTAAGGCAATCCTAAGCAAAAAGAACAAAGCTAGAGGCATTATGCTACCCAACTTCAAATTATACATCAGGGCTAAAGTAACCAAAACAGCGTGGTACTGGTATAAGAACAGACACACAGAACAATGGAACAGAATAAAGAACCCAGAAATTAGACTGCACACATACAGCCATCTAATCTTCAACAAACTGACAAAAACAAGCAATGGGGAAAGGATTCCCTGTTCAATAAATGGTACTAGGAGAACTGGCTAGCCATATGCAGGAAACTGAAACCGGACCCCTTCCTTGCATCATATACAAAAATCAATTCAAGATGGATTAAAGACTTCAATGTAAAACCCAAAACTATAAAAACTGTAGAAGAAAACTTAGTCAATACCATTTAGAACATAGGCACAGGCAAAGATTTCATGACAAAGACACCAAAAGCAATTACAGCAAAAGCAGAAATTGACAATTGTTATCTAAGTAAACTTAAGAGCTTCTGTACAGCAAAAGAAACTACCAACAGAGTAAACAGACAACCTACAGAATGGAAGAAAATTTTTGCAAACTATGCAACTGACAAAACACAAATTTTTGAGACCCACTCTAAATCTCCTGTATCAGAATCTCCTCTGTGGGGCCTTGGGATAGTATAAGGAGTTCTTATACAGTCATCCTGGCATGCTCACATAATAACACTTAGGAATAGTAGTTTTGGGCTCACTTGTTTGATTTGATGCTGGAATTCTCACTTCTACACTTGTGACTCACTGTCACTGACCTCAGATTAAACACTTCTATTATTAGGGAAATCACTAGAAATATAAACGTAACTTGAATTCTCACATGACTTCCTGAACTCTTACTTTCCTGGTAGGTCTCACATTCTTCTACTTTTGTGTCTTGTGTAGAATGGTAGAAAGAACTCCAGACCAGGTTCTAGTTCCAGCTGTCCCTTGGTTTGAATTCATTTTTGGCCAGAAGTGTTACTATTTGACAGACAAGGTCTAAGGAGCAGAAATGTGCTGGTGATCATGGGCAAGCTGCTAAGCCCTTCTGGTTTCCTTAACTGTAGAACAACAGGGTTGAACTGAAGTTCCTTTTCCTAAAATCTACTTTGGGATTCTAGGAAGACCTAGATCTACCTTCTCATCTCTAAATCTTACAATTTAATTGATTTCTAAGTTCAGCACTAACATTACTGTGGTAAGAATAATCACATTGCACCAAGCTGAAATAGACCTCTATTGCCTCTGAGGAGACTCGTGTACATTAATATTTACTTGGTAAGGATGACATTTAGAATGCATTTTGATTAATGTTCCTGAAAATAACACATTCCTTATACCAGTCCAAGTCCTGTGCCTTGCATTTGTTTTCGATGGAGAAAGGCAGGACACCTCATTTTCCAGTTTTATCACTGAGAAATAGTTTTTTATTTTTTAAGGCTTTTCAGCAGAATCTCTTTTTATTTAGAAATTCCTTTAGTATTCAGGAAACATCACTGATCTGATGATTATGGGGCATATTTTAGGAATCAAAAGGGTGTTACTTCAGTTGTGCATATTTTTTTAAAAAGGCCCCCTGTGAGGTGAGAACATATCTTTTCAAGGAGAAACTTCAATCATCAAGAAAGTTCAAATTCTTTGTCATATGGACTCTACAGCTTGGCTCATAGAAATGCCAAGTACAATCTAGAGAGTCTTTGGCTAACATTAGATCTAAATGTTAACTAACATGAAGTCACAACAGAGGGGGAAGGAAGGTTGGGGTGGGCATTCATTGCTAATATACCTTGGCTAGTGGAAACGGGCCTGAACAAACTGTGCCAGGCACTAACCACCCATGCACATCTCAGTCTGACTGTTCACTGCCTTCCCTTCCCATTCCTTGAATCTCACACACTTTCTGTTTGGGCTCAGGAGTTTTATATTCCACAGAAGAACCAAAGAATGACAGAGCCACAATGTGAGGTCAGGGTGTAGAGATATGAATTCCTTTTCACAGTACAATATTCACAGAGCAAATATCTCTATGGCTTACCACTGTGCTGTATTTTTTAAAGCCCAAGAATAAATTTTTCAACATTTTGTTTTCTAAATATATATATATTTTTTAAGTAACAAAATCCTCCTTTTGTTTTTCAAATAGAACTTTTAAAATGATGGAATTTCAGCATGTATAACCAAACTGCTCTCTGGATAAACTCCATCTTTTTGGTCATCCCCTCACTTCTTCCTCAAATCTTTAACAATCTGTGTAGTTATCCCAACACAAATACAGCTTATAAACTCCTGCTGTATTATATTATTGTAATATTTACTTTTCTTATTTGATGTCTGACCCCTCACTAACATCTTTCAGCAGTCTTGGAAGCTTTTTACACTTCAATTATTATTATTTTTTGGTCTCATACCCTTCTAATGAAAGCACATTCCCATTTCTCAAAACTCAGCTCAAGATTCTTCTCTTGGGACATACTTAGCTGATCCTTTATTTAAATGATTCCCTCTGTGCCCTCTTAGAGTGTTTTTTATGAGGCTACCTATGTCTCCAAGCAACCACCTGGATATAAAAAATTACATGATTAGCAGTAAGGCACCAAGCACCTATTTCCAAAGAGAGGGTTAGGGTATGCAATGCAAGTTTATTTTCAGAATCAGACTCCAGTCAGGAAGTGCCTTTTCACAAGAAAAAAAAGTTTATGTCCTTTATCTTATCAATGCAGAAAAGGAAAATTTTTTTTGTTTTTTTTTTTTGTTTTTTTTTTTTGTTTTGTTTTGTTTTTGTTTTTTTTTTTTTTTTTTGGCTGAGGCTCATCAGCCAATAGATGGGAAGTCATAGCAAAAAAGCAGAGAGCTGCAGCATCGTACAGCCAGTCTTCAGTTGCCAAGAAGAGACGGAGCTTACTGTAGGGGAAGATAACTAAAACCAAAGGAGTTGCTTGATAAGAATTCAGTACTTAAATATTATACTTTAGGAAAACTCATTAGCAAAGACAGATGTTTTGGACCAGTAAGAAGGAGGAGGAGGAAGAAAGCAGGCATCTCTGTGTAGAAGTCAGGGAGGGGTGGCAAGAGAGGCATGGGTCACATAGATGGGGACCAGAACTATTGCCTTACCATACCAGTTAGGGTAGTTATTAAGCTAATCAGAGAGGGGACCAGAGAAAGGTGAAGCCCAGTGCAAGGAAATTTAAAAAATGATACAAGAAGTGAGGGGAGAAATATTCAAGGAAATAGCTAGCTTAAAGAAAAAACAAAACTTTGGGAAACTTTGGACACACTTTTAAAAATGTGAAATGCTCTGGAAAGTCTCAGCAACAGAATTGAACAAGTAGAAGCAAGAAATTCAGAGCTCAAAGACAAGGTCTTTGAATTAACCCAATAAAACAAAGACAAAAAATAATAAGAAAATACAAACAAAGCCTCCAAGAACTTGGGAATTGTGTTAAATGACCAAACCTAAGAATAATCGATGTTCTTGAGGAAAAAGAGAATTCTAAAAGCTTGGAAAACATATTTGGGGGAATAATTGAAGAAAACTTGCCTGACCTTTCTGGAGACATAGACATCCAAATGCAAGAAGCATGAAGAACACCTGGGAAATTCAAAGAAAGATCTTCATCTGGGCACATTTTCATCAGATTCTCCAAAGTTCAGACAAAGGAAAGAATCTTAAGGGTTTTGAGACAGAAGCACCAGGTAACTTATAAAGGAAAACCCATAAGATTAACAGATTTCTCAGCAGAAACCTTACAGGCTAGAAGGGATTGGGGCTATCTTTAGCCTCCTCAAACAAAAAAATTATCAGCTAAGAATTTTGTATCCAGCGAGACTAAACATCATATATGAAGGAAAGATATGATCTTTTCCAGACAAAAAAATGCTGAGAAAATTCTCCATTACAAGTTAAAAGCAAAGACAAAAACAAAAACACCAAAGTACACAGACAACAAAGAGCATGATGAATGCAACAGGCCCTCACATTTCAATACTAACAATAAATGTAAATGTCCTATATGCTCCACTTAAAAGATACAGAACTGCACAATGGACAAGAACTTATCAACGAACTATCTGCTGCCTTCAGGAGACTCTCCTAACACATAAGAACTCACATAAACTTAAAGTATAGGGGTGGGGAAAGGCATTTCATGCAAATGGACACCAAAAGTGAGCAGGGACAGCTATTCTTATATTAGAGAAAACAAACTTTAAAGCAAGAGCAAATTAAAAGGGACAAAGACAGATATTACATAATGGTAAAAGGCTTTGTCCAACAGGAAAATATTATACTCCTAACATATATGCACCTAACACTGGAGCTCCCAAATTTATAAAACTATTACTAATAGACCTAAGAAATGAGATAAACAGCAACACAATAATAGTGTGGGACTTCAAAACACTGGCAGCCCTACACAGGTCACCAAGACAAAGTCAACAAAGAAACAATAGATTTAAACTATACCTTGTAACAAATGAACTTAACAGATATATACAGAACAGTTCATCCAACAACTGCAGAATACACATTCTATTCAACACACATGGAACTTTCTCAAGATAGACCATAAAACAAGCCTTAATAAATTTAAGAAAATTGAAATTGTATCAAGCACTCTCTCAGACCACAGTGGAATAAAACTGAAAATCAACTCCAAAACGAACCTTCAAAACCATGAAAACACATGGAAATTAAATAACCTGCTCGTGAATGATCATTTCATCAAAAATGGAATCAAGATGAAAATTAAAAAGTTCTTTGAATTGAACGACAATCATGACACAACCAACCCAAACCTCTGGGATACAGCAAAGGCAACACTAAGAGGAAAGTTCATAGCCCTAAAGGCCTACATGAAAAAGACAAAGAGCACAAACTGACACTCTAAGGTCACACCTCAAGGAACTAG
Source organism: Homo sapiens (assembly GCF_000001405.40). Classification (NCBI taxonomy): domain Eukaryota; kingdom Metazoa; phylum Chordata; class Mammalia; order Primates; family Hominidae; genus Homo; species Homo sapiens. The sequence goes on from NC_000006.12 coordinate 86,164,541, forward strand.
AGAAAAAAGAACAAACCAAACCCAAAAACCCAGCAGAAGAAAGGAAACAACAAACATCAGAGCAGAACTAAATGAAGCTGAAACAAACAAAAAACCACAAAAGATAAACAAAAAGCTGGTTATTTGAAAAGATAAATAAAATTGATAGGCCATTGGCAATATGAACCAAGAAAAGAAGAAAATTCAAATAACCTCACTAAGAAATGCAACAGGAAATATTACAACTGACACCACTGAAATGTAAAAGATCATTCAAGGCTACTATGAACACCTTTATGCACATAAACTAGAAAACCTAGAGGAGATGGATACATTCCTTGAAAAATACAACCCTCCTAGCTTAAATAAGGAAGAATTAGATGCCCTGTACAGACCAATAACAAGCAGTGAGATTGAAATAGTAATAAAAATTACCAACAAAATAAGTCCAGGACCAGATGGATTCACAGCAGAATTCTACCAGACATTCAAAGAAGAATTAATACCAATACTTTTGACACTATTTCAAAAGATAGAGAAAGAAGGAATCCCCCCTAATTCATTCTGTGAGACAAGCATCACCCTAATACCAAAACCAGGAAAGGACATAGCCAAAAGTGAAAACTACAGACTGATATCCTTGATGAACATAGATGCTAAGATCCTTAACAATCTGCTAGCTAACTGAATCCAGCAATATATCAAAAAGATAGTCCACCATGATCAAGTGGGTTTCATACCAGGAATGCAGGGATGGTTTAACATAGGCAAGTCAATAGATGTGATACACCATGTAAACAGAATTAAAAACAAAAATCACATGATCATTTCAACAGATATAGAAAAAGCTTCTGACAAACTCCAGCATTCCTTTATGATTAAAACTCTCAGCAAAACTGGCATACAAGGGACATTCCTCAATTTAATAAAAGCCATCTATGACAAATTCACAGCCAATATAATACTGAAATGGGAAAAGTTGAGTGCATTCTCTCTGAGAACTGGAACAAGACAAGGATGCCTACTCTCACTGCACCTCTTCAACACAGTATTGGACATTCTAGCTAGAGCAATCAGGCAAGAGAAAGAAATAAAAGGCATCCAAATCAGTAAAGAGGAAGTCAAACTGTCACTGTTTGCTGACAATATGATTGTTTACCTTGAACAAGAATTCAGCAAAGTCTCCTGATACAAGATTAATGTACACAAATCAGTAGCTCTTCTATACACCACCAGTGACCGAGTGGAGAATCAAATCAAGAACCCAACCACTTTTACAATAACTACAAAAAAAATAAAAAATATAATACTTATTAAAAACCTAACCAAGGAATAGCTAGAACTCTACAAGGAAAACTACAAAACACTGCTGAAAGAAATCATAGGCAACATAAACAAATGGAAACACATCCCATTCTCATGGATGCATAGAGTCAATATTGTGAAAATGACCATACTGTCAAAAGCAATATACAAATTCAATGCAATCCCCATCAAAATACCACCATCATTCTTCACGGAATTAGAAAAAAACAATTCCAAAATTCATATGGAACCAAAAAAGAGTCTGCATAGCCAAAGCAAGACTAAGCAAAAAGAACAAATCTGGAGGCATCACATTACCTGATTTCAAACTATAGAATAAGTCACCAAAACAGCATGGTACTGGTATAGAAATAGGCACATTGACCAATGGAACAGAATAGAGAACCCAGAAATAAACCCAAATAATAACAACCAACTGATCTTCAACAAAGCAAACAAAACATAAAGTGGGGAAAAGACACCCTTTCCACAAACAGTGCTGGGATAATTGGCTAGCCACATGTAGGAGAATGAAACTGGATCCTCATCTCTCACCTTACAAAAATCAACTCAATATGGATTAAGGACTTAAATCTAAGACCTGAAACTATAAAAATTCTGGAAGATAACATTAGGAAAGCACTTCTAGACATTGGCTTAGGCAAGGATTTCATGACCAGACGAAGAACCCAAAAGTAAATGTAATAAAAACAGAGATAAATAGCTGGGACCTAATTAAACAAGAGAGCTTTTGCACAGTAAAAGGAACAGTCAGCAGAGTAAACAGACAACCCACAGAGTGGGAGAAAACCTTCACACAATCTATACATCTGACAAAGGACTAATATCCAGAACCTATATCAAACTCAAACAAATCAGTAAAAAAAAGAAAAAAAAAATCAAAAAGTGGGCTAAAGACATGAATAGACAATTCTCAACCAAAGATATACAAATGGCCAACAAACATATGAAAAATGCTCAGCATCACTAATGAACAGGGAAATGGAAATCAAAACCACAATGGGATACCACCTTACTCCTACAAGAATGGCTATTACCAAAAAATAAAAAAAACAGTAGATGTTGGCATGAATGCGGTGAACAGGGAGCACTTCTACGTTGCTGGTGGGAATGTAAACTACTACAGCCACTATGGAAAACAGTATGGAGATTCCGTAAAGAACTACAAGTAGAACTACCATTTGATCCACCAATCCCACTACTGGGTATCTACCCAGAGGAAAAGAAGTCATTATTCAAAAAAGACACTTGCACACGCATGTTTACAGCAGCGCAATTCACAATTGCAGAATTGTGGAGCCAACCAAATGGCCATCAATCAATGGGTGGATTAAGAAACTATGATATATATATATAATATATAATAATATATTATATATAATATATAAACTATGATATATATTATATCATATATATGATATATAATATATGATATATATGATATAATATGTAATATATAAATATATAATATATATTATATATACTAATATATATTTATTATTATAATAAATATATATAAATAATATATGTAATTATATATTATATATATATATCATAGTTTATTAATATATAATATAGAAACTGATATATATTTATATATCAGTTTCTTTATATATTATATATTATATATCATATAATATAATAATGATGTATATATTATATGTAATATATATAATATAATATAATAATGATGTATATATTATATATACACGATGGAATACAGTGCAGCCATAAAAAGGAATGAATTAATGACATTTGCTGTGACCTGGATGAGATTGGAGATTATTATTCTATGTGAGGTAACTCAGAAATGGAAAACCAAACATCGTATGTTCTTACTGATATGTGGCAGAAAAGCTACGAGGATGCAAAGGCATAAGAATGATACAATAGACTTTAGGGACTTGAGGGGAAGAGTGAGAGCAGGGCGAGGGTAAAAGACTACAAATATGGTGCAGTGTATACTGCTTGAGTGATGGGTGCACCAAAATCTCATAAATCAGCACTAAAGAATTACCTATGTAACTAAATACCACCTGTACCCCAATAACTTATGAAAAAATAAAAATAAATAAATAACTACGTATATGATGAACCCTAGAAGTATAGAATCTTGGCCTTTGAGATGGTGATGACTTAAATTCCAAAGAGCTGACAAGCATGCTGATATTCTCCTGGCATTTCCATTGGCAGTTTTCTACTTCCTGTGTATATTCTTCCACCAAATATTTTTTTCTCTTTTTTTTCCTTTTATTTTTTTCCTTTTACAAAGTAAACTACAATTTTGTTGTGAAATTCTCATAGATGAAAAATTAAGGCCAGGCAAGGTGGCTCACGCCTGTAATCCCAGAACCTGGGGAAGCCAAGGCGGGTGGGTCACTTGAGGCCAGGAGTTCAAGACCAGTCTGGTGAAAACCCATCTCTACTAAAAATGCAAAAATTAGCCAGGCATGGTTGTGGGTGCCTATAATCCCTTCTACTCGAAAGGCTGAGGCAGGAGAATCACTTTAACTCAGGAGGTGGATGTTGCAGTGAGCAGAGATCATGCCACTGCACTCCAGCCTGGGCAACAGAGTAAGACCCTGTCTCAAAAAAAAAAAAAATTAGTGTTTATTTTGTACATTTTATTTTACAGTAATCTTACCACTTATTTTTGTACCATGTATTTCAGTTGTCTCTTAGTGAAAAATGTAAAAACCTATTAATTTTTGGCTTGTTTTTAGCTTAAAAATTTTTAAATTAAATTAAGGACCCTACAATAAATTGTGTTGCCAGCAGCTATATCTCAACCCTTTGTGTGAAGAATGTTTTGGCTGCTACTTCAACCTAAGGAAACAACTTTGACCTCAGTCACCTTAAAATGCTGGTATTAACAGAATATTACATTTTCCACACACAAAACCCCTAGGATCTTGAAGATCCTATTTAACAAAATCTTTATACATGCAAAATTTCACTGAAATAAATACATTTTCTTCATTTATCATTACCACCCAGTATTTATGTTTTCAGTTAATTTTTAGGGGTATAATTTCTAAACTTAGGACAATCAAATTTCCTGCTTTCTACCTCAGTGCTTAAACTCTCCTCCAATGTAAGTAATACAATTGTGAAGGATAAAATAATTGAATTTTACAGAGAGCATGAAAGAAAAACATTAGCACACAAGTTAGTCTATTTGCTAATTAGGAAAAGTGTGCTGCTTTCCACCTCTACCACAGATGCATTGATGAACTGTTGATTAACGAATGGTGTTCAGAAAGATCAGAAATAATAGGCTAGTTAGCATACATCCTAAATTTGTGTTCCATACAATTTGAGCTCCCAGAACTACTAAGGTTGGTTAAATCCCAACACAGCATCAAAGCCTCTTTAGGTCATTTATTGGGTATTTTATCTAGAGAGAAAATATTGAATTCTGCCCTCTATATGTGAATAGTGCTGCAGTGGACATTCACATGCATGTGTCTTTATAATAGAATGATTTATATTCCTTTGGGTATATACCCAGTAATGGGATTACTGGGTTGAACGGTAGTTCTGTCTTTAGGTCCTTGAGGATTGTCACACTGCTTTCCATAATGGCTGAACTAATTTATACTCCCACCAACAGTGTATAAGCGTTCCTTTTTCTTTCCAAACTTGTCAGCATCAGTTATTTTTTGACTTTTTAGTAATAGCCATTCTGACTGGTGTGAGATGGTATCTCATTGTGGTTTTGATTTGTGTTTCTCTAATGATTAGTGATGTTGAGCTTTTTCTCATATGCTTATTGGCATCATGCATGTCCTCTTGAAAAATGTCTATTTATGTCCTTTGCCCACTTTTTAATGTGTTTTTTGTAAATTTGTTTAAGCTCCTTATAGATGCTGGATATTAGACCTTTGTCAGATGCATAGTTTGCAAAAGTTTTCTTCCATTTTGTTGGTTGTCTATTCACTCTGTTGCTAGTTTATTTTCCTGAGCAGAAGCTCTTTGGTTTAATTAGATCCCATTGTAAGTACATTATTTGTTAAACATATCTTTAGTTGTTTTGTATGTAGTATGCAACAAATCATAACATCCTGCAGCCACAAATTATATGCAGAGTGTGAAGAAACCATTAATTAAATGGTATAATCTTTCCATTTATAACTCTAAAGGAAGAACTAGCAAATCAGATCTTACATGTAACAGCTGTATACATGGAAGTGACAGACTGCTTTTGCTGTTTGATACAAAAGTGGCTGAACTTCATCTTCAGAAGATTAAACCTGACATCTAAACATGCCAATGTAAACATCAAAAATATATATTCTAACTTTACAAAAGAAATCATGGGACGTAATCTGGTACCAGGAAAGTGGCAAGGATTACATGCAGTATTTTGTAAAGCAGCACACAAAAGTTTCAAAGTTTTCTGAAACTGAAATTAGCTATCTTGAGTCAAGGTAATAAAAAAATGTCAGTATTGACTATTTGCAACCTCTGACGTTTGTGGAGATGGTAAGAATCTGTTATAGTGCAGCTACATACAGTAAAATTCAGGCAATTTTGTTTTTTCATTTGGGTTTAGATTGCAAATTTATTGTGTGAGAAAAGGATGGAAGCAAATTTTAGCATCAACCTTCACCTGACTGCTTGACCAAAGTGGTCTAAATTTTAAAATTAGACTTCTCTGCATCACCAGCTGTTGCTCTAGTCCCATTTGCTTTTTAATCTCAGATGCCATTTTCATGAAAGTCTGTTCTACATTTGCTGTGTTCTTAGCACCAGTTTCCAAAAATGGAATTCCAAGGGAATCAGCAAATTCCTTTGTTGTTGTGTAGTCTACTTTCTTTGTGGGCAATCACATTTGTTTCCTACCAACAATTTGTTGACATTTTCACTGGCCTAGTGATCAATTTCCTGCAACCACTATTTGACATTATCGAAGGACTCCTGATCTGTCATATCATACAGCCTTAGGCTCCTGTGTAATAACTGGAGGTGATGAAAATCTTTCCTGGCCTGTTGTGTCCCCTAGTTGAAGCTTGATTATTTTGCCATATAATATTACAGTTCTTATTTTGAAATTCCCACTTATTGTGCTGATGTAGTTTTCTGTATATGTATTACATGTTTCACCTGCAAACCTAAGAAGGAAGCAAGACTTTCTAGCCCCAGAGTTGCCAATAAGAAGTAACTTGAGTAATTAAACATATTAGAGATTTCTGCTGGTAATGTCATTGCAGCTGCTGCCTGCACCACCATGACTCTAGGTTATGTGTAACCAAAGGAAAGGAATGAGATAGGCTGTTCTGAGAGAGCAAACATCTTTCCCCACTCTGTTCCCTACAACACAATCACTTGGCAGCTGTTGCCACTCAGCTACTGCTTCCACCCAAAAATCCAAAATCTTTTTTTTTTATTATTATTATACTTTAAGTTTTAGGGTACATGTGCACATTGTGCAGGTTAGTTACATACATATACATGTGCTGGCACATATACACCATGGAATACTATGCAGCCATAAAAAATGATGAGTTCGTGTCCTTTGAAGGGACATGGATGAAATTGGAAACCATCATTCTCAGTAAACTATCGCAAGAACAAAAAACCAAACACCGCATATTCTCACTCACAGGTGGGAATTGAACAATGAGATCACATGGACACAGGAAGGGGAACATCACACTCTGGGGCCTGTTGTGGGGTGGGGGGAGGGGGGAGGGATAGCATTGGGAGATATACCTAATGCTAGATGACGAGTTAGTGGGTGCAGCACACCAGCAAAAATCCAAAATCTTAACTGACTTTCCAATTCCGTACAGATTTCTTCCTCACTTTAGGAGCAAAATTTGCACTAGATAGATGCATGTTGAAAGAGTTTCATGAAAAAACAATTTTTTTAGTCTCCATTTAGAGCATAAAGAGAGCGTATTCATGTCACAGATCTGAGTCCCTGAGAAATGTGATATTCCACACTTTAGTGGTGAAAATATAGCACTTTTCTATTTTGGTTAGAACTGCCTAAGTGCCTCTTTCTTAAATCTCTTCTCTTTCCCTTCACCCCTATAAGCAGCACTAGGAGTCCCTGGAAAGGGAAAAATTAAGCTGTCAATGCATCTTACCCCATGCTATCTTCATGAGACAAGGTTCTGTGTGTGCACGCTCCATTTTATTCCCTGACATTTACATGGCTGTTTCTTAGTGTTACCTGTCTTCCTTTTCTACCAGCCTGTGTGTCCTGGGCAGTAGGGATTAAGCTCCCATCTTAGCTGTCTCTTCACACTTAGCAAATTTCTTGGCTCATGGAAAGTGCTCAGTAAATGTTCATTGAACAAGTGCTCAGTCTGAAACAAGTAGGATTGGAGCTTGTGATGATTAATTTTGAGTGTTAACTTGATCGGATTGAAGGATGCAAAGTATTGTTCCTGGGTGTATTTGTGACTGTGTTGCCGAAGGAGATTAACATTTGAGTCAGTGGACTGGGAGAGGCAGACCCACCCTCAATCTGGGTGGGCACCATCTAATCAGCTGCCAGCATGGCTAGAATAAAGCAGGCAGAGGAATGTGGAAGGACTAGACTTGCTGAGTCTTCCAGCCTTCATCGTTCTCCCATGCTGGGTGCTTCCTGCCCTTGAACATCGGATGCCAAGTTCTTCAGCTTTTGGACTCTTGGACTTTCACCAGTGGTTTGCCAGGGGCTCTCGGTCCTTTAGCCACAGACTGAAGGCTATACTGTCAGCTTCTCTACTTTTGAGGTTTTGGGACTCAGGCTGGCTCCCTTGCTCCTCGGCTTGCAGTTGGCTTATTGTGGAACTTCACCTTGTTATCGTGTGAGTCAATACTCCTTAATAAACTCCCTTTTATATATCCATCTATCCTATTAGTCCTGTCCCTCTAGAGATCTAATACAGAGAGTGTTGAAAAATGTTAATTGAGTCTTTTGTTATTGATATATATTTCTAACCTATGGCTCTTCCCTTTCTCAACTTAGCCAGATGTTCTGCATTTATTGTCTTCACTTATTTGGAGATGGGGTAACACAGGGAAATAGGGGGAAAAAAATCCTGAGTCAATATTTTGCCTTCTGAGTTTCACAAAACCTATACCTGAAGAAGGGGGAAGAGGAGAGATCTTGATGCATAGAAGAAAAGCCTCATGAGAAACAGCCAGCTTCTTCCCCACTGCTGAGATTAGAAGGGATTCTCTGGGCTGGTGAGACCAGTGACCAGGTTCCGGGAGGAACAGGCTGGGTAGGAGCAGCACCAGAATCCAGACACCTAGCTGGTCTTGTGCAACCTCCAGTCATGTCTTGCCTACACAAGACCTGTATTTTTTATACTTCCTGTCTGTTCAGGTGAGGCTATCCTTCCACATCAGCCCCAGTGGGTCACTACTGATTATGCAGAGGTATCTGGACCCATTTGTGCCATAAGATCTGCAAGGATGCTCTCTGAGTCACAAGTCCATTCCAGTGGCCTACAGGGTCCTGAAGGTTCAGCCTTTACTACTTCTCTGACCTCATTGCCTACAGCTTCCTGCTTGCTCACTATACTGCAGTCACACTGGCTTCTTGCTCTTCCTTGGGAATCCCAGGCACATTGCCTTTGCACTGGCTGTTTCTCATGCCCAGAGGGGCTCTACTCCCAGAAATTACCTGTCTTTTTTCAAATGTGACTTCTCAAAGAGATCTTCACTGACTGTTCTGCCTGAAATTGCAGCCCAGCCCCAACCCATGCCTGACACACCTGACCCCTCCTACCCTGCTCACCTTGTTCTGTTTCCCATAACTCTTACCATACTCTAACAAATCATGTGCTTTACTCATGTATTAGGTCTGTTGTTTATTGTTTCTCTCCCTCTAATAGATTACAAGCTCCACAGGGGAAGGGATTTCTGCTTTATTCACAAATGTATCCAAACATCTGGAGCAGTGTCTCACATACAGTGAATGGTCAATAAATACTTTGGAATGGATGAATACTTAAGAGAAGAGAGTAGTTATTACTCTTTAATATCTCAGGACTTTCCAAACCACCTGAGATAAACAGTGGAGTCTAGGTTGTGTGTGTGTAAGACAAAGACCCCTACCTCCATCTATGCTTGGATGGGACTGAAGAGAGCAAGAATAAGACTTGCCTTCTAACTGGCTCCCTATCAGACTGGCACTGTGTTATCTCTGTTATACAAAGAAACCTGATTTCATTAACAAAAGCTGTAATAGTTTTTAAATGTCCAATACTATTTTTGTAAGGGCATCTATTAGTCTGGAGTTTATAAATGAAAGCAAATTTTCTTTTAAATTCACTATTATGAAAGGAGATTTCATTCTTAGCCAAGCCTTTCTAAATGAGTGTAACTTTTAAGTGTATCTATAGCATTATTTTCTTCCTGTCCTCTTCTGCCTGTCCATCGTTTTCTGATGAATGGTCACATGTAAACCTATTGGCTCAGGGAAGCCTGACTTCTAGGCCTTTGGGTGGCTGGTTACTGGCTTCAATGCAGAACAGGTCATTTGCAGAACAGGTAGAAAGTCCATTTATATGAAGAGCACTAATAAAAATGATTATTTATTGAATAAATCTGGAAGCATGACAAGGAAGCTATGAGACTTACTTTGAAGATGAGGAAATGGAAATTTTAAGGAACCCAGGTTCACACATTTAGTAAGAGGCTGAGGTGAAATTTGAGCCTCATTCTGTGTATTGTAAACCTTCTGTTTTTACCATCTGACTGGTGGACTGATTGTTGACATTTCTTCAGCACTTTCAACTTTTCCAAACAATGACCCATCAATGATCTCATTAAGTGCTCAAAAAATGCTTTTGAGTGTAGGGACCAGCCCCACAGGGTCGGTGGGTCTCTCCCTGTGTGTGGCGATGAGACAGTGTAGAAATAAAGACACAAGACAAAGAGGTAAAAGAAAAGGCAGCTGGGCCCGGTGGACCACTACCACCAATGCGCGGAGACTGGTAGTGACCACGAATGTCTGGCTGCGCTGTTATTTATTGGATACAAGGCAGAAGGGGCAGGGTAAAGAATGTGAGTCATCTCCAATGATAGGTAAGGTCATGTGGGTCACGTGTCCACTGGACAGGGAGCCCTTCCCTGCCTGGCAGCCAAGGCAGAGAGGGAGAGGAGACAGAGAGAAAGACAGCTACGTCATTATTTCTGCATATCAGGGACTATTAGTACTTTCACTAATTTACTACTGCTATCTAGAAGGCAGAGCCAGGTGTACAGGATGGAACATGAAGGTGGACTAGGAGTGTGACCACTGAAGCACAGCATCACAGGGAGATGATTAGGTCTCTGGATAACTGTGGGCAAGCCTGATTGATGTCAGGCCCTCCACAAGAGGTGGAGGAGCAGAGTCTTCTCTAAACTCTTCCGGGGAAAAGGAGACTCCCTTTCCCGGTCTTCTAAGTAGCGGGTGTTTTCCCTTGACACTTACGCTACCGCTAGACCATGGTCCACCTGGCAACGGTTGTCTTCCCAGACGCTGGCATCACCGCTAGACCAAGGAGCCCTCTGGTGGCCCTGTCCCCACATAACAGAAGGCTCACACTCTTGTCTTCTGGTCACACCTCACTATGTCCCCTCAGCTCCTATCTCTTTATGGCCTGGTTTTTCCTAGGCTATGATTATAGAGCGAGGATTATTATAATATTGGAATAAAAAGTAATTGCTACAAACTAATGATTAATGATATTCATATATAATCATATCTAAGATCTATATCTGGTATAACTATTCTTGTTTTATATTTTATTGTACTGGAACAGCTCGTGTCCTCTGTCTCTTGCCTCAGTGCCTGGGTGGCTTGCCGCCCACATTTGAGGATCCATGAGTTGCACGAGGAAGGACAACCAGAAAATGTTTTCTACTATGTGAAGGGTTGAGTCAATGAGATTGCTCTGCTCAGAGCTGTGGCACCATGCTTGTGAAAAGCATTTTGTTGGAGAATCTCTCAGGGCATCTGGGTACTGTTGTGCTGTTACCCTGTACCAAGAAAAGGAATGTCTGGCCATGGGCTAGCCTCTGACATAACCTCAAAACCTTTACTGTCCACACTTGCAGAAGCCTGAAATATGTAGTTGATCTACAAGATGAGCACATTTTTCTGGGACCAAGTGCCTGTGTCACATTGATCATAAGCGTGTCTTTCTGCTTTTTTTAAAAAATAGTCTTTCTCATTGAGCAGAATTACACTTTGCAAACCTTGAAATCACAAATTAGACCACACATTGCAGTGGTTATTGACATTTGTGGAATATTAATATTTTTGAGAGTGTAATTAACCTTATACTTTTTCCCTAGAAAATATGTAGTTATAAACATGTCAAATCTTCCTATATTTAGAAAGTGTTCTTAGAAAGTTCAGAACCTTGCAGCAAGGGATAGGACACTTGAATTTTAAATGTGTATCCTTTCTCCACTCACTCTCTCTTGTCCACCCCAAAATATCCTAAAATAAAAATGTTTTACAAAGCAATGGTGTGGCAGGAGTTTCCTCTGTAGAATTTTGCTCACAACCTTTATTCTTTAATTTAAAGTTATTGATTCTACGTAATTATTTCCTAGAGAAGTTAGTTGAACTAAAAAAAATCTATCAGCATTCTGAAAGGCTGTTTCTCATCTGAGGCTGAGACTGCATCCTTCTAGTGGTCATCTGCCACATGCAGTTGACACTGTAGTCTACCACAGAGTGGTCCATGAGCTCCCGGTGACATGGTGTCCAATTGCCCCAGAGAGGTTGGCATCTTCAAGGCAGAAAGTGCTTATCTGTTTAAAATTCCATCATATGCATGGCACAAGGTTAATTAAACTTTAGTGGTGTGAAACTTTTAAAAGGTGACTCTCAGTCTTTCTCAAATTGTGAAATTTTCTTGCAAGTGTCAGATTAAAAAAAACTCTTAAGAGATGTGTATCTTTACAAAATAAATTGCTTTAAAATAACTTTCATTTTGAAAACCTCTGAGATTTTCAGAGCATCTGGGTAGGTAATTGGAGAGAGCTGATATATCATGAAATCTGTTTCAGGCTTTCAGGATCAGTAAGAGCACTGTTATATGTGGAAGTATAACTGAGCACCGTTATGCAGAAACCCGGTTAAGTCCTACATCTATCCTATTAGGCAAATGTGTCAATGAATTAGAAATGTGCATTAAGTTTGTAAACAGAGTTTTCAGTATTCCAGGGGCCATTAGAAACCGCTGACTGTTGAACACTGTGATTGAATAGGTTGTTGATTTCTCTTTTTTAAACAAGTGTCAAGATCATGTACTAACTCACCCAGAAATGCCATTTTAAAAATAATATCTTCTAAAGTCATGGTCTGAAATGTTCTTTACTGGAGTTTTCAAAAGTATGATTGATATTTTACTAAACGTAATCTAACTTGTGCCTTGAGTCAGAAACAGACATTTTGGGAAGCATATTTTTTTTCCAATTCTATCCTTTGTTTTATTTTGTTTGTTTTGTTTTTTCCCCCAGTGTATTGACCAGAATCTCAATCTATGCAATTTGGATAGTTGTCTATGAAGCTTCCTATAATGATTATTTAGCATTTTGAAAATAAAAGATTTGTGGAGAATGACCACAACTGCAATAAGGACCAGAAGTTTAACATGTTTTTACTAAAGCATTTGCTTCAGCAGACTTTACATTTATCAATCACATGTTGGAGTTCTGATATTAACTTCCAGTTTATTCCCACTGAAAAAATCAGTGGAAATGCTCAACCAGGTTACCTCTACCATAGCCCAGGATGACTTTCTTTGCTGTATTGTCCAGACTTTGCCAACTTTCTTCTTTTACTCCATATCGTTCTTGTCATGGGTTTTCAGGCAGAAGTATTGCTTTCATAATTCATGCTCTTTCTACTATTTACTGATTTTTAAAATATAATCTGCAAATGTTTAAAGTTCACATTAGAATAATTCTAATGCATTGCATTGCTAATGAGTGTTATTTTCTCCCATATTCTCCCATGTATAAAATACCTGCTACTAATTCTCTATGAACATAGGGATACCTTTTCTTGCTGCAGGTCCTCTAAATGGGGGTTCTCTGTATCATGCTAGCTCCTGGCTGCAGCATCTCCATCCTCTCTCCATTTGTGGGCATGGAAAGGGAGTAGTGGGAAAAGAGACTGGGTTTCCCAAGGTATATTTTGCTGTTTATAAAAAGCTTTTCATATTAGGAACTTTAGCATTCTACTGATCCCAGATCTATCTTCTGAAATTATTACTAGTCTCAGTTCTCATTGAATCACACACATTACGTCTAACCCTTTTTATAGCATTAGAGCCTTTTTTAAAGCTTTTTAGCAATAATTATTTATTTTAATTTTATTTATTTTATATTTTGCCATAAGTTATTGAAATACAGGTGGTATTTGTTTACATGAGTAAGTTCTTTAGTTGTGATGTGAGATTTTGGTGCACCCACCACTCGAGCATTATACACTGCCCCATATTTGTAGTCTTTTATCCCTTACCTCCTGCCCACCCTTTCCCCCAAGCCCCAAGGTCCATTGTATCATTCTTATGCCTTTGCATCCCCATAGCTTAGCTCCCACATATCAGTGAGAACGTACAATGTTTGGTTTTCCATTCCTGAGTTACGTTACTGAGAATAATAGTCTCTAATCTCATCCAGGTCACTGCAAATGCAGTTAATTTATTCCTTTTCATGGCTCAGTAGTATTCCATTGTATAAATATACCACAGTTTCTTATCCACTCATTGATTTATAGGCATTTGGGTTGGTTCCATGATTTTGCAATGGCTAATTGTGCTGCTATAAACATGCGTGTGCAAGTATCTTTTTTCATATAATGATTTCTTTTTGTCTGGGTAGATACCCAGTAGTAGGATTGCTTGATCAAATGGTAGTTCTACCTGTAGTTCTTTAAGGAATCTCCACAATGTTTTCCATAAAGATTGTACTAGTTTACATTTCCACCAGCAGCACAGAGGTGTTCCCTCTTCACCGCATCCATGCCAACATCTACCGTTTTTTAATTTTTTGATTATGGTCATTCTTGAAGGAGTAAGGTGATATCGCATTGTGGTTTTGATGTCTGTTTCCCTGATAATTAGTGAAGTTGAGCTTTTTTCATATGTTTGTTGGCCATTTGTATATTTTTGGTTGAGAATTGTCTATTCATGTCTTTAGCCCACTTTTTGATGTGTGTTTTTTTTTCTTTTTTTAACTGATTTGTTTGAGTTTGATATAGGTTCTGGATATTAGTCCTTTGTCAGATGTATAGATTGTGAAGATTTTCTCCCACTCTGTGGGTTGTCTGTTTACTCTGCTGATGGTTCCCTTTGCTATGCAAAAGCTCTTTTAATTAGGTCCCAGTTATTTATCTTTGTTTTCATTGCATTTGCTTTTGGGTTTTTGGTAATGAAATCCTTGCCTAAGCCAATGTCTAGAAGTTTTTCTAATGTTATCTTCTAGAATTTTTATAGTTTTAGGTCTTAGATTTAAGTCCTTAATCCATCTTGAGTTGATTTTTGTATAAGGTGAGAGATGAGGATCCAGTTTCATTCTCCTACATGTGGCTAGCCAATTATCCCAGCACCATTTGTGGAAAAGGGTGTCCTTTCCCCATTTTATGTTTCTGTTTGCTTGGTCAAAGATCAGTTGGCTGTAAGTATTTGGGTTTATTTCTGGGTTCTCTATTCTATTCCATTGATCAATGTGCCTGTTTCTATACCAGTACCGTGCTGTTTTGGTGACTATGTCCTTATAGGATAGTTTGAAATCAGGTAATGTAATGCCTCCAGATTTGTTACTCTTTTTGCTTAGTCTTACTTTGGCTATGTGGGCTCTTTTTTGGTTCCATCTGAATTTTGGAATTGTTTTTTTCTAATTCTGTGAAGAATGATGGTGGAATTTTGATGGGGATTGCATTGAATTTGTATATTGCTTTTGGCAGTATGGTCATTTCACAATATTTATTGTATGCATCCATGAGACTGGGATGTGTTTCCATTTGTTTGTGTCATCTGTGCTTTCTTTCACAGTGTTTTGTAGTTTTCCTTGTAGAGGTCTTTTGCCTCCTTGGTTAGGCATATTACTAAATAGTTTATTTTTCTTGCAGCTATTGTAAAAGGGGTTGAGTTCGTGATTTGATTCTCCACTTGGTTGCTGCTGGTGTATAGAAGAGCTACTGATTTGTATACATTAATCTTGTATCTGGAAACTTTGCCAAATTCTTTAATCAATTCTAGGAGCTTTCTGGAAATCTTTAGGGTTTTCAAGGTAAGCGATCATATCATCAGCAAACAGTGACAGTTTGAGTTCCTCTTTACTGATTTGGTTGCCTTTTATTTCTTTCTCGCATCTGATTGCTCTGGCTAGGACTTCCAGTACTATGTTGAAGGGGAGCGGTGAGAGTGGGCATCCTTGTCTTGTTTCAGTTCTCAGAGGGAGTGCTTTCAACTTTTTCCCATTCAGTATTATGTTGGCTGTGAGTTTTTCGTAGATGGCTTTTATTACATTGAGGGATGTTTCTTGTATGCCAATTTTGCTGAGAGTTTTAATCTTAAAGGAATGCTGGATTTTGTTCAATGCTTTTCCTGCACCTATAGAGATTATCACATGATTTTTGTTTTTAATTCTGTTTATGTAGTGTGTCACATTTATTAATTTGCATATGTTAAATCAGCCCTGCATTCCTGGTATGAAACCTACTTGATCATGGTAGATTACCTTTTTGATATGTCGTTAGATTTGGTTTGCTAGTATTTTGTTTAGGATTTTAGTATCTATGTTCATCAAGGATATAGGTCTGTAATTTTCTTTTTTGGTTATGTCCTTTCCTGGTTTGGGTATTAGGGTGGTAATGGCATCATAGAATGAATTAGGGAGGGTGCCTTCTTTCTCTATCTTATGGAATAGTGTCAAAAGGATTGGTATTAATTCTTCTTTGAATGTCTGGTAGAATTCTGCTGTGAATCTGTCTGGCCCTGGAGTTTTTTTGTTGGTGATTTTTTATTACCGTTTCAATCTCACTGCTTCTTATTGGTCTGTTAAGGGCATCTAATTGTTCCTGATTTAAGCTAAGAGGGTTGTAGTTTTCAAGGAATTTATCCATCTCTTCCAGGCTGTTTAGTTTATGTGGGTAAAGGTGTTTGTAGTAGCCTTGAATGATCTTTTCTATTTCAGTGGTGTCAGTTGTAATATCTCCTGTTTCATTTCTTAAGTTATTTGGAATTTTTGTCTTCTTTTCTTGGTTCATCTTGCCAATGCTCTATCAATTTTATGTATCTTTTTAAATAAACAGCTTTTTGTTTCATTTATCTTTTGTGTTTTTGTTGTTGTTGTTATTGTTTCAATTTCATTTAGTTCTGCTCTGATCTTGGTTATTTCCTTTCTTCTGTTGGGTTTAGGTTTGATTTGTTTTTCTTTCTCTAGTTCTTTGAGATGTGACCTTAGAATGTTAGTTTGTGCTCTTTCAGTCTCTTTGATGTAGGCGTTTAGGGCTATGAACTTTCCTCTTAGCAATGTCATTGCCGTATCCCAGAGGTTTTGATGGGTTGTCTATTGTCATTCAGTTTGAAGAAGTTTTTAATTTCCATCTTGATTTTGTTTTTGACCCAGTGCTCATTCAGGAGCAGATTATTTAATTTCCTAATATTTGCATGGTTTTGAAGCTTCCTTTTGGAGTTGATTTTGTTTTATTCCACTGTGGTCTGAGATAGTGCTTGATATAATTTCAATTTTCTTAAATGTATTAAGGCTTGTTTTATAGCCTATCATATGGTCTATTTTGGAGAAAGTTCCATGCACTGTTGAATAGAATGTGTATTCTATGGTTGTTGGATGAAATCTTCTTTATATATCTATATATCTGTTAAGTCCATTTGTTCCAATGTATAGTTTAAATCCATTGTTTCTTTCTTGACTTTCTGTCTTGACGACCTGTGTAGTGCTGTCAGTGGAGTACTGAAGTCCCACACTATTATTGTGTTGCTGTCTGTCTCATGTCTTAGGTCTATTAGTAATTGTTTTATAAATTTGGAAGCTCCAGTGTTAGGTGGATATATGTTTAGGATTGTGATATTTTCCTGTTGGACAAGGCCTTTTACCATTATAAAATGTCCCCTTTGTCTCTTTTAACTGCTGTTGCTTTAAAGTTTGTTTTGTCTGGTATAAGAATAGCTATCCCTGATCAATTTTGGTGTCCATTTGCATGAGATGCCTTTTTCCATCCCTCTACTTTAAGTTTATGTGAGTCCTTATGTGTTAGGTGAGTCTTCTGAAGGCAGCAGATAGTTGTTTGGTGAGTTTTTATCCATTCTGCAGTTCTGTGTCTTTTAAGTGGAACATTTAGGCCATTTACATTCATTATTTGTATTAAAATGTGAGGTACCCTTGCATTCATCATGCTATTTGTTGCCTATGAACTTTGTTTTTTGTTTTTGCTTTTAAGTTGCATTTTTGTTTTATAGGTTCTGCATGATTTATGCTTTAAAGAGGTACTGTTTTGATGTGTTTCGAGGACTTGTTTCAAGATTTAGAACTCCTTCTTAGCAGTTCTTGTAGTGATGGCTTGGTAATGGTGAATTTTCTCAGCATTTGTTTGTCTGAAAATACTGTATCTTTCCCTCATATAAGATGCTTAGTTTTGCTGGATACAAAATTCTTGGCTGATAATTGTTTTGTCTGAGGAGGCTGAAGATAGGGCACTAATCCATTCTAGCCTGTAGGGTTTCTGCTGAGAAATCTGCTGTTAATCTGCTAGGTTTCCCTTTATATGTTACCTGGTACCTCTGTCTCACAGCTCTTTATATTCTTTCCTTTGTCTTAACTTTAGATAACCTGATGACAAAGTGCTTAGGTAATGATCTTTTGCAATGAATTTCCCAGGTTTTCTTTATGCTTCTTGTATTTGGATTTCTAGGTGTCTAGCAAGGGTGGAGAAGTTTTCCTTGATTATTCCCCCAAATATGTTTTCCAAATTTTAGTTTTCTCTTCTTCCTCAGGAACATGGATTATACTTATGTTTGGTCATTTAACATAATCCCAGACTTCTTGTAGCCTTTGCTCATATTTTCTTATTTTTTTTCTTTGTCTTTGTTGGATTGGTTTAATTCAAAGACCTTGTCTTCAAGCTCTGAATTTCTTTCTTCTACTTGTTAAATTCTATAGCTGAGACTTTCCAGAACATTTTGCATTTCTCTAAGTGTTTGCAATGTTTCCTGAGGTTTTGATTGTTTTTCCTTTATGCTGTCTATTTCCTTGAATATTTCTTTTTTCACCTCGTATCATTTTTTGGATTCCCTTGCATTGGGCTTTGCATTTCTCTGGTGTCTCCCTGATTGGCTTAATAACTAAGTTCCTGAATTCTTTTTCAGGTAAACCAGGGATTTCTTCTTGGTTTGGATCCATTGCTGGTTATACTAGTGTGATTTTCTGGGGGTGTTGAAGAGCCTTGTTTTGTGATTTTACCAGAGTTGGGTTTCTGGTTCCTTCTTATTTGGATAGACTCTGTCAGAGGGAAGGTCTAGGGCTGAAGGCTGTTGTTCAGATTCTTTTGTCCCACAGGGTGTTCCCTTGATGTAGTACTCTCCCCGCTTTCCTATGGACGTGGCTTCCTGTGAGCCAAACTGCAGTGATTGTTGTCTTTTTTCTGGGTCTAGCCACCCAGTGAGTCTACCTGGCTCTGGGCTGGTACTGGGGGTTGTCTGCACAGAGTCCTGTGAAGTGAACCATCTATCGGTCGTTCAGCTGTGGATACAGAGCCTTTCTGGTGGAGATGACAGGAGGGTGAAATGGACTCTGTGAGGTTTCTTAGCTTTGGTGGTTTAATGCTCTATTTTGTGCTGGTTGGCCTCCTGCCAGGAGGTGGCATTTTACAGCGAGCATCAGCTGTGGTATTGTGGAGAGGGTTCGGCAGTGGGCAGGGCCCTATGACTCCGAAAATTATGTGCCCTTTGTCTTCTGCTACCAGGGTGGTTAGGGATGGTCCATCAAGTTGGGGAAAGGCTAGTGGTGTCTGAGCTCAGACTCTCCTTGGGTAGATCTTGATGCTGGTGCTGTGGGAGATGGGGTTGAGTTTCTCAAGTCAATGGAGTTGTGTACCTAGGAGGATTATGGCTGCCCCTGCTGAGTCATGCAAGTTGTCAGGGAAGTGGAGGAAAGCCGGCAGTCACAGGCCTCACCTGGCTCCCACGGAAACCAAAAAGCCGGTCTCACTCTCATTGTGCCCCCACTAACAGCCCTGAGTTTGTTTCCAGATGGTAGGTGAGCTGGGCTTGAGAACTTTCTCCAGGCTACCCACATCCCAGCTGTGAATGAAAAGGGTTTGGTTCTTCCTCTGCCTGTGGAGTCTGCACACCAGATTCATGCCCTCCCCCGAGTTTTGGCCAGGAGTGTTCTTGCCTGGTTCAAGTTGTTACGAAGTTCAGCTGGAGATTTCCTTCTTCCTGTGTTTTTTTTCCCCGCTTCTCTGGCTCCCCTCCCAATGGGACCCCATGGTGCCAGGCAGGAATGGCCTACTTGGGGACCCAGCAACCTCCCGGATCCTTTCTCGCTGCTTCCTATACCCCTGTATTTTGCTCGGCTGTCTAAACTGACTCAGCTCCAGGTAAGGTTGGAAACTTCTCCCGCAAACAGACCTTCAGTTTCTTTAGAGGGGGTATGTGTTTGGGATACGAGGATCTCCCTTTCCCACTTCTGCAAATGGGGCACTCACAGTATTTAGGGTGTCTCCCAGGTCCCTGAAGGAGCAGTCTGCTTCCTTCAGAGGGCCTATGGGTTCTCTTGGAATTGCTGGTTTGTTCTTGCAGTGGTTCTGGAGCGAAAATTTACAATGCGAGCCTCCACATGCTGCTCTGTCCTTCCCAGTCAGAGCTGCAATCTAGTCCTGCTTCCCATCCACCATAATAATCCCCTATAGCCTATTGATGCAAATAATGAATGTGAAACATGAAGATTAAAAATTTAATTTGTAGTGATTGTAAAAACAACATGCCTATTGTTTAGTATTTGGAAGATAGAGATATATAAATGATAAACTAAAAATAATCTATTATTTTACTACCCCTAAATATTCATTTTCATTTGGTATGTTTTTCTCCTTCTATGTGTGTTTATTCTAATAGTTTTAAAATATTGTATGTAAAGTTTTAAATCATATTTTGTAAATAAGAAGTGAGTTTACAAATTCAGTCTCTTTACTGAAAAAATCTGATAATACACCTATTCCACACCTTACTAATGCTAGTGATTAGTACTTACATTAGTTTGGTAAAATTTTATGATGATGCTCAATATCATAGCCTTTCTATAAAATACATAGTGGGGAATTTGAAAAATGGTTTTGTTATAGAGCTGTACTAAATGTTAGTCTGCTTCAGAATAAAGCCTTTTGTTCTGCTCTTCCTGAGGCAGGCTTGAAATTTTTGACATTCATTCTTTATGCTTAGATGGAGTGGCAAGCAGTAAGAAGTGATTATTTCCAAACGTAGCAAAGGAAATTTCCATTTATTTATTTTATTCTCTCACAATAACATAGCTCTGACAAATTCCAGGACCTTGCTCCCTGGCCAGGGTATGACTAGGCAGGCAGGTTCTGGATTAATTATAGTTTAGGTAGTTAGCAGGCAGTCATGGCCAATGCTTTGGGTGAAATCTGTTGTATCTTAACCAGCATCTTTCTATGTTGTGTAAATGAGGTAAAGAGTCATTCTCTCTTTTTCTGTACTCCTTTACAAATGTTTTAATCAATACATGGCCCCCTACAACCTGTAGTTTGAACCAAAATAAAATTTTCTGGGATGCCTATGCAACCTTTAGGCCTATCCTAATTATGCATAGCTATTGCAAAGATACAGAGATTTGAGAGCCCCACCATTAATTGAGAGTACGACTTCTCAGAGAGTGAAGTTAGTTGAGCTTCACGTCAACTTTTCAGTGCAACTGTAGCCTCAATCTTATAGTTATACAGACCCTGAGCATTAAGGAATTGGCTCACTTAGCTTCCCAAAAGATGCTAGACAAAAAGACTCACAGTAGATTTGCAGTCATCTGGAGCAACTGTAATTGATGTTGTTCAGATTATGGTTAGAGAACAGTGTTCAGTTGTGATTTCAACACTTGAAAAATGACATGAAATAGGTCCAGAGAAGAAAAGTCTGACATATTCTGGCATTTTAAATTGCTACTTTTACTATTTTAGTTTTTAAAACAGTCCCACTCAAAGCAAATAATTAGCAAAAAATGCAAATTTTTGGTTTGACAGATTGTAGTTTGAATATAGGCAATGCCTCCTTTAGCTCTGTGAATTTAATTTAATTTTAAAAAGCTAATATAAACTATATAAAAATATTTATAACTAACATATGTGAATGACATAAAATAGTATGATAAAATGAACACTGTTAGTTGATTTGCCACACAAGGGTTGTTCAGATTATCTGTCTGCTATATTATCAGAAATGGAAGTTGGGTTCTTAAATGTTTTTCTGAGTCCTTTTTTGTCTTATCTGTAAAGTAGGGAGAATGATCCCTGATTCACAGGATGGCTGTGAAGATTAGATAAAGCAGATTGTATAAAAACAGCAAGTAGGGCACCTGCTAAGGAGTGGTCCTCCCCACTGCCTGCACCCTCATGGCACATTTGCTCCTCAGGCTATTACACCCTTGCCTCTGCCAAGCCGATCCCTAGAAACCAGGTTCATCAAGAACAGAGAGTGAGCTTCTTGGTTACCAACACTGATTTCAGAAAGCCTTTGTTTCTTTTCTCCAATCCCTCCTTCTTGAAGATCCCTTCACCATTGTTGGTTCAGTGCTACTCGCTCTATTTTCCTCTTACTGTTCTGACTAGTCCTGTTCATTCTCCTTCTAAAGCTCCTCTTTCATTGCTCATCCTTTAAATGCCAGTGGCCCCCAGGCTTATGTCCTTAGTCTCCTTTTTTATTTTCTTTACACAGTCTCTCTGGGTGATTTATTCATTCCATGTGTAAACAATGACTGTACTTAAGGCTGGTAATGTATATCTCCTTTGCCTGGCAGAAGTTTCTCCTGTTCTTCAAATTTACCAATCAATTTCCTGGTGTTTTACACTCAAATGACCCACAACATCTCCAAAAGAAAAGTCATCAAGCATGTATTTCATGTACATTGATGGGGTGCCTCCAATAGGCCAGGCCATGCCTATTTCTTCAATCTCATCTCTAGTCTACTCCTCAGCTGATGCCCTCCCCTACAGTTATATGGCACTATGGAGTCCCCCAAATTCATTATGCTCCTTGTGTTTCTGTGCATAGAAAGAAGAAGAGATAAGAGTCATATGGTCCTAAACAAATAGAGAAAATTACTTGGGGTCCTGATTTTCCAGATCCTGATTCCAGTCCTCATGTGAAATAAATGCCTCTGTTACTCTTCCAATAAACATCCCTTTAAGGTTGAATAGTTTGGATAGATTTTGTCATTAAGATCATGGAGTTTTGAATAAATGGGCCTTTGCATGGATGAAGATATTGGAGATGTAGTTCCAATGAGTTAATCTGTTACCTTAGGAAATATAACCAATAGTTAATGCAGACTGGCATGGCTGCCAATTATTTTCCTTTAGGACAAGTTGTTTTCTAACTATGATCTATTTCTATTTCATTTTCCTCCTCACACCAACCTTAATGCAAAACACAATTTTTGCATTCACTCTAAGAAATTTAGCAAGGAGGATTTCCTGGTGGTTATGGGAGGACAAAACATGCTGTAGCTCACCACAACATCTTTATGGGCTAGTCTCCTCTCCCAAGTCTCTCTTTTGAGGGGTCAGCTGCCGTATCTCACATTTCTCCAAATCTTACCTGCATCCTTTACATCTTCCTGGGCCTATCAACTTCTTGTCCTTTCTTTGGCAGAGTATTTCCGCCCTTTCCAGGGTGTGAAAAGATGTCTCAATATTAATTACTGAGAGTTTTTTCTGTTAATTTCCTTTTCCTTCCCCCACCATTTAAGGGAGGCTTTGACTTTGGCATACCCCATCAGGTGTAGTTATAGCAGGCGTACACGAGGAAAAGGAAGGCAGCTTTTTGAGCTTCTAAATAGACTTTTGAACAACCCAACTCAAAAGTAGAAGAAGAATGTTTTTAAGCTGCAAAAGTCAAAGTTTGTGGTATAAATAATACATTTGGGAAGCATGATGATTTCAGAGTCAGTTTCCTGAACTAAATTTGTCCAAGTGTAATGAGTTGAAGACAGAAGAGAGATAGAGAGCAGATAAAAGACAATGGACTGCTGAAAATTAGCTTGTGACCTGCCCTCTCTGTCACCATCCCTTGGCCAATCTTATGTAATTTTGATGGCCTGAGGTCAGAGGGGATCTGTGCTTGATATCTGGATGTGGCCCAGACAAACAAACTGAGGCTCTAGAGATCCTTGCACTGCATCGGCAGAATGACGTGCTGCCTAGAGTGTCTAGACACACAGGGCTGGAGGCAGTCCTCAGACTACCATAGTGCCCTAGTGACTGGAAATAATCTCAAAGGACACAGCTGGTAGAACTAAAGGGTCTTCACAGACTAGGTGAGAGGACATGAGTGGCGGGGAAGATGATCCAGACTATGAGCATTAGCCAATGTAGAGGGGGGATAATGGCTAGGAACCAGTAACTTCTCTCATGCCACGACATGATAAGAGGCACCAGAGGAGAAAGAACAGAGGGAATGAAGGGGCTGAAGGGGGAGGTGCTTGGCTTTCCATGGTGGCCTCTCAAGTAGCAATGATAGTTTACTTTTCTGTTGTAGGTCTACTCTGAGTCCAAATCATCACTGAAATTGTGTTGAACATTTCAGATGGAAAATATAAAGACTGAGGCTGTGTTGGAGATGGGGGAAACTTTTGAAAACAATAGGGATTATTTGGAGGGGACTGCCCATAGGAAAAGCAAGACAAGCAGACTAAAGCCAAATGCCCAGCTGAGGTGGAAAGAGACTTCAGGAAAATATGAACAGTGGACTTGGGGAACATGTGAGCATTGTCTGGGGAAAGAGAAATGTGGTAAATAAACTTCAAAGTGCATGGATGGTTACAAAATCATTAGAATTTGCATATTACAGAAAAAGTGACTTCCTACTAACACTTCAAATGAAGAAGAGAAATTAGGTTTTTCTCTTTTTTTTTCCAATCTAGACGTAAACAACTTTAACCAATAAAAGTCTTATGAGATTGTCACTTTACCTATGCCATAGGAATGCTGTGCTTCTAACTCTGGTGGCGTAGTTCAATGCCAGGGGAGCTTAAAAATATGCTGATGCCCAGGCCTCCCTCCCAGAGATTCTGATTAAACTGGGTTGAGACATTGTTTACAAAAGCTCCCCAGGTGATTCTAATGCATAGCCAAGGCTATGAACTGCTGTAGTGAGGACTTTAGCTCATTTTTTGTAGTTCTCAGAAAACCCTCTTTTATAACATCTGTGTCCATTTAAATGGGACACAGCCTATTGAACAAGATTCTAAAATCACCAATAATGATCAAAGGTATCGAAAAGAAGATAAAAGAGAAAGCTATATCTTGTTCATCTTGTTTTGTTTCTTGGTTTTCCTACCTCTGATCCTTCAGCTTATGAATTACCCAGCCTCTTTCTTTCTTGTCTCTTTCTCTTTGGTGGTCTGCCTTTGGGACATTTTATTTTCTTCAGCTCCTTTAAAAGAAGATAAGCGAATAAAGTCAGAAGAGTCTATTTTGCTGCTTGTTTGAGTAAAATGTTTGAGTGGCCAAAATTAGAAACTATTGACTTAATTGAGATTGGAAGATAGGGTATGAATTTGATTGACCTATACTTTGAACAAACATGATGGATAGGATAGCTTTGTTATGGTTTATCATCTTCCAACTTAGTTTACAATTGAAACCATAAAGCAGCAATTCTTCATCTTTTTAGAATTAAAAATACCCAATAGATGTTTGTTTGATATCATTACCTGTCCCACCAATCCTGGTCTCAAAGGTGCTGCATAGCATAGACTTGATTTAAATTAAATAAATTAAGATGAACTCTCCTTTGAACATCACTGGAAATTGTTGGCACAGTAGCTGAGATTTTGGTGACTGCTATGGCACTCTCCTTTTCACTATATGGGTAGGAAGCTTGGATCTGATGTTTTACATTTTTGCTTTCATGTACAACTCTTGTCTTTTTTTTCTTTTAAGTTCTGGGATACATGTGCAGAATGTGCAGGTTTGTTACAGAGGTATACATGTGCCATGGTGGATTGCTGCACCCGTCAACCTGTCATCTAGGTTTTAAGCCCCACATGCATTAGGTATTTGTCCTAACGCTCTCCCTCCCTTTCCCCCACACCCCCCGACTGGCCCGTGTGTGTGTGATATTCCCCTCCCTGTGTCCATGTGTTCTCCTTGCATGTACAACTCTTTTCTACCTGAGTACTTTGGGTGGAAAAAGTTCTGATGTCATTGGAGTATTCTCATAGTGGGAGGAAAGACTTAGCAATTAAAAATATTCTAGAGTAAAGAGTAAAAGAAACTTTTATTACTCTTTCATAGCAATTAGCTGCCAGCTAAGCTCAAGTCTTGTTCTGAAGAAAATTAGAAATTATTTATATTCCATTAGAAATAAAGAATAATGCAGCAATGTTCCTTAACACTTACTTTTTAGTCCACATTTTAGGTGGTTCATATATTGCTATTTAAACCCTTGGAGCTTTTTCACTGCTTTATAGATGTAATCTTAAAAGCATAACCTTTGAGTGAAAGTCAATATTATTGTACATAATCTTTTGAGTCTTCATTTTTTCAACGTGCTCCAATATAAGAAAATGGCAAGAGGTTACAGAGCACTGGTTTGTAATGTGGGTAATATGGTCATTTTCCTCAAACCACTTATGTTTAAACAGTAGATAAATCTTCATTAGCTTTTTACACAGAGAAGCTAAAATTCCCAACAATGTAATCACATTCAGAGTTACTCTTATGTTCATTATCTAATTTTACCTTATAAAGGGTGATATTATTACAAATGTAAAGAAAATCTGAAGGTAGTTTGTGTTTTTTTCTATTCTTCTTTGGGTTTTATTTTTTAGTCCTAAGAAAATATATTATGGGCTACCAAAGCTGGTGAGGGCAAGAAGGTTGCACACTATAAGGGTGATAGTGACAATTTATGTTAGTCTTTTAGAAAGCAATGTATACTGACATATTTGAATTGTTCATACTATTTGATGCAGTGATTTGCTTTATGAATGTATGTAAAAGAAATCACCCTAAAATAATTTGTAATCACTCCGCGTACAATGATATTTATCATAATGTTAATTAGGATATAAAAAAATTAGAAGCAACATCAATGTCCAACTATAGAGGAAAGGCTAAGTAACTATAGGACACCCACTGGATGTAATAATACACTATCATTTAAAAGAGAGTGTAAAAATATAGAAAAAATATCTAGGATACTACAGAACAACAATATAATAAAAAGTGGTATAAGATGTGCAGTCGTAACTCAGTTAAAGCAATGAAACCAAAATCTATGTATAAGTCCCTGTAAAAACACATTATACTGGTTATGTTTGGATGATGGGATCAGAAATGAGCTTAAAATAGTTTTCTATTTTCATGTAATTTTTCCAATTTTCTAGAAAAAATAACATTAAATAATAAAATGAGGAAGATATAGTAAAATGAGGAAGCAACTGGTTTATGGGCTATGGGCTTAATAGTTGCATAGGGATGGGGAAGAAAGGTGCCATCCTTTTCTTGGTGGGTAGAAGACTGTAAGATGACAGTGCCAGCATGAGTGGGTAGGCTGTGACTCAAGTAATAAAGCCTCCATCAATTTCTTGGTTTCCCAGTCTATGCAAGTCACGGTTGTCCAATTGTGATTTTAAAATTTGTTTTAACTAAGGAGAAATTTGTTTAGAAGAAACTTCATATAGAAGCAGAACAGATAGAAGCAGAGCTTCTTTGATTAAAGTGGGAGCAGGAGGGCTGAGCTCTGTTTATTCCATATCTTCCCAGATCTCTTGCTGACCAGAGAGAGGGGTGTTGGGGAACCCCTAGAACTACTCACAGCATTTTGAAGAAACTATTAATACTATTTTTGTAAATACTGTTTTTTGAATGACTTTTATATATAAACCCTTTACAAATGTTTTCTCTATTACTTACAAAATCCTATGAATTAGGCATTATGAGGTCCGTTTTACAGGTGAATGAACTGAGACTCATAGAAGTGACTTGAGTTGCTGGAGATCATACATCTCAATGTCTAGAATTTGAGCCAGTTCTTGTCTGATTCTAAAACATATGCTTTTTACCACTATGTCATGTTGCTGCCTGCTAGGATTTAGATATTCATCTGCTCCAAACCTCATGTTGAAATATGATCCCCTATGTTGGAGGTGGGGCCTAATGGAAGGTGTTTGGGTCATGTGAGCAGATCCCTCGTGAATATCTTGGTGCCATCCTTGGGGTAGTGACTTCTTACTCTATTAGTTATTCTGACACCTAGTGGTTAAAAAGAACCTGGCACCTCCACCCACCTTTCTCTTACTTCCACTCTCGCCATGTGATCTCGTCACATGCTCATTGCCTTTCACCTTCTTCCAAGAGTGGAATCAACCTGAGGCCCTCATTAGATGACCAATCTTGAACCTTCCAGTCAGCAGAACTGTGAGTTAAATTAACCTACTTTCTTTATAAATTACTCAGTCTTAGGTATTCCTTTATAGCAACACAAAACAGTTGAAGGCACTGCTCATGGACTAATAAGAAACTACTCGGTTTTCACCAGACAATGTCCTCAGAAACAGCAGAAAGCAAAAAGGAATTAGGCAATTCACAATAGGTGCCTCCTTATAAGAGGCACCTATTGCGCCTCTTATAATTTTCCCCTCATTATCTTCCTATTGCAAAACTTATGAAATGAGGAAAGAGATGCAAAAAACTAGCCATGATAAAAATTGGGTATATGGTCGATCACTTGCCACCTCTTAAGAAGTATTTGCATGACTTGAAGTAGATCTAGAATAAGTAGTAGAAGTCGTGAAATGGCAGGGGTATTTCTGCCCAGAAGATATAGTACATTTGTAGGCTAATGGAAGAAAGTTATCTCCCTACATTTGAGTTGCATTTTGAGGTGGTCAGGGCTATTCCACATTTTTTCTACCCCCTTCTCTGTTCTTTCTACAATTCTTTGGAGACTCCAGCCTAATAATGCAATATGGTCAATGGGGTAGCAGAAAACATTAAGGGTGAGATGAAAGACCAGTCCCAGGGAGAAATGAAGACTGGAGGCACTCTAGGGGTTCTTGTTTGTCATGCACTATTTGTGCAAGAATAAAATAAAAGGCTTTTTCTGGGATCTTACCAATAAACAAATGACAGTGTGGGCACCAAGGAGAAGCTCCCACCTGTTTGCTGGCAAACATCAGGCCTCAGTAGATTGCTCCTTGTTTAAGTATTAAAGAAACTAAATCTTTCCCCATACTTATCCAAATAAAAATCTAGTAGAACTTAAAACAGTATCACTTATATTTTAAATGACTTGAACACAAACAAAAACAAACCAGGAAACCATGCTCTATATAGGGAAAGACATAACAAAATAGTAAGAAATCATAAAAGTCAGAAAACATAAAGTAATCCCATATAATTAATACTAGATTAATTTTGATAGTTAATCCCTCAGAAATTTTGATAGTTAATCCCTGAGTTAATCCCTCAGAAATACAAAGATTCTTAGATTGTGTCAAAACACAAAATTAATCTCTACTCTGTAGAAATTTGAAAAGAAAGGTGTCCAGTAAGGGAAAGGGCTGCCAGAGAGGACCCTATTCACTGGGTATCCAGAGACTTTGAATATGCAGGCCTAAGAAATTTCTAAATGTACTATTTGCCATATTCAGTTTTAACTAAAGGAATCTGCCTCATGTCAACAAAGTTCTTCATACCATTTTGTTAATTTACAATGTGAAATATCAGTCGAGTAGCCTGGATGATCAAATAGATCAAGCACACACTTTCTCTTCTATTTTCAGAGTGGTTATTATAGCTGAGCTTTATGTATATATTTACCGCCATTTAATTCCCAATCATATGAAGTAGGCATTATGAGTATTTCTATTTTACAGAGGGCGAACTAACAAAACACAAAGCTAATATAATTACCCAAAGTAACACAGTGAACAGGTGGTGAAGCAGGTGTCTTGGTGATGATGGAATCAGAGCAGTGAGAGTTAGTTAGATGGTGCCAATGTTTAACGGCATTAAGCTCTTAAAGGCTGATGTTTTCCATCTCCAAAGCAGACATTCTGTAGTTGGTCTGACTAGGCCCTAGAACCTGGACAAAGGCTAGATGGGATCTTCAATACATTCTATTTTCTCCAGTTCACTTCTGACTGACATATTCTTAAGTTAATACATTCAACCAGGTTTCAGGCATGTGATACAGGTCTGAAACATTTTCTTTGTTTTTTTAAAGGCAACTTTGCTGTACCTGCTCTGCATATGGATATTGATTTATGGTTTAACTCTCAAAGGGAAATCTCATTTATCTCATTTCAGTTGTTAATTAATGGTCTGAGGGAGGTTTTTAAAAATGTATCTGAAGGCTCTGTCTTTGACTAGGTAGTGGTGGAGTTTATTGCTAGTCGCTTGAGTAAGAACTTAGAGACAATATTGATCAGATTTGTAGATTACACAATTTAAAAACAAAACATAATACATTTGTCATTAAAACCAAAATCTAAAAGGATCTGAGTAGCCTGAGATAATGGGACAGGTTTATTTATTCAGCCATTTATTTTTTTTAAATGTATTTAGTACTTAGTATATGCCAGGAATTAAGAGATGATTCAGTGGTAACCAGGCAGACAGGTATCCTGACTTTATAGCATTCTCAGTATTTCAGAAAAGATAAATTTTAATAGGAATAATTTTAAGGGCTGTACTTAAATTTTAAGGGTATATCTCACACAATATATGAAAATAAACTCAAAATGAATTAAAGACCTAAATGTAACATCTGAAACTGTAACACTACTAGAAAACAACATAGGGGAAAATTTCCACAACACTGGTCTGGGGAATGATTTCTTGCATATAACTCCAAAGCACAGGCAACAAAAACAAAAATAGATAAATGAGATGGCATCAAACTAAAGTTTCTGCACAGCAAAGGATTCAATCAACAGAGTGAAGGGACACTCTATGAAATGGGAGAATGTATTTGCAAACCATTCAGCTAATAGAGAGTAAATATCTAAAGTATGTAAGGAACTCAAACAACTCAATGGTGCGGAAACAAATAACCAATTAAAACATGGGCAAAGGAATAGAAGAGACATTTCTTATAAGAAGACAAACAAATGGCCAAAGGGTATATTAAAAAAATGCAGAACATGACAAATTGTCAGGGAAATGCTTATTAAAATCACAATGAGCTATCACCTCACACCTGTTAGAGTGGCTAAGATAAAAAAGATAAAAGATAATAAGTGTTGGTGCATATGTGGAGAAAAGGGAACCCTGTACCCTGTTGGTAGGTATATAAATTATTACAGTCATTATGGAGAAAAGTATGGAGGCCCCTCAAAAAAACAAAAACACAATTACCATATGATCCAGCCATCTCACTTCTGGCTATATATCCAAAAGAATGGTAATCAGTATGTTAAAGAGCTATCTAAATGCCGTGTTTATTGCAATATTATTCACAATAGCCAAGATATCAAATCAACCTAAGGGTCCAAAAATGTATGAATGAATTTTTAAAAATGTGACACATTTACACAGCAGAATACTATTCAGTCTTAGAAAAGAAAACCTTGTCATTTCAATGATATGGATGAACCTGGAGAACATTATGTTAAGTGAAATAAGCCAGGCACACAAATACAAATACTGCACAATTCACTTATGCAGTAAGTGAAAGTGACTTTTTGGATTCCACATTCAAAAAGTCAAACTTATTAAAGTAGAAAGTAGAATGGTTGTTACTAGAGGCCTGCTGAGGAGAAGTTGACCAAAGGGTACAAAATTCCAGTTAAACAGGAGGAATAAGATTTCAAGATCTATGCACAGCAGACTAACCATAGTTAATAATAATGTATTTTATATTTCAAAGTTGCTAAAATAATAGATTTTAAATATTCTCACTATAAAAAAATCAAAAGTATATGAGGGATGGATATGTAAATTAGCTTGATTTAATTATTCCACAAGTATATACATATGAAAACATCATGTTGTAGTTCATAAATATATGGAATTATTTTTATTTATTTATTAATTATTTATTTATGTATTTATTTATTGAGACAGTCTCACTCTGTCACCCAGGCTGGAGTGTAGTGGTGCAATCTTGGCCCACTGCAACCTCCACCTCCTGGGTTCAAGTGATTCTCCTGCCTCAGCCTGCCAAGTAGCTGGGATTACAGGCGCTTGCCACCAAACCCAGCTAATTTTTGTATTTTTGGTAGAAACAGGTTTCACCATCTTGGCCAGGCTGATTTCAAACTCCTGACCTCAAGTGATCCTCCCACCATAGCCTCCCAAAGTGCTGCAATTACAGGCGTGGGTCACCATGCCTGGGCTATGCAATTATTACTTGTCAATTAAAAATAAAAATTTAAATAAGGCAGCACCTGGGAAAAAAGTTTTAGTTGAGATTAAGTTTTATGTAAGTTAATGGTGGGAGATAGCTATAACAAAGCTGATATACTATTTACATTGAAAGAAATAGATGATGTCTCAAGCAAAGGAAGTTTTATTATTATTAATTATTGCACCCCATGATGACCAGATCATGCCAAAAGCATTGTCTAAATTTCCTGTGTAGCATGCTTTAACATCAACAAATTTAATGAGGTCCAGAAGATAGCAATAAAGATGGCGAAGGAAGCTTGAGAACATGCCACAAGATGAGAACTATAAGAAACTGGGATGCTAAGCCTGGAGAAGGGAAAGTTTGTGGGCTACATGAT
The DNA here is from genome assembly GCF_000001405.40 of Homo sapiens. Lineage (NCBI taxonomy): Eukaryota > Metazoa > Chordata > Mammalia > Primates > Hominidae > Homo > Homo sapiens. The sequence goes on from NC_000006.12 coordinate 86,196,788, forward strand.
GGTGATTTTAAGTATGTGAGAGGCTGGGGGAGAAAGTAGACTTTCGCTGAATGACTATCTGGTTCTCTGTGAAGAAGCATTAAGTTATTATGCAACAAGGGCCAATGTCTATGTCTGAGCTGTTGAGCCGGGTAAATACCAGAGGATGACTAAATTCCCTCTGTTCTCAGACTTGTATAGGGAAAAGAAATACAAGTCGTAAAGAATCATTTTTATTGTCATCTTTTTTTGGTGGAGTATATCTGTGATAATAGATAGATAGATAGGTAGATATGAGTGTTCCGTCTTACTTCCAGACTGAAAAATCACAAACCATACAATTCAGAATTGCTGTGGAACATCTGAGTTCCTACATGATAAACCACTACCTAATATACAGATTTGTGTTTTGCTTAGCTCACATGAGCAATTTATATTTTCCTCTGGTGCAATGACAAGTCAGACTTCTTGGCAATTCCCTTGAGGTGCTCAGTATGATACAAAAATTGGGCATTAGAATCTTTTATTTTGGCTTTCATAAATGAGAATCACAATGAGGGGGGATGGCTTGTGCTGTGGTTTGAATGTGTCCCCTAAAGTTCATGTGTTGGACACTTACTCCCCAGTGTGACAGTGTTGAAAGGTGAGGCCTAATGGGATGTGTTTAGGTCATAGGGGCTCAACCTTTATGAATAGATTAATGCTGATTACAAAAAGTTTTGAGGTTGTGAGTTAGATCTTTTGCTGTCTCACATCCTTTTGCTTGTCTTCTGCCTTCTGTTATGGGATGATGCAGCATGAAAGCACTCACCAGAGGCAGTCCCTCAGTCTTGGACTTCTCAGCCTCCAGAATCATGAACCATATGAACTATTGTTCATAAATTGCCCCCAGTCTGTGGTATTCTGTTATAGAAGCACAAAATGGGTTAAGACAGCTTCTGAGAGCATTTTGTGCTTTCAATCTAGAATTAAATGCCAATTAGTGTGATCTCAGAAGAACTGCATTGCTAACTCTGGAAGTAGAATAGTCCTAGAGGAATGGAGTAATTAATTATTCACCATTTAGCTCTATATATCCAGAATATTCTACCAAATCAGACTCCAATCTGTTAAAAATAAGTATTATGGGTGACATACAAAGACTTTCTAACCTGTTCTCTTTCCTGCAAACTTTCCTTTTAAAGTCAGGTATCAGGTAGAATATTGGGTACTATGAGAAACTCTTAAACAAAACAAACTTGAATTCATGAAAAGACAAATAATTTCATGCCCATCTTCTGTAGAAATACAGTTGCACAAAGCTTTATATATATTGGACTTTACAAAAACAGTTTCTATAAACACAACACAGCTCTTTAATTGGGCAAGATTTAAGAGTTAAAAATTTTAAATAAATTATTTAGGTTACTTTGCCTAACACAAGACCTTTTTAGGCTTACTGCTACTATTTTCATTTCTAATAATAACAAGTAATATTTCTAGGTGTAGTTGTTATATTTCAGAAATGTGACTTGGCTAAGAGTATTCCTAAATCTAGCAATAGCGAGTCATATTTTTATGAATCCAATAGCAATAATGGCAAAAACAAGTATTAGTGTTATTCAGGGCTAGGTAATTGTGACTTATATAGTACTTATCACTTTCTTTTTTTTTTTTTTTTTTTTTTGAGATGGAGTCTGGCTCTGTTGCCCAGGCTGGAGTACAGTGGCATAATCTGGGGTCACTGCAAGCTCTGCCTCCTGGGTTCACGCCATTCTCCTGCCTCAGCCTCCCGAGTAGCAGGGACTACAGATGCCCGCCACTGCACCTGGCTAATTTTTTGTATTTTTAGTAGAGACAGGGTTTCACCGTGTTAGCCAGGATGGTCTCCATCTCCTGACCTCGTGATCCGCCCGCCTCAGCCTCCCAAAGTGCTGGGATTACAGGCGTGAGCCACCATGCCCGGCCGTGCTTATCACTTTCTAAAATTTATTATCTCATCTGATCCTATAGATACTATCCCTTGAGATTTGTTTTTTGTTATTATCTATACTTTATTCATGAAGAAACAGATTTACAAAGTGCATATAACATGTTTAAACACAGTTAGAAACTTGCACAGGTGAAATTTAAATTGAGAATTTCAAATTCTATGCTAATTCTATTTTGCCAAGCCACATAGAATGCATCTTGAAGGAGGAGTTCAGGTTGCTGAGGCACCTGAGAGAGGAACATGACCAAACATAGCTCTCACTAGGAAAAACCTCCACTTGAAGAAAACAAGAACATTTTGTCAAATAGTATAGAACATGCTAACAATAGTAGTGTTTATAATACTTAAAAAAATCTATTTTTATCACCAAAGACAGGAAGGAAGGCTGCATTCTCTTGTTGAGAATTGCAAAGGATGTACTTTTAGGGAGGGTCATAGATTACAGATCTTGAAGAAGTTGTGAAAAACATTGGGATAGAAACTCAGTCACTTTGTTAAACTCTGCATGACTGGCTTAGACAACATAGGAGGGTAAGTGCCTTAATTTGATTGTAGAGTTTGGAAGGAAAAACTGGGAGAGTGTAGTCCAGATATTTCCTCTTGCTTCCTCATCTTGAGAGCTGCTGTCCTCACAAAGACTGTGCCTTGCTCTGCTTCTTCAGACTGCAAGTTTTACAGATGCAAGCACCATACTGGAGTTTTAAAGATGCAGGCATGATACATACAATTTTACGAATGCAAGCACCACTTGTGGAGTGTACAGATGCAGGTATCACACATAAAATTTTAAAGATGTAGGTGCCATACATGGAAACCACTGGTGACAGATATGTGGCCTTGCCTAATTCTGAGGCTTGCACTACAGATGAAAGCCATATTCTTGAATATCACTTGACCAGTAATAAAGATAATATATTTCCTCCTCTATCTGCCTTGCACTTGTATAGTTCATTTGGCAAAAAAACTTAGAGAATGGAGGTGATAATTTATTGGGACCCTTCAAATTTCAACATTAGGTTAGATATTTGGAGGGTCCCTGATTAATATAATATATAGGTCCCAAATCCATATGTATTTCTAATATATATTTTCCAATAACAGCACAAAAGAGCTAGGTAGGAACAAGGCTATATTGGTCTAAGGAAATAACCTCAAATGGTAATTTGAATCCACACGAAAAAATGAGATCCAAAAATGATTAAAAAGAAAATAAATATAACAAAAGCCATAAATATATACTTGTCCTTTCTTCTTTCAAAGATATAAAATTATATAAAATAATAACTATAACAATTTACTGTTGGTTTTGTAACATTTATAGATGTAGTATTTATAACAATATCAGAAAAAGGGGTAAAAGGGAATGGAACTATACAGAAATGTTTCTATGGTTCACTGGAATTAAGTTTGTATAAATCTGATAAAATGTATATGGTAAGCTCTAGAGCAACTAAACTAAAATATGCATAGTAGAGATTATTTAAAAAATTACATGCTATATTTGAAGACATTTACTACTGCAAAATAAGTGTTAAAGTAGAATAACAAACAATGGAGTAATAAATTTAAACAAGGGAGTGCAAGACTTATGCAATGAAAACTACATAACATCATTGATAGAAATTAAAGACCTAAGTAAATGGAAGGAAATCTTGTGTTCAGATATTGACTTAATATTGTTAAGACATGATATGGTTTGGCTGTGTCCCCACCCAAATCTCATTTGGGTTTGAATTGGAAGAAGAAATAATTAGCAAACTTGAAAATAGATTGATGAAGATTATGCAATCTAAAGTAGAGAGAAAAAAAGATGCATAAAAATGAACAGAGCTTCACAGAAATATGAGACGTCAAGTGCACCAACATACACATAATGAGAGTACCAGAAGGAAAGGAGAGAGTGAAAGAAGCAGAAAAAATATTTATAAAAATGATAGCAGAAAATTTCCAAATTTATTAAAAAACAATCTACACATTCAGGAAACTCAATAAACGTCACATAAAATAAATACACATGTTGTGGGAGGGACCTGGTAGGAGTTAATTAAATCATGGGAGCAGGTCTTTTCAATGCTATTCTTATAATAGTGAATAAGTCTCACAGAATCTGATGGTTTTAAAAAGGGGAGTTTCCCTGCACAAGCTCTCTTTCGGCCTGCTGCCATCCATATAAGACGTGACTTTGCTCCTCCTAGCCTTCTGCCATGATTGTGAGACTTCCCCAGCCATGATTGTGAGACTTCCCCATGCCTTTTGCCAGGATTATGAGACTTCCCCAGCCTCTTTCTTTCGTAAATTGCCCAGGCTCAGGTATGTCTTTATCAGCAGTGTGAAAATGGACTAACACAAGTCATTAATACCCAAATTTGTCTATAGATTCAATGCAATCCTTTCTCAAAATCCAACTGCTGTTTTGCAGTAATGGACAAGTTAATATCTAGAAAAAACAAAGCAATATTGAAAAAGAAGAACAAAACTTAATGACTCACACTTCCTGATTTCAAAACTTACTGCAAAGTGACAGTAATTAAGATAGTGTGGCACAAAGTTAAAAATAGAGATCAATGCAATAGATTGAAAGTCCAGAAATAAGTCCACATGTCTATGGTCAGCTATTTTTTTTCTAAGATCATCAAATGGAGTAGAGAATAGTCTTTCCAACAAATGTTACTGGGATACCCAAATAGCCACAGGCAAAAGAATGAGGTTGAACTCTTACCTCATGCTATAAACAAAATTAATTCTAAGTGAATCAAGAATCTAAATGTAAGATCCAAAACTATAAAACTATTAGAAGAAAATATAGGGGTAAATCTTTGTGATCTCAGATTTGGCAATGATTCTGAGATGACATTAAAAGCACAGGCAATAAAAGAAAAATGGATACGCTGGACTTTATTAAAATTAAAAATGTTTTGTTCTTCAAAGGACATTATCAAGAAAGTGAAAAAACAGCCTACAGAAAGGGGGAACATTTACAAATTATATACCTGTAATAAACTGAAGAACTCTTACAACTCAATAATAAGAAGACAACTCAGTTAACAAACATTCAATGGATCTGAGGAGATATTTCTCTAAGATATACAAATGGCCAATAAGCACATGAAAGCAGATTCAACATTAGTTATCAGGGAAATGCAAATCATACCAGAGAGAAATATTACTTCTCATCCACTGATGGTTAAAATTAAAAAGTGAGACTAAAAACTAGTTTGGGCAAAAATGTGGAGAAATCAGAACCCTCATACACTGCTGGTGGGAATGGAAAATGGTACAACTACTTTGGAAAGCAGTCTGCAATTTTTCAAACTGCTAAATACATAGTTACCATTTTATCTAGCAATTACATTCCTATGTGTATATCCAAGAGAAATGAAAACACATGTCCACAGAAAGACTTGTATAAGAATGTATATAGCAGCATTTTTCAATAGCCAAAAGATGAAAACAACTCAAATGTTCATCAACTAACAAATGAATAGACAAAATGTGGTATATATATACAATAAAATAATATTGTTATTAAAACAAATGAGGTACCAAACATGCTACAACATGGCTGAACTTTGAAAACACTAGATGAAGTCAAAGTAGCCAGACACAAGAGGTAACACATTGTATGATTCTATGATATGAAATTCCGTGAACAGGCAAATCAATAGAGACAGAAAGATTAGATTAGTTGTTACTTATGGCTGAGGGCAACGGAGAAATACAGGATGGTAGGTAAAGGGTAAAGTTTCTTTTTGAGGTGATGAAAATGTTTTAAGATTGACTGTGGCCCAAACATATATCTGTGAATATATTGAAAACATTGACTTGTACTTGGGAGAATTATAGGGTATGTGAACTATATCTCAACAATCCAATTGGAGATAAACTAGAAATTTTTAAAATGTATGAGTAACAAAGGCATATATTTAGAGTTTAAAAATACTTTGCTTCTTTAATTCCAGAACTTTCCTTTTAATTTCTAGTGTCTGCCTTGCATGCCTATCTCTGGGAACACGAATTGCATTGTCTGGCCAATAGAAGGTTAATCTATGAACCCTTCAGAATTCCTCACTCTGAATAATTATCTTTTAAACCTCCCTGCTATGCACAAGAGTCTGAGTCCAACTTCCACAAAGTCAGGTTAGATTCCTAGAAATTGGAAAATAAAAGTTACTACCACTTTGAGAAACAAATTTGTTTCTATTAAGAATAGAATTTGGCTTTGGTCACATTTGGTGGTATTTTAGTTTCAGAGGAATTTTTTTTCCTGACCAATGTTCCACTCTAATTTTCTTCTAAGCACCAAAGACCAAAGCAGTCAGCTTAACATGATTTACAAAGCAAATGTGAGGATTGCCGTGTGTGGGTTCATCGCGCTCTGAGACACTACTCAGTGGAAGAAAAGAACTGTCCTGTCAAGTACCAATTACAGAAACTGTGGAATCCCCCCCTGGACTGAGGCTGAAGCTTTAAGCTGAAAGAGGCTTAAAGGCAGAAAGAGAAACACATACTCTTTCCACTGGGCTGTCTCATGGTAGAGTGCCCTTCAGGTGTGTGGAATAAAGAGGAAGTCAGTTGCAAAAGACAAACAAATTTGCATAGTTTCTGTCTTTGAATGGTTCCTGTGAAGAGACAAACTGAAAACATAGTGGTGAATGTAAATAACAGGTTGGATGAGACTAAAAAATAAAAATAGGAATCCTGGAAATGAGAATTTGGGGGAGCCTCTGGCAGTTTCAGAGCATTTAAATTCTCTACAAGCCTTGGGTTATGTAGCTTGTGCCTGAATCCAGCTGAAAAGATCAGAAAAAGAAGGCCTAGAATTATGCCTTTCTGGCTATTTTCTCTTTTGTGGATTATTTAGTCCAAGATAAACAGAACATTGGCAAAAGCAACCCTCTTTAAGGGAGAGAATCAAGTATTTCCCCTGTCTTTTCTATTCAAACTGTACCCTAGGGTAATCAAATGGTTGATGAGGGAAGTTTTTCTTTCTAGAAATAGTCCAGCCAGTAAATAAAGGAGGAATAATAGAATCAGAATATCACCATTTTGCAACCATTAATTTATGAATACAGGAAATACTCTTCAACAGCTGCAAACATCATAGAAAGAGACAATCAGATGCAAGAACTCACTACCACATAAGAAATTGTCTTGCCCCCCTAATTGAATCTGAATCCAATCCCTCATCTATATCTAACTACCAATTTATAGGAAATGCAAAGGACAAAGGAACATGTCAAATGTTATGATGAGAATGGAACTGAAAAATAATCCAAACTGTGGGATGCTCTAGAGGAAAAATAACCCATTGCTTTCACAAACATTATCAAATTATAAGAAAGAATATGGTAGGGAGAACCTATAGATTAAAAGAGATTTAAGAGAAATGTTAAACAATTAGCATGTATAAACCTTATTTACTCTTCATTCAAATAAATGGTAAAAGAGAAAGTAAGGAATAAAAACCATAGTTAAGACAATTCTTAACATCAACAATACAATGTCAAAAATTATTTTTAATTTGGGAGATATGATGGTATTGTGGTTGTTATATGTCTTTGGAAGATACAAACTAAAATACTTACAGGTGAAGTGATATAATATATGAAATTTGCTACAAAATAATGCAGGTGAGGAAGTGGAGGTATGTAGAGGAAACAAGATTGGCCATGGATTGATAATTATTGAAGCTGGGTGATGAGGACTTGGAGGTTCATTGAACTATTCTCCCTACTTTTGTATATTTGGTGTTTCTATAACAAAAATGTAAAAATAAGATAACACCACCAACAAGGGATAGGAGAAAACAATGTGTTTAATTAAAGTTTAGAATTAAACATGTATTTGTTATTCAAGGAATTTTCTTACTCATATAAAAGCCCCAAAATGGTAAACGTACCATTTTCTCTAGGTTGAAAAAATGCTTGTTTATAATATAATGGATTCCCTAATTATACCAACTTCATAATGAAAATGTATTTTTGAGTTCTGTGTGATAACATTTTGGAATTATTAATCGGTAGTTAATGTGAAAGAAAAATAAATGACAAGATTGTGAAGTAGTTTCTCTATTTGAACCATCATATTAATAAGAGGATCTTTTCAAGATATGTTATTAATATGATGGTTCAAACAGAGAAACTACTTCACAATCTTGTCGTTTATTTTTCTTTCACATTAACTACCGATTAGTAATTCCAAAATGTTATCACACAGAACTCAAAAATATATTTTCATTATGAAGTTGGTATAATTAGGGAATCCATTATGGCACATATACACCATGGAATACTATGCAGCCATAACAAATGATGAGTTCATGTCCTTTGTAGGGACATGGATGAAATTGGAAACCATCATTCTCAGTAAACTATCGCAAGAACAAAAAACCAAACACCGCATATTCTCACTTATAGGTGGGAATTGAACAATGAGATCACATGGACACAGGAAGGGGAATATCACACTCTGGGGACTGTGGTGGGGTGGGGGGAGGGGGGAGGCATAGCATTGGGAGATATACCTAATGCTAGATGACGAGTTAGTGGGTGCAGCGCACCAGCACGGCACATGTATACATATGTAACTAACCTGCACAATGTGCACATGTACCCTAAAACTTAAAGTATAATAAAAAAAAAAAAGATATTTTAAACTTTTTCCTGAATAAATATTCTTTCCTTTCTCTCCAAAAATCTGAATTATTCTCATTATTCAGGTTCTTAATGCTTATTTATTAAAATGATTTGAACCAATATGCCTTCCATTTCCACCTGAATAGTAAGTTTTTTGTTTTTTTTTTTAACATGGAGATGGTTGTAGGGAAAAACAATAACCCCTGTAGGTTCTTAGTTGGAACAGGGCCTCCTGTTACAAAAGACAGATTAACAAGAGAAAAGCAAGCAGAAGTTTATTTACATGAGTTTATTTGAGGAAATAATGACAATAAACTTGCCAAAATTAAAAGAGTACTTCAGCTTGAAGGCGTCCAAAGAATGAGCAACAGAATAGGTACGGGCAAGTACACACATTTTCACAGAAATGAAATTTAATGAACCACAGATGAGAATCCTAAATATTTCCAGATAGAAAGAAAATTGTAGCTGTAGGAAAATGGCAGTATTACCTGAATCACAGAGAGAATAATAAATAATAGTGACTGGTAGAGATGTGAGGATTCTGCCGGCTGCTGAGTATATCTATTCTAATTATGCATTCCAGAACTGGAGAAATCCTGCGGACCCTATCTTTGTTGAACTGAACAAAGGATGACGAACGCAGGAATAAAGACAAAAGAGTATATTTAGAAGAAGGGGTCAGGGGGCTCATTGCTTCTAGTGAACACCGTCCCTGAGCTTTCATAGCCCTCCATATTTATTAGGTAAAAGAGATAGTGAGGGCGGGGTCGGGAGGGGGCGGCGGCAGCGGTTGTTGATGGGCAGTCTGATTTACAGCAGGCTTGCAAGACTGCATTCTTCCAACAGTAGGCTCTCAATGCCCCAGTAGATAACCTCAAGGAGCATGGCGCCAGGGAGTGATTGCCCTCAGCAAACCTTCTGGTGGCAGGTACAGTCGTGAGTTTGCCCACATCCTGCATTCATGATAAACAGTTTGCTGTTTGATCATATAGCCTCAGTGGAATGCTGAGTTGGTTACAATCCCTTTGCCAGCTTTCTGCAGAGAAATAACCACAGGATTGGTTCAAGGACCCACTGGGCCACTGTGAGATGGACCTGAGCTAAAACTCCATTGATCACCTGATCTCATAAATTCCTACTCTGATTGGTATACCACAATGACTTTTTTTTTTTTTTTGTCTTGGGGATAGTGTCAATTCAAAGCCAGTATTCAGTAGTTATTTTTTAAAATACCTGTTTCCCATTCCTCAATGGTCAGTTACCCTGGTAAAAGACCCTCCGGTGCTTTAAGGAAGGCTGGGATCAAAACTAACAGTATAAATTGTGGTAGTACAGCAGGATCCTTCCTCAAGGGAGCCTGTCCTCTTCCTCATTCAAAGGGTTTTGAGTCTGTAAACTGGTTCAAGTCTAGAAATTGATTGAAGGTTCATGACTCTCAGTTTTCATGATTCAGGTTAGACTTTGTTCATTTGCCCTAGAACTTTTCAGCTTATATAGATCAAGTAAAAATTTAGTAGGCATACAATCTATTTCACTCCTAGAGACACCATGTCAACTATTCTGATTGCTGTCCATTATGGTAACCATACCTACTTTGCCTTTGGTGATTGAGTACCAACACATGGCCCCAGACATTCTGAGATCCAACTACTCTCTTATTACATTTAAATTTCCCAATCTAATGACCACAGTTCTCACTTGTAAGGTCTGGCCTACAGAAAATGTGATCATAGAGCTCTTCTAGGATACTGGGCCTTCTCTCACAAATTTATTTTTCACAATAGTGATGAAAGATATGTCTTCTGGACCCATCCAGGGTGGATGATTAGATCTTAAATGACAAATCAAGGCTGACATTCCAATCTTTCTACACCTTTGAATGCTTTCCTCTACATTAAACAAAGGCAGGTCCAGCATTTTCAACTCACTCACTGTGGGCCACCTTTTGATTCATGCTTCAGCCCACCAAACAAATAAACTGTTAGAACCCTTTCTAATTCCCTGAGCTAGAGCACTAAATACAGAATCTCTGCTTTGTGAGCCCATTTCAATAAATTCATCCTGATCCAACTTTATGTTTCTCTACCATTATCCCACATCTTTAATATCCACTCCCACATATGTTACCTAACCTATATCTGTATAAATTAGAAAACTTAAGTCATTCTTTTGGAGTATAGCACATCTTGTCATGAGTTGCATTTTCTACCTCACCTACCTTTAGGTTCTTGCTGGAACTTGAGTCTAATTACAGATCTAGAAGCAAAGATGGATGGTGGCGTTTGGTTCCGAGGAGACTCAGCTCTATCTTGCATGGCAACTGCCTCAGGGGAGGCCATTACAAGTTCCTCTGGAAATGCAGGGTTAATCCTCCCAGACCAGGATAGAGAGGCCACTGTCATTGAAGGTGGGGTGATTGCTCCCACTACGGGTGCAGAGCCATCTCCTCTTGGGGATGGGGAGGCCTCTTCCACTGGCAAAGATTCATCAGAATTTAGGGGGTCAATATCTGCAGCTTTATTAGGGGTTTCTTACACTTACTCGTATTATCATGATCTCATTTCTTCCTAATCAATGCCCTTACTTTAAAAGTAGACATTTTATGAGGCTCGGTGTTCAACTTACATTGTAATTCAGCCAGTTGTAGAAGGCCGTTTTGAGTTTGATTTTTCAGCAATTTTGGTCCTGAGGCCATAGGAGAGATGGTTCTTCTTCAGAGCTCACATAGAAGCTTTCAGGTCATTTATGAGGTGCATGAACTGGCAGTGTGAATTTCTGAGTTTGCCTGAGCTTTTCTTTTCCCATTTTTATGTAGTAACATTACCTGCCTTTGCTTCTAGATCCACCACCCATCTTTGCTTCTAGATCTATAATTAGACTCATTACCTGTGTTAGTTTGCCAAATATGTTAAAAATATTATATACATAGTCTCCCAGCTCTTTGCTTCTTATAAGTGATTGATTAGGAATAACAAATGAAGATATTTTGCATGTCTCTATTGCCAGATCACACCACAGGCTATTAATGCTCTCTTTTCTACTAAATTTAGAGTCATTAGTGTCTTTAATCAGATTATAGGTCCAATCACAGAAACACTAGCGTCAGTTTTGATAACTCATCCTTAAAATTCTATTTCTCTAGGACTACTCTTGTTTCCAAAGTATGTATTAGTCTGGGTTCTCCAGAGAAACAGAAGTAATAGGATGTCTGTGTGTGTGTGTGTGTGTATATATACATATATAGCTATATATATACATATATACATATTTTGCTATATATATTTATATATTATATATTTATATATACTATATATTTATATATAGTATATATAGCTATATATATTTTATATATATATATTTATATATATTATATATATATATATATATATATATATATGAAGATGGAGACCCAGGAGAGCTGATGGTTCTAGTATGAACATTTCCTGTATGAAAGCCAGCAAGCTTGAGACCCAAAAAGAGCTGATGTTGGGATCCAAAGACAGGCAGGCTGATGTTCCTGCTCAAAACTGTCAGGCAGTAGGAGCTCATTGTCACTCTTGGGAAGGTCAGCCTTTTTGTTGTATTTATTCAAGCCCTCAATTGATTTTATGGAGCCAACCCACATTAAGGAGGGCAATCTGCTTTACTTGGTCTACAATCCAAATGTTAATCTCATTCAAAAACACTTTCACAGACACACCCATATAATATTTGACAAAATATCTGGCACCCTGTGGCCCATTCAAATTGACACATAAAATTAACCATCACACATAGTATCAATAATATATGAGAGTTTCAGTTGCTTCAGATCCTAACACTTGGTAAAGTCAGTGTTTTTACTATAAGCCATTCTAGTGAGTATGTAGTAGTATCTTACTGTGGTTTTAATTGGCATTTTACTGATAACTAATTATATTGAGCACCTTTTCTGTACTTATTTGTCCTTCATATACTTTCATTTGTGAAGTATCTATTCAAATCTTGTGCCCATTTTTATTCAGTTGCTGTCTTATTATTATTAGGTTGTATATATTCTGGGTACAAGTCCTTTGTAAAACATGCACATTATGAATATTTTGTCCATATATAGGTAAGGCTTGCCTTACCTATATATACATGTCTCCGTGTATGCATACTTCGCAGTATTAGTGTATATGTGTATCTAGGAGTATATGTATATTTGTGTATAGACATATAGTTCTTTTACTCTAATTTTAGTGGCATTTTGGGAGGTAGCAGTGAATAAATGCATATGTTTAGTTTAACATATTTTGCTAAAGTTTATAATTATTCATCTGAGCTTTCTAAGTGATATTTACAACCCCTTTAGAGTATATGCTACACGACATTATATAAATGTCTGTTTACATGTTTTCCTTCATTCCTTGCTGGATTCTAGGCTCATTGAGGGTAAGGTCAGGTATTCATCTTTGTACTCCCAGTGACTAGCATAGTACTTGGCGTATATTATATACTTCAGTAGATTGAAAAATAGACACTACTTATCTTGGGAGAAGTTTGTCTAGGATTGTGATGGTTTGTCTTGGATTGTGATGGTTCTGTCTAGGACTCTTTTCTCTCCTTTTGTCATGTCAGTGTGTACTTTTTGGAAACTTCAACTGGAAATGTAGAGTATGAAAAGTCTGAGTGTATTTTATAAAGTCTTCTCTAATTAAATTATAATAGGCTTTAAATGAGAACAAGGGTCAGCAAACTTTCTGTAAAGGGCCAGAGAATAAATACTTTCAGCTTTGTGGACAACATGGTCGGCTATGCAATTTTGCTGTTGTAGCATGAAAGTAGCCTTAGACATTACATAAATGAATGAGCATGGCTGTGTTCAAATAAAACCTCATTTAAAAAGAGGCAGTCATAAAAAAGAATGAGATCACATCCTTTTCAGGGACACGGATTAAGCTGGAAGCCATCATTCTCTGCAAACACAGGAACAGAAAACCAAACACCGCATTTTCTCACTTATAAGTGGGAGTTGAACAATGAGAACACATGGATGCAGGGAGGGAAACAACACACACCAGGGCCTGTTGGGGGGTGGAAGGCTGAAGTAGGAGGATTGCTTGAGCCTAGGAGTTTGAGGCTGCAATGAGCTATAATCACACCACTGTACTCAGGCCTGGGTGACAGAGCAAGAGTCTGTCTCAAAACCAAACCAAAACAAACAAAAAACCAAAACAGCCTGGTTTGTTGCCTTTTATAGATGTTCCAAAGCTCTGCTCCTTTCAATCAGCTTTCTATGCCTTAGTTGGAAATAAGACCAGACAGACAAGAATTATCTCACATTTTGAGAAAGCTTCTCATATGAAAAGCACAAAGGCAACTAACTAGCAAACTAGCTTACCTAATAACTTAATACAGCGTATAATAAAAAACAGATAAATTTGAGAGCAGAGTAAACTTTATGAAAAAAAGATATTACTTCTGTGAAACAGGACCTGATTTATACAGAAAAAGATAATCAAAATTATTCTCAAGAAAAAGCTTTTCCTCCAAATAACAAACAAACACTTTTTAAAAAAGGATTAGAAGATAATGTCAAAGAAATTGCTTAGAAAATAGAACTCAAGCATTCTTATACACCAACAACAGACAAACAGAGAGCCAAATCATGAGTGAACTCCCATTCACAATTGCTTCAAAGAGAATAAAATACCTAGGAATCCAACTTACAAGGGATGTGAAGGACCTCTTCAAGGAGATCTACAAACCACTGCTCAAGGAATAAAAGAGGATACAAATAAATGGAAGAATATTCCATGATCTTGGGTAGGAAGAATCAATATCGTGAAAATGGCCACATTGCCCAAGGTAATTTATAGATTCAATGCCATCCCCATCAAGCTACCAATGACTTTCTTCACAGAATTGGAAAAAACTACTTTAAAGTTCATATGGAATCAAAAAAGAGCCCGCATCGCCAAGTCAATCCTCAGCCAAAAGAACAAAGCTGGAGGCATCACACTACCTGACTTCAAACTATACTACAAGGCTACAGTAACCAAAACATCATGGTACTGGCACCAAAACAGAGATATAGATCAATGGAACAGAACAGAGCCCTCAGAAATAATGCCACATATCTACAACTATCTGATCTTTGACAAACCTGAGAAAAACAAGCAATGTGGAAAGGATTCCCTATTTAATAAATGGTGCTGGGAAAACTGGCTAGCCATATGTAGAAAGCTGAAACTGGATCCCTTCCTTACACCTTATACAAAAATCAATTCAAGATGGATTAAAGTCTTAAATGTTAGACCTAAAACCATAAAAACACTAGAAGCAAACCTAGGCATTACCATTCAGGACATAGGCATGGGCAAGGACTTCATGTCTAAAACACCAAAAGCTATGGCAACAAAAGACAAAATTGACAAATGGGATCTAATTAAACTAAAGAGCTTCTGCACAGCAAAAGAAACTACCATCAGAGTGAACAGGCAACCTACAAAATGCGAGAAAATTTTTGCAACCTACTCATCTGACAAAGGGCTAATATCCAGAATCTACAATGAACTCAAAGAAATTTACAAGAAAAAAACAAACAACCCCATCAAAAAGTGGGCGAAGGACATGAACAGACACTTCTCAAAAGAAGACATTCATGCAGCCAAAAAACACATGAAAAAATGCTCACCATCACTGGCCATCAGAGAAATGCAAATCAAAACCACAATGAGATACCATCTCACACCAGTTAGAATGGCAATCATTAAAAAGTCAGGAAACAACAGGTGCTGGAGAGGATGTGGAGAAATAGGAACACTTTTACACTGTTGGTGGGACTGTAAACTAGTTCAACCATTGTGGAAGTCAGTGTGGCGATTCCTCAGGGATCTAGAACTAGAAATACCATTTGACCCAGCCATCCCATTACTGGGTATATACCCAAAGGACTATAAATCATGCTGCTGTAAAGACACATGCACACGTATGTTTATTGCGGCATTATTCACAATAGCAAAGACTTGGAACCAACCCAAATGTCCAACAATGATAGACTGGATTAAGAAAATGTGGCACATATACACCATGGAATACCATGCAGCCATAAAAAATGATGAGTTCATGTCCTTTGTAGGGACATGGATGAAATTGGAAATCATCATTCTCAGCAAACTATGGCAAGAACAAAAAACCAAACACCGCATATTCTCACTCATAGGTGGGAATTGAACAATGAGAACACATGGACACAGGAAGGGGAACATCACACTCTGGGGACTGTTGTGGGGTAGGGGGAGGGAGGAGGGATAGCATTGGGAGATCTACCTAATGCTAGATGACGAGTTAGTGGGTGCAGCGCACCAGCATGGCCCATGTATACATATGTAACTAATCTGCACATTGTGCACATGTACCCTAAAACTTAAAGTATAATAATAATAAAAAAAAGAAAATAGAACTAAAAGAAAGACGAACAGGTATTCAAGTACTGACTAACTGGAATTTTGGAAAGATGGAACAGGTAAAATTATGGAAATTATCAAACAAGTGATGTAAGGCATTTTCAATGATGAAATTACTGAGTCTAAAATAGATAATAAAAAACTCTAAGGCATATATCATGAAACTTCAAAACACCAAGAGTAAATAAGAGCTCCTTTAGGTACCAAAATGAGAAATGAAGTCACCATCAAAAGTTCAGGTTGGGTATCAGTGTGGTACTGGATTTTGAAGCAGCAAATCTAGGCACCAAAACACAATGAAGCTCTGTGAAGAAATCATGATAAAATAATCTTCCTAATATTTAATATTGGTCATCACACTTTGTTTAAATTTTTCAATCATTTCTCATAATGAGGGTTTAAGGTCCACAGTCCTAAGAATGGTGTGTCAGATCACTCCCAGGCTGAATCCAGGTGTCTTTCCCATGTTTCTGTCATCACTCTTCACATGAAAAATTAAGATTTTTATATAAGGCAAGTTATTTACCCAATGTTTCCCTGAACATTTTGTACATGTCCATGTCTTTTGCCTTAATGTAAGCCTGAGGGAAAGACACTTATTCTTTCTTCTATTCTTCTATTATTCTAATAATTCCACACCCAGTTCAAAAGTTCTCTCCTCCTTCAAGTCTTCCCCATCCCTCCTCTCATCCAAGTCAAGAACAATTAATCACTCTGCTGTGCTCCCGTGATTTAAAATAATAAGAGTTTTTCTATCCAATGTCATCACATTATAACATAATAATAACATAATGTTATGTTATAACATAACATAAAAATCATAGAACATGATTTTTACCTTCCCCTCACAATTTCAAGCTCCTTGTGAGTATGGCTCATGTTTTTGCTTTATTATATTATTATATATTTAAATTTGCTTTATATACATAAGATCACAGCCAAGGAGGTTAACCATAATTTCACATTTTTGTACCAGCCACTTGTGCTTTTCACATTTGAAAATAATAATCATTCTGTTTGCTTCAAACAGTGATCTATAAATTTGTTTAGACAATAATTAAGGGCTTTTTCTTCTTTAGGATAATAAGAATATTAAATGATGTATTGAAGATACTACTAAAGAAATGACTTTTTGATTATAGTCTCTGCATTGAAGATTGGTAGGAATTTTTCTAATTTTCAAATCTTCCCACAACCTCTTTATTCAAAGAAATATTGTCTTGGAAATAATTTGTGTGAAAAATTTACAAATCAAAAATTAACTCACAAGATGATATTACCATAATCACTCATTTAACAAGTCTCCTAAGTATTTTCTGTATCAGTTTTCTTGATTATAAAATGTCAATAATATGAACACACTCTTAATGTAACAGAATATTTAATTACATCTGTTTCCCTCAACCCACCAAAGTCATTTAATAATTATATTGGCTGTTTTCACTGATTGGCAGGAGGCTCTTCCACTATTGCCCCCCATGGTTTCCACTGCATCGTTTTTCTCACCACATTTAGTTCATTTTCAGCCTGATGAATCACCTCTTCTATTTGGCCATCTTGAAGTTGGTCTTCTAATTTTTTAACATCTGGTTCTACTTTAAGCATAGCTAGCTTCTCATTTGTAATCTGTTCTGTACACTTTTTATATGCTGCATTTTTAGGGATTTGCTCAAGAACATCAAGGATCTTTGTGTACAATATTCTTAGCCTCTCATGTGGATTCTCACATACAGCCAATCTCACAGGACCAGTAGTCTTCTTCAGCACACCTTGTCCCATATTTAATTACTCTTTGCATCCCAGTGCCTAGCTTCATGCCTGCATAAAGTGATAGTAAATATCTGTTAAATTGAAATGAATCAGTAAACATTCTAAAGTAAAAACCAAAACATCACAGCCACAGTAGGGCCTATAGGACATGTCTGAAATCTACTCAACATTTAATTAGTGGTTTCTTGGTAGATTGATATAGAAATTCAATTTTTCTCTGATCTGTGAACAAGACATTTCTTTTACCCATTAGCCAAATGTGCTATATCAACTAATTGGGGTGGGGTGATTTCTCTCTTCTAATAGATGTACACTTACTCCCATCAATATAGGGTGCTAAAACATTTTCATATTATCTTTTTGTTTTTCATTCTCCTAGAAAAGTCATTGTCAGAAGAGAACAGGGATGCAAGCTTAAAATTAGTTAAGTGAAAACAGGGTCATCTCTTGGAAATTTTATTAAAAAAATTTATAAAAAAAATTTTTATAAAAAAATTTTCTCCTGTTTGGCAGAGTTATAATTCTGCCATAACAGGTATCATAAAATTTATAAAAGAATAGGCACATTTACTTGGGGGCAATGCTCTAAAATTTCAAATGATGGGAAACATGCCAACCTCTAACATGAATAAACTTTTATCAAAATGAGCTGCATATTTCAGTTTTCTAAATCTGGAATTAAAAAAAAAACAGGGACCATTTTCTTCAAATGTTGAACAGCATCATGTTTGAGAGAAGACAGTTAATTTAAAACATTAGAGGAAAATTGATGGAGTTGTTAATGGAAAATGGAAGATTACAGCTTTTAGTGACATGTTAGACAAGCACATTTAAACAATTTAAAAGTGCTTTTCCCCCACAGGATCACTTATGTCTCATTTCTGAGTTGTCAGTGTATCTAATTCATTCCAGCTGCTTCTGATTAGTTCATCTTTTTGAAGCGATGCAGTTTCATTGTGATAAGAGAAATGTATCTTTTCTTATGCATACGCAAAAAAAGCTCTCAGCAGTATCCATCAAAGGTCCTTATGATGATTAAGCTACATTTCAAAGATAAGAGTCTGACCAAATAGCCAGGACATCAGAGATGAAGTTTTCAAATGACCAAGCATTTGAGAACTCTATGCATTCCACATCTTAAAAATCTTCAGGATTTTGCCTAGAAAAGTCTAATCCATGCATCACTCCTAAAAAAAAATAAACAGACAAAAAGGTGTGTGTGTGTCTGTGGTGTTTCAAAGCAAGGAATATGTGACCCATATCTTATTTTATACTAAAGTTACTGTGTCATCCCAAAAGAAAGAAGGGTTCCAAGCTGCTGGAGTGGACCCAGACAAGGAGCACTGGTGGGTGAGTGTCTTTTCATTTGGAACTAAACAAGCAGAAGGTAGTGAGAGTTTGAATATCAGGTGCCTGCTATAATGTGTGAGGACAGAGCTTTGAACCAGAGCTGTAGAACTCAGTTTCACTGGGTGAGTTTGTCGGTATAGACCTTATAGAAACCATCCCACAGGAGATCACAGGTGACTTCTAGGAGGTGGTTGTACTCCTATACAATCTGACATGGAATTTTGGACTAAAAGTTGTCACTAGAGAAGAAAAGTGGATTCTCAGAGCTCATGGGGCTAAGAAAGGCAACATCAGATCCCCCAAAATACGGCCAAACAATTGTTCTATTCTGTCAAGTGTTAGCATTACTGCCCTATCCAAAAACTCTCATTGCATACCTGGTAAGTGCAAATACATTTCCAACCACATTTTCATACTTCCTTTCTTCCTTAAAATCCATTTTCCCATTTTCTGAGAAGGCAGGGAGGCAAGTCTGTAAGTCTGTCTTCTCTCTGTGTGGGATCACTTGGGTAGAAAAAAGAACCAGCTCTTTCACCTTCAGAACTAGAGAATGAGCCTCTAACCAGATTACAACATTGGGCAAAAGTTTGATACTATTATTAAGTATATTGATTATATTTTGAAGACACTTTCTATCAGTGCTTCTTGAGAGTGAAACCTAAGGAAGAACCAGACACCTAGTGGCCCTGGCTGAGGTGGAGGCTTTAGCAGAGGGTCAGAAGCATTTCTTATTGAGTGACTGACAATGCATTTTAGAGAAGGAACCGGTATAGTCTGATCCTGAGACGATTTATCCAACAACATAGAGAGAGTGCCTACTGCTCAGTAACCTAGGAAATCAAATGCTAAACCCCATGGTTGAACATGAAACCCATTTAAAAAGTGATAGATTAAAGTATGCACGTATGGAAGATCAGAAGCTCAGTGTCTCTGCAGTTGTGAGGCTATGTCAATCCTTTTTCTTCTCCCTTTTCTAAAACTCATAACACAACTGGCAGAGAAGCTGTCACTATAAAAATGGTTAGAGATAGATATTACTGGATTTTTTCACAAGGTGCAGGTGAGGTTTAATTTTGCAATATAAATTTTCCTTTGGGGTACCATTTGGAAAATTGTTTGCATAACTGTACCTGCTATAAAATGACAACTTTTACATTTCTTAATGTCTGTTGACCTGCTGCTTTTACAGCAATCATAAGGTGTTTTTGTTGTTATTAATACAGTAATTGTTCATGATGGGTTTCTCCCAGAAAAGCTATCATTTACATTGCTTGATGATAATTCTCACTATTGCACTTTGTGTAATGAGAGAGCTATGTAGAGCTATTTGTCTATGTAGACAAAGGCACCTGTTTTTCACATTTTCCTGTCCAAAGTACTAATTTTTCTTCTATACTATATACCTTTCTCTAGTGTTATATTGATACCATTCTCACTGGGCATCATATTTAGGCTACTAGTCTTTAAATAATTAAAACTTATGTGCTCCAAGTTGACAGTAAAATGTTTTTCCAAAGCTAAAGGACAATAGTAGTTTTTCACCACCCAACATTTAACTTATGATCATCAATCCCTAGATTCCAAAAAATTGAAAAAAGTCAAGCATCAAGACCACTTCAAAGGTTGACAATGAAGACAGAAAAATATTTAGCACTTAGAAAGCACTGGAACTGGGGTTTACCTTGACCTCCTGAAAGAAACAAGATAAAGACAGAGCTTGGGCAGCATGTTCCAGGACACCTGACAAAGTTGGGTCTCTTTGGATGTGTATAGCATTCCTCATCCTGGCTCCCATTTTTATGACTTCTCCAGATTTGGTAGCATTAAATATTTCTGCATAGAAGATGCTTGGTTCCTGACCAGGAAATAAAACATTTATCAGTGTAAAGGAATTGTTAGCCAAAATATGAAAATGCTCCATGACTATATAGGTACTGGAATTTAAACTCAGGAGTGTTTGACTCCAAGGTTAAATTTTTGTACCCTATGTTCTGCTGCTTCTCTAACAATGTGCCTGAAGTGCTATCTGGGGGCCTGCTTGCCATGACTCAAGGAATAAATGATAGCCATGGAGAGGGACCGGGCAACAACTAAAGGGATTGATAGGCTGCTACAATTGTGGTTTGTCAGATGCTTGTTTCTTTGCAATGTTTAGATAGAATGCAGCTGGGAGGTTCTGGATAAATGCAGTATTTATTGTTAGCTATGGCTCACTGCCTATAATTGCTAATATACTTGCTTTCCATAATGAGATGGAGCTGAGGAACAAATACCCTTCAGAAATCCTTTTGCCTCCTTTCTTTAAACATTAGGGAAGAGCTAGTCTAAGTAGTCCATTATGCTTCCTGGTACCAGGACTCCAACCTGATCCCGCTCAATCATTTGAGCTGAGGGGGTCTTCAAAATGAAAGGCACAACCCCACTATTCAGTAGTGAACTGTAAAAGAAAATAAATGTAAAAAGAGTATTTACAGGAGTTGGGAAAGAGTTTTTGTGTCTGCAGGAGTTGGGAAAGAGTTTTTGTGTGTAAGTAATACCCTCTGCTCTATCAGGTATTACTTATAATACCTGATACAATGTAAATGCTCTAAAATAATTGTTATACTAAATATGGAGGGTCAGTTTTATTCTGGTACTTATGTATTTTCTCAGGGCATCCAGAGCACTTGCCATTCCTAGTTCCCCAGGTCCAGTTGGCATGATGTCATCAGTATGTGCATCAGTGGGACATGTAGCAGCTTGCTCGGCTGACCAAAAGTTCTGTAGACTATATTACAAGCAGAGAGCAGGAAAATTTCACATAACCTAGGGCAAGACGGTGAATGTGTTCAAAACTCTAATTTAAAATTGGTAGGATGATATATTTTAGAAACATTTTCATCAATATGATCAAAATTTTAATGATTAGCACTTAAGCTTCAATTTTGTAGAAAATTCACATATGTAAGGTGTCTCATTTCCTGATAAAGTCCACTAAATAAAATACATGGAGTGAATTTATTTTTGGATTTTTTCTCTTTTATTGATATATAATATTTTCATATTTATGGAGTACATGTGTTCATTACATGCATAGAATATGTAATCATCAAGTCATGATTTTGGGGTTGCCATCACCTTGAGTGTTTATGATTTTTATTTATTGGTATGATTTTAAGTTCTCTCTTCTAGTTACTTTGAAATATATGTAATATTGTTGCTAAGTATAGTCACCATAGTCTGCTATTAAATATTAGAACTTCTTCTGTCTAACTGTATGTTAGTACTCATAACCAGTTTCTCTTCATTCCCCTTTCCTCATCTACTCTTCCCAGTCTCTGGTATCTATCATTCTATTCTCTATGTCCACAAGATCAAATTTTCTAGCCTTCACATATGAGTGAGAAGATATGATATTTGTCTTTCTGTGCCTGACTTATTTTACTTAACATAACCTCTAGTTTCATCCATGTTGCTGAAAATGACATGATTTATTTTTTTTAATGGCTTAATAGTATTCCATTGTGTATATATACCACATTTTCTTCATCCATTAGTCTGTTGGTGAGCGCTTAGGTTGCTTCCAAATCTTGGCTACTGTGAATAATGCTGCAATAAACATGTCAGTGCAGGCATCCCTTTGATATAGCTGATTTCTTTTCCTTCGGATAGCTGCCCAGTAGTGAGATTGCTGGATTATATGGTAGTTCTATTTTTACTTTTCTTGAGAAATCTCCATACCATTTTCCATAGTGATGTACTAATTCACATTTGCACCAACAGCATGTAAGAGCTTTTCTCCACATCCTCATTAGTATCTGTTATTATTTGTCTTCTTAATCACAGCCATTCTGACTGAGATAAGATGATATCTCATTGTGGTTTTGATTTGCATTTCACTAATGATTAGTGATAATGAGCATTTTTTATATACATGTTGGCCATTTGTATGTCTTCTTTTAAGATACGTCTATTCATGTCATTGGCCCATTTTTAAATGAGATTATTTGTTTTATTACTCTTGAGTTGTTTGAGTTAGACTTGTATATTCTGGATATTAGTCCCCTGTTGTAAGAGTAAATTGCAATTATTTTCTCCTATTCAAGAGGTTGTTCCTTCACTCTTTCGGTTGTTTCTTTTGCTGTACAGAAGAATTTTAGTTTAATTAAAACCCATTGTCTTTTTTTTTTTGTCTGTGCTTTTGAGGTCTTAGCCATAAAATCTTTGTCTAGACCAATGTCCTAAAGAGTTTTCTCTACATTTTCCTCTAGTAGTCTTATAGTTTCAGGTCTTATGTTTAAGTCTTTAACCCATCTTGAGTTGACTTTTGTATGTGGTGAGAGATAGGGGTTCAGTCTCATTATTCTGTATACAGTTATCCAATTTTCCCAGCACCATTTATTGAAGAGTGTCCTTCCTCAAGGACACTGTTTGGGGCAGCTTTGTTGAAGACTGGCTGTATATATGTAGATTTATTTCTGGGTTCTTTATTCTGTTTCATTTTGTCTATGCATTTATTTTTATACCAATAGCATGCTGTTTTGTTTACTATCACCTTGTAATATATTTTGAAGTCAAGCAGTTTGATGCCTCTAGCTTTGTTCTTTCTGCTTAGTATTGTTTTGGCTATTTGGGCTCTTCTTTGGTTCCTTACAAATTTAGGACTGTTTTTACTATTTTTGTAACAAATGACATTAATGTTTTTATAGGACTGCATTGAATTCATAGACTGTTATTGGGAATATGGTAATTTTAATGATATTAATTCTTCCAATCCATGAGCATGAAATGTCCTTTATTGTGTGTCCTCTTTAATATCTTTCATCATTTTTTTTTGAATTTTAATTGTAGCAATCTCTCACCTACTTGATTAAATTTTGTTCTTATATTGTTATTTGTAGCTACTGTAAATCGGATTGCCTTCTTGATTTCTCTTTTGGCTATTTCATTGTTGGTGTATAAAAATGCTACTGATTTTTGTATGCTGATTTTGCATCCTGCAAATTTATTGAATTTTTTAATCACTTCTAAGAGTTTTTTTGGTGGAATCTTTTGTTTTTTCTAGATATAAAATTATGTCATCTTCAAAAGGAGACAATTTGATTTCCTCTTTTCCAACCGGATGCATTTTACTTCTTTTTTTTTGCTTGATTGTTCAGCTAGGAGTTCAAGTACCATCTTGAATAGGAATGAAGAAAGTGAGCATACTTGTCTTGTTCCAGTTCTTAGAGAAAATGCTTTCAACTTTTATCTACTCGGCATAATGTTAGCTGTGGATTTGTCATATATGACCTTTATTATTTTGAGGTATGGTCCAACCATGCCTAGTTTGTTGAGAATTTTTATCATAACGAGGTATTGAATTTTATCAAATGCTTTTTCTGTGTCTATTAAGATGATGATATGGTTTTTGTTCTTCATTCTGTTGATGTGATATATCACTTTTTTTTTATTTGTATATGTGAAATCTTCCTTGCATCCTTGGGATAAATTCTACTTGATTATGTTGTATTATCTTTTTGGTGTATTGTTGGATTTGATTTGCTGACAGTTTGTTGAGGATTTTTGCATCTATGTTCATCAGAAATATTTGCCTGTAGTTTTCTTTTTTGTTGTATCCTTGTCTGGTTTCAGTATCGGAATAATGCAGGCCTTGTAGAATGAGTTAGGGAGAATACCTTCCTCTTCAATTGTTTAGAATACTTTGAGGAGGAGAATTAATATTTATTCTTTTCATATTTGCTAGAATTCAGCATTGAATCTATCCAGTATTGGGCTCTTCTTTGTTTGGAGAATTTTTATTACTGAGTCAGTCTCGCTACTTATTATTGGACTGTCAGGTTTTCCAGCCCTTTTGATTTAATCATTGTAGGTTATTTTTCCAGGGACTTATCCATTTCCTCTAGGTTTTTCTATTTGTTAGTATATAGTTATCACAGTCTCTGATGATCTTTTGTGTTTCTGTGTTATTGTAGTGTCTCCTTTTTCATTTCTGATTTTCTTTGTCTTTTTGTTAGTCTAGTTAAAAGTTTATCAATTTTTATCTCTTTAAAACAACTTTTCACTTCTTTTTTGTATTTTTTTAAGTCTCTATTTTGTTTAGTTGTGCTCTGATCTTTATTGTTTATTTTTTTTCTGTTAATTTTGGGTTTGGTTTGTTCTTGCTTTTGTAGTTCCTTGAGGTGCATCGTTAGATTATTTATTTAAAATCTTTCTGTTTTGTTGATATAGGTGTTTATTACTATAAACTTCCCTCTTAGCGCAGCTTTTGCTGTGTCCCACAGGTTAGTATGTTGTGTTTCCATTTTCATTTATTTCAAGAAATTTTTTGATTTTCATTTTCTTTATTCACCCAATAGTTGTTCAGGAATGTTGTTTAATTTCCATATATTTGTATAGTTTCCAAAGTTTTCCTTGGTAGTGATTTTTAGTTTTGTTCCATTGTGGTCTGAGAAGATACATGATATGATTTTGATATTTAAAAAATTTTTGAGACTTTTTCAGCAGCCTAATATGTGATCAATTCTGGAGAATGTTCCATGGGCTGATGAGATAAATGTATTCTGCAGTTGTTGGATATAATGTTCTGTAAATACCTGTAAGGTCTATTTGGTCTGAAGTCTAATTTAAGTCCAATGTTTAATGTTGATTTTGTGTCTAGTTGATCTGTCTAATGCTGAGAGTGAGGATTATATATCTTTCTTTAGATCTAGTGATATTTTCTTTATTAATCTGGGTGCTCCAGTGTTGGGTGCATATATATTTAGAATTATATCCCCTTGCTCAATTGATCCATTTATTATTATAAAATAACTTTTGCTTTTTAAAAACCGTTTTTGACTTAAATTCTGTTTTACCTAAGTGTACCTACTCTTGCTTGCTTTTGGTTTCCATTGGCATGGAATATCTTTTTCCATCTCTTCATATTCAGTCTATATGTACTTTACAGGTAAAGTGTTTCCTGCTGGCAGCATATATTTGGATACTGTTTTTTTTTAAATATGTATATATAGTCAATCTATATCTTTCAAGTACAGAATTTAATTTACTTACATTCAGAGTTCCTATTGATATGTGAGACTTTGTTCCTGTTACATTTTGTTTCCTAGTTGTTTCATATGTTCTTTTTTCCTTCCTTTTTTCTTGCATATATTTTTAAAGTTAAAAAAATTATTTTAATTTTTGTGAGTACATAATAGGGGTAAGTATTTATGGAGTATGTGAGATGTTTTGCTACAGGCAATGCATACTAATCACATCATGTAAAATGGGGTATCCATCTCCTCCTGCATTTATCCATTGTATGACAAATGGTCTACTGACACTCACTTGGTTATTTGAAAATGTAAAATTAAATTATTATTATAGTCACCCAGTTGTGCTATCAAATACTAGATCTTATTCATTCTTTCCATTATTGTTGAATCCATTAACCATTCCCACCTCTCCGCCAGCTCCCAACTATACTTCCTCACTCTGGTAACCATCTTTCAACTCTTTATCTCCATGAGTTCAACTGCTTTGATTTTTAGGTCTTACAAATAAGTGAGAACATGCAATGTCTGTATTTCAGTGCCTGGCTTATTTAACTTAGCATAATGACCTCCAGTTCCATCCGTGTTGTTGTAAATGATAGGATCTCATCCTTTTTATGGCTGAATAGTACTCCATTGTGTATATGTACCACATTTTCTTTATTCATTCATCTGTTAATAGACACTTAGGTTGCTCCCAAATTTTGGCTGTTGTGAACAGTGCTGCAACAAACATGGAAATGAAGATTTTTTTATTATGTTATACTTTAAGTTCTGGGATACATGTGCAGAATATGCAGGTTTGTTACATAGGTATACATGTGCCATGGTGGTTTGCTTCACTCATCAACCTGTCATCTACATTAGGTTTCTCTCTTAATGCTATCACTCCCCTAGCCCTGCACCCCCCGACAGGACCCAGTGTGTGATGTTCCCCTCCCTGTGTCAATGTGTTCCCATTGTTCTACTCCAACTTATGAGTGAGAACATGCAGTGTTTGATTTTCTGTTCCTGTGTTAGTTTGCTGAGAATGATGGTTCCCAGCTTCATCCACGTCACTGCGGAGGACATTAACTCATCCTTTTTATGGCTGCATAGTATTCCATGATGTATATGTGCCAGATTTTCTTTATCTAGTCTACCATCAATGGGCATTTGGGTTGGTTCCAAGTCTTTGCTATTGTGAACAGTGTCACAATAAACATATGTGTGCATGTGTCTTTATAGTAGAATGATTTATAATACTTTCGGTATATATCCAGTGATGGTATTTCTGGGTCAAATGGTATTTCTGGTTCTAGTTCCTTGAGGAATCACCACACTGTCTTCCACAATGGTTGAACTAATTTACACTCTCACCAACAGTGTAAAAGTGTTCCTGTTTCTCCACATCCTCTCCAGCATCTGTTGTTGCCTGACTTTTTAATGATCACCATTCTAACTGGTGGGAGATGGTATCCCATTGTGGTTTTGATTTGCATTTCTCTAATGACCAGTGATGATGAGATTTTTATCATATGTTTGTTGGCTGCATAAATGTCTCCCTTTGAGAAATGTCTGTTCATATCCTTCACCCACTTTTTGATGGGGTTGTTTGCTTTTTCTTGTAAATTTGTTTGAGTTCTTTGTAGATTCTGGATATTAGCCCTTTGTCAGATAGATTGCAAAAATTTTCTCCCATTTTGTAAGTTGCCTGTTCACTCTGATGATAGTTTCTTTTGCTGTGCGGAAGCTCTTTACTTTAATTAGATCCCATTTGTCAATTATGGCTTCTGTTGCCATTGCTTTTTGTGTTTCAGTCATGATGTCTTTGCCCATGCCTATGTCCTGAATGGTATTGCCTTGGTTTTCTTCTAGGGTTTTTATGGTTTTAGGTCTAACGTTTAAGTCTTTAATCCATCTTGAGTTATTTTTTGTATAAGGTGTAATGAAGGGGTCCAGTTTCAGTTTTCTGCATATGGCTAGCCGGTTTCTGCAGCACCATTTATTAAATAGGGAATCCTTGCCCCATTGCTTATTTTTGTCAAGTTTGTCCAAGACCAGATGGTTGTAGATGTGTGGCATTATTTCTGAGATCTCTTTTCTGTTCCATTGGTCTATGTATCTGTTTTGGTACCAGTACCATGCTGTTTTGGTTACTGTAGCCTTGTAGTATAGTTTGATGTCAGGTAGCATGATGTCTCCAGCTTTGTTCTTTTTGCTTAGGATTCCCTTGGCTATACAGGCTCTTTTTTGGTTCCACGTGAAATTTAAAGTAATTTTTTCTAATTCTGTGGAGAAAATCAATGGCAGCTTGCTGGGGATAGTACTGAGTCTATAAATTACTTTGGGCAGTATGACCGTTTTCACAATATTGATTCTTTTTATCCATGAGCATGAAATGTTTTTGCATTTGTTTGTGTCCTCTCTTATTTCCCTGAGCAGTGGTTTGTAGTTCTCCTTGAAGTGGTTCTTCACATCCCTTGTAAATTGTATTCCTAGGTATTTTATTCGCTGTGTAGCAATTATGAATGGGCATTCACTTATGATTTGGCTGTCTGTCTATTATTGGTGTATAGGAATGCTTGTGATTTTGCACATTGAATTTGTATCCTGAGACTTTGCTGAAGTTGCTTATCAGCTTAAGGAGATTTTGGGCTGAGACAGTGGAGTTTTCTAAATGTACAGTCATGTCCTCTGCAAACAGAGACAATTTGACTTCCTCTCTTCTATTTTTTTCTTTTTTTTAAATTATTATTATTATACTTTAAGTTTTAGGGTACATGTGCACAATGTGCAGGTTTGTTACATATATATACATGTGCCATGTTGGTGTGCTGCACCCATTAACTCGTCATTTAGCATTAGGTATATCTCCTAATGCTATCCCTCCCCCCTCCCCCCACCCCACAACAGTCCCCAGAGTGTGATGTTCCCCTTCCTGTGTCCATGTGTTCTCATTGTTCAATTCCCACCTATGAGTGAGAACATGTGGTGTTTGGTTTTTTGTCCTTGCGATAGTTTGCTGAGAATGATGGTTTCCAGTTTCATCCATGTCCCTACAAAGGACATGAACTCTTCATTTTTTATGGCTGCATAGTATTCCATGGTGTATATGTGCCACATTTTCTTAATCCAGTCTATCGTTGTTGGACATTTGGGTTGGTTCCAAGTCTTTGCTATTGTGAATAGTGCTGCAATAAACATACGTGTGCATGTGTCTTTATAGCAGCATGATTTATAATCCTTTGGGTATATACCCAGTAATGGGATGGCTGGGTCAAATGGTATTTCTAGTTCTAGATCCCTGAGGAATCGCCACATCACACCTATTCCAAAATTGACCACGTAGTTGGAAGTAAAGCACTCCTCAGCAAATGTAAAAGAACAGAAATTATAACTCTCTTCCTTTTTTAATACACTTTATTTATTTCTCTTTCCTGATTGCCTTGTCCTGAACTTCCAATACTATGTTGAATAGGAGTGGCTAGAGAGGGCATCCTTGTCTTGTGCTGGTTTTCAAAAGGAATGCTTCCACATTTTGCCCATTTGGTTTGATATTGGCTGTGGGTTTGTCATAAATAGCTCTCATCATTTAGAAATACATTCCATCAATACCTAGCTTATTGATAGTTTTTAGCATGTAGGGTTGGTGAATTTTATTAAAGACCTTTTTTGCCTCTACTGAGATAATCATGTAGCTATTGTCATTGGTTCTGTTTATGTAACGGATTACGTTGAATATTGGCCCCCTCTCCCTTCTGGCTTGTAGGATTTCTGGAGAGAAATCCACTGTTAGCATAATTGGCTTCCCTTTATGGGTAACCCGACCTTTCTCTCTGGCTGCCCTTAACATTTTTTTTCATTTCAATGTTGGTTAATCTGACAGTTATGAGTCTTGGGGTTGCTCTTCTCGAGGAGTATCTTTGTGGGTTCTCTGTATTTCCTGAATTTGAATGTTGGCCTATCTTGCTAGACTGGGGAGTTTCTCCTGGATAATATCCCAAAGAGTGTTTTCCAACTCGATTCCATTTTCTCCCTGTCACTTTCAGGTACACCGGTGAAATGTAGGTTTGGTCTTTTCACTTAGTCCAGTATTTCTTTGAGGCTTTGTTTGTTCCTTTTCATCCTTTTTTCGATAATCTTGTCTTCATGCTTTATTTCATTTAGTTGATCTTCAGTGTCTGATATTCTTTTTTCCCCTTGGTCGATTTGGCTATTTATACTTGTGTATGATTCATGAAGTTCTTGTGCTGTGTTTTTCAGTTCCATCAGGTCATTTACGTTCTTCTCTAAACTGGTTATTCTAGTTAGCAATTCCTCTAACGTGTTTTCAAAGTTCTTAGCTTCCTTGCATTGGGTTAGAACATGCTTATTTCACTTGGAGGAGTTTGTTATTACCCACCTTCTGTAGTCTACTTCTGTCAGTTCATCAAACTCATTCTCTGTTCTGTTTTGTTCCCTTGCTGGCAAGGAGTTGTGATCCTTTGGAGGAGAAGAGGCATTCTGGTTTTTGGAATTTTCAGCCTTTTTGGGCTGGTTTTTCCTTTGTTGTGGATTTATCTACCTTTGGTCTTCGATGTTGGTGACCTTTGCATGGGGTTTCTGTGTGGACATCCTTTTTTTTTTTTTTTTTTTTTTTTTTTTTGATGTTGATGCTATTCCTTTCTGTTCATTAGTTTTCCTTCTAACAGTCAGGCCCCTCTGCTGCAGGTCTGCTGGTGTTTGCTGGAGGTCCACTCCAGACCCTGTTTGTATGAGTATTACCAGCAGAGGCTGCAGAACAACAAAGATTGCTGCCTGTTCCTTCCTCTGGAAGCTTCATCTCAGAGGGGCACCCGCAAAATGCCAGTCAGAGCTCTTCTGTATGAGATGTCTGTTGACCCCTGCTAGGAGCTGTCTTTCAGTCAGAAGGCACAGGGGTCAGGGACCCACTTGAGGAGGCAGTCTGTCCCTTAGCAGAGCTCGAACACTGTTCTGGTGGATCTGCTGTTCTCTTTAGAGCTGGCAGGCAGGAATATTTAAGTCTGCTGAAGCTGGGCCCACAGCCACCCTTTCCCCCAGGTGTTCTGTCCCAGTGAAGTGGGAGTTTTATCTATAAGCCCCTGACCTGGGCTGCTGCCTTACTTTCAGAGATGCCCTGCCCAGAGAGGAGGAATCTAGAGAGGCAGTCTAGCTATGGTGGCTTTGCCAAGCTAAGGTGAGCTCCGCCCAGTTTGAACTTCCAGGTGGCTTTGTTTACACTGTGATGGGAAAACTGCCTACCCAAGCCTCAGTAATGGTGAGCAGCCTTCTCCCCACCAAGCTCAAGCATCCCAGGTCGACTTCATACTGCTGTGCTGGCAGGGAGAATTTCAAGCCAGTAGATCTTAGCTTGCTGGGCTCAGTGGGGCTGGGACCTGCTGTGCTTGACCATTTGTCTCCCTGGCTTCAGCTCCCTTTCCAGGGATGTGAGCGGTTTTGTCTCGCTAGCATTCCAGACACCACTGAGATATGGAAAAAAACTCCTGCAGCTAGCTTGGTGTCTGCCCAAATGGCCTCCCAGTTTTGTGCTTGAAACCCAGGGCCCTAATGGCATAGGCACCTGCGGGAATCTCCTGGTCTGTGGGTTGTGAAGACTGTGGGAAAAGTGTAGAATCTGGGCTGGAGTGCACCGTTCCTCATGGCACAGTCCGTCATGGCTTCCCTTGGCTAGGGGAGGGAATTCCCTGAACCCTTGCACTTTTTGGGTGAGGCCATGCCCACCCTGCTTTGGCATGTGCTCCATGGACTGCTCCCCCTGTCTGACCAGTCACAATGAGATGAGCCGAGTATCTCAGTTGGAAACGTAGAAATCACCCACCTTCTGTGTTGATCTCACTGGGAGCTGCAGACTGGAGCTGTTTCTATTCAGCCATCTTGCCTGAATATTTTTTTTTTTTTAATGTATACTGATTTCCTTTCTTTTTGGGTATATACCCAGCAGTGGGTTTGCTGGATCATGTGGTAGCTCTATATTTCATTTTTTGAGGAATCTACAACTATTCTCTGTAGTGGTTGTACTAAACTGCATTCCCACCAACAGTGTAATGGGGATCTTTTTTCCACACCTCACCAACATTTGTTATTGCCTGTCTTTTGGATATAAGCCATTTTAACTGGGATGATATAAAATCTCATTGTAGTTTTGATTTGCATTTCTTTGATGATCAATGATGTTGAGACATATTCAAATACCTGTTTGCCATTTGTATGTCTTATTTGAGAAATGTGTATTCAAATCTTTTGCCCATTTTTAAGTCAGATTATTAGATTTCTTTCTTAGAAAGTTGTTTGAGCTCATTATATATTCTGGTTATTAATCCTTTGTCAGATGGGTGGACTTCAAATATTTTCTCCTATTCTGTGGGTTGTCTCTTCACTTTTCTGATTGTATTCTTTGCTGTGCAGAAGCTTTTTAATTTGATGTGATCTCATTTGTTTTATGCTTCAGTTGCCTGTCCTTGTTGGGTATTTACTCAGTAGTAAGAGATGGGTTCTGTTTTCTTCTGCATATGGATATGTAGTTTTCCCAGCACTGTTTGTTGAAAAGACTGTCTTTTCCCCAGTGTATGTTCCTGGCACATTAGGTGAAGATGAGTTCATTGTAGTTGTGTGGATTTGTTTCTGGGTTTTCTATTCTGTTCCATTGGTCTATGTGTCTGTTGTTATGCCAGTACCATGCTGTTTTTGGTTATTATAGCTCTGTAGTATAATTCGAAGTCAATTAATGTGATTCTTTCAGTTGTGTTCTTTTTGCTTAGGATAGTTTTGGTATTCTGAGTATTTGTGCTCCCATAGGAATTTTAGGATTGTTTTCTCTATTACTGTGAAGAATATCATTGGTATTTTGGTAGGGATTGCATTGAATCTGTAGATTGCTTTGGATAGTATGGACATTTTAACAATATTGATTCTTCCAATCCATGAACATGGAATATCTTTCTATTTTTTGGTGTTCTCTTAAATTTCTTTCATCTGTGTTTATAGTTTTCTTTGTAGAGATCTGTCACTTATTTTGCATAAGTTAATTCCTAGGTATTAATTTTTTTTGTCAATGGGATTACTGTTTTGAATCCTTTTTCAGATTGTTCACTGTTGGCATACAGAAATGCTACTGAATTTTGTATTTTGATTTTTATCCTACAACTTTACTGAATTTATCAGTTCTAATAGTTGTGTGTTTAAGTCTTTAGTTTTTCCAAATATGAGATTATATCATCTGCAAAAAAGGGTAATTTGACTTCTTCCTTTCCCATATGGATGCCCTTTATATCTTTCTCTTGTCTGATTGCTCTAGCTAGGACTTCCAGTATTATTTAAATAACAATGGTGAAGTGGACATCTTTGTCATGTTCCAGATACTAGAGGAAAGGCTTTCAGATTTTTCACATTCCATATTACATTTGGTCTGTCATATATGGCTTTTATTATGTTGAGGGTCTTCCTACTATCCCCAGTTCTTTGAGGGTATTTATCATGAAGTGACGTTAAATTTTATCAAATGCTTTGTCAGCATCAATTGAAATGATCATATGGTTTTTATCATTCATTCTCTTGATATGATGGATCACATTGATTGATTTATGTATGTTGAACCATCCTTCCATCCCAGAGATAAATTCCACTTTGTCATGATGAATGATCATTTTAATGTATTGTTGAATTCTGTTTGCTAGTTTCTTGTTGAGGATCTTTGCATCAGTAATAGAGATATTGGCCTGTAATTTCTTTTTTTTTTTTAAATGTCTTTGTCTGGTTTGGGTATTGGGATAATACTGGGCTTATAGAATGAGTTTGGAAGTATTATGTCCTCCTCTATTTTTTGGATTCATTTGAGTAGGGTTGGTATTAGTTTTTCTTTAAATGTTTGGTAGAATTCAGTAGGGAAGCCATCGGGTCACGGACTTTTCTTTACTGGGAGACTTTTTGTTATGGCTTCTATCTTGTAACTTGTTATTTGTCTGTTCAGGTTTTAGATTTCTTCATAGCTCAAT
The DNA here is from genome assembly GCF_000001405.40 of Homo sapiens. Taxonomy (NCBI): domain Eukaryota; kingdom Metazoa; phylum Chordata; class Mammalia; order Primates; family Hominidae; genus Homo; species Homo sapiens. The sequence goes on from NC_000006.12 coordinate 86,230,934, forward strand.
CTTAATAGGTTGTACAAGTCTAGGAATTTGTCCATTTCATCTAGATTTTTCCATTTATTGGCATATAGTTGCTCAGAGTAGCCACTAATGATCCTTTGAATTTCAGCAGTAACAGCTGTAATGTCTTCTCTTTATTTCTGATTTTATTTTTTATTTTTGGATCTTCTCTTTTTTTTCTTAAGTAGTCCAGCTAAAGGTTTGTCAATTTTGTTTAAATTTTTGAAAAGCCAACAACATGCTTCTGAATGACTTTTGGGTAAATAATTAAATAAAGTCAGAAATCAAGAAGTTCTTTGAAACTAGTGAGAACAAGGATATAACATACAAGAATCTCCAGGACACAGCTAAAGCAGTGTTAAGAGGAAAATTAATAGCACTAAATGCCCTTATATAGAAATTAGATAGATCTCAAATTAACAACCCAACATCACAACTGAAATAATTTGAAAAGCAAGAGCAAATCAGTCCTAAATCTAGCAGAAGACAAGAAATAACCAGAATCTGAGCTGAACTGAAGGAGATTGAGACACAAAAAGCCATTCAAAATATCAACAAATATAGAAGTTGCTTTAAAGAAATAAGATAGATAAGCCATTAGCTAGACTAATAAAAAAGGAAAGAAAGAAGATCCAAATAAACACAATTAGAAATGATGAAGAAAATATTACCACTGACCCCACAGAAATAAAAGTAACCATTAGAAACTGCCATGAATACCTCTATGCACACAAACTAGAAAACCTAGAAGAAATTTATAAATTCCTGGACACATGGATTCTCCCACACTGAGCCAGGAAGAAATTGAATCCCTTAACAAACAAATAATGAACTCCAAAATTGAATCAGTAACAAATAGCCTACCAACCAAAAAAGCCCAGGACCAGAAAGATCCACAGCCAAATTCTACCATGCAAAAAAGACTTGGTATCATTTCTAATAAAACTGTTTACAATGCCTTTCCAACTCATTCTATGAGGCCAGCATTATCCTGATAACAAAACCTGGAAAAGACACAACAACAACAAAAAAGAAAACTTTGGACCAATATCCTTGATAAACATGAATGCAAAAATCCTCAACAAAATCCTTGACCTCTGGGAGTTTAATTATTAAATGCCGAGAGGTAGTCTTCTTTGGGTTAAATCTGCTTGGTGTTCTATAACATTCTGGTACTTGGATATTGATATCTTTCTTTAGGTTTGGAAAGTTCTCTGTTATTATCTCTTTAAACTTTCTACTCCTATCTTTTTCTCTACCTCCTCTTTATGGCCAATAACTCTTAGATTTGCCCTTGTGAGACTATTTTTTAAAACCTGTAGGCATGCTTTCTAGTTTTTTATTCTTTTTCCTTTTGCCTTCTCTGACTTTGCATTTTCAAATAGCCATTTCTTCAAACTCACTAATCCTTTCTTCTGCTTGATGAATTCTACTATTAAAGGACTCTGGTACATTCTTCAGTATGCCAATTGCATTTTTCAGCTCTAGAATTGCTGATTGATTTTTAAAAATTATTTCAATTTCTTTGTCAAATTTGTCTGATAGAATTATTAATTCCTTCTCTTTGTTATCTTGAATTTCTTTGAGTTTCCTCAACACAGCTATTTTGAATTCTCTGTCTGAAAGGTCACATATCTCTGTTTCTCCACAATTGATTCCTGGTGCCTCAGTGAGATCATGTTTTCCTGAATGGTCTTGATACTTGCAGATATTTTTCTGTAACTGTACAGGTAAGAGTTAACTATTTATTTTAGTATTCTCAGTCTGGGCTTGTCTGTACCCTTCCTGTTTAGGAAGACTTTCTAGATATTTGAACATACTTGGGTGTTGCAATCAAAGCTGTATCTTCTTCAGGAGGTACCACAAGCCCAGTAATGCTGTGGTTCTTACAGACTCATAGAAGTACCACCTTGATGGTCTTGGACAAGATTCAAAAGAAGTACCAGACAGAGACTCTTGTTTCTCTTTTACTTTCTCCCAAACAAATGAAGTCTCTCTCTCTCTGTTCTGAGCCACCTGGAACTGGTTATACAAGCACTCCTGGAGCCACCACCATTAGGACTATGCTGGATCTGACCTGAGGTTAGTACATCACTGGGTCTTGCCCCAGATCTTCTGTAACCACTCCCTAGCTATGGCCTATGTTTTCTCAAGTCACTTTGGCTCTACAGTCAGCAGATGGTGAAGGCAGCCAGATCTGTGTCCTTCCCTTCAGAGTGCTGAGTTCTTCCAGGCCCCAGGCAGGTCCAGAGGTGTCATGTGGGAGCTAGGGACAAGAGTGAAAAATCTTAGAAATCTACCTGGTGTTCTGTTGTACTGCAGCTGAGCTGGCACGCAAACCACAAGATGCAGCCCTTACCACTCTTCCCTCTCTTTCCAAATGGGAGAGGAGCCTCACTCTGTGGCCACTGTCACCACTGGCTCACAGGAAGTACCGCCAGACTACCACCAATGTTTCCTTAAGGACCAAGCACTCTTCAGTCAGCTTGTGAATGCTGCTTGACCTGGGACTCATTCTTCAGCGGAGTGGGCCTCCCTCTGGCCCAGGGCAGGTCCAGAAGTTCTGTCTAAAGCCAAGGCCTTGAACTGGGGACCCCAAGAGTCCAGTTGGTGCTCTTCCCTACTGTGGCTAAGCTGGTACCTAAGGTACAAGACAAAGTTCCCTTTACTTTTGCCTCTGCTTTTCCAGATAGAAGGAATCTCACCCTGTAGCCACCACAACTGGGAATGTGGTGATACTCACCTGAAGCCAGAAAGTCTGAGTCTCACCCAAGGCCTTGACGTAGTATCTGGCTATTACTGCTGGTTATTCAGGGCCCAAGGGCTCTTCAGTTAGCAGATGATAAATCCTGCCAGGAACATATCCTTCCCTTCAAGGTAGCAGGTTACCTTCTGGCCCTGGCTGTGTCTAGAAATGTTGTCCAGGAGCTAGGACCTGGTAAAAAGTTCTCATGACTCTGGCCAGTGCCCTATCCTGCTGTGGCTAGGCTTGTATTCAGGATGCAAGACAGAGTCCTCCCCACTCTTCCCTCTCCTCTCATCAGGCAGAGGGAAGGGGTCTCTGTTGGAGCTGTGAGGTGTGTAGTCTGGGGCTAAGGGAGGGGTGATGTCACCATTCCCTTACCCACTTTGGCTGGTGTCTCTCATGCCCCACCAGCCCGCTGTCTCTGGGCCCAGTTTAACACTAGTCCTTGCCTAGGAGTTGTAGCCCTTGTGGCCTAGACACAGGTTTGTCTACTCTTGGCAGCAGCAGCACTATAGTGTTGCAGAGAGGAGAAGGGATAAGAAGGAATGGGACCCTACCCTTCATGCATGAGCCTGAGCATGGGAACCACACTGCCACTAGGGACAGAGATGCCACTCACAGCCCCAGACAGACAGCCCTCTGGTTCACCCACCCCAGTTCCCAGTGGCAGCAGCAGCAGTTGTGGCTGCAGCAATGTGTAAAGGGAGAGAGGGGGTCTTGTTCTTTATGCATGATCTGGAGCACAGGCTGCTCCACCAGGAAGTGTGGGGTCACTGCTCCCATCCTCAGGCAGTCAGATCTTAGGCTTCTCTGCCTGGGTTCCTGATGGAAGCAACTGATATGAAACTATGTGGGTGGGGGCGAGGGTATCACACGCACTGCTTGTAAGCCTGAGCACAGAGTCTGTGTCACTACTGGGGATAGGGTTGCTTCTCATAGCTGCAGGCAGGGAACTCTCAGGCTCTGGAAAGTACATGCTTTGGTTTCCTTTGTCCCAGAGGTCACAGTTTTGGTGTGCTGCACTGTCCTTTCATTGGGGAGTAGTACTGGCTATGAGCTAGAGTACTGGGGACCCTTTAGCACCTTTGGATCCAGCCATTTCTGTGCCACTGTGGTCCACTGGGTGGACACTGAGGGATGTCATTTGGGGATCCTGGGATGTGGAGATTTGGGGATTGTAGTTGCCAGGGAAGGATGCAATCCCGTGATGGCTGTACTCTCACAATGGTGCCCTTCTGCAGCCTCTTAGGCCTTAGGGGTGTGAGTAATCCAGCACAGTTCCCAGCCTGGTGCAGAGAACTCCATAAGTATATTCCAGTTCAAGATGGTTGACTAGAGACGTTGAATACTTGTGGGGTTTCCAGAGCACTGTCCATGCTAGTGTCAGGGTTCATATGGGCAGAGGAACCGTCCTGTGGTACAGATTGCAACAGTTTGTGGTGGGAATGTGGACAGCTGAAGTTCTTTCACTTACCCCCTCCCCACAAGAGTGAGTCCCTACATGCTCCCAGCTGATCTTGGTTGAGCTTGATGCTTGCTTCCTTGTCTCTCTGTGACTCAGGTTTCCTGTGACTTCTATGTTCGACCCGAATGTTCTCTCTTAGAGTTCTGTTTGAGGTACAATTATGTATTTGCAGTTCTGGTTCTTCTTTCTGGAAAGGGCAAGTGTCTGATGTCTTTAGTCAAACACTTGAACTGGGATCTATTTATAGACTTTTATTTTTTTATAAGTAGAATAACCTACAAAACATAAGTGAGAACTGAGTCATAAAACACTTTCCAAAGATAAATATTTTACATAAATGCTTAAATATTTTACATAAATATTTATTTCAAAAAATAAACAGTTTAGATATAAATGTATTTTCATGTCAAGGAAAATAAAACCTCAGAAGGATGGCTGGAACATACATATTTATCAAGTTAGAATTGCATAAATTCTCAACTAAAAATAATCTTCTTGTTATAGTTTTGGGACAGCTGAGAGAAAGGATGAGCAGATACAATTTCCAGTTTACAAAAGATCAAGTCAACCCTCTTGACTAGCTTAGCAAGCTTAATCAGTAAGACAAAGAACCCAGATCAGAAATGGGGTCCTTATTTAATGCTCTTAACAAATATTAATTAGAATAACAAAATAATTCAGTCCTGATCCTACTTATATCATAAGAAAAATGTAAATGTGTCCTCATTGAGTATACTTAGATTGTTGATGTTTAGGTGCCAGTTAGGCAACACTGATCTGTGGCAGATACAACAGCCTTATATATCTTTACTTAATTCCATCTCTACTCCAAGGGCACTTATTTGGAAATGGCATAGCTAATAAATGAAAGGAGGATGAATTGCATTGCAAGTTAGGTAATACAACCTCTGGATTTTAAAATGCTGTTGTAAAGCACTCTATCTTAAAGGCCATCTTTATCCCAAAGCTTCTTTCCTGAGGCAGTGGTAGAAATTTTAAATAACATAAATCTCCTCTTCAGTCCTAGCAGCTTGTAGAAACATGATACCAGTCAGTTAAATAACTTGAGTGTGGCAGTGGCTGGCAAGATGGCCGAATAGAAACAGCTCCCGTCTGCAGCTCCCAGTAAGACCAACGCAGAAGGTGGGTGATTTCTGCATTTCCAACTGAGGTACCTGGCTCATCTCAATGGGACTGGTTATACAGTGGGTACAGACCACCGAGGGCAAGCCAAAGTAGGGTGGGGAGTCACCTCACCCAGGAAGTGCAAGGGTTCAGGGAGCTCCCTCTCCTAGCCAAGGGAAGCCGTGAGGGACTGTGCCAATGGTACACTCTGGCCCAGATACTATGCTTTTTCCACAGTCTTCACAACCCACAGACCAGGAGATTCCCTCAGGTGCCTATGCCACCAGGGCCCTGGGTTTCAAGCACAAAACTAGGCTGCTATTTGGGCAGACACCAAGCTAGCTGCTGGAGTTTTTTTTTTTCATATCTCAGTGGTCCCTGGAATGCCAGTGAGGCAGAACTGTTCACTCCCCTGGAAAGGGGGCTGAAGCTAGGGAGCCAAGTGATCTTGCTCAGCAGATCCCACTCCCACCAAGCCCAGCAAGGTAAGATCTACTGGCTTGAAATTCTCCCTGTCAGCACAGGAATCTGAAGTCAATCTCAGATGCTCAAGCTTGAAGGGAAGAGGGGTACTGCCATTATTGAGGCTTGAGTAGGCAGTTTTCCCCTCAAAGTGTAAACAAAGCCACTGAAAAGTTCAAACTGGGCAAAGCGCACTGCAGTTTGGCAAAGCCGCTGTAGCCAGACTGCCTCTCTAGCTTCCTCCTCTCTGGGCAGGGCATCTCTGAAAGAAAGGGAGCAGCCCCAGAAATGGGCTTATAGATAAAACTCCCATCTCCCTAGGACAGAGCACATGGGGGAAGGGGCGACTATTGGCGCAGCTTCAGCAGACTTAAACATTCCAGCCCGCTGGCTCTGAAGAGAGCAGTGGATCTCCCAGGATAGTGCTCGAGCTCTGCTAAGGGACAGACTGCCTCCTCAAGTGGGCCCCTGACCTCCGTGCCCTCTGACTGAAAGACACCTCCCAGCAGGGGCCAACAAACACCTATTACAGGAGAGCGCTGGCTGGCATCTTGCGGTTGCCCCTCTTGGACGAAGCTTCTAGAGGAAGGAACAGGCAGCAGTCTTTGCTGTTCTGCAGCTTCCACTGGTGATACCCAGAAAAACAGGGTCTGGAGTGGACCTCCAGCAAACACCATCAGACTTGCAGCAGAGGGGCCTGACTATTAGAAGGAAAACTAACAAACAGAAAGGAATAGCATCAACATCAACAAAAAAGAAGTTCACACAGAAACCCCATTTGAAGGTCACCAACATTGAAGATCACAGGTAGATAAGCCCATGAAGATGAGCAAAAACCAGCCCCCAAAGACTGAAAATTCCAAAAACCAGACACCTCTTCTTCTCCAAAGGATCACAATTCCTCACCAGCAAGGGGAGAAAACTCGATGGAAAATGAGTTTGAAGAAGTAGGCTTCAGAAGGTGGGTAAAACAAACTCCTCTGAGCTAAAGGAGCATGTTCTAACCCAATGCAAGGAAGCTAAGAGCTTTGAAAATAGGTAAGAGGAATTGCTAACTAGAATAACCAGTTTAGAGAAAAATATAATTGACCTGATGGAGCTGAAAAACACAGCACGAGAACTTTGTGAGACATACACAAGTACCAATAGCTGAATTGATCAAGAGGAAGAAAGGACTTCAGAGACTGAAAATCAACTTAATGAAATGAAGCGTGAAGACAAAATTAGAGAAAAAAAAGGAAAAGGAACAAATAAAAACTCCAGGAAATATGGGATGATGTGAAAAGACCAAGCCTACATTTCACTGGTGTACCTGAAAGTGACAGGGAGAATGGAACCAAGTTGGAAAACACTCTTCAGGATATTATCCAGGAGAACCTCCCCAGCCTAGCAAGACAGGCCAACATTCAAATTCAGGAAATACAAAGAACACCACAAAGATACTCCTCAAGAAGAGCAACCCCAAGACTCATAATTGTCAGACTAACCAAGGTTGAAATGAAAAAAATAAAAAAACGTTAAGGGCAGCCAGAGAGAAGAAAGGTCAGGTTACCCATAAAGGGAAGCCAATTACATTAACAGTGGATTTCTCTCCAGAAACCCTACAAGCCAGAAGGGAGAGGGGGCCAGTATTCAACCAAGGTTGAAATGAAGGAAAATATGTTAAGGTCAGCCAGAGTAAAATATCGGGTTACCCACAAAGGGAAGCCCATCAGACTAACAGAGGATCTCTTGGCAGAAACCCTACAAGCCAGAAGAGAGTGGGGCCAATATTCAACATTCTTAAAGAAAAGAATTTTCAACCCAGAATTTCATATCCAGCCAAACTAAGCTTCATAAACGAAGGAGAAATAAAACCCTTTACGGACAAGCAAACGCTAAGAGATTTTGTCACCATCAGGCCTGCCTTACAAGAGCTCCTCAACGAAACACTAAATACGGAAAGGAAAAACCAGTATCAGCCACTGCAAAATTATACCAAGTTGTAAGACCATCAACACTATGATGAAATTGCATCAACTAACAGGCAAAATAACCAGCTAGCATCATAATGACAGGATGAAATTCACACATAACAATATTAACCTTAAATGTAAGTGGGGTAAATGCCCCAATTAAAAGACAAAAACTGGCAAATTGGATAGAGTCAAGACCCATTGGCATATTCAGGAGACCCATCTAACATGCAAAGGAACACATAGGTTCAAAATAAAAGGATGGAGGGAATATTTATCAAGCAAATGGAAACCAAAAAAAGCAGGGCTTGCAATCCTAGTCTCTGATAAAACAGACTTTAAACCAACAAAAATCAAAAGAGACAAAGAAGGGCATTACGTAATGGTAAAGGGATCAATACAACAAGAAGAGCTAACTATCCTAAATATATAAACAACCAATACAGGAGCACCCAGATTCATAAAGCAAGTTCTTAGAGACCTACAAAGAGACTTAGACTCCCACACAATAATAGTGGGAAACTTTATGACCCTGATGTCAATATTAGACAGATCAACGAGACAGAAAATTAACAAGGTCCACTTGACTTGAACTCAGTTCTGGACCAAGTGGATCTAATAGACATCTACAGAACTCTCCACCCCAAATCAACAGATTATACATTCTTCTCAGCACCGCATTGCACTTATTCTAAGATTGACCACATAATTGAAAGTAAAACACTCCTCAGCAAATGTAAAAAAACAGGAATCATAACAGTCTCTCAGACCACTGTGCAATCAAATTAGAACTAAGGATTAAGAAACTCACTCAAAACCACACAACTACATGGAAACTGAGCAACCTGCTCTTGAATTACTACTGGGTAAGTAACGACACTGAGTAGAAATAAGTAAGTTCTTTGAAACCATTGAGAAAAAAGACACAACATACCAGAATCTCTGGGACACAGATACAGCAGTGTTCATAGGAAAATTCTAGCACTAAATTCCCACAGGATAAAGCAGGAAAGATCTAAAATCAACACCCTAACATCTCAATTAAAAGAACCAGAGAAGCAAGAGCAAACAAATTCAAAAGCTAGCAGAAGACAAGAAATAACTAAGATCAGAGCAAAACTGAAGGAGATAGAGACACAAAAACCCCTTAAAAAAATCAAAGAGTCCAGGAGCTGGTTTTTTGAAAAGATTAACAAAATAGATAGATCGCTAGTCAGACTAATAAAGAAGAAAGAAGAATCAAATAGACACACTAAAAAATAATAAAGGATATATCACTGCTGATCCCATGGAAATACAAACTACCGTCAGAAAATACTATAAACAACTCTACACAAATAAACTAGAAAATCTAAAAGATATGGATAAATTCCTGGACACCGACACCCTCCCAAGACTAAACCAGACAGAAGTTGAATCCCTGAATAGACCAATAACAAGTTCTAAAATGGAGGCAGTAACTAATAGCCTATTAACCTAAAAAACCCAGGATCAGACAGATTCACAGCCGAATTATACAGAGGTACAAAGAGGGGCTGGTACCACTCCTTCTGAAACTATTTCAAACAATAGAAAAAGAGGGGCTCCTCTCTAACACATTTTATGAGGCCAACATCATCCTGATACTAAAAGCTGGCAGAGACACAACAAAAAAAGAAAATTTCAGGCCAATATCCCTGATGAACATTGATGCCAATATCCTCAATAAAACACTCTCAAACTGAATCCAGCAGCACATCAAAAAGCTTATCCACCACGATCAAGTTAGCTTCATCCCTCGGATGCAAGGCTGGTTCAACATACGCAAATCAATAAACGTAATCCATCACATAAACGGAACCAATGACAAAACCACATGATTATCTCAATAGATGCAGAAAAGGACTCAAATAAAATTCAGCAACCCTTCATGCTAAAAACTCTCAATAAATTGGTATTGATGGAACGTATCTCAAAATACTAAAAGCTATTTATGACAAACCCACAGCCAATATCATACTAAATGGGCAAAAGGTGGAAGCATTCCCTTTGAAAACTGGCACAAGACAAGGATGCCCTCTCTCACCACGCCTATTATACATAGTATTGGAATTTCTGGACAGGGCAATCAGGCAATAGAAAGAAATAAAGTGTATTCAGATAGGAAGAGAGGAAGTCAAATTGTCTCTGTTTGCAGATGACATGATTGTATATTTAGAAAACCCCATCGTCTCAGCCCAAAATCTCCTTAAGCTTATAAGCAACTTCAGAAAAGTCTCAGGATACAAAACCAATGTGCAAAAATCACAAGCATTCCTATACACCAATAATAGAGAGCCAAATCATGAGTGAACAACCATTCACCATTGCTACAAGGAGAATAAAATACCTAGAAATACAACTTACAAGGGATGTGAAGGACGTCTTCAAGGAGAACTACAAACCACTGCTCAAGGAAATAAGAGAGGACACAAATGAAAAAATATTCCATGCTCGTGGATAGGAAGAATTGACATCATGAAAATGGCCATACTGCCCAAAGTAATTTATAGATTCAATGCTATCCCCATCAAGTTACCATTGACTTTCTTCACAGAATTAAAAAAAAACTACTTTAAATTTCCGTTCGGAAACAAAAGAGTCTGCATAGCCAAGATAATCCTAAACAAAAAGAACAAACCTGGAGGCATCACACTACCTGACTTCAAACTGTACTGTAAGGCTACAGTAAGCAAAACAGCATGGTACTGGTATCAAAACAGATATATAGATCAATGGAAGAGGACGGAGACCTCAGAAATGACACCACACACCTACAGTCATCTGATCTTTGACAAACCTGACAAAAACAAGCAATTGGGAAAGGATTCCCTATTTAATAAATGGTGCTGGGAAAACTGGCTAGCCATATGCAGAATACTGAAACTGGACCCCTTTGTTATACCTTATACAAAAATTAACTCAAGATGGATTAAAGACTTAAACCTAGGACCTAACACCATAAAAACCCTAGAAGAAAACCTAAACAATACCATTCAGGACATAGGCATGGGCAAGGACTTCATGACTAAAGCGCCCAAAGCAATGGCAACAAAAGCCAAAATTGACAAATGGGATCTAATTAAACTAAAGAGCTTCTGCACAGCAAAAGAAACTATCATCAGAGTGAACAGGCAGCCTACAGAATGGGAGAAAAATTTTGCAATCTATCCCTCTGACAAAGGGTTAGTATCCAGAATCTAAAAAGAACTTAAACAAATTTACAAGAAAAAAACAACCCCATCAAAAGGTGGGCAAAGGATATGAAGAGACACTTCTCAAAAGAAGACATTTATGCGGCCAACAAGCATATGAATAAAAGCTAATCATGACTGGTCATTAGAGAAATGCAAATCAAAACCACAGTGAAATACCATCTCACACCAGTTAGAATGGCAATCATTAAAAAGTCAGGAAACAACAGATGCTGGAGAGGATGTGGAGAAATAGGAACGATTTTACGCTGTTGGTGGGAGTGTAAATTAGTTCAATCATTGTGGAAAACAGTGTGGCAATTCCTCAAGGATCTAGAACCAGAAGTAGCATTTGAACCAGCAATCCCATTACTGGGTATACACCCAAATGGGTACACACCCATTACTGGGTATACACCCATATACTGGGTACACGCCCATTACTGGGTATACACCCATATACTGGGTACACGCCCATTACTGGGTATACACCCATATACTGGGTACACACCCATTACTGGGTATACACCCATATACTGGGTACATGCCCATTACTGGGTATACACCCATATACTGGGTACACGCCCATTACTGGGTATACACCCATATACTGGGTACACGCCCATTACTGGGTATACACCCATATACTGGGTACACGCCCATTACTGGGTATACACCCATATACTGGGTACACGCCCATTACTGGGTATACACCCATATACTGGGTATACAACCAAAGTTTATACTGAGTATAAACTAAAGGATTATAAATCATTCTCCTATAAAGACACATGAACACACATGTTTATTGCAGCACTGTTCACAATAGCAATGACTTGGAACCAACCCAAATGCCTATCAAAGATAGAGTGGATAAAAAAAATGTGACACATATAAACCATGGAATACTATGTAGCCATAAAAAGGATGTGCTCATGTCTTTTTCAGGGACATGGATGAAGCTGGAAACCATCATTGTCAACAAAGTAACACAGGAACAGAAAACCAAACATTGACTGCACATTCTTACTCATAAGTAGGAGTTGAACAATGAGAACACACGGACATATGGAGGGGAACATCACACACCAGGGCCTGTTGGGGGTGGGAGGCTAGTGGAGGCATAGCATTAGGAGAAATATCTAATGTAGATGATGGGTTGATGGGTGCAGCAAACCACCATAGCACATGTATACCTATGTAACAAAGCTCCATGTTCTGCACATGTATCCCAGAATTTAAAGTATAATGAGAAAAAAAAAAACTTGAGTGTTTGTGGTCTTGTCTAGAAAGTTTGCTGTAAGGCCATTGGTTCTTTTTTTCTAACGGAAGATCAGATAACAAATTGCATTACATCTTTCAGTCTAGAAGAGATGAGAGAAGGAAAGAAAGGTCAGTGGTTAAGAAACTAGACTCTGGAGTCAGAGACCTTTGCCTGGGTTTAATTTCAGGCTCGACCAATTATTGGCTGAATAACTCAGGCCAAGTTTTTAAGTTCGTTCCATTTCTATTTCTTCATCAGAAAAAACACTGATTATAAAAGCACCCATTTTATGGTGGTGTGAGGTTTGAGCAAGGCCATCTTGGGAAGACCATTGCTTAGTACTTGACAAATTGTAAGTGTAAACATTTATTAGGCATCTGCTATGTTCCAGGCATTGGGTATAGAGACAAATGAATTGATTGTGCCCTAAAATAACTCGCCATCTAGAGGAAAAGGTAGACAAGTAGATGAAAGCTTGGGGAGAGAGAATTATATAAGGAGAGCCTGGAAACCCAAGGTGGTTGGCTCCTTGGGTTCAATGAAACCTCCACTGTTTCCTGAAAGAAAAGCAGAGTTTTCTAGGTAAAGGAAGCAGAGAGGGACTTTTTAGGTTGAGGAAGCATTAGGTGGCTCACATGTGTTTCTCAGGAAACATAACTCACCAATCTGAAAACATTAATTTAACCAAAATCAATCTAGCAACAATCTAACTAAACTGTGTCCTGAGAGTAAGGCAAAGTGAAGAGAATGGATTTAGTGAGAAAATATCTAGTCCTACCAGACCAGTGTATGATTCAACTGTTTTCACATAGCATTCTTTCCTTCTTGTGAAGCTGGTGTGATCTTTGTAGCATTCTTTTCTTTTTTCTTGCTCGAGTCTTCTTGTACAAAGCCTAGATGTTCTGTCCCTTTCTTCTGTGCCACCCGTACTAATTCAGTCCCTGATATCTCACCTTCATTTTCAGCATTAATATTGACTTTTCTCCAATGACTTCATTCTTTCTCTTTTTAGTCTCTCTCCTCAAGCATTGGTTAGCATTTTCCTTAAGTTACCACTTGAAATGATTCTTTCTCAAAAAGTTTCGCTTTTTTAGAAACAGATTCTGAGACAAATCTAATAATTTAATAAGCGGGGTTTGTTTTCCTGCATTCTCAAACTCCTGGGCTCAAGTGATCCTCCCACCTCAGCCCTTCAAACAGCTGCAATTACAGGTGCAAGCCACTGCACTTGGCTATTTTTAGTTTTTTGAAGAATCACTATACTGTTTTCCATAATGGTTGTAATATTTTACATTCTCACCAGCAGTGTATGAGTATTCTCCTTTCTCTGCATTCTCACCATAATTTGTTATTTGTTGTCTTCTTGATAACAGCCATTCTAACCGGGGTGAGATGATGTCTTATTATGGTTTTGATTTGCATTCCCTGATGATTAATGATGTTGAGCTTTTTTTTTTTTTTTTTTTTTTTGAGACATGGTGTCACTCTGTTCCCCAGGGTGCAGTGTAGTGATCATGGATCACTGTACCCTTGATCTCCCAGGCTCAAGCGTTCCTCCCACCTTAGCCTCCTGAGTAGCTTGGACTGCAGATGCGTGCCACCATGCCTGGCTGATTATTTAAATTGTTTTTATTTTTAGTAGAGATGAGGTCTTACTGTGTTGTCCCAGCTGGCCTCAAACTCCTGAGCTCAAGCAATCCTCCCATCTCAGCTTCCCAAAGTGTTGGGACTATCAGTCCCAGCTGAACTTTTTTTGTATAACTTTTTGCCGTTTGTATGTATTATTTTGAGAAACGTCTATTCAAGGCTTTTGCCCATTTTTAAATTGGATTATTTGTATTTTTTTCTATTGAGTTGTTTGGGATCCTTATATATCCTGGTTATTAATTCTTTGTCAGATGAATAGTTTGCAAATACTTTCTCCCATTCTGAAGGTTGTCTCTTCACTTTACTGATTGTTTCCTTTTCTGTGCAGAAGCTTTTTAACTTGATATAATCCCATTTATTTATTTTTGCTTTGGTTTCCTGTGTTTTTGAGGTCTTACCAAAAAAAAAAAAATCTTTGCATAGACCAAGGTCTTGTGTGTTTCCTCAGTGTTTACTTTTAGTAGTTTTATAGTTTCAGGTCTTACATTTAAATATTTTATCTGTTTTGATTCAATTTTTATATACAGTGAAAGATAGAGATCTAGTTTCATTCTTCTGCATATGAATATCCAGTTTTCCCTGCACTGTTTACATTTTACTTTTAAATTTTTATTAATTTATTGTCTGTATAGATTCAGAGGTTACATGTGCAGGTTTTTTACATGTATATGTTGTGTTATGGTGAGATTTGGGCTTCTAGTGTGCTCATCACTGGAATAGTGAACATTGTGCACAATAGGTAATTTTTCAATCACCCCTCCTTCTAACCTCCCCTCTTATCACCCTTCCTTCTGACCTCCCCTCTTTTGAAGTCCCAGTGCCTCTTATTTTCCTCTGTATTTTCATGTGTACCCATTGTTTAGCTCCCATTTATAAGTGACAATATGTGGTATTTGATTTTCTGAGTTATTTCAATCAGAAAAATGGCTTCCAGCTTGATCTATCTTTTGCTGCAAAAGGCATGATTTCATTCTTTTTAATGGCTGCATGGTATTCCATGGTATATATTGTACCACATTTTCTGGGGTATTTCTTTACCATGTTCTACCTGTCATTTTTGGGGGGACCACCCACAGAGTATTAACTCCCTGGTACTTGTGCCAGCTAGAAGAAGCTCTCAGGCATATAAGGGCAGGTACCAGCAATAAGAAGCTATCCATGCAGAGTAAAGGGGGAGGTGAGTGCTAAGGGCAACAATGGTATCTACTGCATTAAATTTTCTTTATCTTGCCTTCCTTCTTTCCTTCATTCTACTTCCTCCTTTACTTTGAACTTGTGTGTGTGTGTGTGTGTGTGTGTGTGTGTGTGTGTTGTAAACCCCACATTAATCCATTTAATCACAAATGTCAATGCAACTTAGAAACTGAAGGCTTAATACCCAGATGTTACTTCTCCAATGTCTCATGCAATCACTCCCATTACCTCTTCCCTTCTTAATTAAAACCTTATCACCTCTCTTTGGACTGGAGCAAATAACCTCCTAATTAGTCTCCCTGCTCCCAGTCTCCACATACATACTCTTCATTCTACATACTATTGCCTGAGCAATGTTCTCAATGCAGAGCTTACACTTGTGCCCTTTTCACCTCCATTCAGCAAAGCTTCTGGAAGTATGAAATTACTGGCCAGCCTAGCATTTTAGATTCTTTAACATTGGGACTATATCCATATTTACAGCTTCATTTTCTCATTCTTTCCTTAAAAGTTGCATATCACTCCCTGCCCTCTGAAATTGCCCTGTATTTCACCATCTGTATGTATTTGTTCCCTGTCTGAAATGCCGGCCCCAGCCCCACCTCATCCTTGAGGAATCTCCCTTCAGGAAACTTTCTTCAGGAAGTTCTCCTGAGCTCTTTCTCCATTGCCTCTTGTGGCATTCTGTGTCTCTCCCATAGCCCTTGCCATATTTTGCCATGTAATTATTGTAATTACATTGCTATGTTATAAGGTCCCAAAAGAAGAAAGGGACTAGAATACAGTGCTTTGCACATAGCACATATTTATTGACTTGAAGTATATATATATTATTAGCTTTATTGCCAGAGAGTGTATTTTTAAATAGATATTTAGCTTATCATAAATTTTAAATACGTACAAATGACATAAGTTTTGCTCAGATGTAAATGGGATTGTCTGACTTATCTACTATAGGAGACAGACACTGGCATACTGAGTATTATTATAAAGCACCAAGCAGGATTCCACAGATTCCAGATGCTATATCAAATGTGTATCAGAAATGATTTGTGCACGGATAGATAAAGGTTAATTTGCTTCTTTTCAGTTTAATTGCAGGAATTAAAATCCAGAACATCTGCTACACACAAACCCTTCTTTGTGACTCACAGAGACTATAACCTTCAGCTGCCTGCTGCAATCATATTTTCAAGAAAGAGCAATTCTTGCCTCCAAGCCTGGCCAGGGGTAGCCATGGGGTATGGGTGAAGTTGACCTTGGACACCTACACCTTTTTATGTCTACTTTTGTAATGTCCTTTCTTAGACTCAACCCCTTCCTCCATGCCTGGTTAGGTGTCTCATCATCCATGACTGATTCTCATTGGTGGGCATTTCATGTCCTATCAGCAACTCACCACCCAGGTGTTTATCACTGTGGAACTACCTCACCTCTACAAGAATGCTAAATCATGGTGTCTTTTCTCTGGAGAAAAAAGAGATACACTCTGCCCAAAATCTCTTACATGGGAGTTTCTTAAAGTGTAGTACGTCAGAACCACTTTGGTGGGGTGAGGTGGGGTAGGTATTCCCTAAAAATCTCAATTCTAGGGCTTTCCTAGGTTACAAAATCAAAATATTTCATGGTAGAAGCCAGGGAAGTGTTATTGGTAGTAGAATATCGCTAGTGATTTTTATGCATACTAAAGCTAGAAAACTGCTTTAAAGGTGTCTTACTTTTGGAATGGCTCCACTATACATGTTTCTAAACTGAACAAGCTTTCATAATGGTAGTCTATGGTCCCTGCTTTGAAAAGCAAAGTTCTAGACATAACATATAGATGACAGCTTCTGCATATGACTGTGAGCAAGTTCTGTGATAAGCATGTTGTCATTTTAAGAAAAATCTTAATTTTTAGATAAATTTTGATCACTCACATTGCTACATAAGTTTAGATTGAAAATAAAATAATAATATGTAAAATGACTGGATGTTACAGTGGAGGTAGCTGGGAGAGAAGAGTTAGAAATATGAATGACTCCACTGTCTACAGTCCACGCCAGGACTTTATCAGCCCTTAAGGAGCTCCTCTCTAGCTACAGAAGCCATAACTATTGCTTATCTCTGAGCAGCTGAAAGCTCTGGCTTTTACTTTCTTAAGATTCCTCACCCTGGCTTCTGCACAGATTCTGCAGACATCTCCCCTTTCACCTGATACCGCTGCTACCCTTTGTCACACTGTGGAAACAGTCATTATGAGAGAGCCTTGTTCTGTGTATTTAGCCCATTGTCAGGGAGCACCTGTCCCTAAAAAGTTCTAGAGGCTCCAATATTTCCTTTTTTTTCTGAAGCCTTATTTTTCATTAGCAACTCTCCTACCAGAAATTTCTCTCATCTCCATCTCTTATCAAAGACAACAGAGAATGAAGTTGTTGTGGGATCAGGAGGGTGGGTTGAGGACAATGATTTTGGTCTTGGAACTTGTCTGGGAAGCTCACATCCTCTGCACTCTCTGTATCTGGAACACATATTTTGAGAAAAACAATCTTCTGTACTTAGCATCTCTATATAATTTTAACTGGCCATTTTTGACTGATCTTTGAATATAAGTCACTATTTTTATGGAAAAAATGCAATCTGAATTTTTAGCAATGTCCTCAAGCTTCAATATATAAATAAATGACCAGGGGATCTTGTTAAATGCACATTTTAATTAAGTAGGTCTGGAGAGGGACCTGGGATTCTGCAATATGAGCAAGCCTTCATAATGGTAGTCTATAGTCCCTGCTTTGAAAAGCAGTGTTCCAGACATAACATGTAGATGACTTTTTAATATACGACCTGTTGTTTAGGTGTTGGAATAAATAATGGCTCAGATTCAGAAGTGCTTTCCTGTCCTGGTACTATGACTTTTCAAGGCCACTTTGACAGTTCATATGATCTCTGGACCTCATTGAAGACATCAGTCTGGAATAATCTTTTTTTTTTCTTTTTGTTGCTCAGGCTAGAGTACAGTGATGTGAGTATGGCTCACTGCAACTTCTGCCTCCCAGGTTCAAGTAATTCTTGTGCCTCAGGCTCCTGAGTATCTGAGACTACAGGCATGCACCACCACACTTGGCTAATTTTTGTGTGTGTGTTTGTGTTTTTGGTAGAGATGGGGTTTCACTGTGTTGGCCAGGCTAGTCTTGAACTTCCAGCCTCAAGTGATCCTTCCACCTCAGACTCCGAATGTGCTGGGATTATAGGCATCAGCCACTGCACCCAGCTGGAATGATCTTAATGGTCTCTTTCAGCTGTATAATTCTATGGTTAGTTTTCTTGTCATTAATATTAATTCACAGTAGCATCTATGGGCAGAATTTATCATAGACCATTATACATTGTTAGATAACATGTTGTGGGCAATTAACCCTTTATAATCAACAATGCTAAAGCAAACAAGTGAAAAGTTCCTTTCTTAACATGTAACCTAATTATGAATATCTTTTGAGAGGTCAGTTTTTCTATAGGAAGGAAATGAAATGGGTTAGATTATTTAAATTTAGGGCCAATGTTTCAGTTTTCTAATTGCCACTAAATGTTTGTATGATGCTATGTACTCCCTCCAAAATATGTAGTAGCTAGATGAACAAGACATTTTTCATAGTTTGTCATCTCTTCCTACCTTTCAGACTATTCACTGAGTTCTGCTTTCAATATCTTCTTCCTAGGGTCCACCCTTAAATGTGGTCTTTCTTAGGGTTATTGATATAATTGGGATGTTTGTTCCATCCAAATCTTATGTTGAAATGTGATACTCAATGTTCAAGGTAGAATGTAGTGGGAAGTGTCGGATCATGGGTGCAGATCCTTCATGAATGGCTTGGTGCCTTCCCTATGGTAACTAGTGAGTTCCCACTCTGTTAGTTCACACAGAAGCTTGTTGTTTAAAAAAGCCTGACATCTTTCTCTTACTTCCTCTCTTGCCATGTGATATGCCTGCTCCCCCTCCACCTTCTGCCATAACTGGAAGCTTCCTGAGGCCTCACCAGGAGCAGATGCCAGTGCCATGCTTCCTGTACAGCCTTCAGAACCATGAGCCAAAATAAACCTCTTTTCTTTATAAATTTCCCAGCCTCAGGTTTTCCTTTACAGCAACACAGACTAATACAGTTCTGTTTTAGACCTCTTTCCCATTATATCTAACCTAACCACCCATGCAGAGACCACCTGCCCCTGATGCCTTCCTTGAATTTAGCATAGACCTTTGTATAGACCTCTCCTTGGATACCCGCACACAGGCCCAGGCATTCCAAGTGAGCTTATGTTCCTTTATGTTAAACATAACAAAATTTAAAAGCAAGAACCCACATATTTTCCATCACTCATTTAGTCATCTCAACTAGAAACCTGAAAGTCATTCTAAATGATTACTGGAACCTCGGTTCCCATATCCAGTAAGTAGCCAAATCCAGTTGCTTCTACCTTTTAGATATCATATACACACATTTCTTTTTTCCTCCGCATCCCCAAGATCCCTGTCTTGTTTCAGACTCTTGCCATTCATCATCAAGACCATTGTTAAAGGACCATCATTGCCCTATCTGTCTCCAGTTGTGCCCCACCTTCTTGTAATTTTCTAGCTGTGGAGTGATCTTTACTAAATCCAAATATGAATGTGTTACACATCTTGCCAAAATCCATTCCCAGCCTCTTCATACAATACATGACAGAGGAGGCACCAGGGCTCCACAAGTGGTCCCTTTATACTTATTTGCATTGCTTTTCTTTAGTCTTCTTTAGGCACATCAGGCTCTGGCTACACAAAACCAACTGGGCTTATGTCTGATTGAGGATCTCCAAGACATTCTCCCAATTCCCTGCTTGAAGAGCTCCAACGCTTTACTCCTGCCTCAGCCTAAAGATCACTGGCCTTGGGAAGCCTTTCTTAAAAAACCTCCCTCTCCTTCAGCTGATAGCCCGTCCCCCCTCTGCATTCTGGTATCACCTTGTGTAATGATTACATGAGTATTGGATAAGTAAACAAATATCACATAACACCTACCATTAAAATGTCTTTGAAGGCTAGGACTCTATACCATTCATTTCTACATCCCAGCAACTAGATTGTGCTAGGCCAGTTTGATAAATTTTGATGGAATGGCTAAATAAACAGGAATATTTGCAAGAAACTTCAGACCATACCAGGCAGTTTGAACACTGATCAAGAGCTCCTAGCTGAGAGATCAAGCTTGTGGCTAAATTGTGAGTGGCTTGATGTGGGACTGTGTCAGTATGAATGTGGGAGTAATATCTTTGTATTCTTTTAAAGACATGGTATAGGCCGGCAGTGGCCCTGATACCAGTAGAAAAACTGTAAAGAAATTACTCAGCCAGGAAACTAAACCTATTTTAGAAGTAAAACTACTGAAGAAGATAGAGAAAACAGAGACAGTTTCTTAATAAATCAGAGGCAGAATAAAAGTGAAACTTTTGGAAAACATGTTGGTGGCCATGAAGAATGCCCTGAACCACTGAAGGGAGAATATTACTAAGTAGAATTTTGTGCCTCTAATGAGCCAGGCCCTGTGTTGGGGGTATTTTATGTTGTTTCATTTTTACAGTAATCCTGGGAGAAAGACAATATTTTCATTTTAACATTTCTCAACATCAAATTGGTATTTAATGGCCACGGTAGAAATTGGCCCAGCTAAGTTTATCCAGAGGCTTCTCTACCAGAGAAAAGAAGACAGTAATTACATCTGCTACTAAATCTACCCAGAGTATGGTAGATGCTTGGATGTTTGTCAAACAGGTGAACAAATGCATATATATATATATGAATAAATGGATGGATGGATGGATGGGTGGATGATGGATGAATGTTGCTAATAACCTAGAAGACATTCTTCACTTGGAGACATAACTTTAGGGGTAAACAGACAGGGTATCAGAAGGGCTAGGTTTACTCCTTAAATGATTATGGTGATATTTCCTTTTTTTTTTTTTTTTTTTTTTTTTTTTTTTCTGAGATGGAGTCTTGCTTTGTCACCAGGCTGGAGTGCAGTGGCATGATCTCTACTCACTGCAACCTCTGCCTCCCAGGTCCAAGTGATTCTCCTGCCTCAGCCTCCCAAGTAGCTGGGACTACAGGCATGCACCACCACGCCCAGCTAATTTTTGTATTTTCAGTAGAGACGGGTTTTCACCATGTTGGCCAGGATGGTCTCAATCTCTTGACCTTGTAATCTGCCCACCTCGGCCTCCCAAAGTGCTAAGATTACAGGCATGAGCCACCACACCCAGCCGGTGATATTTTCTCAGACCTATAACATCTCTTGTAGGCTCCTCCCTAGTAGAAAGGATGGAACTTATTGTGACAGAAAACAAAGTGATCTGAAATGTTTAAGGGGTATAGGCATTTTAAATCCTCACAACCACCCCATGAGGCCAATTCACAGATGAGGCAGTGAAAGCATAAAAAGGATTACACATTCAAGATCACACAGCTAAGTGTGGCATCTTATCTACTTTGTTTTGGGGGGATGTCTGGAGTCATCAGGGAATCAAAAATATATATAACTCAGCAATTTGCATTAAGCTGCCCCAAACTCCCTCATGTTACTGCTTCAAACACAGGATTCTTCCCTTTGGTCTTATGTTTTCAAGGTTTCCTCTGCATTTTTCATATTCAGTTTAGGTTGGAGTTCTGTCATGTCTGGGTATTCATGAATAATGGGAGGGACAGCCAATTTCACAAAATTGTTTAATTGAGGGACTGATGGATTCCAAGGAGGAATCTCTTCCCAAAAAAAAGAAAAGAGCAAGGCATCTTGATCCAGTCACAGAGATTCATCTACTGTCTGGGAGTAAGAAATTAAAATTTGGCTGGATGTTCTGAATCTACTCTGCCCAGAGTCAGGGGCTTTTACTTTAAAACCACATTTGCAGGAAGCAGAGCAATTGAGCATAGACTCTGGAGCCAGACTAAGTTATACTCCTGAATCTGCCACCTATTGTGTAAGCTCAGACAAGTTACTTAACCTTTCTGGATGGATGAGTGAACAAGCCACTCCAATATCTGGGTTGCAGACAGAAATGTTATGGTCTCTGTTAAGAAACAAAAAACACCAAAGAATAGTTACTTTTCCCTCTGATTTATGAGCCCTGCCCATATCTTCCAGAATGAAGCTAGTGTAGCCACTGCTGCTGTGGCTTTCAAATGTCAAACCATCAGTAGAGTAAGTTTCTACCTTATTTGGAGCTGCTTAATGGTCTGTATGTCTTCTATTAACTTCTTCCTACTACTCAAGTAAATCTTCAGTGGATCTTGCATGAAATCTTCCATAAATCAAAAAGACCTAAGACTTTTCTTAAAGGAAGGAAGAATCAACACCTGGATGCAACATTTTCTGGTCCAGTCTACAGTTCCCAGTGTTAGCAACGCAGAAGACAAATGATTTCTGCATTTCCAACGGAGGTACCAGGTTCATCTCACTGGGGATGGTCGGACAGTGGGTGCAGGACAGTGGGTGCAGCACACCGAGCGTGAGCCAAAGCAGGGCGAGGCATCGACTCACCCGGGAAGTACAAGGGGTCAGGGAATTCCCTTTCCTAGCCAAGGAAAGGGGTGACAGACGGCACCTGGAAAATCGGGTCACTCCCACCCTAATACTGCCCTTTTCCAACGATAGCAAAGACTTGGAACCAACCCAAATGTCCAACAATGATAGACTGGATTAAGAAAATGTCGCACATATACACCGTGGAATACTATGCAGCCATAAAAAATGATGAGTTCATGTCCTTCGTAAGGACATAGATGACGCTGGAAACCATCATTCTCAGCAAACTATCGCAAGAACAAAAAACCAAACACCACATGTTTTCATTCATAGGTGGGAATTGAACAATGAGAACACATGGACACAGGAAGGGGAACATCACACACTGGGGCCTGTTGTGGGGTGGGGGGAGGGGGGAGGGATAGCATTAGGCAATATACCTAATGTTACATGAAGAGTTCATGCATGCAGCACACCAACATGGTACATGTATACATATGTAACCTGCACATTGTGCACATGTACCATAAAACTTAAAGTATAATAAAAAAAATTTTCTAAGCTGATTTTAAACCAGCTTGATACACATATTATGCAAGAGGTTTCCAAGAAGTTAAAAGTATTCTCCAGCAAAGTAACCCCTATCTAAAGTAAACACTCTTCAAAAAGTTATTTTTGTTTTTATTTTTTTCATTTTATAGGAGCAATGCCTTATGTAGGATAATTTTGATATTTAACATTATATTCTGTAATAATTTATTTGAAAATAATCTAAATAGTGCCTCCAGGACCCAGTGGAACTCCACATCTCACTAGAACAGGTTGTGAGAAAGAGACAGTTCATCAGATTCGCACTCTATGACTTCAATGTACAATGCACAAAAGAGTTTGGATATTATCATGGTTTTCATAGCTCAAGTTTATTCTGGAGGGTTGCACACACTAGGCAGTTGGATTGTATAATCTCTAAGGGCCCTCCAGGTCTGACCTATAACTTTCTTTGCTCTATGGCAGCTTAGGCTTTTGTGGGTATCAAGTCTATGGAAAATCTTCCCCATGCTCAACACACTGATGCACAGATCTTTAGCACCCACTTGTTGGGCTGCTAAAGCACTTTTAGTTATGTAAATAAAAAGTGAAGGATATAAGATACAAACACCAGATACTCTAAGAATATGGAGTGTGGAACTTTAAACTTTTTGTTAGAGGGGAAATTTTAAGAAACTGGAGAGCACCGAGTCCCTGCTGGGAGGAAATGGTACAGGGCAGGGTGGTCAGAGGAATACCACAGTTCTGCCTCTAGCTGGCACTTTATCTTCCACTGTGCCAAATGGACTGTGTGGCTGGAGAGGAGATGGATTGTCCTCATCATTCAACACACCTAAGAATGAGCTTTATTGCAGTTAGATGGAAGTGAGAACCCATAGGTTCATTTTTGTAGGTCTATCCTTCCCTAATTCTTATTTCTGAGGTGGATCTGCAGTTTGGAGTTTCTATCAATTAAGCAATAGAACAAGTACTTATTTCTTTTCTAAAATACTATACACAAAATTTCAAGCATTCAGCAAGTCAAAAGCATTTTACAGGGATGATTCCTTTAACAATTTCCTGGATTTCACTGTTGGTACATTATATTGTCTCCTCATTAACTAATCCACAGAAGTTGCCCCTGGCCACTATTAATAGAATCTGGGACCTACTTGCCACCAACAAGTTTTCTTTCTCTTCCTGTGGAGGTTGTTCTTCTCATGTAGGTGCCCAAGAGTTTAACAAAAAGGATCCGAAGATAGCCAGAGTGGAAAGGAGGGCAGATTATTGAATTCCCACTAATGGAGTCCAAGCTCAAAAAAAAAAAAAAAAAAGAACATATGAAAGTATTTGAATCCACAGAAAGGAACCAGTCTGACTTTTATGAAGGCAAGAGAGCTGTCTGACCTTGGCAAATGTGGGGTGGGGGAGATGAGATGAGAAGCAGCAAGGTCTTTCTAATCTTCAAAACTTGTTACAGTTTTTCTACTAAACCTGCTTATCTTCTAAAGAGGAAACTTCAATAAGAATTTATTTTCAGAGGAACATTGTAAAAATTGGATTAAAAATCTAATTCAAACTAGCCATATATCTTAAATAAAGTACCACTTCTATTCCTTAGTTGGTTTTGTATTAGCAAGTCAATTCAAAAGTAAAAAATTCTCAGTAAGTAATCCTATCTATAGGCTGCAAGAACAGCCATGATAGTAATATGTGCCTTACATTGCTACACCTGTGAGTGTTCATTGTCCTTTGAGAGCCTTCCAATTGAGGGTGGACTCCTCCTGCACACATGGCCCAGGAAAGAGCAGTGCAAAACCTGGAAGTTGCTTCCACAGTATGTACAAGAATTTCCCAGGATACCAATTAAAAGAAGACTGGCAAAGGAAAGCTATGGCCACTTCAGTGATAACAAAGTTTTTGCTGAATTTATATGCTTGCCGAGGAAGGAAACAGAACCCACTGAACTTTTCACTGAGTGATAAAAAATCAGGCTGTTTATGTGCTAGAAAATGATGGAAAGTTTGTACTCTGGATAGGACAGAATGAGTTCAGAATTTACACATGATGGATTAGATAAGTTCCATTGCACACTGGTTAGGAAAAACTCTTCAGTTGGGTCCAGGAGGCATATTGGCACACTGGGGCATTCAGAGTTCTTGACCAGTTATCAGCTTTGGCTGGCAGATGGCTCAAAGTTCATGGTTGTTTAATAGCTTCAGTTTGTTGAAACAAAGCATTCAATTTTGTTATCACCTAGGCAAATGTTATTGGAAGTGGGGGAATTTTCCTTTTAAAAAGTGTAGAGATCATATAGTTCAGTGTTTTCAAAAACTGTTTCTACTTAAAATATTTTTTAAGCAGTGAAAAGTTTTCTCTAAAAATAATCCTACACAGAGGTCCAATATGAAAAACAGAGAAAAGCAAAGCTATCATGGTGAAAATAGGGATAGGGACTTTGGTGTCTCCTCTGCTCAGCATTCCACCTGGCTCCCCACCTAAGCACCTGGGGAGCGGAGTGCTGGGTGGTGTCCTATCTGGGTAGAACAGAAGAAAGAGAATCAAGTGACTTGCTGAAAAAAGAAAAAAAAAATTGCCCCATTATTATCAAAGAATCCCAGAATCACAGGGTCAAACAAGCTCAGGTTTAAATGGAGCTTCGAAAGTCGTTTATTATCCCAACCCTTCAATCTTCCAGCTTAGGAGAGCTGCAGCCTCTGCTTATATTCATAGTGACTAGGCTCTTCCTGTTTCTGAGACACCCTGTCCTCAGTCAGCTCTGGGCACTGAGACTTGAATAAGCACTGCCTCTCTGTGGCAAGCAGACATCATCAGCCCCTCCGAACAGCTGCTTCTTAAAAATTACACAGAATGGAGTTTAATCCCAATTTTACGGGAAAACTTGCTATCATCATCATCATTATCATCATCATCATCATTATCATCATCATCATTAATCAAATATGTGCTATGTCAGACTTTAGCAGAAATAGATCAACTTTGCAGTGAGAGAAGTTTGGGTTATGAATTCTGGTTCTCCACTTAGAAGCTATGTGACCTTCAACTAGGTACTTCATCATCATCTGTAAAATGGGGGTAAGGATGCCTGTATCAGTGGACTGCTTGAGAATTATGTGGGATAATGTTTGCAAGGCATTTCCTTTATTTTCACAGTGGTATATTAAGGTGTGCATGGACATTAGAAATGATAATTCAGTGGATTTCAGAAAACAAACCAAAATACTAAGAGAGTTCTTTCTTTTTTTATTTCATATTTTTATTTATTTTATTTTTTTATTTTTTATATATATATGTATTTTTATTATACTTTAAGTTCTAGGGTACATGTGCACAACGTGCAGGTTTGTTACATATGTATACATGTGCCATGTTGGTGTGTTGCACCCATTAACTCGTCATTTACATTAGGTATATCTCCTAGTGCTATTCATCCCCCCACCCCACAACAGGCCTCGATGTGTGATGTTCCCCTTCCTGTGTTCAAGTGTTCTCATTGTTCAATTCCCACCTACGATTGAGAACATGCAGTGTTTGGTTTTTTGTCCTTGCGATAGTTTGCTGAGAAGGATGGTTTCCAGCTTCATCCATGTCCCTACAAAGGACATGAACTCATCATTTTTTATGGCTGCATAGTATTCCATGGTGTATATATTCACAGCCAAAGGAGAAAAAATAAGGGTTTAAAATGTTGTATCCTCTAATAAGAAAAAAGAACTCTCAATTAGACTGGATTGAGAGTTCTTTTTTTCTTATTAGAGGATACAACATTTTAAACCTTTGTTTTTTCTCCTTTGGCTGTGATGTGGGCACTGATAATTAATTCCTACACAGAAGCAGCATGCTTTCACTTATTCAGGTTGTGATAGGAGTTGGGGCTGGAGGTGGGAATCATGGCTTTTTGGCCTTGCCTGCTTGCAAATCAGTGAGACTGAGGCCATTTCCTCTCTGACTTTAATAAAACTCAATACTTCCGCCAGGAATCCACAAGTATCAGGCACTTCTCACATTCTTAGGGGGACAGACTACAGGAAAGCATTTGAAAGTGGTCAGAATATGCTAGGATGCTTTAGCCCAGGGGTGTCCAATCTTTCGGCTTCCCTGGACCACACTGGAAGGAAAAGAACTGTCTTGGGCCATGCATAAAATACACTAACACTAATGATAGCTGATAGGCTAAAAAGAATACCAAAAATATATCTTAATGTTTTAAGAAAGTTTATGAATTTGTGTTGGGCTGCATTCAAAGCTGTCCTGGGCCACATGTGGCCCGTGGGTCACGGGTTGGACAAACATGCCTTAGCTAATAGTGGGACAGATGTGGACATTGTTTTCCATTGTGCTGTGGTCTGGTTTTCCACTTGAATTGCACATGTTCTTTCTACTAGTATCCCTGAAACTTTGGTTAACTGATTAATAATAATTAGACTATATATAATTGCTTAATTTTTCATTATGCTTAATCTTGATTGCTGAAATATTATTTTAACAACATTATCCCAAATTTTAATTATTCCATCCTCTTTTCTAATATTTAGGGATACACAGGCTTTTTCATGGTTGCAATGAGAATGTTCATATAGTTTTATGTTCTGATTTTCTCATATAAGTGTTAGCTATGAGCTCATAGTTATGAGCTATGTTGCTGTGTTATTTTCATGATGATTGTAATAGAAGCATAATTATAAAAAACACATTTTACTTAACAGTTCTCCCACTGACATCTATTTTAGTTGTTTTTAATGCATTTCCCTTGCAAAACAAATCTAGCTTATTAATTTGGGTTCTGTTTCTTGTGATCAACAGGAATTCTTTTTAAAATCGGTCGACCTTGTGAGATGGATATTGAGCCAATTCACAGAATTCAGAAGGCTTTCTGTAACCAAGCCTTAAAAAAGGGTAAGGGTGGGGCTGAGCATTAGAACCACTGCAGAAATTTGAAGGCTTCTTTTCCCATTCACCTGATCTGCCTCTTTCTGTGCATCTGTTTAATTTTCCTCTCCTGCTTCAGCTAGATTCCCTGTTATTTTCTTCTCAGACCAAATGACGGGAATCTTGGCTATCCACAAATCCTAGAATTTTACTCATTGTAGTTTTAACCACCTCTTGCTTGGTTCTAGTTCTAAACATCCAGCAAGGGGGGATGAAGAGGGCCATTGTGAAATCAGGTGCTCATTTCTGGACCAACTCATACAGATAGGAGCTGGAATCTGGGCAGGGCGAGGTCCCCACCCTTGGCAGTAGGGGGTAGAAGTAGGTCCACATCTACAAAAGGATTGCTCTCATGGAAAGTATACAAATGTGAGGAGTGGCTCCCAGAAAAATGGGTTACTGAAAAAAGAAATATATATGCCTAATATAGCAAAAAAAACCAAAACACTTCATATTTACATTTTCTCATTTTTTTGATTAATTCATTTAGTCGAATTATAAGTGGTGACACTAGTAGGCTAAAGGGGATATCCTGTCTAATGGTTCTGGAGATAATTTACCAGTTTACATTCCTCAAACTGCCTTAATCAATCCACAGTGTCCTTTATTTTCAATGCCACCCCTCTCCTGTCCTTTTTGCTGACATAGAACACATGGGTACAGATGGTGTTGGTGATCTTAGGAGAAGAAAGAAGGGTCAGGGTTGGGTTGCTCAGTTCATTCTTTGAGCCAAAATCTTTTGTGTGTGGCTATTTGGGGGAATACATAGGGCTGTGGCTCCCTCTCCACTCCTCCCAGGCTGCTGCCTGACTGGCCACTCTTCTCATGCCATTATCTTGTTTTACTTTCTGAACTTTCTTTTCCATCCAACCTTGCTACAAAAATGAACTCCCTGCTGTTTCAGAAATATGCAAAACAAACAAACAAAAAGCTGTTTTGGTAAGTGTTTTTACTGCTGGTCACACCAGGGAAACCAACAGGGTTGGTCAAAATGACAAACACTGGTGAGAGCTTAGAATAGCTCACAAATTCTAAAATTGCTTCAAGATCTTACTGAAATGTAAAGGAACCTAAAAAGATTATATTTGTCCTCTTCTCTAGGTCACTTGGTTTCCTTTCTTAGATCATGTAACCAATTCCATACATTAGTGACATTTTTAAAGGCATTGAAATCACCTATATGCCCATTATAGAGAATTTTGAAACGATAGAAACAGAGTGTAGACATATCACTGATGATACCATTCAGAGTCTTTGCTTTCAAAATCAATTCACTTGATCACATCAGGTTTATCCTGGTCTAGGTTCCTCAGTCCTGAGACCAAGGTAGATCCCGTGTTGGGACCACGTCCTCCCCGTGTGTGTGTGTTTGCATGACTACATGTGTTGGGGGTGCCTTTCAGAGTCACCTTCCTGAAACCTGTAAAGAATTCATGGCTCTGAAAGGTTCCTCCTTAGCTGATTTCCTAGAATTCTTTCTGGGGCCTGAGACTGTGGTGTCTGCCCACAGCCCCCTCTGTTGCATGTCCTGGCTATCTCTGTCTCTCTTTTTTCATTTCCCCCATGAAGAACCCAACCCTGCATTGTTTTCCCTGTTTTTCTCCCTGAGTTTCAGGCTGATCTGCAACAACCTAGTATTGCTTTCTTTCTAATTTTTGATAGTTTCTAGTGCTAGAAGTCGCTGGGCCCCTGTCCCTGGCATAGGTTGACTCCTTTGATTTGCAACAGCCAGAAGCCAGTTTTAAGGTTTGCCTTTTCCTTATCTGACTTTGGTTTCTCTACATGCTATTCTAAGTGGATGGCTTCTTCTGATACACGTCCAAGTACCTGATGGCAAGCTCATCATTTTTGCATCTGCCTTTGTGGAAGTGACAATGTTACATGTTCGATGTTCATCTACCCCACACCCCTTTTCTCCTCTCTTTCATTCCTATGAGATCCTTCACATTCTTCCTTACCTGAACTAGCCAGACGTTCACAGAAGATGCAATGGTAAACTAGAGAATCATAGTCTCAGGATATAAGGACTCTGGGTCTGTAAATGACTGCTTGGATCAGAGCTTTCCCCCTCTTTACCTCAGTGTTCACCCACAGTGGACTACAGTGCAGAAATAAACCTGTATTTTGTAAATGACAGAGTTTAGTTATTGTTATAGCATTTAGACTTCCTTACCAATACAGCCTCTAGTAACTCCAGCCAGCTTCTACTTTTTCCCTTGCTTCAAAATATGTGTCCATTGTTGACTTTTCAGCAACTTCTGTTCCTTCTCTGAGGGGGTACTTTAGTTCTCAGTTCATTCAAGAACAGAAGTGTGACTCACTGAGCTCAGTGATATGAGAATTTACCGGCTCTACTCACTCCTGTAGTTTCTTTCTCAGTTATCACCTGAGGGCTCTTCCTCCCATTCCCCAGCTCTCCCTCCAATTCCCCACTCCCCAACTCCCCATTTAATTGGAGTCATCTCTCACAATGCCAGATTGCTTTATCATAAGAAATATTAGTGTCATTACTTCTAAATGGAGGGGTAAGAATTGCTTCTTACCTTTTAATTTAGATTTAAAGAAATAATATTTTCTACAGTTTGAGCTTCTTCCCAAGTCTTTTAACTGTCAGTTTTTAAAAAGCATATTCTTTGTTCCCCTTAGCATTGTAATGGTAGCTTGTGTACCGCATGTAACTTTCAGGTGACAGATATTTTAACATTATCCCAGTTAGTTCTCCAAGCAATCTTAATGTCAATATTGTTATCCTCATTTTACAGAGGGCTAACTAACTCGCTTAAAGCCACACAGCCAGCAAGAGATAGAAGCAAAATTATGACCTGAATGGATTCAGGTGTTTCACTTCATTATTCAATACCATACTGTTCATTTTACCACCTACTTTTGTAGACACTGGAGTCTTTTATTTGTGTAGACTTCAACATGCTAGAAAAAGAAGCCCAACAGGAAGGTTTAAAAAAAAAAAAAGCTTGCTTTGCTAGCAATAACTCTCTAAAGCTACTGAAGAGCAATTGTATAAAAAGAAAAATGTATATTATATATTTATGCTAATTATTTTCAAGATTGAGCATAGTTTATAGTCTATATAGCTTGCTCTATGTTATATATATAGTTATAGTCTATATAGCTTGCTCTGCGTTCCTCTTCAACTCTTGAGACAGTAGTTGAGAAAGATCCATATAAAATATCATTTTTAAGAAAAGATAATTTGAAATTTATAATCCATATGGTGGAATTTCAGTAGGTTCTGTTGGTGGCCTCAGGAGTTGGAAAGTGCACCATTTTTATCATTTTAGGCTTTAGCAAAAGGTCTTCAATGTTTGGGGAGAGGTAATGACCAGATGAACATACTTCAGCCAGAAAACTTTATTGCCATTAAAAATAACTGAACTCATGCTCTGCTTTCTGGCAACTTATGGTTGTAAAAAACTAAAAGGTACAAATACTAGTCCAGAAACACAGTCTCCTGGCATCAATAGTACTCATTCTTGCTTAGCTAATACTCAATAGAGATTTAATACTATAGTAATAATAAAATATAATATAGATTTAATCCTTGGTGACTAAAAATTGAGTAAACATTATTTTGGTGATTTATGTTGCTATCTTGGTAAATTTCCCAAAATTTAAGTGTATCTATATGCATTTGTTTAAAGTAAGATAACATTACAATTTTATCTTCTATTTTTAATTATTACATATTTTGCACCTGTGCTATTAAATAATTTTAACAATCATAATTTTAATGGTTGAATAATATTTTGTTATGTGGACATTGATGGTTCATTTGAACTATCTCCTTTTAATAATCGAACATTACAAAATATCTAAAGTTTTTATAATTCAAAGATTATAATAAAACTAATTAGATATTTCCATGTGTCTACATTCCAGGTCATATTTTTAGGATAATTCTCAGGAATTCAATTTAGCTGGTCACAGGCTATGAACCCATATCAAGCTCTTAATGCATGCTGGTATTTCCAGAAATATTTTACAAAATTATGAGGGTTCCTTTCTCAACTCTAATATTAATTTTAATAATTTATCTAATATTTATATCAATCTTTAAAACAATCCATTTTATAAGTTCAAACTGGTATTTATAAATATCTTTAATTTTACAATGTCTCCTTTAAGTTACTTATTGTTGAGTATTACTTTTTTTGTTCAATACATTCTTAATCTTCACTGAAGAAATTATATTTATTTTTAATAATTGTAAAAGTCAACTTTTTATATATATGTGTTAAATTCTAACTTTTGGGGTTTTTTTGCTGTTAAAATCATGTTCAGAGATTTAAAATGTTATCCACTTTTAATTCTGCCACCAATTACCTTGGAAATCTTTAGAAAATGCATTTATTCTACATCTTTAGTATTGTAGAAATGAAGGACATATATTCAAATTCTTTCTTGTCTTGTAAGATAAGGAATTTAGTGTGCTTTTACTTATCCCAACTTCTCATTACCCTCATTGTTCCAACTTTTATTAATATCTTGAAGTTTTTTCTTCAAAATGATCATGTAAAAATTACTGTTTTTATCTTATATATCTTCTCTTTCAGAAATTATTTTAACATTTGAATTTAGTTTTTGTTACCATTATTGCATAAATAATTTGGAATTAACTAGTCTTATTAAAAATAATTTCTGTACTGAGTTCTTATTTTTTATTCCTATCTTAGCTAGCTGGAGAGTAACTTCAAGTCACTTTTAAGAAATAAGGACATGTGAGTGGTTTCTATTCTTTGACCTTGCAAATAAGAGAATGACTTTTTGTTTTCTTTATACATGTGAATAATAAATTAGTTGGGATTCAAATTATTTCATCAAAAGACAAAGACATTTTGTCTTCAAAATTCAGTAAGTGTGCTTCACAGTTTTCAGATATGTAGCAATAGAGAGGAAATGCTATTTTTTTTGTGTAGAGTTTGTAGGATTTTTCTCCTATATCCTTATGATTCAACAGTATTATAGGAGATGTCCTGATATGAGTCTCTTTTCATTATTTTGTCTGCTATTCTGAACTCATGTCATTACATATTACTTGGTTCCAACTATAATGACTTTTTCTTTCAGTGTGCCTGTAATTCTCATGTGAGATTTATGTTCTCTGACTTTTATTTTTTTCATCCCTGTCATTATTTAAATATCTTTGTCCTTTTCCTCCATATTCTTCAGAAGCATCTCGTTTGACTTCATTAGCCAAGATTTTGCTTTGATTCATCCTGCCAAATCTCTTACTTTCAATGTAAATGTTTAATTTTGCTATTGTCACTTTGCTTCTTTGCAGTCTTATATATCACAACTGATTTTCATCTCATTGCATTATTTCCATTTTTCTCCATAGCAACATGTCTGCTTGTTCATCCTTTCTCATTTCTAATAGATACAGAGAAAACTTTTGCACCATTGTAATTTCCAGGAGTATCTTGCTCCCAACGGGCAATCAGGAGCTTTTGTGGTGAGTCTTGGTTGTATGTTGGACTGTTGGACGAATGACTTGTCTTATTTTGATCACTTTGAACAGAAACATTATTGCTTCCCCCACCCCCACCATGTTCACAACCTTGACACTATGGAAATTTTGAGCCTAATAATTCTTTCTTGAGGGAGCTGCCCTGTGCATTGTATATCCTGTACATTAGCAGCATCCCTGGGGTCCATCTACCAGATGCCAGTAGCACTTCCTTCTTCTCCTCTAAAGACATCAAGATGTCTCCAGATTTTGCCAAATAAATTCCCCTTGGGGGCAAAATTATAGCTGGCTGAGAACCACAACTCTACAGAAATTACACAAATTCAGTTCAAGAATTTATTTTAACGGTTGTTGACTAGGAGGGAGATCAAAATGAGTCAAGAAATCATGAAAAGGCACTTGCATTCATGGAAAGAGTCTGGTGTTTCTAAGAATGGCAAAATATCATAAATGCTGAAAGTGGTGGATAGTTTGTGAATAATGCATTAGTCAGGTAATTTTGCAACAGTAAAGGCAACAGGAGCTGAGAGTGACAGCCAAGACACTGTTCCCATCCCTAGTGTGGGACTAACATGAAACACCAGGTGGTCAACAAACCTATGGATAAATCAGCATTGTGTCCCAGAAAGTTAGTTTCAAGAGCAAGACAATACATTTCAGAGTATTCAGTGGGTACTCTGAAAGTTAGAGACCGAAGGAAAGAGGTTGGTGGATGTGATTTTCAATGAGCAGTGAAGCATGAAATGAGTCATTTATATCATTTGATAAAAGCTGATGTTTTTTTCTAGGCAGACATTTTGTGTTCTCACAGCAGCATAATCTAAAGTTCACCCCATTTGAAATAGCTTTCACTATATGGTAAAGAGTTTATTGTTTTAACTCAGCTAGATGTACAATATAGCACAACTAATATGATTACATATTTTTGCACATATTTTGTATATTCTCCCTTTAAATTTAAACACAATAATCAGCATGAACTTAATTATGCTGTCTTTAAGTAAATTTATGTCTATTTTGGAATGAATTCAGTATATGACTATAAAATGCATTTTGCCTTTGTTTGCTTCACTGTCTTTGCTCAGAAAGAAAGTGACTAATGTTTTCTGGTAATAGCAATTACAAGAAAAGTTGTTTCATGTAGCAACAGAATCCTTCATGAACAATATTCAACTATTCTTGGTAGAGCCCTTTTTCCTTCCCCAGTCTGTTTCACTTCAATAGTTTAATTGTGTATGAAGTGTTATCTAAATTTTAGATTTTGAGCAAAATAATCAACTGCCGGCATACTTGTTGCTATTCCAATGTTATGTGCCTACATATTTGTCATCAGCTAAATGTATCTGGGAATGCATAGAAAGCATGAAGCCTAAAGGTTAAAAGGGAATATAGAAAAAACCTTTTTTCCCACTTGAAACAGTATTTTGAGTAATGGGAATTGTTAGTATTCTTACTGTGAACAAAAGCCTTTGTATTTTTGGCAGGCTGCGAGAATGCACAACAATGAACCTGAGAAAGAGTTCCTGGGTTGGTCAGTCTCTCTCTCTCTCTCTCTCTCTCTCTCTCTCTCTCTCTTTTTCTCTCCGTCCCTCCTCCTTCTGTCAGGAAGCAAAGCCAGTGAGGAATCAACCATGCAGGTTCTGCTGGACTTTACACTTCTGCAAAGTATTCTTGTCTTTGGACAAAAGGTGCATTACAGAGGTCTGCCCGCTACTTCCCCTACCTCATACAGGCACAATTCCTCTCATAGTTCCTTCTTCCTCTGAGGGTTTGGCCAGAAAGAATAAAACACTATTTCACTGTTTTTAGCATGTAAGTTCTCTTCTACCCAAGTTCTTACTGGAGAGCTGCACAGCCCTCTATGCATCTGGAGGGGGTGAGAGAAACCTTTAGTAGTCAGCCAGTGCTGTCTGTGGTGTGTCTGGCCTTGTAATGACTGGATGCAGTTGCATGATTGAGAGAATATCATTATTTCTTAAATTGGATAGCTACTTTTCTTGGAATTGCTAGATTCTTTTTTTAAAAAATTATGAACCATTGCTTTCTTTTATTATTATTATTATACTTTAAGTTCTAGGGTACATGTGTACAACGTGCAGGTTTGATACATAGGTATATATGGGCCATGTTGGTTTGCTGCACCCATCAACTCATCATTTACATTAGGTATTTCTCCTAATGCTATCCCTCCCCCAGAACCCACCCCCCGACAGGCCCCAGTGTGTGATGTTCCCCGCCCTATGTCCAAGTGATCTCATTGTTCAGTTCCCACCTATGAGTGAGAACACATGGTGTTTGGTATTCTTTCCTTGTGATAGTTTGCTGAGAATGATGGTTTCCAGCTTCATCCATGTCCCTGCAAGGGACATGAACTCATCCTTTTTTATTGCTGCATAGTATTCCATGGTGTATATGTGCCACATTTTCTTAATTCAGTCTGTCATTGATGGGCATTTGGGTTGGTTCCTTGTCTTTGCTATTGTGAATAGTGCCGCAATAAACATACTTGTGCATGTGTCTTTATAGTAGCATGATTTATAATCCTTTGGGTATATACCAAGTAATGGGATGGCTGGGTCAAAGGGTATTTCTAGTTCTAGATCCTTGAGGAATCGCCACACTGTCTTCCACAATGGTTGAACTAATTTACACTCCCACCAACAGTGTAAAAGCATTCCTATTTCTCCACATCCTCTCCAGCATCTGTTGTTTCCTGACTTTTTAATGATTGCCATTCTAACTGGTGTGAGATGGTATCTCATTGTGGTTTTGATTTGCATTTCTCTGATGACCAGTGATGATGAACATTTTTTTATGTGTCTGTTGGCTGCATAAATGTCTTCTTTTGAGAAGTGTCTGTTCATTTCCTTTGCCCACTTTTTGATGGGGTTGTTTTTTTCTTGTAAATTTGTTTGAGTTTTTTGTGGATTCTGGATATTAGCCCTTTGTCAGATGGGTTAGATTGCAAAAATTTTCTCCCATTCTATAGGTTGCCTGTTCACTCTGATGGTAGTTTCTTTTGCTGTGCAGAAGCTCTTTAGTTTAATTAGATCCCATTTGTCAATTTTGGCTTTTGTTGCCATTGCTTTTGGTGTTTTAGTCATGAAGTCCTTGCCCATGCCTATGTCCTGAATGGTAATGCCTAGGTTTTCTTCTAGGGTTTTTATGGTTTTAGGTCTAATGTTTAAGTCTTTAATCCATC
Organism: Homo sapiens; assembly: GCF_000001405.40. NCBI lineage: Eukaryota > Metazoa > Chordata > Mammalia > Primates > Hominidae > Homo > Homo sapiens. Next base: position 86,267,695 of record NC_000006.12, read on the forward strand.
TTGAATTAATTTTTGTATAAGGTGTAAGGAAGGGATCCAGTTTCAGCTTTCTACATATGGCTAGCCAGTTTTCCCAGCACCATTTATTAAATAGGGAATCCTTTCCCCATTGCTTGTTTTTGTCAGGCTTGTCAAGGATCAGATGGTTGTAGATGTGTGGTGTTATTTCTGAAGCCTCTGTTCTGTTCCATTGGTCTATATATCTGTTTTGGTACAAGTACCATGTTGTTTTGGTTACTGTAGCCTTGTAGTATAGTTTGAAGTCAGGTAGCATGATGCCTCCAGCTTTGTTCTTTTGGCTTAGGATTGTCTTGGCAATGTGGGTTCTTTTGTGGTTCTATATGAACTTTAAAGTAGTTTTTGCAATTCTGTGAAGAAAGTCATTGGTAGCTTGATGGGGATGGCATTGAATCTATAAATTACTTTGGGCAGTATGGCCGTTTTCACGATATTGATTCTTCCTATCCATGAGCATGGAATATTCTTCCATTTTTTTGTGTCCTCTTCTATTTCCTTAAGCAGTGGTTTGCAGTTCTCCTTGAAGAGGTCCTTCACATCTGTTGTAAGTTGTATTTCTAGGTATTTTATTCTCTTTGAAGCAATTGTGAATGGGAGTTCACTCATGATTTGGCTCTCTGTTTGTCTATTAATGGTGTATAGGACTGCTTGTGATTTTTGCACCTGGATTTTCTATCTTGAGACATTGCTGAAGTTGCTTATCAGCTTAAGGAGATTTTGGGCTGAGACGATGGGGTGTTCTAAATATACAATCATCATCTGCAAACAGGGAAAATTTGACTTCTTCATTTCCTAACTGAATACCCTTTATTTCCTTCTCTGGCCTGATTGCCCTGGCCAGAAATTCCAACACTATGTTGAATAGGAGTGGTGAGAGAGGGCATCCCTGTCTTGTCCTGGTTTTCATAGAGAATGCTTCCAGTTTTTGCCCATTCAGTATTATATTGGCTGTGGGTTTATCATAAATAGCTCTTATTATTTTGAGATATGTTCCATCAATACCTAGTTTATTGAGAGTTTTTAGCATGAAGGGCTGTTGAATTATGTCGAAGGCCTTTTATGCATCTATTGAGATAATCATGTCGTTTTTGTCATTGGTTCTGTTTATGTGATGGATTATGTTTATTGATTTGTGTATGTTGAACCAGCCTTGCATCCCAGGGATGAGGCTGACTTGATCATGATGGATAAGCTTTTTGATGTGCTGCTGATTTCAGTTTGCCAGTATTTTATTGAGGATTTTCACATAGATGTTCATTGGGGATATTGGTCTAAAATTCTCTTTTTTGTTGTTGTGTCTCTGACAGGCTTTGGTATCAGGATGATGTTGGCCTCATAAAATGAGTTAGGTAGGATTCCCTCTTTTTCTATTGATTGGAATAGTTTCAGAAGGAATGGAACCAGCTCCTCTTTGTACCTCTGGTAGAATTCGGCTGTGAATCCATCTGGTCCTGGAGTTTTTTTGGTTGGTAGGCTATTAATTATTGCCTCAATTTCAGAGCCTGTTATTGATCTATTCAATGATTCAACTTCTTCCTGGTTTAGTCTTGGGAGGTTGTATATATCCAGGAATTTATCCATTTCTTCTAGATTTTCTAGTTTATTTGCATAGAGGTGTTTATAGTATTCTCTAATGGTAGTTTGTATTTCTCTGGGAGCAGTGATGAGATCCCCTTTACCATTTTTTATCATTTCTATTTGATTCTTCTCTCTTTTCTTCTTTATTAGTCTTGCTAGCAGTCTATCAATTTTGTTGATCTTTTCAAAAAACCAGATCCTAGATTCATTGATGTTTTGAAGTGTTTTTGTGTCTCTGTCTCTTTCAGTTCTGCTCTTATGTTAGTTATTCCTTGCCTTCTGCTAGTTTTTGAGTTTTTTTGCTCTTGCTTCTCTAGTTCTTTTAATTGTGATGTTAGGGTTTCAATTTTAGATCTTTCCTATTGTGGGCATTTAGTGCTGTAAATTTCCCTCTGCACACTGCTTTAAATGTGTCCTGGAGATTCTGGTACATTGTGTCTTTGTTCTCACTGGTTTCAAAGAACATCTTTATTTCTGCCTTAATTTCGTTATTTACCCAGCAGTCATTCAGGAGCAAGTTGTTCAGTTTCCATGTAGTTGTGTGGTTTTGAGTGAGTTTATTAATCCTGAGTTCTAATTTGATTGCACCGTGGTCTGAGAGACAGTTTGTTATAATTTCTGTTCTTTTACATTTGCTGAGGAGTGCTTTACTTCCAATAATGCCATCAATTTTAGAATAAGTGTGATGTGGTGCTGAGAAGAATGTATATTCTGTTGATTTGTGGTGGAGACTTCTGTAGGTGTCTATTAGGTCTGCTTGTTGCAGAGCTTAGTTCAGGTCCTGGATATCCTTGTTAACCTTCTGTTTCATTGATCTGTCTAATATTGACAGTGGGGTGTTAAAGTCTCCCATTATTATTGTGTGGGAGTCTAAGTCTCTTTGTAGGTCTCTAAGGACTTGCTTTATGAATCTGGGTGCTCCTGTATTGGATGCCTATATATTTAGGATAGTTAGCTCTTCTTGTTGAATTGATCCCTTTACCATTATGTAATGGCCTTCTTTGTCTCTTGATCTTTGTTGGTTTAAAGTCTGTTTTATCAGAGACTAGGATTGCAACCCCTGCTTCTTTTTTGCTTTCCATTTGCTTGGTAGATCTTCCTCCAGCCCTTTATTTTGAGCCTATGTGCATTTTTGCACATGAAATGGGTCTCCTGAATACAGCACACTGATGGGTCTTGACTCTTTATCCAATTTTCCAGTCTGTGTCTTTTAATTGGGGCATTTAGCCCATTTACATTTAAGGTTAATATTGTTATGTGTGAATTTGTTTCTGTCATTATGATGTTAGCTGGTTATTTTGCTCGTTAGTTGATGCAGTTTCTTCCTAGCCTTGAAGGTCTTTACAATTTGGCATGTTTTTGCAGTGGCTGGTACCAGTTGTTCCTTTCCATGTTTAGTGCTTCCTTCAGGAGCTCTTGTAGGGCAGTGACAAAATCTCTCAGCATTTGCTTATCTGTAAAGTATTTTACTTCTCCTTCACTTATGAAGCTTAGTTTGGCTGGATATGAAATTCTTGATTGAAAATTCTTTTCTTTAAGAATGTTGAATATTGGCCCCCGCTCTCTTCTGGCTTGTAGAGTTTCTGCCGAGAGATCAGCTGTGAGTCTGATGGGCTTCCCTTTGTGGGTAACCCGACCTTTCTCTCTGGCTGCCCTTAACAATTTTTCCTTCATTTCAACTTTGGTGAATCTGACAATTATGTGTGTTGGAGTTGCTCTTCTTGAGGAGTATCTTTGTGGCATTCTCTGTATTTCCTGAATTTGAATGTTGGCCTGCCTTGCTAGATTGGGGAACTTCTCCTGGATAATATCCTGCAGAGTGTTTTCCAACTTGGTTCCATTCTCCCTGTCACTTTCAGGTACACCAATCAGACTTAGATTTGGTCTTTTCACATAGCCCCATATTTCTTGGAGGCTTTGTTCATTTGTTTTTACTCTTTTTTCTCTAAACTTATCTTCTCGCTTTATTTCATTAATTTGATCTTCAATCACTGATATCCTTTCTTCCACTTGATCACATTGGCTACTGAAGCTTGTGCATGTGTCGTGAAGTTCTCGTGCCATGATTTTCAGCTCCATCACGTCATTTAAGGTCTTTTCTACACTGTTTATACTAGTTAGCCATTTGTCTAATCTTTTTTCAAGGTGCTTAGCTTCTTTGCAATGGGTTTGAACATCCTCCTTTAGCTTGGAGAAGTTTGTTATTACTGACCTTCTGAAGCCTACTTCTGTCAACTCTTTGATGTCATTCTCCATCCAGCTTTGTTCCATTGCTGTTGAGGAGCTGTGATCCTTTGGAGGAGAAGAGGCACTCTTATTTTTAGAATTTTCAGCTTTTCTCCTCTGGTTTCTCCCCATATTTGTGGTTTTATCTACCTTTGGTCTTTGATGTTGATGACCTACAGATGGGCTTTTGGTGTTGATGACCTTTTTGTTTATGTTGATGCTATTCCTTTCTGGTTTTTAGTTTTCCTTCTAACAGTCAGGTCCCTCAGCTGTAGGTCTGTTGGAGTTTGCTGGAGTTCCACTCCAGATCCTCTTTGCCTGCGTATTACCAGCAGAGGCTGCAGAACAGCAAATATTGCTGCCTGATCCTTTCTCTGGACCTTTTGTCCCAGAGACGCCTATATGAGGTGTCTGTAGGCCCCTACTGGGAGATGTCTCCTAGTTAGGCTACACGCGAGTCAGGGACCCACTTGAGGAGGCAGTCTGTTCATTCTCAGAGCTCAAATGCCATGCTAGGAGAACTGCTGCTCTCTTAAGAGCTGCTAGACAGGGATGTTTAAGTCTGCAGAAGTTGTCTGCTGCCTTTTGTTCAGCTATTCCCTGCCCACAGAGGTGGAGTCTAGAGGCAGTAGGCCTTGTTGAGCCATGGTGGGCTCTGCCCAGTTTGAGCTTCCCGACGGCTTTGTTTACCTACTCAAGCCTCAACAATGGTGGATGCCCCTCCCCCAGCCAGGCTGCCATCTTGCAAATCAATCTCAGACTGCTGCGCTAGCAGTGAGCAAGGCTCCATGGGTGTGGGAGCCACTGAGCCAGGTGTGAGAGAGAATCCCCTTGTCTGCCAGTTGCTAAGACCTTGGGAAAAGGACAGTATTTGGGCCAGAGTGTCCCATTTTTCTAGGTGGTCTGTCATGGCTTCCCTTGGCTAGGAAAGGGAAATACCCTGACGCCTTGAGCTTCCTGGGTGAGGCAACGCCCCGCCCTTCTTTGTCTCACCCTCCGTGGGCCGCACCCACTGTCCAACCAGTCCCAGTGAGATGAACTAAGTACATCAGTTGGAAATGCAGAAATCACCCATTTTTTTCATTGATCATGCTGGGAGCTGCAGACCGGAGCTGTTCCTATTCGGCCATCATGGAATGCCCCTGGAATTGCTAGATTCTTATTGTAATAACAATCCTTATTTTTCCATTTGATTTAGACAATCACCAAAAATAAGAATTATTTATGAACAATATGAAGTCATTCATGAAACCTCAAGAATATTCTAGAAGGAAGGAACAGAAAGTGATATGGAGAGGTACACTTTCATTCTCCCTTAGAGATACCCACACACAGGAAAAAACAGTGACAGGTTTAGCTGAACCACTATGTTGATCTTTTCCGATACCATTACAACTATACTTATTAAAACACTTTCCACTGATTTTATAAACTTTTGCAATTTTTAAATCAAAGTTTTACATACACATAGTTTCAAAAGTCAATTCATTCTATGAGGTTTAAATGAAATCAGCATTTCCTTTCCCACCTCTTCTAACTCCCAAGAGGCAACTTGTGCAACTTTTTTAGCCGTTCTTTACTTCTTTTAGAAGCTCCTCTGCAGTTTTAGAGACTGACAATTACATTTATTTTCTGACATCGATGAAAATGGACCTGGTAGGTTTTTTTAGTCTGTTCAGGTTGCTGATTTTGTATAATATCCAGAAGAAAAAAAAAATCCATAAAGGAAGTGCATGCCCTTCTTTTTTTTTCCTTTAGTACTTTTTATTGTGAAACATGACACCTGGAAAATTGCTAAATTTACAGGTCAATAAATTATTACAGTGTGACCATCCATGTAAGCAGTGTGATCATCCATGTAAGCAGCATAACCCCTCTAAAGAAGTGGAAGATTGCACCATGGAAATCTACTTTGCAGTCCCTCTCAGAAATTACTATACCACCCTCCCCCGAACTTGCTGAGAGATACAGCCATGTGCATGGTTTTTATTTTTGTTAATCATTGATTAAAAAGTAATAATTTTTATTGATAATTTTATTGCTTTAAAAAATAGTTTTACTCTTTGTATTCCCAAGCATTATTGATTAGTTTTGCATGGTTTTGAATTTATGTAAGTAAATTATGCTTAGAAGATTCATGCATACTCTTTTGTATATGTATATATATAGCTGTATTTATTCATTTTCATGACTATTTTACAATCGATTCTGTTGAAGGACTTTTGGGAGGTAAGAAATCATTATACAAATAATGATGTTAGATATTTTTTCACACATGTTTCTTAGTGCATGTGTGCACATATTTCTGTATGTGATATATTGTCACATTAATGGCTCCAATTCTTCATCTCTCTTTGTATCTACATTCATCCTCATATAATTTTGTATCATCCTCTCACTTTGAATCTGGAACCAGCCATGTGACTTCGTTTTCACCAAAGGGATTTTAGCGATAAATAATGTAAATACAGCCTTATAAAACACTTATGTTGCTGAGTTTTCTTGTTCCTGCTTCTGTGCCATCATTAGGAGAATCATCCAAATATATCCTAAAATAAAATAAAAAACAAATGGCCTATGGCCCTGTTGTCCCAGCAGAGAACCAGCTAACTGCCAGACACATGGGTAAATCCTGCTGAGACCCAGAGAAAATCTAGCCAAGCTAGCTACATCACCTGATTGTAGAATTGTAAGGCAAAAATAAATGTTTATTGCTGTATGCCATTAAGGTTTTGTGGTTGCTATCAAGTATTATTTGTTATGGAATTTGTGTTTCCCCAAAAATTCACATATTGAAGCCCTATTCCAATATGATGGTATTTGGAGATGGGACCTGTGATATTGTAAAATATATATTTGGTCTTTGCCTTGTTTATGGCATACAACACCAAAAATCCTTAGAATCCCCAAAGTGTTATCTTTTTGTGTGCTATTGATTGACTGATGGCTGGCAGTCCCTAGGTAGCTTCAAAATGAGGGCTGATAACTGGAAAAATGAAGGCATGATTAGAGGTTTGCTAACTTTCAGCCCTGCCCCTGACTTCCCAGGAGGGGAGAGAGGCTGAAGTAAATTAATTTGATGGCCAATGGCCAATGGCCAATGGTTTAGTTGATCACATCTATGTAATAAGGCCTCCATAGAAACCGAAGAGAACAGTTCAGAGAGCTCTGAATAGCTGAACACATGGAGGTTCCTGGAGGATGGTATGCCTGGGGTGAGCATGGAAACTGAGCATGGAAACTTTGCACTCCTTCCCCCATACCTGATCCTGTGCATCTCTTCACCCGTATCCTTTGTAATAACCTTTATAATAAACCAGTAAATATAAGTACTTTCCTGAGTTCTGTGAGTCACTCTAGCAAATTAATTGAACCCAAAGAGGAAATTACTTGAACACCAATTGAAGATAATTGGTCAGAAGTTCCAGAGGCCAGGACTTGAGAGTCTATGAAGTAGGGCAGTTTTGTGGAGCTGAGCCCCCAGTCTGTATTACGTGATGCTGTCTCCAGATAGACAGTGTGAAAATTGAATCAAAGGACCCCAAGCTGGTGTCCACTGCAAAATTGATTGCTTGCCTGGAGTGTGCAAGTGCAAGGTGAGGCAGCAAGTACTCATGTGGATGTTGCAACAAGCACCCAGAAGATGTAGCTAAGATAATTGATGAAGATAGCTACACTAAATAAAAGATTTTCAGTAGAGATGAAACACCCTTTTTTTGGAAGATGTCATCTAGGACTTTCATAGATAGAGAGGAGAAATCAGTGCCTAGCTTCAAAGCTTCAGAGGGAGAGTCGGACTCTTTTTTTAGGGGTTAATCCAGTGGTAACTCTAAGTTGAAGCCAATGCTCATTTACCATTCCAAAACTTCTAGTGCCCTTAAGAATTATGCTAAATCTTTTCTGCCCGTGCTCTGTAAATGAAACATCCTAGCCTGAATGATAATAATTTTATTTACAGCATGGTTCTTGGATATTTTAAGCCCACTATTGAGGCCCTCTGCTCAGAAAAATGATTTCTTTCAAATTATTGCTGCGCATTGACAATACACCTGGTCACCCAAGAGCTCTGATGATGTGCAAGGATATGAATGTTGCAGCAGTAGTGGAGGCAGCACTCCTCCACTCTGGGGGTATGGAGGGTCCTGCTGGTGACTGTGCATGCAATCATGCTGATGGTGCTGTTAGTGCAGGGATGGAGTGCTGGGATTAAGGCAAAGGTGGCTGCTCAGGATGGGGAAGAGTCCACTGTTCTCCATGCCCAGTTTTACTCCAAAAGCAGTGTTGGTGCAGGGGTGGGGGGCTAGTGGGGGTGGGGCTGGTAGGCTCTGTGCCCACCAAGGCTCCAGTTGTAATGGTGGTAAGGTGGGGGTAAAGGTAAGGAGTGTACTCATGCTGGCAGCAGTGGCAGGGCAGGATGCATGCACACATGTGTGCTGGCAGGACAAAGAAGGCAAGATCCACCGTGTATGCACACATCAGCGAAGCAATATTGTGGTCGGGGGTTGGCTGTGGGCTCAGGGAAAGCTGCAGAGTTGGGAGGGAGTAGACGGGCTGATGTGTGTCCATGATGGCCTCTCTGTTGGAGCTCTCTGCTAGTCAGCTGTAGTCCTCCAGCACAGGAACTATGATGTGGGCCCTCAGGTGAGGCTGCACTGCAAACAGGCATAACAAGACTGCAGCCTCAGGAGAGGCCAGAAGACCAAGGCGTCCTCAGATCAGACCAGCTCTATCTGATGAGCAAGACCGCTCTGCAGAGTTCAGGTGTGGCAATTCTCCTAGGGCTAAAATCTCCTACGTGAGCAAGTCAAGCCTAGGAGGCTGTGCTCCACTATAGATGATCCAATAACAAATCCTATGGGCTCTGTGCTGCCTGTAGTGCTTCCCCTATCACTTCTCTAAGCAGCTTTTCCTGCCAACTCAAGTGTCTGTGGTAGGCGAGGAGTCTCCTCCTGCCAGGATTCCAGAGGCCCAGAATTCTTGAGACTGGCAGTAAGAGTGGGTTGCTCCTTTCCAGTTCAACTCACCTGTTTCCCTAGAGTTGTGAGGGGCCAGGAATGAGTCCTAGTGTTGGTAGCCTCATGAAGCGTTCCCAGCTTCCTCCCCCTTCAGCCCAACTTCTGTGTTCTCTCTCTGTCCACTCTCAGTGCCTTCTCTCTGAAGATCTGTTAGGAGTGCACCAGTTTACTGGTCCCTTGGTGGCAACTGTTCCACCTGGCTATGTCTAGTCAGTCATCTTGTCCAACTCAATACGTTGTAAATGCATCAACATTAATGTGTTGCTGAATGACAAGGATGCTTCTGAAAAGTGCATTGTTAGGTCATTTTGTCATTGTGGGAACAACATAGAGTATATAATATATTTACACAAACCCAAGGGATAGCCTATTATAAACTTAGGCTGTATGGTATAGCCTATTGTTCCTTGGCCACAAACTTATACAGCATGTTACTGTACTGAATACTGCAGGCAATTGTCACACAATGGTAAGTATTTGTGTATCTAAACATAGAAAAAGTACACTAAAAATATGGCTTTATAATCTTATGGGAACGCCATTATATATATGGTACATTGTTGACCAAAACATTGTTATTTGGCTCATAACAGGAATTAGGTAATTCATCAAGAATGAGATCATGAACAAAGGAAAGAAAATATTACTTTCAATTGCAACATGATCGCCTCATCATTTGTAACCAGTAAAGAAGTTTGGGGTTACCTGAAAAAAGTTATTAATTTCTTTCCTTGTAGAATTATCTCTAAAGATTCTGTGGATCTTTTAAATTAGAGTAACAACCAACATTCTTTTATGCTTTTCCTATTCTTTCCTGATATCTGACATAATTAATTTTTCCAGGCTCCCTACTGAGAGGGGTTCCTTTTTACTCCGTTTGTTCAATATGAAATTAAAGTCCAGAGCATTCTAGGCAACTACAAGGATGTAATTTCCTCATCAGAGTTTCTTCCATGTTGTACCTTGAGCCAGAATAAAAAGATAAAATCTTTGTGGAATGGGTTGAAGGTTCACTGACTCCTTCAGGCATCTGCTGGAATCCTCAAAAGAGGACACTGGAAAGGCTGAGAGTGGTAAAAACAAAAAATGTAGCAGTGCAGGAAACGGGCATGAGCAACAATGTGTGAAAGCAACAATGTCTCAAAGTTTTAATTATCTCATGGCCAAGAACAAACTCTTCTTCCTCTAAAACTGGTCATGTTTTCATGACTCCTTCTCCCTGAATAATATCCTCTTTCTCCCCATTACTCAGGCACAAATCTTCTACCACTTACCAGGAGCTGTGGATTTGGCCTATGGAATGCCTCTCATTTCTCCTTTATTTCCATTACTGCTGTAGAATTTCAGTGTGGCATAACCTCATCTCTGAACTACAGTTTCTAAATCTATGTCTATCTATGTTAATTGCTCCTAATTTATGGGTCATTTGTCTCTCCTCAAGCCAACACATCTTCCACACTGCCAGGAGATACTTATCCCTATTGCTACTGATTAATGTTTGAAAAATTCCAATCTCCCTGTTGCCATGAGAATAAAGTTAAAAAAGGGTACCCATAGCAAATACACAAAGGCCATTGCAATTGGGCTTCAGTTTAACAGTGTACATTTTTCTTTTTTTATTATGTTATTATTATTATACTTTAAGTTTTAGGGTACATGAGCACAATGTGCAGATTTATTACATATGTTTACATGTGCCATGTTGGTGTGCTGCACCCATTAACTCGTCATTTAGCATTAGGTATATCTCCTAATGCTATCCCTCCACCCTACCCGCACCCCACAACAGGCCCCGGTATGTGATGTTCCCCTTCGTGTGTCCATATGTTCTCATTGTTCAATTCCCACCTATGAGTGAGAACATGCGGTGTTTGGTTTTTTGTCCTTGCGATAGTTTGCAGAGAATGATGGTTTCCAGCTTCATCCATGTCCCTACAAAGGACATGAATTCATCATTCTTTATGGCTGCATAGTATTCCTGGTGTATATGTGCCACATTTTCTTAATCCAGTCTATCATTGTTGGACATTTGGGTTGGTTCCAAGTCTTTGCAATTGTGAATAGTGCCACATAAACATATGTGTGCTTGTGTCTTTATAGCAGCATGATTTATAATCCTTTGCGTATATACCCAGGAATGGGATGGCTGGGTCAAATGGTATTTCCAGTTCTAGATCCCTGAGGAATTGCCACATTGACTTCCACAGTGGTTGAACTGGTTTGCAGTCCCACCAACAGTGTAAAAGTGATCCTATTTCTCCACATCCTCTCCAGCACCTGTTGTTTCCTGACTTTTTCATGATGGCTATTCTAACTGGTGTGAGATGGTATCTCATTGTGGTTTTGATTTGCATTTCTCTGATGACCAGTGATGATGAGCATTTTTTCGTGTGTTTTTTGGCTGCATAAATCTCTTCTTTTGAGAAGTGTCTGTTCATATCCTTTGCCCACTTTTTGATGGGGTTGTTTTTTTCTTGTAAATTTGTTTGAGTTTTTTTGTAGATTCTGGATATTGACCATTTGTCTGATGAGTAGGTTACAAAAACTTTCTCCCATTCTGTAGGTTGCCTGTTCACTCTGATGGTAGTTTCTTTTGCTGTGCAAAAGCTCTTTAGTTTAATGAGATCCCATTTGTCAATTTTGGCTTTTGTTGCCATTGCTTTTGGTGTTTTAGACATGAAGTCCTTGCCCATGCCTATGTCCTGAATGGTATCTCCTAGCTTTTCTTCTAGGATTTTTATGGTTTTAGGTCTAACATTTAAGTCTTTAATCCATCTTGAATTAATTTTTGTATAAGGCGTAAGGAAGGGATCCAGTGTCAGCTCTCTACATATGGCTAGCCAGTTTTCCCAGCACCATTTATTAAATAGGGAATCCTTTCCCCATTGCTTGTTTTTGTCAGGTTTGTCAAAGATCAGATGGTTGTAGATATGTGGCATTATTTCTGCGGGCTCTGTTCTCTTCCATTGGTCTGTATCTCTGTTTTGGTACCAGTACCATGATGTTTTGGTTACTGTAGCCTTGTAGTATAGTTTGAAGTCAGGTAGTGTGATGCCTCCAGCTTTGTTCTTTTGGCTTAGGATTGACTTGGCGATGTGGGCTCTTTGTTGGTTCCATATGAACTTTAAAGTAGTTTTTTCAGTTCTGTGAAGAAAGTCATTGGTAGCTTGATGGGGATGGCATTGAATCTGTAAATTACCTTGGGCAGTATGGCCATTTTCATGATATTGATTCTTCCTACCCATGATCATGGAATGTTCTTCCATTTGTTTGTATCCTCTTTTATTTCATTGAGCAGTGGTTTGTAGATCTCCTTGAAGAGGTCCTTCACATCCCTTGTAAGTTGGATTCCTAGGTATTTTATTCTCTTTGAAGCAATTGTGAATGGGAGTTCACTCATGATTTGGCTCTGTTTGTCTGTTATTGGTGTATAAGAATGCTTGTGATTTTTGCACATTGATTTTGTATCCTGAGACTTTGCTGAAGTTGCTTATCAGCTTAAGGAAATTTTGGGCTGAGACAATGGGGTTTTCTAGATATACAGTCATGTCATCTGCAAACAGGAACAATTTGACTTCCTCTTTTCCTAATTGAATGCCCTTTATTTCCTTCTCCTGCCTAATTGCCCTGGCCAGAACTTCCAACACTATGTTGAATAGGAGTGGTGAGAGAGGGCATCCCTATCTTGTGCCAGTTTTCACAGGGAATGTTTCCAGTTTTTGCCCATTCAGTATGACATTGGCTGTGGGTTTGTCATAGATAGCTCTTATTATTTTGAGATACGTCCCAACAATACCTAATTTATTGAAAGTTTTTAGCATGAAGGTTGTTGAATTTTGTCAAAGGCCTGTTCTGCATCTATTGAGATAATCATGTGGTTTTTGTTGTTGGTTCTGTTTATATGCTGGATTACGTTTATTGATTTTCATATGTTGAACCAGCCTTGCATGCCACGGATGAAGCCCACTTGATCATGGTGAATAAGCTTTTTGATGTGCTGCTGGATTTGGTTTGCCAGTATTTTATTGAGGATTTTTGCATAAATGTTCATCAAGGATATTAGTCTAAAATTCTTTTTTTGTTGTGTCTCTGCCAGGCTTTGATATCAGGATGATGTTGGCCTCATAAAATGAGTTAGGTAGGATTCCCTCTTTTTCTATTGATTGGAATAGTTTCAGAAGGAATGGTACCAGCTCCTCCTTGTACCTCTGGTAGAATTCGGCTGTGAATCCATCTGGTCCTGGACTTTTTTTGGTTGGTAAGCTATTAATTATTGCCTCAATTTCAGAGCCTGTTATCGGTCTATTCAGAGATTCAACTTCTTCCTAGTTTAGTGTTGGGAGGGTGCATGTGTAGAGGAATTTATCCATTTCTTCTAGATTTTCTAGTTTATTTGCATAGAGGTGTTTATAGGATTCCCTGATGGTAGCTTGTATTTCTGTGGGATCGGTGGTGATATCCCCTTTGTCATTTTTTATTGCATCTATTTGATTCTTCTCTCTTTTCTTCTTTATTTGTCTTGCTAGCGGTCCATCAATTTGTTCATCTTTTCAAAAAACCAGCTCCCGGATTCACTGATTTTTGGAGGGTTTTTTGTGTCTGTATTTCCTTCAGTTCTGCTCTGATTTTAGTTATTTCTTGCCTTCTGCTAGCTTTTGAATGTGATTGCTCTTGCTTCTCTTGTTCTTTTAATTGTGATGTTAGGGTGTCAATTTTGGATCTTTCCTGCTTTCTCTTGTGGGCATTTAGTGCTATGAATTTCCCTCTACACACTGCTTTGAATGTGTCCCAGAGATTCTGGTATGTTGTGTCTTTGTTCTCATTGGTCTCAAAGAACATCTTTATTTCTGCCTTCATTTCCTTATGTACCCAGTAGTCATTCAGGAGCAGGTTGTTCAGTTTCCATGTAGTTGAGCGGTTTTGAGTGAGTTTCTTAATCCTGAGTTCTAGTTTGATTGCACTGTGGTCTGAGAGACAGTTTGTTATAATTTCTGTTCTTTTACATTTGCTGAGGAGTGCTTTACTTCCAACTATGTGGTTGATTTTGGAATAGGTGTGGTGTGGTGCAGAAAACAACGTGTATTCTGTTGATTTGGGGTGGAGAGTTTTGTAGATGTCTATTAGGTCCGCTTGTTGCAGAGCTGAGTTCAATTCCTGGATATCATTGCTAACTTTCTGTCTCGTTGATCTGTCTAATGTTGACAGTGGGGTGTTAAAGTCTCCCATTATTATTGTGTGGGAGTTTAAGTCTCTTTGTAGGTCACTAAGGACTTGCTTTATGAATCTGGGTGCTCCTGTATTGGGGGCGTATATATTTAGGATAGTTAGTTCTTCTTGTTGAATTGATCCCTTTAGCATTATGTAATGGCCTTCTTTGTCTCTTTCAATGTTTGTTGGTATAAAGTCTGTCTTATCCAAGACTAGGATTGCAACCCCTGCCTTTTTTGGTTTTCCATTTGCTTGGTAGATCTTCCTCCAGCCCTTTATTTTGAGCCTATGTGTGTCTCTGCACATGAGATGGGTTTCCTGAATACAGCACACTGTTGGGTCTTGACTCTTTATCCAATTTGCCAGTCTGTGTCTTTCAATTGGAGCATTTAGCCCATTTACATTTAAGGTTAATATTGTTATGTGTGAATTTGATCCTGTCATTATGATGTTAGCTGGTTATTTTGCTCGTTAGTTGATGCAGTTTCTTCCTAGCCTTGAAGGTCTTTACAATTTGGCATGTTTTTGCAGTGGCTGGTACCAGTTGTTCCTTTCCATGTTTAGTGCTTCCTTCAGGAGCTCTTGTAGGGCAGTGACAAAATCTCTCAGCATTTGCTTATCTGCAAAGTATTTTACTTCTCCTTCACTTATGAAGCTTAGTTTGGCTGGATATGAAATTCTTGATTGAAAATTCTTTTCTTTAAGAATATTGAATATTGGCCCCCAGTCTCTTCTGGCTTGTAGAGTTTTTGCTGAGAGATCAGCTGTTAGTCTGATGGGCTTCCCTTTGAGGGTAACCCGACCTTTCTCTCTGGCTGCCCTTAACATTTTTTCCTTCATTTCAACTTTGGTGAATCTGACAATTATGTGTGTTGGCGTTGCTCTTCTCAAGGAGTATCTTTGTGGCGTTCTCTGTATTTCCTGAATTTGAATGTTGGCCTGCCTTGCTATATTGGGGGAGCTCTCCTGGACAATATCCTGTAGGGTGTTTTCCAACTTGGTTCCATTCTCCCCATCACTTTCTGGTACACCAATCAGACATAGATTTGGTCTTTTCACATAGCCCCATATTTCTTGGAGGCTTTGTTCATTTCTTTTTATTCTTTTTTCTCTAAACTTCTCTTCTTGCTCCATTTCATTCATTTCGTCTTCCATCGCTGATACCCTTTCTTCTAGTTGATCACATCGGCTACTGAGGCTTGTGCATTTGTCACGTAAGTCTTGTGCCATGGTTTTCAGCTCCATCAGGTCCTTTAAGGACTTCTCTGCATGGTTATTCTAGTTAGCCATTCATCTAATTTTTTTTCAAGGTTTTTAACTTCTTTGCCATTGGTTTGAACTTCCTCCTTTAGCTCGGAGTAGTTTGTTCTTCTGAAGCCTTCTTCTCTCAATTCGTCAAATTCATTCTCTGTCCATCTTTGTTCCATTGCTAGTGAGGAGCTGCATTCCTTTGGAGGAGGAGAGGCACTCTGATTTTTAGAGTTTCCGGTTTTGCTGCTCTGTTTTTTCCCCATCTTTGTGGTTTTATCTACCTTTGGTCTTTGATGATGGTGACATACAGATGGGTTTTTAGTGTGGATGTCCTTTCTGTTTGTTAGTTTTCCTTCTAATAGTCAGGACCCTCAGCTGCAGGTCTGTTGGAGTTTACTGGAGGTCCACTCCAGACCCTGTTTTCCTGGGTATCAGCAGTGGTGGCTGCAGAACATTGGATATTGGTGAACCACAAATGCTGCTGCCTGATCATTCCTCTGGAAGTTTTGTCTCAGAGGAGTACCCGGCTGTGTGGGGTGTCAGTCCACCCCTACTGGGGGGGTGCCTCCCAGTTAGGCTACTTGGGGGTCAGGGACCCACTTGAGGAGGCAGTCTGCCCATTCTCAGATCTCCAGCTGTGTTCTGGGAGAACCACTACTCTCTTCAAAGCTGTCAGACAGGGACATTTAAGTCTGCAGAGGTTACTGCTGCCTTTTGTTTGTCTGTGCCCTGCCCCCAGAGGTGGTGCCTACAAAGGGAGGCAGGTCTCCTTGAGCTGTGGTGGGCTCCACCCAGTTCGAGCTTCCAGGTCGCTTTGTTTACCTACTCAAGCCTTGGCAATTGTGGGCACCCCTCCCCCAGCCTCACTGCTGCCTTGCAGTTTGATCTCAGACTGCTGTGCTAGCAGTCAGCGAGGCTCTGTGGGCGTAGGACCCTCCGAGTCATGTGCGGGATATAATCTCCTGGTGTGCCATTTGTTAAGCCCATTGGAAAAGCACAGTATTAGGGTGGTGTGTCTGGAATTGGTGGCTTCTTGGTCTCACTGACTTCAAGAATGAAGCCGTGGACCCTCACGGTGTATATTACAGTTCTTAAAGGTGGCGTGTCTGGAGTTTGTTCCTTCTGATGTTCTAATATGTTCAGAGTTTCTTCCTTCTGGTGGGTTTGTGTTCTTGCTGGCTCAGGAGTGAAGCTGAAGACCTTCACAGTGAGTGTTACAGCTCTTAAGGCGGTGCGTCTGGAGTTGTTTGTTCCTCCCAGTGGGTTCGTGGTCTCACTGGCTTCAGGAGTGAAGCTGCAGACCTTCACAGTGAGTGCTACAGCTCATAAAGACAGTGTGATCCCAAAGAGTGAGCAGTAGCAAGATTTATTGCAAAGAGAGAAAGAACAAAGCTTCCACAGTGTGGAAGGGGACCCAAGTGGTTTGCCACTGCTGGCTTGGGCAGCCTGCTTTTATTTTCTTATCTGGCCCCACCCACATCCTGCTGATTGGTAGAGCTGAGTGGTCTGTTTTGACAGGGCACTGATTGGTGCATTTACAATCACTGAGGTAGACACAAAGGTTCTCCACGTCCCCCCCAGAGTAGCTAGATACAGAGTGTCGATTGGTGCATTCACAAACCCTGAGCTAGACACAGGGTGCTGATTGGTGTGTTTACAAACCTTGAGCTAGATACAGAGTGCCAATTGGTGTATTTACAATCCCTTAGCTAGACATAAAGGTTCTCCACATCCCCACCAGACTCAGGAGCCCAACTGGCTTCACCCAATGGATCCCGCACCAGAACTGCAGGTGGAACAGCCTGCCAGTCCCGTGCCGTGCGCCCGCACTCCTCAGCCCTTGGGTGGTCAATGGGACTGGGCGCCGTGGAGCAGGGGGCGGTGCTCACTGGGGAGGCTTGGCCCATACAGGAGCCCACGGAGGGGGTGGGAGGCTCAGGCATGGCGGGCTGCAGGTCCCGAGCCCTGCCCCATGGGAAGGCAGCTAAGGCCCTGCGAGAAATTGAGCACAGCAGTTGCTGGCCCAGATGCTAAGCCCCTCACTGCCTGGGGCTGGTGGGGCCGGCTGGCCGCTCTGAGTGCAGGGTCTGCCAGGCCCACACCCACCTGGAACTCACGCTGGCCCGCAAGCACCGCGTGCAGCCCCGGTTCCCACCTGCGCCTCTCCCTCCACACCTCCCTGCAAGCTGAGGGAGCCGGCTCCGGCCTTGGCCAGCCCAGAAAGGGGCTCCTGCAGTGCAGCAGCAGGCTGAAGGGCTCCTCAAGTGCTGCCAAAGCGGGAGCCCAGGCAGAGGAGGTGCCGAGAGCAAGCAAGGGCTGTGAGGACTGCCAGCATGCTGTCACCTCTCAGTGGGAGTGACCCAATTTTCCAGGTGCCATCTGTCACACCTTTCTTTGACTAGGAAAGGGAATTCCCTGACCCCTTGTGCTTCCCAGATGAGGTGATGCCTCACCCTGCTTCAGCTCACGCACAGTGCACTGCACCCACTGTCCTGCACCCACTGTCCGGCACTCCCCAGTGAGACGAACCCGGTACCTCAGTTGGAAATACAGAAATTGCCTGTCTTCTGTGTTGCTCACACTGGGAGCTGTAGACTGGAGCTATTCCTATTCAGCCATCTTGGCTCCCAGGAATCAAGAGTGTACATTTTTCATTCCTAAAACAAAGTTTACTTTCCTGCATTAGACTATTGCCTATGATTTTATCATTTTTGTTTCCTCACAAAGAAAATATTTTCTTCTTTTTGAAATCATGTCTGTTGACATTATACACATTTTTCTTCATTTGTGTTATTATAAAGGAATACCTGAGACTTGGTAATTTACAAAGAAAAGAGGTGTATTTGGCTCACCATTCTGCAGGCTGTACATGATGCGTAGCACCAACATCTGCTTCTGATGACAGTCTTAAGAAGCTTCCACTTACAGCAGAAGGTCAGTGCATGAAAATCACATGGCAAGAGAGGAAGCAAGAAAGAGAGAGAAAGTATCAGGCTCTTTTTAACAACCAGCCCTAGAGGAAACTCCTGTGGGGACTATAAAGCAAGAACTCATTCATTACCATGAGGGTGAGACCAAGTCATTCACAAGAGATCCAGACCCATGACTCAAACACTTCCCACCAGGCCCCACCTCCAACACTGAGGATCAAATTTCAACATGAAACTCAGTGAAGGCAAACAAACCATATCCAAACTGTAGCACACATCTCATGAGGTTAAGCTCAAATGATACTTTTTCTATGAAACATTCTTTAATACCTTCAGTTGAACTTAGTCTTCATCCCCACAGTTCTCTCAAAGCTCTTTGAAGTTTCATTACAGCAGCACTTGTTACACTTTACTGTGCATTGAATCCCCTGGGGATTTTGTTGAAATGCAGAGTCCAATTCAGTAGTTCTGGGGTGGAGCTCCCAGGGGTTTCCCATGCTGCTGCATGGTGGACCTGCTTCAAGGATCAGGGTAGCAGCATTTATTGAGATGCAGGATTTCTCACCATTCTGCCTTTTCTTGGAGTCTGCTGGAAAGAGAGCTTCCTCCCCCAAAAGACTGCAGGCCCTTGGTTGTATCTATGTTCCACACACTTCTCATTTTTGTGCCTTTTTGGTAATTCTGGTAAAATGTCCAGCCAATGAAGCAATTGAAATGAAACTCAAGATTAATATCAAAACTGTGCCTTGTCTGAGAATTTATTTCCCATATCCTAGATGGGCTAAAACTCTTTAGTAGTGCAGACAGCATAGCCTTGCTGGGTAGGTACTCTTATTTACCCTTTGATTTGTTGTCCTTTCATTCAAGAGAATAAGCAGGAGTTCCTTCATCTTACAGTACCAAGGTTTGTTCCCTGAGGGACATCATGCACTGACCTCATGCCCTCTGATAATTTTTCCATTTGTCTCCACATTAAATGGCTCAGCTAGAAATAAAATTGGTAACTGCAGTAATCTCTGCAGGTTCTTCAATTGTAAACAGTGAACACTGTCCAATATGTCAGCTTTAAGCATCCCTTTTATCCCCATTATCTTTAATCTATCATCTCTGAAAACTAGAACTAGACTTTTCCTAGGAAGCTTACCTAAACTTATAAAATTTGTAAGTTTAATTTTTACCATTTTTTCAAGTTAACTTGGCTGTCTTTTTCTATAGGTATGAAGGATACTTCATCTATTTGTCAAAAAGGGCAAAGGTATAAGAATATCTCCTTTGCTGTTCAGAAGCCTTTCTTAAGTTTTAGCTCTTATTGCTGAGCCTGCTGGTGAAACCACCATTGCAAACTTATAACTGAGACAGTGAAAGAGATCAGATCTAACTGACTCCATCTTGCCTCTAATCTTTAAGCTGTCCTTGTTCATTTCTGGGCATAGGTCAAACTTACCTTAGGGATGAACTTAGTTTATGGTTCAGTTTTGAACAAAGACGATAACAGACCTTTTTACTGCTACTCAATTCAGCCTCCCCAGTAATTTGGGGACTGGAGTTTTTAAGGATGATTTGGTGGGTAGGGAGCCAGTAAATTGGGATTCTGCTTGATCAGGTCAGAGATGAAATCATAGGGAGTTGAAGCTGTCCTCTTGCACTGAGTATAGGTATGAGGGAAACTTCATCTATTTGTCAAAAAGTGCAAAGGCAAAATATAATTCAGAATTATAACTGAGACAGTGAAGATCAGACCAAATTGACTCCATCTTCCTTCTAATCTTTAAGCTGTCTTTGTTCACTTATGGGCATAGGCTAAACTAACCTTAGGAAGGAGCTCAGTTTATGGTTCAGCTTTGAAACAAATATAACATCCCTTTCCCAAAACAAATCCCCTTCCTACCTGGGGACTAGGCTGCCTTTGTAGGATTAACAAAATAGCCAAAAGATTTAGAAATTATGATTTAGGAGTCATGCAGATGGAGACGGCAAGATTCTAAACCTCCCCAAGATGCAGATCAATAAACTGTCTCATCTGGTCCTGTGGCCTCCACCCAGGAACTGACTCAGTGCAAGAGGACAGCTTCAGCTCCCTATGATTTCATCTTCAACCTGACCAATCAGAACTCTCAATTCACTGCCCCCCTACCCATTAAATTATCCTTTAAATCTCCAGTTCCTGAATTACTGGGGAGAATGATTTGAGTTATAATAAAACTCTAGCCTCCTACACAGCTGGCTCTGTATGAATTGCTCTTTCTCTATTGCAATTCCCATGTCTTGATAAATCAGCTTTGTCTAGGCAGTAGGCAAGGCGAACACATTGGTGGTTACACTGGGATTCCAATGGGGATGTGGTAGGCAGCTTCTTCAATGGCTGGCAATGATCCTCACCTCCTGGTATTCATGGCTTTGTGTAACCCCTTCCCTCTGAGTATGGCTGGACCTAGTGAATTACCTCTAATGAATAGAAGATGACAAAAGTGATAGGATGTCATTTCTGAGATTAGATTTTAAAAGATTCTGAGTTCCATCTTCCTTGTATATCTTCTTTCTCTGTTTTTCTTGCTTGCACACTTTGATGAAAAAAATGTCATGTTGGAAATGCCTCATGGCAAGGAATTGAGGATGATCTCTAACCAACAGCCAGTGAAGAACTGAAGCCTTTAGTCCAACAACACACAAAGAACTGTATCCTGCCAACAACTACATGAGTGAACTTGGAAGTGGTTCCTTACCCAGTCAAGCCATGAGAAGAAGGCAGTTATCATCTTGACTGTAGCCTTATGAAATACCTTGAGCCAGAGGACTCAACTAAGAGGTATCTAGATTTCTAGCCCACAGAAACTGTGAGATTATACATGTTTGTTGCTTTCAGCCACTAGGTTTGAGAAGATTTGTTATACAGCAAGAATTAGTTAATATAGTGGTTCTCATTCTTTAAGTATTTATAACAGATCTTTTAAACTTAACATAATTTTCATTGTGCTTTCTTCATTAATATTCACAATTTTTTGCCCAGGAACCCCTGAATACTACATATTTTAAAACCTGCTATGCCAAATATGATTGTTTGAAAGGCGAAAGGGATATATATGGATTAAATACCCAGAAAGATTTGGGTTTCAAGCCTCTGCTAAACCTAAAAATACAGAAAGATAAAAGGAGGATGAACCCCTTGGGTTTCTGAATGAATCTGTGTAGTGCCCGAACAGGTCAACAAGTATTAGAAGAGAGATGGGTGCTCTAAGAAGACTGAAGGCTAAGATGAACGAATAATACTTTTCATAAGACAGATTTATACTAAGACTGACATTTAAAATTGATATATGAACTACTGAGTCTTCCCTCCCCAACTAAGATTATATTTCTGCTAAATAAACTATTGCTTTTTAGAGCATTATGATGTTTCTTCAGTATAGCCAAGACCAATTTTCTTGAAATTCCTACTAAAATGCAAACTACTGCTAATATAGCCAAGACTTCTGAACAACGTTATTTAGCCAAAGTCTTTTCATATCAGATTCTAATCTAGTCATAATATGTTTGACTGCTAGCTATGTTTCAGAGAAATCTTATTCAAGTAAATATTAAATGAGAATAAAAGTCACTGCAAAATCCAAACTGAATATACAACGTATATCAGAAATGCTAAAATACCATAATCACTTAAACAGATAATCATCTTTATGCTTCAGTCCATGAATTTCAAAACTGAATGATATTAACCTTCTTTTAGATATGAAGAAAGAGGCACCTAGAGGTAATGCTTAGGGTCACTTAGGACAACTTCAGAATGATCCAGTTGCTGGTAAGAAAATCTGAGCTTTAAAAAGTGGTGCCTTAGGCTCTGAGAGGCCACTTCTCAATTTGCTGGAATGGTTCACATGTGGATATGTGGATCCTCAGTGTCTCCTTTTTTAATTTATTTATTGACATTCATTTGTTGTTCTGCTTGGACTTGCTGCAAATATTTCTTGGAAAACTTGATTTAGATATCACAGATCTCACATCTTTACTGAAATGTATAGTGTGTCTTTTTCCTACTTTTATTTAATTGGAAGGTTCCATTGTCAGGTTTTAACAAATGTGGTCCACACCTAAAACTGACACATGCTTCTGACTATGAGATTTTGCATCTCTGGCAAATGGTGAGACCAAGCCTCGGAGATAGCACCAGAATGAGATGTATGAAGAATAGTGAAACTAGAGACACAATATCTCACGAAGCACATGACAAGGTCTAACCCTTGCAAAAAATGCAGGTACTATAATTAAACCAATACACACAGTCCTCCTCTCTTGGCTTCATGAGCTTAGGGATTTCTTAAGAACCCAATGTTTACATGGGTAAGTGATCTAAAAGCAGTATTGGTTTTATATTTTAATAAATCAATGTTGCATACCTTTAAATGGAATCTTTTAATTTTTGTCAGAAAGTAAGGAAATAAGAATGCACCATAATAATAAAATGCTACGTGTACTGTTTTATCTTTGTAATCTATTTTCAAAATGATGACCTCACACAGCCCTGTAGATAAGCCACTATACCAACTTGATTCTCATTCTCATGAAGGACAAAACTGAGCTGAAATCACTTGGATAGAATCACAGTTAACCAAAACAAGTTGATATCTCAGGCTCCTCACATTAAACTGTAGGCACTTCCTACAGGTTGTTCTCACAAAATCAGCCACTGCCTTCAATGCATTAAAGTGGAATCTCAGAGGAGAGAGTTTTAATCCTGTAATGCTTCTTGTTGGATAGGACAAAAACCAACTATATTTAGGACTGGTTATTAGGTACACTAGACTTGTCCCAACTTTGCCACAAGTAGCCTGGAGGCCTCAAGCCAGTCGCTTAAACTCCTTGGGTCTATAAAATGATTTGGATGACCTTTAAAGTTTTTCACACTTCTAAGGATGCTTAAATCTATGAAGAGGTTTCCAAGAGTTTGTCTGAACACTAAATAACATAAGTATTCTGAAAAGTGTGGATAAATCAAACATTTATCTTGGAGAAAAAGAATTAGTAGATTTCACTTTTTGAAAGCCCTGGTGCAGTTCCTGGAGGAAACAGCACACATTTGAAATGTTAACAGATACCACATCACAAACCCACTAACATCTGTGACATCCTTGTTGCTTGCTGACATGGCAGCCTGCAGGGATTTTTCTTTGCACTAGATAGAGGATCCATATAATCACAAAATGATGCTCCATGCCAAATGCTTCCTCCCAAGAAACAGAACTAAACAAACTCTTATTGAAAGTGAAATCACCTCTGGAATGAGTTACAAAATGGAAATAGTATTTACTAGTTTCTGGTCACATCTACACAACTGAGTGAGGAAAAACAATATTTAGGCATGTAGGAGCTACATTTTCAGTCTCTCCTTGGGTATAGAAAGTTGCAGGGAAGAACAAATCAGTGCCTTTTGTTTTGAAGTCTGGGCACACATGGTGTGATAGGGAAATGAAGGTCTCATAACTCTTTATAATAAAATGTGACTCAAATTACTGATTAAACTCCCTTTCTCTCTCTCAGGATGCATTGTCCAATTAACCTAAGACTTTTCTAAACTATTTTAGTGAGCTCTTGGCTAGCAGGGCCCAGTCACAAAGACAATTAACTGGTCCCTGTAGGTGAGAGTTGGGGGAAATGTAGGGATTAAGTAGTAAAGAATAAAAATGATGAGCAGATGACTATTTCCATAGGAGATGATATTAAAAAGCCACAAGGATGGAGGTGTTGAGAGGATATATTTGTGAAGTTGTACCTAATTGGGACCAATTTTGCCCACTTTAAAAATGTTGTACTCTGAGATAGAATGTTGAAATAAGAGCCAAACAGCGCAAAGCAGATTTCCTTCACTGTTTCTACATGAATTGTGTGCCAAGCTTGTTGATCAGGAGCTGGCAGTTTCCCTTCACTTTGGTGAGATTTGGAAAGTGTCTATGAGCCAGCTGAGCAAGGAGGTGTGTTGAGGGTGTTGTTTTAACGTTGTGGTCATCACAGGGATTGGTTCACTTGGGCCTTATTTGCCCACGGCACTCAGGAGATTTCTATGAAGAACTTACACTAAGGGAAGAAAAGTAAATGTGTGCAAATTTGGCTCAAGGACAGTAGACTAAGACATAAGGGGAAGTGATTTTTTGGATTATGTGGAGACCATACTGTCACCTATTTCAACATGAGCCCTTGGAAGAGGAGCTTTTACAAAAGTGATAGTAAAAACCAAATAGTAATACAAAAAAAAAACTATTTTGTTAATTAAATTATCTGATATTTTTAAGGCATAGGTCTCATTTCTTTGGATTCTCTATATTGAGGCATACAGATTAAAAAAAAGGGCACAATTGGGCCATATTAAGGCACACAAGGTAACATATGGCTAGACTACAGAAGTGGAATAGCAAAGAAGTAGGAAGGGTGTAAAACTGGCACCACTGTACAGGCATTGGTTGGCCAGGCTTCATTCCCTTCTGCGAGAGGCCTTCAGTAATCCAGAGGGAAAGGTGGAAATGGTAATCATCGCAAGGAGATTCAAATACCTGCTTCATGTACCCAGAAAAGACACCCTCTAGGGGACTCCTAGAAAAATTTGAGAAGACTGGAGTCACAAAAATGCTGTCTGGTTTACGTTAAACACAACTGGAATTTTATCCTAAACTTCTGTGGTTACATAAGCGAAGAGCAGATAACTTCCATGCAGGCTTATTAACTGTTTCCTCCATGATGTCATAATCCTGTTGCTTTTTTCAGCAAGGTAACAAAATAGTTTTAATAAAACCAATAATAACAATTCCCCTCCAAAAGGCTGGTAATCCCCATTTTGTGACATTAGGCCTGCAGTTCTGGGTTACTAAGTGAATTAATTGGTATTATGGTAGATGCCAGAGGATTCCCCAGTGTTTTGTGATGGTGACAGAAGCATATTAAGAACCACAAATAAAAATAGCAACATAATTAAAATATAAAGTAAAGCTATGAAGTTCAAACTCAGCCTGTTTAATTGTTAATGCTCAGGCCTCTTGACAAGAAAAGATTTTGCCTTTTGAAGATACCTCATTGTAATGTTTTAAATTAAATATAGATTATTTTTGTGGAATTAGCTCAACTTTGAAATAATGCTACTTTGATTTGATTTTTTTCCCTGAAGTTTTTTTTAAATCTGCTAGATCTATACTATGCTGCTGGTACCAGGTCATTCACCTACTGCCAGTGGCTTGTTGGAATTCTGGGGGTTTCTTTTTTATATATACTTTTTAAGTTCTGGGATACATGTGCAGAACGTGCAGCTTTGTTACATAGGTATACATATGCCATGGTGGTTTGCTTTACCCATCAACCCGTCATCTACATTAGGTATTTCTCCTAATGCTATCCCTCCCCTAGCCCCCCACACCCTGACCAGCCCCAGTGAGTGATGTTCCCCTCCCTGTGTCCATGTGTTCTCATTGCTCAACTCCCACTTAAGAGTGAGAACATGGAGTATTTTGTTTTCTGTTCCTGTGTTAGTTTGCTGAGATGATGGTTTCCAGCTTCTTCCATGTCCCTGCAAAGGACATGAACTCATCCTTTTTTATTACTGTATAGTATTCCATGGTGTATATGTGCCACATTTTCTTTATCCAGTCTATCACTGATGGGCATTTGGGTTGGTTCCAAGTCTTTGCTATTGTGAATACTGCTTCAGTAAACATACATGTTCATGTGTCTTTATAGTAGAATGACTTATAATCCTTTGGGTATATACCCAGTAATGGGATTGCTGGGTCAAATGATATTTCTGGTTCCAGATCCTTGAGGAATCACCACACTTTCTTCCACAATGGTTGAACTAATTTATACTCCCACCAACAGTGTAAAAGCGTGCCTATTTTTCCACATCCTCTCCAGCATCTTTTGTTTCCTGCCTTTTTAATGATAGCCATTCTAACTGGCACGAGATGGTATCTCATTGTGGTTTTTATTTGCATTTCTCTAATGATGTGATGATGAGTTTTTCTTCATATGTTTGTTGGCTGCATAAATGTTTTCCTTTGAGAAGTGTCTGTTCATATCCTTCACCCACTTTTTGATGGGGTTGTTTGTTTTTTTCTTGTAAATTTGTTTAAGTTCCTTGTAGATTCTGGATATTAGCCCTTTGTCAGATGGATAGATTGCAAAAAATTTCTCCCATTGTGTAGGTTGTCTGTTCAGTCTGATGATAGTTTCTTTTGCTGTACAGGAGCTCTTTAGTTTAATTGGATCCTATTAGTCAATTTTGGCTTTTGTTGCCATTGCTTTTGGTGTTTCAGTCATGAAGTCTTTGCTCATGCCTATCTCCTGAATGGTATGTTAAAGGGACACACTCCATGTGTATCATATTAGGTACTTTTGTGAATCACACAGTATGTCTACCATTCTGCAGAATCTAATCAGGGATCTGGTTTAAGCTTGGTTCACAAATCTCTCAAGATCTTATTAGCTCCAATATTAGAATACCTTCTTTATCTCTCCTCAGTGTTGTCTACTTCCTATTGTCAGTGCCACACAAAACAAAAAAGGCAAAAGAAGGAGATCCTGATGCTTAGCTGCTTTAGGAGTCTTGCCTTGTTTAATATATCATGACTTACACCATTCACCACTAAGTTCAGCATTCCGCATTTTTCCTATTTTTTAACTGAAGCATAAAATGTATAAAGTGATATATATATATATATATAAATCTGAAGTGTACAGCTTAATAAATTTTTATGTACAGTGACACCTGTGTAACCATTACACTGATTAAATACAGAAGATTTCTGGAAGGTCTCCTCATGCCCCCTGCCAGTTAGTACCATGGTCCCAGAGCTAAACATCCTTCTGACTTCTCTACACACAGAATCAATTCATTTATATCTGGCTTCTTTCTCTCAACAAGGTATCTGTGAGATTCAATCAAGTTGTTGCATATATTGGTAGTTTGACATTTTTATGTGTCTTGCCACATTCTACTGTATGAATCTACCACATTTTATTTATT
Source organism: Homo sapiens (assembly GCF_000001405.40). NCBI lineage: Eukaryota > Metazoa > Chordata > Mammalia > Primates > Hominidae > Homo > Homo sapiens. Next base: position 86,294,919 of record NC_000006.12, read on the forward strand.
CTTCAGATTGTAAACATTTGGATTGTCTCCATTTTTTACTTTTGTTAGTGAACCTGCTCAAAACATTCTTGTATCTTTCAGTGAACATAGGATTTATATCTCTTGGGTGGATAACAGATACAGGTTAAATTTACTAGTTACTGACAGTTTCCAAAATGTTTGAACCTTTCAATTGCTCCCCATTATTACCAAGCATTTAGTATTTTTCTTTTTTAATTTTAAAATAATTATAGACTATAGAGAATTGCAAAAATAGTATGGAGGGGGTCCTGGTTATGCTTTAACCAGTTTCCCTCAGTGATTACATGTTACATAACCATAGAAAAATATCACAACCAGGGAACTGACACTGATACAATATGCATGTATAGTTCTATGCCATATTATCACATATGTGGATTTGCATAACCAATGTTCCAGACAAGATACAGAACTACTCCAACACCATGAAGATCTCCTTGCGCTATCCCTTTATGGTCACATGTACCCCGCTTTTCCCACCATACCTAACTCTTGTCAATGACTGATCTGTTCTTCATCTCTATAATTTTATCACTTCAAGAATGTAATTAAAGTGGAACCATATAGTAGTGACTTTTTGAGATTAGCTTTTTTTCATTCAGCATAATGCCTTTGAGATACATCCAAGCTATTGCATATGTATTGTATGTGATGTTTATTGTAGGGTAGTATCCCAGGACATGACTTGACCTCAGGTTCTAGGGCATTTGTCCAATGGAGGAAAGAAGCTGTAGTTGTATGTGGTAAATATAGTTTGAATGGATAGTTTTCATAGAAAACTTACAGAAGTCATGCCAAATGAGCAGGTGACAGCAATGATGATGTTGATGGTGATAATCAGAACATGCTCCCTTGAAGAAAAGTCAGTTAAGAAACTTCCATTGAATTGTTGCCAGTGTCCCCATCAAGTAACAGGTATGAGTCAGTCCCTTTAAGCACTGTGTGTTACATTTCCTAGAAATAAAAATAAAGAATGAGTAGTGGAGAGAGATCCTCGAGTAAGCTCTTGGGTATGAGGGTGCTCCCCAGCTTACACTAGATTGTTGACAGGTTTATTAAAGTAAAAACCATTTAAAAATTACAAATTTATTTATTCATTTGATGAAACCTACTCTGTCACATAGATGTCTCAGATGTTTTATTTCCTTTTATCACCAACAAATCAGTAAGGAAGGTATTATTATTGCTACAATTTAGAAATGAGGAAACTGAAACACAGAGGATTAAATAATCGGCTCCAGAAACATGGCTAGTATGTAATGGAGTCAGATTACATTCTCTGTGGTATTAGTTGGGCCTGCAGTCAACTGGAGGCTCTTGAAGCTGGACCATCCAAGAGGGCTCCCTTACAGACTACCAATGTGTTCTGGCTTTGACTAGGAGTACAGCTGGCACCAACAAAGTACCTTCATTCTTTTCGATATGGCTGCTTCACGGAGCTTCTAACAGTATGATGGCAGAGGAAATGCCTTAAGCATGAAGGCAGAAGCTGAAGATTTCTTAAGGCTCAGCCTCTGCACTTGTATATTAATAGCATTACTTCTGCTGCATTCTATTGGTCAAAGCAGTCATAGGGCCAGCTTTGACCTATCAAATGAAGGGGATACTGAAAAAAGGAGCAAAGAATTTGGGCTGCCTTTATTTCATCATAAGTATTGAATAATTCAAACAAAACAAAATTATCTGTGACAACTGTTGCTTTAATGATCCAGGAGAGTTTTGGGTTCTTGCAGTTGACTTGATATTTGGTATAATTTCATTATGTTTCAGCTGACAGAGTCTGATATTTAAAACTAAAGATTTAATTGATAAATAGAATTTAATTAATAGGATTAATAATTCAAAATGTATTATAGTCTAAGATGAATTTTTTAAGCATCACAACTTCATAATTAAATGGCCTCAGGTATTATGGACTTCACATTCAGTCAATCTTTTACTTCCTTTATGGGAACTAGAGTCTATGAGGGACCTTGCAATGTTTGAAGCGGAACTATTAAGCATGGGAAATTATTTTTGAAAAACGTGATCAAAACTTAGGTAAATAGTGCCATTCCTTTCTAAATAATTTTGGGAAGTTATACAATGATTTCAATGACACTGCCTTACAAAAAAATGAATTTCAGGAACTGTTATTTTGCATTTTGCTTTTAGAGTTTGTAACAGTTTGAAAATCCTTGAATGTGATTAACTTTTTAAGTGCTGTGAGCCACATGGACCTAATTCTGATGAATGTGTTGAGTGTTCAAACTAGAAATCCTGGTTTTGGTGCCTAACAAGGTTTAATTGACAAGCTAATAGGATAGATTTTTGTCTTGTGTCTTATAAGTTAATTTCTGATAATAGTTTCAAAAAAAATCCAGATATGTTTTGAGCAGTAGCATTCTATTAAATAATTGTACCTCTCATGGTCTCTACTGTGAAGACAGCACACATTTGGATGCGTTAGTTCTAATAAACACTAATTAATTTTTAAACTGAGAAAACAGATTATTTGTCATTGTCTTGTATCACATAGTCTGATCTCATGTTTTTCTTATATCTTTTATTAATATACTATGTACATATTAATATTATATATAGTGCCTATCTTTTAAATTTTAGAATAAGGATATGGATATATTATCTCATAAATATATTATTCAGCTTAGAAAGGAGGAAATTCGGCTGGGTGCTGTGACTCATAACTGTAATCCCAGCACTTTGGGAGGCTGAGGTGTGTGGATCACCTGAGGTCAGGAGTTTGAGACCAGCTTGGCCAACATGGTGAAACCCCATCTCTACTAAAAATAAAAAAAATTAGCGGGGTATGGTGGCGTGGGCTTGTAATCCCAGCTACTCAGGAGAATTGCTTGAACCTGGGAGGCAGAGATTGCAGTAAGCCAAGATCCGGCCACTGCACTCCAGCCTGGGTGATAAAGTGAGACTCCATCTCAAAATAAAATAAAATAAAATAAAATATTTTAAAAAAATTTAAAAAGAAAAGAAATGAGGAAATTCAGATACAGATCATTTAAGAGACTTTTTTTCAGCAACATTAGATAATAGATGTTAGAACCATAATAAAACCATTGGGTTTTTTCCCCTATATTTCAGTGCTCGTCCTTTTCAAAATCAGACAAGTTGCCTAACGTGTTTTAAAAATCGCAAAATAAGTCAGCTATTTCATAAATATGTTTGGATCTAGAAGAATTAAAGTAAAATAATATTTTAATGGGACAGCACCTAAAAAAGTATTTGCATGATTGATCTAACCACTAATTTTTCCCATAATAATCTCTTTTGATTTAGTAAATGATTGTGTTTTCATCGCTTTTGGGTAAGTGAATTGTTTTCCTTGTTTCTAATTTTGTATTCTAATCAAGATGCTTTAGTGTCACTTTATGCCAGGGCACTTTAAAAACTTGATTTTTCTAAGCACTAATCACAGGATCAGTAGCACCTGTACCCTATGCCAGTCTGTGAACACAGCTGTTTTTCAATAAATGTCTATGGAAAAAAGGGATCCTTATTCCTGACATAATCTCTAAGAATAACATGTCCCTTTCTCAGATGGAGAAATTGCCTTTTGCCATGAATGGCTGTGCCACTCTGTTTTACAATTCCTGGTCTACTCTAAGTACTTTAGGAACTCCTTGCTTAGAGCTGTTTCTCTGTGTATGTCTCAGCAGAGCAGAGAATACAGGTCATTGCAACAAGCCCTGGTCCAGAAATTTTCTCATCACAGACATGGCTATCCTCCTTGCATTGTCTACAATTTCTTTCTTTAATTAGATGAAAGTTTCCAATAACATTAGCCCAAAAGAACTGTAATCAGAACTTTAAATCTCCCTCTTTAACAAAACAAAACAAAACAAAACAAAACTCATGCTCAGCCATAATAGCAATCTTATAGGCATTCTAAAACTGAGTTCTCTGAACTCTGCAAAAGGTTGCTTTTGCTCCTGGCATGAACAGTTTTCTCTTCAATCTTGTTCTCACCAATATCAGTCTCCATCTTTCTGTTCAATACAGAAAGTGTTGAGTTTTAGGTGGAGTAAATGCAGAAGGGTGGGTTAGGTGGTCTTTTTCTTCCCTCTAGAAAGTGTTCCAGAGGTGAAGACTTTTGCAGAATTATTGATATTTCTTTTTTACTTTGAAACAAAGAGAAAAACCTTTATGATAAATTCTTGTTTCCATATTGTAAATAGTAGCAGGGGAATCTCTCAAATTGCCTGACAGCAGAAATATGTTAAGCCTTCTTCTGTATAAAGAAAAGAGTAGAGAGGTTCCAAAAAATGAAAAAAATAGCTATAGACTGTGCCAATTTGGGTTCCAAATTTGTCAAATTTTTGTTCTTAAGCCTTTAAAAGGCCAATGCTCTACAACTTTACCTTGAGGCAAATCCTCAGTCAGTTAAACTAAGGCTTAGTCAGTTAAACAAAGGCTTTAATTTCTAAAATTAAGTTTGGCACATCATTTTGTGTAGACCAGAGGGTACTTGCTCTCCAAACAAGTGAACGTGAATTTATGTGTGTGTATGTTTGGTGCATAAGGGTTAAGAAATGGTTAAAAAGGATTAAGGGAGGAGGCTTATAAAAATACAATAATTCCCTCTAAGCCCTCAGCTAATTATGTAAATATTAAATTAGTGAGGATTGGAGTACTTAACTGTATTACATAGGAGAAAGTAGATGAAGATAAGAAGGAGGCAGGGCCCAGAATTAGGTTCTGCTCCTGTCAAACACTCAGTGAGGATTAGCTATAGTTCTGGGCCAAGACAGCAGTCCTTCCCCAAAGGGAAGACATCAGCCCCAGTAATTTGAAAAGTGCCTCTCGCTAAGGCTGCTGATAAAAATTGTTCACATTCAGAGAATTCCTTTTTTTGGAAAGCAGTAATTAGTTAGGTCTGGCTAATTTTTCTAATTAATTTCTATCACTCTTTTCCTAAAGTGAGAGAGGAAAAAAAGGCAGAGAGGGAGCATGATATTTGTCTTTAAAGGACTCACAGTAGAATGCTTTATTTTAAAAAATAGTTTTAATATTTTGGTTTCTGTAGTAAAAAACAAACCTACAGAAATAGAAAAATACCACAAAATACTCTTCAAATAGAATGAAATTTTCTTTATTATTATTATTATTATTATTATTATTATTATACTGTAAGTCTAGAATACATGTGCAGAATGTGCAGGTTTGTTACATAGGTATAAGTGTGCCATGGTGTTTTGCTGCACTCATTAACCTGTCATCTACATTAGGTATTTCTCCTAACGGTATTCTTTCCCTAGCCCCCCACCTGCTGAAAGGACCCGGTGTGTGATGTTCCCCTCCCTGTGTCCATGTGTTCTCATTGTTCAACTCCCACTTAAGTATGAGAACGTGTGGTGTTTGGTTTCCTGTTCCTATGTTAGTTTCCTGAGAACGAAGATTTCCAGCTTCATCCATATCCCTGCAAAGGACATGAACTCATCCTTTTTTATGACTGCATACTATTCCATGGCGTATATATGCAACATTATCGTTATTTAGTCTGTCATTGATGGCCATCTGGGTTGGTTCCAAGTCTTTGTTATTGTGAATAGTACTGCAATAAACATACACATGCATGTGTCTTTATAGTAGAATGATTTATAATCCTTTGGGTATATAACCAGTAATGGGATTGCTGGGTCAAATGGTATTTCTGGTCCTAGATCCTTGAGGAATCGCCACACAGTCTTCCACATGGTCAAATTAATTTACACTCCCAACAACAGTGTAAAAGCATGCCTATTTTCCCACATCCTCTCCAGCATCTGTTGTTTCCTGACTTTTTAATGATCACCATTCTAACTGGCATGAGAGGGTATCTCATTGGGGTTTTGATTTGCTTTCCTTTAATAACCAGTGATGATGAGCTTTTTTTCATATATTTGTGGGCCACATAAGTGTCTTCTTTTGAGAAGTATCTGTTCATATCCTATGCCCACTTTTTGATGGGCTGTTTCTTTCTTATAAATTTGTTTAAGTTCTTTGTAGATTCTGGATTTTGGCCCCTTATCAGATGGATAGATTGAAAAAGTTTTCTCCCATTCTGTAGGTTACCTGTTCACTCTGATGATAGTTACTTTTGCTTTGCAGAAGCTCTTTCGTTCAACTAGATCTCATTTGTCAATTTTGGTTTTTGTTGCCATTGCTTTTGGTGTTTTAGTCATGAAGCCCTTGCCCATGCCTATGTCCTGAATGGTGTTGCCTAGGTTTTCTTCTAGGGTTTTTATGGTTTTAGGTCTTATGTTTAAGTCTTTAATCATCTTGAGTTAATTTTTGTATAAGGTGTAACGAAGAGGTCCAGTTTCAGTTTTCTGCATATGACTAGCCAGTTTTCCCAACACCACTATTAAACAGGGAATCCTTTCCCCATTGCTTGTTTTCATCAGGTTTGTCAAAGATCAGTTGGTTGTAGATGTGTGGCATTATTTCTCAGGCCTCTGTTCTGTTCCATTGTTCTATATATCTGTTTTGGTACCAATACCATGCTGTTTTGGTTACTGCAGCCTTGTAGTATAGTTTGAAGTCAGGTAGCATGATGCCTCCAGCTTTGTTCTTTTGGCTTAGGATTGTCTTGGCTATACGGGCTCTTTTTTGGTTCCATCTGAAATTTAAATTAGTTTTTTCTAATTCTGTGAAAAAAGTCAATGGTAGCTTGATGGAGATGACATGGAATCTATAAATTACCTTGGGCAGTATGGCCATTTTCACGATATTGATTCTTCCTACCCTTGAACATGAAATATCTTTCCACTTGTTTGTGCCCTCTCTTATTTCCTTGAGCAGTGGTTTGTAGCTCTCTTTGAAGAGGTTCTTCACATCCCTTGTAAGTTAGATTCCTAGGTATTTTATTCTCCTTGTAGCAATGGTGAATGTGAGTTCACTCATTATTTGGCTTCCTGTTTGTCTATTATTGGTGTATAGGAATGCTTGTGATTTTTACACATTGATTTTGTATCCCGAGACTTTGCTTAAGACGCCTATCAGCTAAGGAGATTTGGGGCTGAGACAATGGGGTTTTCTCAATATACAATCATGTCATCTGCAAACAGAGATAATTTGACTTCCTCATTTCCTATTTGAATACATTTTATTTCTGTCTCTTACCTGATTGACCTGGCCAGAAATTCCAATAATATGTTGAATAGGAGTGATGAGAGAGGGCATTCTTGCCTTGTGCCAGTTTTCAAAGGGAATGCTTCCAGCTTTTGCCCATTCAGTATGATATTGGCTGTGGGTTTGTCATAAATATCTCTTATTATTTTGAGATACGTTCCATCAATACCTAGTTTATTGAGAATTTTTAACATGAAGAGGTGTTGAATTTTATCGAAGGCCTTTTATGCATCTATTGAGATAATCATGTGGTTTATGTCATCGGTTCTGTCTATGTGATGGATTATGTTTACTGATTTGTGTATGTTGAACGAGCCTTGCATCTCAGGGATGAAGCCGACTTGATCGTGGTGGATAAGCTTTTTGATGTGCTGCTGGATTTGGTTTGCCAGTATTTTATTGAGGATTTTCGCATTGATGTTCATCAGGGATTTTGGTTTAAAATTTTCTTCTTTTGTGTCTCTGCCAGATTTGGGTATCAGGATGATGCTGGCCTCATAAAAGGAGTTAGGGAGGACTCCCTATTTTTCTATTGATTGGAATAGTTTCAGAAAAAATGGTACCAGCTCCTCTTTGTACCTCTGGTAGAATTCAGCTGTAAATTTGTCTGGTCCTGGACTTTTTTCAGTTGGTAGGCTATTAATTACTGCTTCAATTTCAGAACTTGTTATTGGTATATTCAGGGATTCAATTTCTTCCTGGTTTAGTCTTAGAAATGTGTACATGTCCAGTAATTTATCCATTTTTTCTATATTTTCTAGTTTATTTGCACAGAGGTGTTTATAATATTGTCTGATGGTAGTTTGCATTTTTGTGGGACCAGTGGTGATATCCCCTTTATGACTTTTTTATTGTGTCTCTTTGATTCTTCTCTTTTTTCTTCTTTATTAGTCTCAATAGTGGTCTATTTTGTTAACCTTTTCAAAAAAAAAAAAAAAAACCAACTCCTGGATTCATTGATATTTGAAGGGTTCTTCATGTTGCTATCTCCTTTGGTTCTGCTCTAATCTTAGTTATTTCTTGTCTTCTGCTAGCTTTTGAATTTATTTGCTCTTGCCTCTCTAGTTCTTTTAATTGTGATGTTAGGGTGCCAATTTTAGATCTTTCCCACTTTCTAAAGTGAGCATTTGGTGCTATAAATTTCCTCCTAAACACTGCTTTAGCTGGGTCCCAGAGATTCTGGTATGTTGTGTTTTTGTTCTCATTGGTTTCAAAGAAATTTTTTATTTCAGCCTTAATTTTGTTATTTACCCAGCAGTCATTCAGGTGCAGGTTGTTCCGTTTTTATGTAGTTGTGTGGTTTTTGAGTGAGTTTCTTAATCCTGAGTTCTAATTTGATTGCACTGTGGTCTGAGAAACTGTTTGTTATGATTTCTGTTCTTTTGCCTTTGCTGAGGAGTGTTTTACTTCCAATTATGTGGTCAATTTTAGAATAAGTGTGATGTGGTGCTGAGAAGAATGTATATTCTGTTGATTTGGGGTGGAGAGTTCTGTAGGTATCTATTAGGTCTGCTTGATCCAGAGCTGAGTTCAAGTCCTGAATATCCATGTTAATTTTCCGTCCTGTTGATCTGTCTAATATTGACAGTGGGGTGTTAAAGTCTCCGACTATTATTTTTTTTAAAATCTTTAATACGCTATATTTATTTAATGCAAATCTCTTTTTTTTTTTGTTTTTTGTTTTTTATTATACTTTAAGTTTTAGGGTACATGTGCACAATGTAAAGATTAGTTACATATGTATACATGTGCCACATGTGCCATGTTGGTGTGCTGCACCCATTAACTCATCATTTAACATTACGTATATCCCCTAATGCTATCCCTCCCCCTCCCCCCACCCCACAACAGACCCCAGTGTGTAATGTTCCCCTTCCTGTGTCCATGTGTTCTCATTTTTTAATTCCCACCTATGAGTGAGAACATGTAGTGTTTGTTTTTTTGTCCTTGCGATAGTTTGATGAGAATGATGGTTTCCAGCTTCATCCATGTCCCTACAAAGGACATGAATCCATCATTTTTTATGGCTGCATAGTATTCCATGGTGTATATGTGCCACATTTTCTTAATCCAGTCTATCATTGTTGAACATTTGGCTTGGTTCCAAGTCTTTGCTATTGTGAATAGTGCCACAATAAACATACATGTGCATGTGTCTTTATAGCAGCATGATTTATAATCCTTTGGGTATATACCCAGGAATGGGATGGCTGGGTCAAATGGTATTTCTAGTTCTAGATCCCTGAGGAATTGCCACACCAACTTCCACAATGGTTCAACTAGATTACAGTCTCACCAACAGTGTAAAAGTGTTCCTATTTCTCCACATCCTCTCCAGCATCTGTTGTTTCCTGACTTTTTAATGATCGCCATTCTAACTGGTGTGAGATGGTATCTCATTGTGGAGTCTCCCATTATTATTGTGTGGGAGTCTAATTCTCTTTGCAGGTCTCTAAGAACTTGCTTTATGAATCTGGGTGCTCATATATTGGGTGCCTATATATTTAGGATAGTTAGCTCTTCTTGTTGTGTTGATTCCTTTACCATTATACAATGCCCTTCTTTTTTTTTTTTATCTTTGTTGGTTTAAAGTCTGTTTTATCAGACTAGGATTGCAACTGCTTTTGTTTTTTTTGTTTGTTTGTTTGTTTTGTTTTTTGCTTTCCATTTGCTTGGTAAATATTCCTCCAACCCTTTATTTTGAGCCTATGTGTGTCTTTGCACATGAGATGAGTTTCCTGAATACAGCACACAGATGGGTCTTAACTCTTTATCCAATTTGCCAGTCTGTATCTTTTAATTGGGGCATTTAGCCCATTTACATTTAAGGTTAATATTGTTTTGTGTGAATTTGATCTTGCCATTATGATGCTAGCTGGTTATTTTGCCCGCTAGTTGATGCAGTTTCTTCATAATGTCAATGGTATTTACAGTTTGGCTTGTTCTTGCAGTGGCTGGTACCAGTTTTTTCTTTCCATGTTTACTGCTTCCTTCAGGAGCTATTGTAAGGCAGGCTTGGTGGTGACAAAATCTCTCAGCATTTGCCTGTCTGTAAAAAATTTCACTTCTTCACTTATGAAACTGAGTTTGCTGGTTATGAAATACTGGGTTGAAAATTATTTTTTATAAGAGTATTGAATATCATCCCCCACTCTCTTCTGGCTTGTAGGGCTTCTTCAAAGAGATCTGCTGTTAGTCTGATGGGCTCCCCTTTGTGGGTAACCCTACGTTTCTTTCTGGCTGCCATTAATATTTTTTCCTATATTTCAACATTAGTGAATCCAATGATTATGTGTCTTTGGGTTGCTCTTCTCAAGGAGTATCTTTGTGGTGTTCTCTCTATTTCTTGAAATGAATGTTGGCCTGTCTTGCTAGGTTGGGGAAGTTCTCCTGGATAATATCCTGAAGAGTGTTTACCAACTTGGTTCCATTTTCCCTGTCACTTTCAGGTACACCAATCAAATGTAGGTTCGGTATTTTCATAGAGTCTCATGTTTCTTGGAGTCTTTGTTCATTCCCTTACATTCTTTTTTTTCTCTAATCTTTTCTTTGTGCTTTATTTTATTAAGTTGCTCTTCAATCTCTGATATCCTTTCTTCTACTTGATTGATTTGGCTATTGATACTTGTATATGCTTCACAAAGTTCTCATGCTGTCTTTTTCAGCTCCATCAGGTAATTTATGTTCTTCTCTAAACTGGTTATTTTAATTAGGAATTCCTCTAGCCTTTTTTTCAAGGTTCTTAGCTTCCTTATATTGGGTTAGAACATGCTCCTTTAGCTCAGAAGAGTTCGTTATCACCCACCTCCTGAAGCCTACTTCTGTCAGTTTATCAAATTCATTTTCTCTCCAATTTTTTCCCTTGCTGGCAAGGTGTTGTGATCCTTTGGAGAAGAAGAGGCATTCTGGTTTTTGGAATTTTCAGCCTTTTTGTACTTGTTTTACCTAATCTTCGTAGCTTTATCTACGTTTGTTCTTTGATGTTGGTGACCTTAAGATGGGGTTTCTGTGTGGACATCCTTTTTGTTGATATTCTTGCTATTCCTTTCTGTTTGTTAGTATTCCTTCTAGCAGTCAGGTCCCTCTGCTGCAGGTCTGCTGGAGTTTGCTGGAGGTCCACTGCAGACCCTGTTTTCCTGGGTATCACCAGCAGAGGCTGCAAAGCAGCAAAGATTTCTGCCTATTTCTTCCTCTGGAAGCTTCATCCCAGAGGGGCACTTGCCAGATGCCAGCTGGAGCTTTCTGTATGAAGTATCTGTCTACCTCTGATGTCAGGTTTCTCCCAGTCAGGAAGCCCGGGGGTCAGGGACACACTTGGGGAGGCAGTCTGTTCCTTAGCAGTGCTCCAGCACTGTGCTGGGAGATCCACTGCTCTCTACAGTGCCGGCAGGCAGGAATGTTTAAGTTGGCTGAAGCTGTGCCCACGGCCGCCTCTTTTCCCAGGTGCTGTGTCCCAGGGAGATGGGAGTTTTATCTGTCAGCCCCTGACTGGGGCTGCTGCCTTTCTTTCAGAGATGCCCTGCCCAGAGAGGAGGAACCTAGAGGGGCAGTCTGGCTACAGCGGCTTTTCTGCAGTGTGCTCTGCCCAGTTCGAACTTTCCAATGGCTTTGTTTACACTGTGAAGGGAAAACTGTCTACCCAACCTCAGTAATGGTGGATGCCCCTCCCCCCACCAAGCTCGAGTGTCCCAGGTTGACTTCAGAGTGCTGTGCCGGCAGTGAGAATTTAAAACCAGTGGATCTTAGCCTGCTGGGCTTTGTGGGGTGGGATCTCCACTGAGCTCGACCACTTGGCTCCCTGGTTTCAGCCCCCTTTCCAGTGGTGTAAATGATTCTTTCTCACTGATGATACTCCAGATGCCACTGGGGTATGAAATAAAACTCCCGCAGCTAGCTCGGTGTCTGCCCAAATGGCTGCCCAGTTTTGTGCTTGAAGCCCAGGGCCCTGGTTGCGTAGGCACCTGAGGGAATCTCCTGGTCTGTGGGTTACTAAGACTGTGGGAAAAGCATAGTATCTGGGCCAGAACGCACAGTTCCTCATGGCACAGTCCCTCACAGCTTTGCTTGGCTAGGGTAGTGAGTTTCCTGACCCCTTGCACTTCCTGGGTGAGGTGACACCCCACCCTGCTTTGGCTCACCCTCCATGGGCTCTACCCACTGTCTAATTGGTCCCAATGAGATGAGCCAGGTACCTCAGTTGGAAATGCAGAAATCACCCACCTTCTGCATTGATCCTGCTGGGAACTGCAGACGAGAACTGTTCCTATTCCACCATCTTGCCAGCCACCCTTTGGAGTTTTCCTTTTTGTCTTCCACTTTACACTTCCCTATTCTCATTCTTATTTAGCATAAAAATGCGTTGAAGGATTTTCCTGGTAGTGTCTAATGATTGTGACCTTGCCAAAGTCTGCAGTTTTATCACCATAAGAAGTCTTTTAAGGACAAACACCATACTCACGTGTGAGATTGGCACACCTGATATGCCAGGAAATGGCTAGAAACAAAGAAGAAAAATGAAAGCTCTTTGTATCGGCCATGTGGTGGGAACTACTGTGGTCCTCAGTGGCCTCTCTGCAAAGGAGAGCAGCACCTTCTGCCACTGAGGTAACAAATGACCATTCCTGCCAGGGAACCCCAGAATGGAAGGCATGGTTGAACCCCCCCAGCCTCCACCAAGAAGCTGCTATTCCTGAGCCATTTCAGGAAAGGGGCTGTCACCTCTCCGAATCCTGCGCATGCCCTGACCTCTGAGCCATAGCTGCCTGTGACTGCCCACATTCCAGACCTGAGCGCTTTGTCTACAGTATGTCCCCCACACCTTAGACCCTGGAGCCATCCCTGTAGTGAGCTGGTTTGCACTATGGGAACTAGAGCCACAGTCTCTGTGAGGATGGCCATGTTCTATTCACTAGTTCAGCTGCCATAGAGAGGTAGGTCCTGCCCTGACCTTGGAATCACTGTAACCCTTCTCATGCCTGTGCTTCTTGTTCTTGGATCCCAGCTGCTTCATAAGCATCTATGCCTTGCACACTGTTACCAACATGGCAGCAGGGGTGGCTGTACCCTGGACAGAAGTGCCATTACTGCCCCAGTCCCTCCACATTGCCTATGCTTCAGGCCTCAGTTTGGTGGCACCCCGTGGGCACCAATCATCAGACACTGATGCCACAGCCACCAAAAGTGAGTCCACAAGCCAGACCCAGTGCCAGGAAGGATCCCCTCAGCCACAGCTTCCCCAGTAGGAGAAAAAGAGATTGGAAGGTCCTTAGCATCCATCACCCCCTAAGACCCCAACAGCCCTCAGTGCCACTGTGGAAATCCACATCCCTAGCTTCTGAGGATCCCTACAATCTTTGTCAACATCAATCTCAGCTGTCAAAGCTGCACAGAGACTACACAGATGCACCCTCAGTGGTGCCAGGGCTGCTGCATCATACCTATCAAATACCCTCATATTCCCCTGTAAACAATGGTCTTTCCACATGAAAACTAGCCTGTAAAATCTGGAAGAAATAACTGTTTCACCAAATGCAAATACATCAATGTAAGGTAATAAGAAAAACTAAAAATCAAAAAGTCATATTATTACCAAAAGAAAACAATAATTTCCCAATAGTGGATCTTAAAGAAATAGAGACATATAAACTGTCTCACAAAAAAATCAAAATAATCATCTTAAGAAGACTTCAAGAAAATACATGGAAACTATTCAATAGAATAAAAAAAGACCATAACAAAAAATTAACAGAGATTAAAATTATATCTTAAAAAAATTGTGGATCTAAAATAATATAATAATGGAATAAAAAATCCAATAGAGAGCATCAACAGCAGGCTTGATTCACCAGAGGAAAGAATCTGTAAACTCAAAGACAGATGGTTTGAAAATATACTGTCAGAGGGGGAAAAAAAAGGAATTTAAAAAATACAGGATTTATGGGACAGCATTAAGAGAGCAAATATTCAAATTATAGCAGTTTAAGAACAAGAAAAGAGAGACAAAAGGCCAGAAAGTTTATTTAAAATAATAATAGCAGAAAAACTTCCAGATGTAAGGGGAGATATATGTATTCAGGTTACAGGAGGATCAAAGGCCTCCAATGAGAATCAATCCAAACAAGGCTACTCTAAGATATATTATAATTAAACTGTAAGAAATCAAAGACAAAAAGTGATCCTGAAAGAAGCATGTCACATAAAAAAATTTTAATAAGGCTTGCAGCAAATTTCTGAGCAGATAAATTTTAGTCCATTCTCATATTGCTATAAAGAAATATCTGAAACTGGATAATTTATAAAGAAAAGAGGTTTCATTAGCTCATGGCCTCACAGGCTGTACAGGAAGCTTAGTGACATCTGGTTCTGGGGAGTCCTCGAGAAGCTTCTAATCATGGTGGAAGGCAAAGGGAGAGCATGCATGTCACATGGCAAAAGCAGAAGCATGAGAGTGAGAGGGGAAGTGCTGCACACTTTTAAGTGATCAGATCTCACAAGAACTCATTATCATGAGGACAGTATCAAGGAGATGGTGCTAAACCATTCAAGAGAAATCCAAACCCGTGATCCAATTACCTTCCACCAGGTCCCATCCTCAATATTGGGGAGTATATTTTAATACGGGATTAGGGTGGCAACACACATTCAAACTATATCAGAGATATTACAGGGCAGGAGGGAGTGAGGTGATAGATTCAAAGTGCTGAAGGAAAAAAAAAGTTGCCATCAAGAATACCCTACCCACCAAAGCTATTCTACAGAAATGAAGGAGAGATAAAGACTTTCCCAGACAAGCAAAAGCTGAGTGAGTTCATCAACAGCAGATCTGTCTTACAAGAAATGCTAAAAGGAGTTTTTCAATGTGAGAGAAAAGAATGTAAATTAGTAACATGAAAACATATGAAAGTATAAAACTCACTGGTAAAAGTAAGTATCCAGTCAGTTCAGAATAGTCTAATACTTAAAGTGGTGTTTAAATCACTTATATCTTTAGTATGAAGGGTAAAAGGCAAAAACTGTTTAAAATAATAAAGCTACAATAATTTGTTAATGACAAAATATTAAAAAATGTAAATTGTGACAAAACATACGTGGGTAAGTAAAGTAAAAGTATAGTTTTTTATGCAATCAGTTAAATTTTTATCAGTTTAAAATAGCCTATTATAAATGTAAGATATTTTAAATAAGCCTCATAATAACCACAAAGCAAAAACCACAAAAGATAAAAAGAAGGAATCAAAACATACTACTCTAGAAAATAATCTAATCACACAGGAATACATCAATAAAGGAAGAAATAAAGGATCTACAAAACAACAAGAAATAATGAACAAAATAGCAGAAGCAAGTCATTACTTATTAATAGTATCTTAAATGTAAATTGATTAAATTATTTAATCAAAAGTCATAGAGTGACTGAATGTATCAAAAAACTGATCCAAGTTATGCTGCTTACAAGAGTCTCATTTCACCTGTAAGGATACATAGACTAAAAGTGAAAGGATGGACAAAGATATTCTATGCAAATGAGAAACAAAAGACATGAGGAGTAGCTATACTTAGATAAAATAGATATTAAGTAAAAAAATGGTGAAGCAAGAGAAAGAAGGTCATTATATATAATAATAAAATAAATTCATCATTAATTTAAAACAATTGTAAATATATATGCATTCAACAATGGAACACCTAAATATATAAAGCTAATATTAGCAGACATAAAGAGATAACTGCAATACAATAATAATAGAAAACTTCAATATCCCACTTTCAATAACAAATCATCTTAACAGAAAATCAATAAGAAAACAATGGACTTAAACTACACTTTAGACCAAATGGACCAAACAGACATATACAGAATATTCCAACCAAAAGCAGCAAAATACACATCTTCTTAAGTGCACAAGGAACATTCTCCAGGATAGATAATATGTTAGGTCACAAAATAAGTGTTCACAAATTTAAGCAGATTAAAATCATCTCAAATATCTTTTATGATTACAATAGTGTGAAATTAGGAATCAATAGTAGGAGGAAATTAAGGAAATCTACAAACTTGAAAATTAAGTATTGCATTCCTAAACACCTGATGGGATACAAATAAATTAAAAGAGAAATTTGTAAAAATCCTGAGCCAAACAAAAATGGAAACGCAACATACCAATTGTTATGGGATGCAGCAAAAGCAGTTCTAAGAAGAAAGTTTATAGTAATAAACACTGAGATTAAAGAATAAAAAAGATCCCAAATACACAACCTAAATGTACACCCCCAGGAAGTAGAAAAGAGCAAACTAAGCTTGAGGTTATCAGAGGGAAGAAAAAATAAAGATCAGAGCAGAAATAAATGAAATAGAGGTTAGGAAAATAATACAAAATAATCAATAAAACTGAGTTGTTTTTTAAAGCAAGATACAAACTGACAAATCTTTAGCTAGACTAATTGAGAAAAATAGAGAAGACTGAAGTAAGTAAAATAAGAAAGTAAAAAGAAGACATTACAACTTATACCACAGAAATTGAAAATATTATAAGACAACTATGAATAATGATATGCCAAAATATGGGATAACCTAGAAAAAATATATTCCCAAACACATACAGCCTATCAACTGAATCATAAAGACATGGAAAATCTGAATGGATGAAAAGAGTAAATTAGTAACAAAGAGTTTCCCATGAAACAAAAACCCAGGAACTGATGGTTTCATTGTTGAATTCTACCAAACTTTGAAGAACTAATACCAATTTTTCTCATACTTTTTCAAAAAATTGAAGCAAATAGTTCCAAACTTATTTTAATGAGGCCAACGTTACTCTGATACCAAAGCCAGACAACACTATGAGAAAAAAAATTACAGAACAATGTCTCTGATAAACACAGATGCAAATAACTTCAACAAATAATAGCAAAAAAATTCAACAACGCATTAGAAAGATCTTCCAGCATGGGCAAGTTGGATTTATCTGAGAAATCCAAGAATGGTTCATATGGAAATCAGTAAATGTGATACATCACATTAACAAAATGAAGAACAAAAACCACATGATCATCTTAATAGAGGCAGAAAAGACATTTGATAAAATTCAACATTTTTCCATTGATTAAAAACTCAAAAAAAAAATAAAAGGAATATACCTTCACAAAATAAAGGCAATACACAATAAGAAAATAGCTAACATCCCACTCCACAGTGAAAAATTGAAAGCTTTTTCTCAAAGATCAGGAAGAAGACAAGGATTTTCACTCCTACCACGTGTATTCAACAGAGTGCTGAACGTTCTAGTCAGAGACATTAAGCAGGAGAAATAAACAAAAGGCATACAAATGGAAAAGAAAGAAGTAAAACTGACACTGTTTGCTGATGGCATGAATAATCTTGCATACAGAAAACCCTAAAGAGTCCACCAAGACCAGGCATGGTGGCTTATGCCTGTAATCCCAACACTTTGGGAGGCTGAGGCAGGTGGATCACTTGAGGTCAGGAGTTTGAGACCAGCTTGGACAACATGGTGAAACTCCATCTCTACCAAAAACTACAAAAAATTAGCCAGGTATGGTGGCACACACCTGTAATCCCAGCTACTCAAGAGACTGAGGTGGGAGAATCACTTGAAACTGGGAGGCAGAGGCTGCAGTAAGCCAAGATCGTGCCACTGCACTCCAGCCTGGGCAACAGTGTGAGACCCTGTCTCACACACACACACAAAGAAAGGAGTCTTCCAGAAAAAAAGAAACCCAGTTAACTAATACACAAATTTAATAAAGTTGCAGGATATAAAATTAATATGCAAAATCAGCAGTGTTTCTACACACTAACAGCAAACTATTTTTTAAAAAGTCTCATTTTCAATCTCATTTACAACAGCTACAAAAAATTTAATTGGGGGGACAGAGGTGGAGAAAGCTGGTTAAATAGAAGATTCTACTGATCCTCCTCCCTGCAGGAATACCAAATTTGACATTTACATGAAAAAAGCACTTCATAAAAACTAAAAATTAGGTTAGAAATTACAGTATCTGTTTTTAACTTGATATCATTGAAAGAGGCTCTGAAGAGGGTTGGAAAGACAGTCTTGAATTGCCAACATCACCCCCTTTGTTGTTCCTGGCAGAGGCTGCATGGTGTGGAGAGAGAATCAGTATGCTTGCGGGAGGGAGACCACAGCAATTGTAGGACTTTTCATTGGAATTCAGTGCTGCCAACACTGGGCTTCTTTGAACTCAGCCAATGTCCAATGGTAGAGCATTTAGACCAGCCCTAGCCAGAGGAGAATCACCCATTCAAGCAGTCATTCAGAACTCGAGTTTCAGCAAGCCTCACCACTGTGGGCTAAAGTGCTCTAGGGTGCTATATAAACTTGAAAGACTGTCTAGGCCACAAGGACTGAAACTCCTAGGAAAGTTCTAGTGATGTGCTGGGCTCAGAGCCAGTGGACTTTGGGGCATGCAACATAGACATCAGCCAGGGTAGCTAAGAGAGTGCTTGTATCACCCCTCCGTCAACCCTAGACAGTGCAGCTCACAGCTCCAAAAGAGACCTCTTCCTTCTACTTGAGGAGAGAAATGGGAAGAGTAAAGGGGATTTTATTTTGCAATTTGGATAGCAGCCCAACCACAATAGGATAGGGAACCAGGCAAAGTCATGAGGACCCCATTTCAGCCCCAGCTTCCAGACAACATTTCTAGACACAACCTGGGCCAGAAAGGAACCCATTGCCTTAAAGGGAAGGACCTAGTCCTGGCAAGATTCATCACCTGCAGACTAAAGAGCCATTAGGCCCTAAATAATTGGCAGAGGTAATGAACTAGTACACACCATGGGCCTTGGATGAGACTCTGAGACATGCTGGCTTCAAGTGTAACCCAGCATATTACCAGCTGTGGTGGCTACAAGAAGAGGCTCCTTTTGCTTGACAAAAGGCCAGAGGGGATTCCACAGCTCTGAAGGGTAAGTCCCAGGCCTGTCACAATTCACCAAAAACTGACTAAAAAGACTTTTGGCCTTAAATTAACACTGGTGGTACCCTGGCAGTACTCCATGTGAGCCTGTGGTGGTCATGGGGAGAGACTCCCCTGTCTGGAGAAAACAAAAAGGAAGAGTTTGAATGACTTTGCTTAAGGTCTTGGTGCCAGAGTAGAATCGAGCAAAAGGTAAATTTCTAAGGTTTCTGGCTCCAGGTCCTCGTTCATAGGCATCAATTCTAGACCAACCAAAAGCCTGGGGAAATTCACTAACCTGAAGGAAAGAATGCAAGACTGGCTGGTTTTGCTCCCTGGTGATTGCAGAGCCCTAGGGCCTTAAGCAAAAATAAGTAATAGCCAGGTAATGGTTACAGTGAGCCTTTGGCAAGACCCAGTGCTGTGCTGGCTTCTGGTCTGACCCAGTACAGTCCCTGTGGTACTGATCACAGGGGTGCTTGTGTCACCTCTCCCCTAGCTCCAGGAAGCTCAGCACACACAAACACAGAGAGAGTCTGTTTGTTTGGGGGAAAGTAAGAGAAGAGAAAAAAAGAGTCTCTGCCTGGTAATCCAGAGAACTCTTCTGGCCCTTATACAAGAACAAGGCAGAACCTCCAGGAGTCTGTTAGAAGTAAAGCATTCCTGGGCTTGGTGTGCCCCCTAATGCAGATATGGCTGCAGTAACCAAAAACTTAGGTCACAATACCCAAGTCTCTTCAAATACTGAGAAATCCTTCCCAAGAAGCATGGGTATAAACAAATCCAAACTGTGAAGACTACGATGACTACCAAGTTCTCTAATTTGCAGACACTGATGAACATTCACAGGCACCAAGACCATCCAGGAAAACATGACCTCACCAAACAAACCATATAAGGCACCAGGGGCCAATCCTGGAGAGACAGAGATATATGACCTTTCAGACAGACAATTCAAAATAGCTGTTTTGAAGAAACTCAAAGAAATTCAAGATAACACAGAGAAGGCATTCTGAGTCCTATCAGATAAATTTAAGAAAAATATTGAGATAAATAAAAATTTAAAATAACCAGGCAGAAATTACAGAGCTAAAAAAGGAAATTAACATACTAAAAAATACATTAGAGTCTCAAACCAGAAGAAATAATTAATGAGCTTGAAGACAGGCAATTTGAAAATACACAGAGGAGCCAAAGAAAAAAGAATTAAAAAATAAAGCACCATAACAAAATCTAGAAAATCACATCAAAAGGACAAATCTAGGAGTTATTGGACTTAAAGAGGAGGTAGGAAAAGAGGTAGGGGTAGAAAGTGTATTCAAAGGGATAATAAACAACTTCCCAAACCTAGAGAAAGATATCAATATTCAAATGAAAGAAGGTTATACAACAGCAAGCAGATTTAGTCCAAAAAGGATTACCTCAAGTCACTTAATAATCAAACTCTCAAAGGTCAAGGATAAAGAAAGAATCCTAAAAGCAGCAAGAGGAAATAATGGATAACATACAATGCAGCTCCAATATATTTGGCAGCAGACTCTTCGGTGGAAACCTTACAGGCCAGGAGAGACTGACAATGACACATTTAAAGTGATATTTAAAGTGCTGAAGGAAAACCACGTGTATCCTAGAATTGCATATCCGGTGAAAGTATTCCTTAAACATGAAGTAAATAAAGACTTTCCTAGACAAAGAACCAAAACGAAACAAAATAGTTGAGGGATTTCATCTTCAATCTGAAAAAAAAAAAAAAGGATGTTAAAGAGCAATAAGAAATAATCTGAAGGTAAAAAACTCACTTGTAATAGTAAGCATACAGAAAAACAGAAAATATAACACTGTAACTGTGGTATGCAAATTACTCATATTTTGAATTATTTTGAATTAAAATATACAAGGATGAACTAATCAAAAATAATAACTACAGCTTTTCAAGTCATAGATGGTATGTCTTGAAAATATTTGATAATTTTAAAAGGTACAACAAAAAATTAAAAAGCAGGTGACAAAGTTAAAGTATAGAGTTTTTTTATTAGTTTTCATTTTGCTCGTTTGTTTGTGCGATCAGTTTCATGTTGTCATCATTTTAAAATAATGAGTTATAAGATAATATTTGGAAGCCTCATGGTAACCTCAAATCCAAAAACATACAATGAATACACAAAAAATTAGAAGCAAGAAATTAAAACACACCAACAGAGAAAATCACCTTCACTAAAAGAAAGACAGGAAGGAAGGAAAGAAGGAAGAAAACATGACAAAGTAACCAGAAAACAACAAAGTGGCAGGACTAAGTTCTTAGTTATCAATAATAACAGTGTGGCTGAATTTTTTTTTGATCCAGTTATCTGTTGCCTATAAGAAACACTTTTCCCATATGAAGACATACACAGTCTGAAAATAAAGGCATGTAAAAAGATACTTCATACAAATGTAACCAAAAAAGAGCAGGAGTAGCTATACTTATGTCAGAAAAAATACATTTCAAGACAAAAACTATAAAAAGAGACAAAGAAGTTCATTTTATAGTGATTAAGGAGGTTCATTGAGCAAAAGGATATAACATTTTTAAATATTTATGCACCCAGATATATTAATACAAAGCAAATATTACTAGAGCTAAACAGAGAGATAATCCCCAATAAAATAATAGCTGGAGATGTCAATACCCTATTTACAGCATTGGAAAAATCATCTAGAGAGAAACTCAACCAAGAAACATCAGGCTTAATCTGCACTATAGACCAAATAGACCTAACACATTTTTACATAACATTTTATCCAATGGCTACAGCATATACATTTTTCTCTCCAGCACATACATTATTCTTTTTTTTTTTAATTTTTATTTTTAAACACTTTTTCTTTCCAACTTTTAGGTTCAAGGGGTACATGTGCAGGTTTTTATTATTATTATTATTATACTTTAAGTTTTAGCATACATGTGCACAATGTGCAGGTTAGTTACATATGTATACATGTGCCATGCTGGTGCGCTGCACCCACTAACTCGTCATCTAGCATTAGGTATGTCTCCCAATGCTATCTCTCCCCCCTCCCCCCACTCCACAACAGTCCTTCCTGTGTCCATGATGTTCCCCTTCCTGTGTCCATGTGTTCTCATTGTTCAATTCCCACCTATGAGTGAGAATTAGGCCACAAAACAAGTCTTCAAACATTCGAAAAATTGAAAGATAAGATTGGTGCAAAAGTAATTGCTGTTTTTCATTAAACATAATGGCAGAATTGTAATTATTTTTGCACCAACCTAATAACATGCACAAAAATAATGAATGTACTTAACAACATGAACTATAAACTTAAAAATGGTTAAGATGGTAAATTTTATGGTATATGTATTTTATAATTTAAAATGTTGGAAAAACAAGATTCCCTTATACTTTTAGTCTATCAACATTGTCCTATGCAAGATAATTCTAATCTGTATTTGCCTGTCTCTTCCAAATGGAATTATAGACTCACTGACAGGCTCCAGGACATGGCTTTTAAATCCTTAGCCTGACTGCCAAATTGGCAGAACAGCCACCCCCTTATCTCTGAACCTTGGGGTCTCATGGCCCTTTCAGAAGTAAAAGCTGTGATGAAATGAGGTTCCTTTGAGCAAAACCACAATTACTTTTGCACCAACCTAATAATAACATGTATCTTCTCTAACCTCAATGGAATAAAACTGAATTCAATAACACATTAGAAAGTTTATTCATCATGACCAAGTGGAATTTATCCTAGGGATGAAAAATTGGTTCAACATACACAATCCAACCAATGTGATACATCATATCAACAGAATAAAAGACAAAAACCATATGATCATTTCAATTGATGCTGACAAAACATTTAATAAAATTCAACATTCCTTCGTGATAAAAACCCTCATAAAAATAGGTATAGAATGAGCATATCTCAGCACAATAGAAATCATATATGACAGACCCACAGCTATTAATAGTATTATACTGAATAGGGAAAAACTAAAAGCCTTTCCTTTAAGATCTGGAGCATGAAAAAGTTGCTCGCTTCCACCATTGTTATTCAACATAGTAATGAAAGTCCCAGCTAGAGTAATCAGATGAAAGAAAGAAGGGACATCTGAATTGAAAAGGAAGAAGTCAAATTAGACTTGTTTGCAGGTGATATGACCTTAATATTTGGAAAAATCTGAAGACTCCACCAAATAACTATTTGAACTGATAAGCAAATTTGATAAAGTTGCAGGATACAAAATCAACACACACAAATTAGTAGTATTTCCATAAGCCAGAAGCAAGCATTGTGAAAAGGAAATCAAGAAAGTAATCCCATTTACAATAGCTATGAATAAAATAAAATACCTAGGAATAAACTAACCCAAAGAAATGAATCCTCTCTACAATTAAAACTATAAAACATTGGTGAAAGAAGTCGAAAAGGACACAAAAAATGGACAGATATTCCACGTTTATGAACTAGCAATATCATTATTATTTGAAATGTCCATACTACCCAGAGATATCTACAGATTTAATGCAATACCTATCAAAATGTCAGTGACATTCTTCATAGAAATAGAAAAAGCAATCCTAAAATTTCTATGGAACTGCAAAAGACCCAGAATAGCCAAAGTTATCCTGAGCAAAAGAACACAACTGGAGGAATCACATTACCTGACTTTAAATTATACTACAGAGTTATGGTAACCAAAACAGCATGGTCCTGGCATAACAACAGGTATATAGACCAATGGAACAGAATGGAAAACCCGGAAGCAAATCTATTCAACTATAGTGAACTCATTTTTGACAACAGTGCCAAAAGCATACACTGGGGAAAAGACAACCACTTCAATAAATGGTGCTGGGAAATTGGATATCCATATGCAGAAGAATGAAACTAGACCAACATCTCTTGCCATATAAACAGATCAAAATGGATTAAATACTTAAATCAACAATATCAAGCTATGAAACCACTAAAAGAAAACATTGGAAAAACTCTCCAGGGCAATGAACTGGCAAAAAATTTGTTCAGTAATATCCCATAGGTATAGGCAACCAAAGCAAAATCGGACATATGCAATCACATCAAGTTAAAAAGCTTCTGTATGACAAAGGAAACAATCAATGAAATGAAGAGACAACCCACAGAATGGGATAAAATATTTGTATGTTACCCACCTTACAAGACATTAATAACCAGAACATATAAAGAGTTCAAATCAATAGAAAAAAAATCTAATAATCTGATTTAAAAATGGGCAAAAGATCTGAATAGAAATTTCTCAAAGAAGACAAACAAATAGCAAACAGGTGTGTGAAAAGGGGCTCAACATCACTGATCATCAGAATAATGCACATTAAAAGCTAATGAGATTTCATATCACCCTAGTTAAAATCATTTATATCCAAAAGGCAGGCAATAACAAATGCTGTCAAGGATGTGAAGGGAATCATGTACACTGTTGGTGGAAATGTAAATTAGTACAACCACAATAGAGTACATATGGAAATTCCTGAAAAAATAAAAGTAGAGCTACCATGTGATCCAGCAATCCTACTGCTGGATCTATACCCCAAATAAAAGAAACCAGTATATCAAAGGGATATCTGCACTCCCATGTTTGTTGCAGCACTGTTCATGATAGCAAACATTTGGAAGCAACCTAAGTGTCCATCAACAGATGAATGGATAAAGAAAATATGGTAGAAAGTGTGGTACACATATACTGTTAAATCAAGTTTAGCCTAAATCTGCCTACTTACATATTTTAAGTTCTGCCTTGTTAGTCGATTTTCATGCTGCTAATAAAGACATAACCAAGACTGGGTAATTTATAAATGAAAAGAGGTTTAATGGACTCACAGTTCCATGTGGCTGTAGAGGCCTCACAATCATGACAGAAGATGAAAGGCACATCTTACATGGTAGCAGGCAAGGAAAGAATGAGAGCCAAGTGAAAGGGGAAACCCCTTATAAAACAATCAGATCTCTTGAGACTTATTCACTACCGTGAGAACAATAGTGGGGAAACTGCCCCCATGATTCAATTATCTTCTACTGGATCCCTCCGACAACACAAACGAATTATGGGAGCTACAAATCAAAATGAGATTTGGGTGGAGACACAGCCAAACCATATCAGGCCTAAAGGTTTTTCTGTACATCATGAACTATAATAAATGAAGGTGTAAACAGACTGTAGCCTGCACTTGTGCCAATCACTAAGTTTTGGCCAATCAAATGGAGCCAACTGTTTCAATCATATTCAAATGAGGCAAATGCTGAGCTGTAACAAATCCAGCTGTTACTGTATCTCACTTAAGCTGTAGCTAATCTGGTGTACTTTGTGCTATGAATTTGTCTTTCTGTGTCATTCTGTGGTAAAGAGGGATACCATAGAATAGAACATAGGATTAGGACCCCTGTAATCCGGCTGTTCAAGTCAGCCCAGCAAACTGGTCAGTTACAAACTTGGCTGTAGATCCCTGAAACTAGATGAGGTTTCCCTCTCATCTTGTTTTATGTCCTTGGGAGCTTGACCTTGTAACCACCAGGCAGTACTTTCTCTTGGTCTCTGCCATCCAGGGAACAGGAATTTGGGGTTTCATGTCATAGTTAGCTCTAAAAATTATCTTGAGCAGTTAAAAGACTTTGCAAGCTCAAAATTGACTATGCTAGACTCCTTCTGGAAAGAGCAATGGAGATTGCCCAGTACTATAGCTCAGTAGCTAAAGCTTTGCCTTTTCACAATGGTGCCTAGGTTCAGAGGTCAATTCCTGGCTTAAAGAATGAGTCCTTTCGGGTTTGATATCTGTGTGACTTTTGCCATTTATTGATTTTTCTTCCTCTTCATGAACAACTTCTGACTTCCTGTCTTGAATTTTATTTTCTCTGAGAACCTGAGAGATTACCTTTGGTAAATTTCAAACACCAGAAATATTGACCATTTGGTCTGGCTAGAGTCTCATAGTAAGGGCAATAGTTAAAAGTCAGCTTAATTAAAAGTGGATATCCAAGCTATATATATGTATATATATATATATACACACACACACATATATATGATTATATAGACACATACTATATATGAGATAATATATATATATTTAAAAGGCCTTTGTATATTTTTTTCTCTTCTTGGGTAGTGTCTTTCTAGAAAAAAAGGTCTTTTTCTTCTCAGTCAACTGAATTGTTTTTCTCAATTTTATCTCTTCCCACTCTTGATGCACATATGAGAGGACCCAAGATCATTTCTAACAGCTAGGAACTCCTTGGAAAAAAAAATGAGACACCACAGATCCTGTTTTGGGAAAAATCTTTGTTTTCCTCAAGGAACCCCAGGAATTGAAAATGTATCCTTCTCAAAATCTAAGTCTCTGTTCTGTTTTTCATTGCTTTACTTGATGTTTTTGACTCTTGGAAGTGTCAGAAATTACTTGGCATTGTGAGACAAGTTTTATAGATGGCTAATGGCAGTTATGGTGGGATGCTCAACTCTTTGCATGTTTCGATCAGAGAAGCATGTTCTTGGTCACCTAGAAGGTATGGAAATGCCCCCACTGCCTACTGAGAGATAAGACTTTCATGGGGGATGGGCTAATCATAGAATGGGCTGATCAGCTTTGGATGCTTTGCAGTGAAATGCATGGTAAAATTATTGCACTATCTTGTTCTATAGTATTTCTCTTTTGTGGATCCAGGATCCAGTATGAAAATGAAACCCTGAATTTGGGGGAATCTGTTTTGCCTTCCAGCTGTGCCTGCTTATTAGGCCCTAGAAACTGCATGTTTTCTTAGCCCTATTCCTTGAAGAACTCCACCCTGAAGCCAGTAATCCAATTAAGAAACTTTAAAACTGGCAAATGAAAAAAATCTTATAACTACTGGATCTTCTTCTATGTAGTTATATATGTGTTAAGTGGGTAATGTTTATATATGAAAGAGCTCTGATTAGTTATCTTAAAAATAATAAGCACTTACATCAAATATTTTGTCAGAAAAATAAAAACTGTAATGCCTTTTAGTTCATGTGGCTTTAGTAAGCTTTGAGAAATAAAGAGTTGTAAAGATTGTTGTTAAAAAAAGATATTTGATCTAAATTAGGCAGATCAGATACTAGATTTGCTAAATGCTTTAAGGTAATAAACTACTTCTTTGATTTTTGAAAATAGTTCAACTTACCTGCCATGGAGCCATTAGAATCTAGGTAAAGTATGGGGACATGTGGAGTTAGCCAAGGCCCCTGGCTATGCTGGAAAGAGTCAGACTTTATCTGCACTCCTGTCTGGTATCCTAGGCTCCACATCTAGTACATAATTAAAATTACTTACTTACCAGGTTTTTCACCAAAAATAAAAATTGCTAAGAGTTAACACTGTACCATGTAATTGAGACTACTGGAAAAACAGTTTTACATGCAAGGTGTATGAGGGAAGTGAAATGTGCCTTTGGTAAAAGATTAAGAATGTAATTTTTTTTTGCCTAGATTAAAGGGATAAAGTATTGTTTTAAGTTAAATAGAATAAAGCTTAAGATTTGATAAAGTTTTAGAAGGTTTGTGAAAAATTTTGTAAAAAAAATATTGTGTGTGAACATATTGTCTATATTTAAAGGGGCATTATCCAGTTTTCCCCTAAATTGAACATTGGAATAATAGCACAATAGGGTTTTCTTAGAGCACTGATCTGCTTTTATTTTTAAAGGATTATAAAACATTTATGAGAATTTCACCTTATGATCAAACTGATTAAGATTGAATAGATTTTTCTATAAGGTTTTATTAAGGTTTGGGGTTGACATTAATGGTACACTAATACAAGAGTGAGATTGGGCTTTCTCTCTTGAACAAGATTTTAATGTAATATAAAAGGGCAATGCAATATTTTTATTTGTCTTTTGAATAAATTACAGGAAAAATAAGAGAAAGACAAGAGACAGATTGTTTGGAAAGCTAAGTCTTCCCTCTATCAATGAGTTTTGCCTTTTTAAAATTTTTGAGTCATAATTTTGGCTAATGAATGACTTGTGGTGACCTGGAACTCTATTTTATAACATCAAGTGTATTAAAGCACTAACATATTTGACAGGCTTCCCCAAATCAAATTTCAGCTTCAATATTGTCCTTTGTGACCTCTAACTTTGGGATGCTACAGAGTGCCCCTGAAACATCCAAAAGAGAGGTAAACAGGATTATCTGACACGTTAAGTTACATGAGAAGCATTGTCAAAATAAAAAATAATGTTTAATTTTCTTCAGGGTATATTTTAGTGAATGTTAATATATGTTCCAAAATTGTATGGGATTTCTAAAATTCTATTATGTTTGAGTACATACATCAATCATAATTATGATTATTGTTGACCATAGAAATAACCAAATTTCCTTGTCAATTGTATCTTTAACTGTGACTATTTGAAGTCATTTCCACAGCTAACTGCTTAATACTGATGCAGTTTCTGAAAACTTTAAGCATGCAAAATCCTAGAATTTGGTGTCTTTCAGGGGTTTCATGAAAGGATGGAAAAGACCCTGAAAATCATGCTTGAATATGGGTTTCTGGTAACTTTAGAATCAGGTCATTTGAACTGGGTAAAAATACCTGGAATTTTAATAATAAAAAATACTGACTACTTTATAAAACTGCTAACCCAAGGAGCACAAAAATTAATTGAATACAAAGTAAATACATTGCCAGATTTTCATGCTAAATCAGCCAATACTGAAATTGTTCAGATACACAATTTAAATAAACTCCACGGTCTAAGTCAAATTACCTATGATAACCCATCAGTTGTCAGTTCTATGCACCTAAGTTGGAGAAATAACCAGTATTCAAGAGGACATAAATTAATGTTAAACGTGGGCTCATGAAGAACGAGGACGGACACCTTTTCCTTCCTGAGTCCTTAAAGCTTTTGTTATTAAAAGTTCCATATTCCATGACTCGTCATGGAAAAGATAAACTTATCCAGATTAAGTATATATTGGTGTGGTGACTTCTAAATTGCTAAAATAGTTTATGACCAATGTTTGGTTTGTCAAACCCATATTCCTGGGAAGACAAAGTTTAAGGTATATTCAGCTACCTGATGTGCTATTTAAACATTTATAGATGTATCTCATTCAATTGTGACTTTCAATGCATGTTTTCTGGTTGTATAAAAGTTTTCTCATGCAAGAGGGCTGATGTTATAACAGTAGATCATTATGCCACAGTGTATTTTCACCAGGTAAAGAAAGGTTTTGATGACTCACTGACTGAGGACAATCGGCCCCTTCACAATCCAGAACCTGAATATTGGATCTTCTGAGAACATATGAGAAAGACTGCCCTTGCCATCCACACTGCAGCAAAACTTTAGGGCCTTGACCCTTAGGTTCATAATCTTAAAATCCCTGAGAAGGCTCCCTCCACACTGTTGGAACTTCAAAAGTTCCTTAAGGTAAAGCTAATCAGGGAAGTTTCTCCCTCCAAAAAGATGGCACCCTTGATGTGAACAGCCTTTCCCAAGATCATGGATTAAGACTTCTAGTGTCATGAGACTCTTATCTTTGAAAGTTTTTTCTTTGTTTGTGCCTCTATGGAAAATATAAGTGAAAAGGGGATCCATTGTGTGCACTCATGGGATATACTTTTATTTGTGAAGGATTTTGCAGCCAACCTTATACATAGATAACCTTACACTTAATAGATGAAAGATGAAGGCTCAGTGTAAGTGAGAAACTTTAATGGTAGATTTAGTGCCTCATAATCAGTCAGAAACAGAACATTGGTTCACTCCTCTTAACCCACATCATGGGTTAAAGAGAACATTGTCAGGAGGCCTTCACTCTTCTAGAAGGGCTTCATTTGTTAGGTTCTTTTTTCCATAGTTTGGAGTAAAAGAGGCAGTGATTATAAAGGAATCCCTCATTATATGCTCTATAGAAGATTCTACTGTAAAGGCTATGGTACATAACAGACTTTAAAATCTCTTGTGAAAATAATGGTAAATGATAGAATTGCTCTAGATTACTTACTGGCTAAACAGAAGTATCTGTGTAGCTGCTGGCACTTGTGGACTATGGAGAAACACATCAAATGTAGATTATAGAGATTCAGTTGTAGGGGATAAACTAAGAGACTGCTTAGTTAAGCAAGTAGACTGTTTATCTAGCTAATTCTTTGATCTATTTAATTTTAGGTGGGTTGGTTTATGGGGATCCTGGGTAAGGAGCATACTCCAAACTCTTGGTGTTATCCTCCTGATAGTCATAACAGTAGCCTCCGTGGTGCACTGTATTGTCTCAAAAGTTTTAAATGCTTGCATGCAGCCATCTCTAGAATATCAAATGGTCTCTCTCTAACTGGAATGACAAGAGCTGAAGGAAATGTGTGAGCATGAGACCACTGTACCCTATGAATGATATCCTGAGACCAAAAACCCAAAATGATGGTAACTGAGAGTGCTGCTAAGACCTTAAGTTTTGGTCACTCTCTTGCCTGAGTAAGAACCTGACCAAAAGGGGAGAATTTTTAAATAAAATTATGGGAGGCTATTGTTTTGGACTGAGGTAATGCACTAGGCCCCAACAGGTCAGACCAAACTAAAATGGAGTCACTCATGTTAAATGTGACATAGTCATACTAAGACTTTAAGAAAACACATAGATCCTAGAACAGACCAGGTCCTGTTTTTTGTTTGTTTGTTTGTTTGTTTGTTTTATCCTGTTAACAGGACATTCCAGCATAAGGAGGTACCCTCTAACCCTTAAAAAAAATAATAGCCTGAAGTCTTTGTTTCTACCTTGCAAAACCCACCGTTCTACTGTTTCCAAGTGGGTTTCAAAACCAAATAAATACATTTACAGTGGTGATAGTGACATCAATGACTAAAGTTTTGGTCAATCTCTCAAAATTCAGAAGGTGACCAAAAGGGAGGAATTGTTCAATCAAGTTTAGCCTAAAGCTGCCTCCTTACATATTTTAATTTCAGTCTAAAGGCTTTTCTATACATTGTGAACAAGTGGAAGTGTAAATAGATCATAGCCTACACTTGTGCCAATTACCGAGTTTCAGCCAATCAAATGTAGTCAACTGTTCAATGCATGTTTAAATGAGGCAAAAGCCAAGCTGTAACCAATCCAGCTGTTTCTGTACCTCACTTTCATTTTCTGTAAGTCACTTTCCTTTTTCTGTCCATAAATCTTCTCCCACATGGCTGCACTGGAGTCTCAGAGCCTACTCTAATTCTGGAGGCTGCTCAATTCACAAATTGTTTATTGCTCTATTAAACTCCTTTAAATTTAATTTGGCTGAACATTTTCATTTATCAACACAATGGAGTACTATTCAGTCATAAAAAGAATGACATTCTGTCCTTTGCAACAACATGGATGGAACTGGAGATCATTCTGTTAAGTTAATTAAGCCAGGCACAGAAAGTCTAACATCATATGTTCTCATTTATTTATGGGATCTAAAAATAAAAACAGTTGAACTCATGGAGACAGAGAGTAGAAGGATCATTATCAGAGGCTGTGAAGGGTAGTGGAAGGGTGAGGTGAGTGGGGGTGGAGGGGAGTTGAGGATGGTTAATGAGTGTAAAATAGAAAGAGCAAATAAGATCTACTATTTGATAGCACAACAGGGTGACTACACTCAATAATAATTTAATTGTACATTTCAAAAATAACTAAAAGTGTATAATTGGATTGTTTATAACACAATGATAAATGTTTAAGGAGATGGAGACCCCATTTTCCATGCTGTGATTATTATGCATTGTGTGCCTGTGTCACAACATCTCATATACCCCATAAATATATATACACACATATATATAGTACCCACAAAAATTAAAAATAAAAAAGCATAAATAGAATTCGGGGTGAAGGGAGTGGCAGTGAAATGTCCCTGAAGTCAGAATCAGATTGATGTGCTCGTGTAGCAGAAAGAAAGCTAGAATAGTTACAGCATAGTGCAGAAGGGGAGAGTGGCATGTGCTTAGGCCAGATGAGTAGGCAGAGGCCAGATCATTTAGAATTTTGTAAGAAGTTTGGATTTTATTCTAAGGATAATGGGAATTAACTGAAAAGTTTTAAATTAGAGATGATATAACATTTTACAACATTTTTAAAGACCTCTCTGACTTCAGTGTGGAGAGGAGACATGAAAGCTCAGGAGTACAATCAAGATGATTCAGAGACTATTTTTGTTGGTTGGATAAGAGATAGTAAGATATTAGACCAATATGGCTTATGAGGAGAGGATGCCAAACATTTGTGCACCAATGTATTTCTTGTTTCCCGGCAAAGATCTTCCTTCACCACCCCCGTCTTATCATTATCTTTTTTTTTTTTTTTTGAGACAGGATCTCACTCTGTCACCCAGGCTGGCGTGCAGTGGTACAATCACTGCTAACTGCAGCCTCGAATTCCCGGGCTCCAATGATCCTCCCACCTCAGCCTCTGAGTAGCTGGGACCACATATGTGCACCACCACACCCAGGCAATTTTTGTATTTTTAATAGAGACAGGGTTTCACCATGTTGCCCAGGCTGGTCTCAAACTCCTGAGCTCAAGCAATTCACCTATCTTGGCCTCCCAGTGTTGGGATTACAGGTGTGAGGCACTGCACCCAGCCCCATCTTATCTTTTTAAAGACTATGATAGCCTTTGAGGTTTCTGAAAAGGTTTCATAAAGTTCAAATTTTTCTGTGGTGAGATTAATGTGCAAATGATGTTTGAGAACTGGACACTGCCTTCATAGATAGATAGAGCAGAGTTTCATCTAAATCCTTGCTGAAGGAAAATTGTGTAATAGTCTATACCTCCATAATGTGTCACAAAATATTAAAAGAAATACAAGAAACTATGAGTATTTTATGGACTCAATACTGTCATTTGACAAACGCATAGCCTCAGTTTTCCTCTGCTGCAGCCCCAAAGCCACAGAGCATTTCGACAATTGCAGGACACTTACAGCAATAGAAGTAAATAAAAGAAAATTTAAGCCTCATTGTATTTTTTCTTTGAAATATTCCATTTTAAGCACATGTAAGCTTGATATAAACTAAGACATCTATTATAATAACAATGTATGTTTTCCATAATCACTATCAATTAAAAACTATTTTAGACTTTAAAAGACAAAGTGGTGATTGCATTTTACCTGACTATGTACGGTAGAATTTTATGTTTCCTCACAAACTTTGCAGTAAAATAATACCTAATTCAGGCTTGGATCATTTTCTTATAAAGATGTAAGAAAATGCCTAATTCATTTGTGATCCCCTCACTACATTTTTGTCAATAATTTACATCTTGATGTGAGTTGGTAAGAAGAATTTTCCTCCTTGCAATTAGCTTGAAGCCAGGGCACTCTTAAATAGGAATTCATAATGTTTGAATGTGTCCCACAAAAATTCATGTGTTGAAAACTTAATCCCTCTGCACTCACTAATGGATTAATGTTGCTATCATGGGAGTGGGTTTATCATCATGGAAGTGGCTCTGTTATAAAAGTTAGCTATCTCTGGCTCTCTTGCTTTTGCCTTCTTGCCATGTGATGCCTTCTTGCATGTTACAATGCAGCAAAAGGCCCTCAGCAGATGTTGACACCATGCTCTTAGACTTCCCAGCCTCCAGAGTCAGGAGCTAAATAAACTTTCATTCTTTTTAAATTACCCAGCTTGTGGTATTCTGCTATGGCAACAGAAAATGGACTAAGACAGTAACTTTAATAAGAATTATGAGGGAAATAATTCAGAGCACTTCAAGAAAGAAATTCTGAATGGATAATCATGAACATTAGGAAGGTACTAGGCACATGTTGGGGGAAACTTAGAGAGAAGGATCAATAAAAGAAAAGGGTGACATCACCTAGATGATGAAGGTACAACAAATTACAGGCAGGATGTTTTGGTATAAATAATGTGGGCAGTTGATTGTTAGCTGGCTCATTTGTTGTTGTTGTGTTTGGGGGAGCTTAATATGCAAAAGAGTTTCATGATTGGTAAATAATGTGAATGTTAGTTATTTTTATTTTGAGAATATGCCAGGAAGAGAGTGATTGCACAGATGCATCATTAGAGTTTGAGAGCTACTATTCTAGGAAAAGTATAAACCAAATCTCCCTTTTCACCACCACCCAGTCCAATATACTGTAGAAGAATCTGTAACTTCAGCATATATTCAAGGACACAGCTGGACCAGATATTACAAGGTGGCATTTTAGAGTAAGAAATATAAATGGGCCTGGATTCTGAAAAATTTCTTATTTAGGTTTAGCTCTCCATCTTGTCATCACGGTGGCAAGTTCTTAAGGCCAGACATGCAGTTGTAAGCATAAGAGTTAAGGTGAGCTACAAAACTCACCATGCTTTAGTCTGGGCATAAACCTAAAAGCTGATTGTCTACTTAACAGTCATTTCTCTCTTTCTCTTTACTAACAAAACTGTGGTATTCTTCAGAAACTGGATAGCTAAATGCTGCTGGGAAGCTGGACCCATCCATGGACTCAGGGAATTACTCCCACTTGCTAGTCTAAATCATCTGGGTAATTCCATTTTCCTTGCTAGTAATTGGTTTAGAAATGGCAAGCAACTCAATTATATTAATAAAAAGTGAAAGATAATGCCAGAGGAATTTGAAGCTGATGATGCACTGAAAGTAACCATGACAATAATAATAAATTAAAAACCCAGCTCTTAATTAAATTGATTCAACTTTCCGGGCATAACTATTATTTTCCTTAGGCTCACTGTTAGACACACTATGTCTGACAATCACAAATTTATGAGATACACAGAAATCAATGGAACAAAAGCCCTCATGAAGAGACAAAGCAATGAACACATCCAGACTCAGAGGTGATCTAGATATTGAAACTATCTGACAGGTTTAAAATACATATGATTAACATGTTAGATGTTTTAATATGGAAAAGGTAGAAACATGCAGTGGCAGATTGGAAATTTTAGTAAAGAGATGGAAAGTATGGGAAAGAGTCAAATGAAAATGCTAGAAACAAAACATATGGAGATGAAGAATGCCTTCATCAGTTGCCTTGATACAGCTTAGAAGATAATTAGTGAATTTGAAGATAGGCCAATACCAATTACTCAAACTGAAATTCAAAGAGAAAAAAGATTGTAAGAAATAAAAACAGAGCATCCAGGAGTTTGAGATAATATCAAACAGTCTAACATAGGTGTAATTGGAATCTCCAAAGAGGAAAAGAGAGAGCATAGAGTACAATAATATATGAAGATATAATGGTTGAGAATTTTTCAAGAATAATAAAATATATCAAACCATAGACCCAAGAATATTAAAGAACCATATTCAGGATGAATACCCCCCAAAATCACTTAGATACACTATACTCAAACACCTAAAAACCAAGGATAGACAAAAAACTTGAAAACTGGCAGAATTTTTTTAAAAAAATCATAGGGAAACGTATTACATAGAGAAGAATGAAGGTTAGAATTATAGCAGACTTCCTTCAGAAAATCTGAAAGCCAGAGAGTAATGAGTTGATGCCTTCAAAATAATGAAAAACAAAACAAAAAACCTGCCAACCCCAAATTTTCTGTCTAGTAAAAATATCTTGTCTGGGCCATGATGTCAGCATGGACAGATCTTGAAACCTTTTCTGACTCCCCCAGTTGATTCGGAGCACTTGGCTTTTCTGAATTTTATAGCTTTCACCTTTTAATCACCTGTTATGTGTCTAATTTTTTCCTGTACTGTCTTGCTTGCTCTCTAGAAATCACATACCTGGGAGTCTCTAGAAATTCTAGTTGATAGTTTTCAGATGGAAAGAGAATTCGGCTGCACCCTTCTCTGCCTTGCTTAGTGCTGGATTCATGGTAGAAGGTGACATGTTTAAATCAAACTTCACAGTTGGTTGCTTTAGGCCAGGGAATGGTACATTTTTGTATTTGATAATCTGAGACGCAAGAGTCTGATAGATGAATGGAAAAATCGAGACTAAAAAAGCAGTTCCTCCTTTCCCATGACAGATTGTTGCTTTTTATTTTTCTTACAAGCAGAGCTCCTCATTGCTCCCTAGCACTTCCCACCCTAGTTTTCTCTCTCTGCCTCAAGATTTCTCTTGTTCAGTAAATTTTTGATAAAGTGAATGGGGATAGATGGGAAGGAACTTCTTTTTACTGAGCCCACCCTATAAACATTGATAATCCCATAGCTGCTTTTCTATGGGATTTGTTTAGTTGAGTAGAGTATCCAAGTTTAGGATTGCTTGTGAGAATAAAGGGGTTTCAAGAAAGCAGAGGAGAGACACAGGGTTCTGGTAGTGAGAGAACTTTCACAGAGAAGAGATCATAGATCTAAGCAGGGGGGATTGAAAGTTTTGCTGATGTGTTAAGTAACATTCTGTGAATCCTGCTGACATTGCTAATACTTTAGAAGTTGGATTTATTAGGAGGGGAGGAAAGAGGGTAATGTTGCAAAATGCTGATATTGGCCTCAAAGAGGGTGCTGGATAAGATCAGTGGTAACTACAGGAAGTCTAGCCCTCATGGATTAATTAAGTAACGTTGACATGGTGAAAAGAACAGCTGCGTTTCTGAGTCTTGCCAAGATCTGCTTGGACATTGTAGAAAAACAACACTTTAAAAATCATTTAATTTTTAAAGTGGGCAGGTGGAAACCTTATTTTAGCTCCCCAGTAGGAATTACATTTTGAGCCTGGAAGAGTATGCATGCCAAGTTTTGCTTATCAAAATAGAACTGTGGACAGACCTGAAATGATTAGTTTAGTAGCAAAATCGCCAACTTTAATAAATCAAGATATTTTTGCAAATACAGATAATTTACATGCTTTAAAAATAAACAAAAAACTTATAATTGTACTGAGAAACCACAGTTGCAATTGTATATTTAAGAAGTCTGCGTTCTTTTAAGAAGTCTCTTCTCTTCAGGTGTGAGTGCTTTATTCATGGCCAGCAAAGACAGCCAATTAGCACAAAGACTTTGATGGCCATTAAATAAATGAGGCTGCGGTTGTGCTCACTAGGAAAAAATTCAAAGTCCACATCCAGAGCCCTTCCTGCCGAGATGCAGCCAGCCCACCTGGCAGGACCCTGCAGTAACACACAGAGAGGCCCTTGCCTACACGTTGCTACATAACAATTTGAGTCGACAGCTGATTTGGAAGGTGTTTTTGAGATTTGTTGGTCCAATGCGAATATACTTGTGACCATAGTTAACTGAGGCTATTCCCATGGGAGTGTGCAAAAATTGAGGTAAATTTTTTCCAAAGATGGCCACATGATTTACATAACTTTACAAGGTGATTTTGCTATCCTTCATCAAGAGATGGGTTTATTTCCTTTTCCTTAAATCTGACTGGCTTTGTTAACACACTTTAAATGATAGAATGTGGTAGAAATAACATTCTGAGATTTTTCAAGCATACACCCTAAGAGTCCTTGTAGCTTTTGTGTTTGCTGTCTCAGAGCCCAGAGCAACTATTTAAAAATCTTACACTACTGCACTGAAGAGGAAGGCTATGTGGAGAAAAGCCATGGATGATATGAGATTACAAAGGAAGAGAAGCTCAGCTTTGCCGTAGACACTTTGCCACCCCAATGGAGGCCCCAGACATGAATGTGAAGTTATCATGGGTTCCCCAGCCCCATCTGCGCTGCTCTGGCCTATATTATGTGAAGCACAGACTTTTCCCCAAAACAAAATCATAAGCAAGTAAATGATTTTTTGTTATTTTTCAGCCACAGATTTTTGGAGTGGTTTCTTATGCAGCAATCAATAACCAATCTTGAAGTGAGCTAGCATTGTAATAATGATAATAACAATGATGCTGATAATCATAGTTAACATCTGTATAGAACCTCATCGGTTTTGTCAGTGTTTTATTTACCCTGCTTAAATTCATAATTTAATCCCCACAATGACCCTTAGAAGTGGGCATTATAACTTATACCTATTTTTACTGATGAGAAACTTGAGGCCTGGAGGGGTTACAAAGTTACAAAGTAGAAATGACTTCGTATGGTATAGATGGGATTGTATGAACACTCTGAGATGATGCTAGGCACTGTCCTAGGTTCTTTCTATACATTATCTCTGTTAAGTCTCATGAAAATCTGTGAAATAAGTATGAGTTAGTTCCTCAATTTTACAATTAAGTCAACTCAGGCTAGAAACCTGGTAAATGGGAGAGTCAGCTTTTAAGCCCAGTATATCTCACTCTAAACTCCAGTCTCCTTTCACCCTACAAATGGAGTCCCCTCCTAAAATATTCATCTGATTACTCAAAATCATCTACAGGATATCTTTCTGAAAACTGTTACCAATGTTACATGTATAACAAGGTAAGGCTATGCACTCTCCCCACTCCTGTGCAATATTGTAATAAAGGTCCTTGCAGTAGGCAAGAAAAAGGAAATAAAATTCATACAGATAAAAAAGATGAAACAAAACTGTCCTTATTCACAGACAATATGACTTCCTCTACAAAAATTCCCAAATAATCCATAAAATAAGCCAATAAAACTAATAAATGAATTTAGTAAAGTTCTAGGATACAAGGTTACTATTTAAAACCATAATATTTTCATGAATTATCAATAAATATTTAGAAATTAAAATTTAAGTCGGATTACAATAGAGCCAAAACCATGAAATACTTACGAATACATTTAACAAAAAACATTCAAGATCTGTATGCAGAAACTAAAAAGCATTCATGAAATAAATCAAAGATTTAAATAAGAGATATGTCATGTTCATAGATTGGAAGACTAAGTATTATTAATTACCAGTTCTCTCCAAACTTATCTATAGATTAATTTCAATTCCAACCAAAGTCCCAGCAGGATTTCTATTTGTAGAAAACAATATAGTGATTCTCCAGGTGATTCCATTTTGTAGCTAGAGTTCCAAACTGCTGCACTAGACTATAAATTTCTTGTGGCCTGGGACCATCTAATTTGTTGCTGAATTTCTAGGATTTGGTACATGGTTGGCATTCAGCATATGTTTAATAGAAATAATAGATGAATGAAGGAATGCAGAAAAGAGGAAGAGGGTCTGGCCAAAACAGGTTCTGAACATGTTGAATTTGAGATGCTGTGATACATCCATGAGATGCCATGTGTAGTGAATGTATAAGGTCCTGTCACTCTAATTCTGGAA
This sequence comes from Homo sapiens, assembly GCF_000001405.40. Lineage (NCBI taxonomy): Eukaryota > Metazoa > Chordata > Mammalia > Primates > Hominidae > Homo > Homo sapiens. Next base: position 86,334,169 of record NC_000006.12, read on the forward strand.
TGAACTATGGGCTGGAACATAAGTAAACATAACAATGTGGCTGGTGGTTTAGGCCAGGTTTAGATATAAACATGGCTCAGGAGAAACAAGAGGGAGGGAAAATATAGGCAACAGATTAATGAATAATCCAGTCCCTGAACTCATGGCCTATAATCTTGGTCTAGAAATTGCATCAATTTTACCTCATCTTCTTCTCACATCCCTCCAAGTACTGGGGCCCTACTTCCTATTAACATTCTATTTGCGATGTCCTACCTGCCTGGCTATAAGTCCCTTGACCTTCTGTACCTCAAAGTCCCAGTGGCTACCCACTCCCAGGATTGTATCTAGCTCCAGTTCCTTGGCTTTCTAAGTCATTGGTACTCCATTACAGTTATTTCTTTTGCTGAATCATATTATATAACATGATGCTTTTAATTGGGAGAAATATAAGATCTCTATGGTTTTCAAAAATATGCCTATATCTTCTTTTTGGAAAAAATTCAGTTAACATTAACTGTATTTACTTGGATTTAGCTTTGCAATCACCATTGAAACCAGTAACTATGTTTATCTTTGAGAATAAAAAGGTAAAAACGTTCCACTTATAAATAAGAATATTATCCACTTCAAATATGTTTGCTATTTTTATCTCATTACAAATATTTATTTATAATCTGAAATAATCACCACTAGCTGGCTACAAACAGCTTCCTGTTTGCTCCATTAAAAAATAAAAAATAAAAATATTTTTATATTTAAATTTTACAAGTTTTAATTTTATATCAAAGAACCAGACAAGACATAGCAAACATATATAAGTTGATCTGACTAAGGCAGAAAACTTTTCTTAGATAATTTGTCTGACAAATAAGTTCTCAAGAAAAAACATTCATTAGCTAGTTGCTATTTATTTTTGGTGATCATTGTGTTTTTAAAAATACATGGCCAGGCACAGTGGCTCATGCCTATAATCCTAGCAATTTGGGAGACCGAGGCAGGCAGATCACTCGAGTGCAGGAGTTTGAGACAGGCATGCATAAGCAACATGGAGAAACACTGTCTCTACTAAAAATACAAAAATTAGTCAGGTGTGGTGGTGCACATCTGTAGTCCCGACTACTTGGGAGGCTGAGGTGGGAGGATCACCTGAGCCCAGGAGGTGGAAGTTGCAGTGAGCCAAGATCGTGCCACTGCACTCCAGCCTGGGTGACATGCCCTGTCTCAAACAAACAAACAAAAAGCCTTAGTTTGTTTAATGCTTGGATGTTTGCCAAATAAATACTTTGAATTTAATATTTTGTTGAGTACTTGCTAAGATGAACAATGAGCTCGATGCTGAGAATATTGAGATCAACAGTCCATGTTTTTCAGATACAACTATATCTGTCAGGATTCAATCAGAGAAGCAAAATCAATAGGATACATACATGAATACATAGGTATCTCTCACTATGTCTCTCTCTCTCTATGTGTGCATGTGTGTGTATATATATACTTATCATATATATATATGATAAGTAATATATCATAGAGATTCAACCTTATGCAACTGTGGGATCTAAGTCTGTGGGATGCTATTTCTTCTGTACCTGAAGCTGTACCCTGGAGTCTGCAGGGCAGGCATTTGGGAAGGGCAAATGGATGTGAAATGGAGGAAGCAAGGCGCTGATGACCTGTAACCCAAAAGGATGGGCTGAAACTCTTGTCAATGTCTCCCCTAAAAGCCTCCAATTTTGATGTTAAAGTATCTCTAGGTGAAACCAGACTCTTCGTCATAAAGCTTAACATTCTCCTGACCCAGGAGTCCAGGAAGCTGAAGGATGACCCAGCAGGGACTGTAGGTGCTGTGGAGGCTGGCCTAGCTGCTCCTCCATGCCATCCAGGCCAGCTGGCAAATGAGCAACACTGTGTGTGAGGCAGCAGTGCCTCATGTTCTTCCCTGAGCTTGCAGGTATAAAAAGGGAAGATGTTGCTACATCACTTCCACCTTCCAAATCTTGCCTAAGCCTCTTGTGGCCCAGACTAAGGGGAAACTATGCTGAGCAGGGGATTCTGGGAAATATGGTTCCAGTCTAGCTAAATTGATGCAATACAATACAGATCTGCCACACATCCTGGTCTCTTCCTTAGTCAAAGACAGTGAGAGCCACCTGTAAGGGAGTTACAAAGAATACATTCATTTTATTGATAAGGAAGGATACTGAAACTCTAAGAAGTCAAGTGATAGCCCCAGGTAATAAAGGGAGGGTGGAGCTAAGACCAGACCATACATGTACTGATTCCTAGCCCTGACCTCTTGCAACCCTCCTGCTGCCTGTAGAGAAGGGTACAACTCTCAAAAGTGACATTGCTCCCTTATGATATTCATGCAGATTTGATGCATTATTTTTCCAATCTTACCTAGATGAAATTCATATTGAAATGATCGGGATGTTTGTCCCAATAAATTTGGGAGGACTAGGTTGTATTCAATGAGAATACCTACAAAATTCTAAAATAATCCATTTAAGTTTTAAAACAATTTTGCTTTCCTTGATTTATGTTTTCTCTTCACTTTTTCTTCTCTGATAATGGCAAGGAGCACTATTTCAGAAATGGTGTGTGTTATCTGAGTGGACTGCTGTCTGTGTTTTGGCCCCCTTACTCATTCTAGCATTGCTGGATAATGAGGTCTTACTTCAGAAGGTCAAGGTCTTGAGTTTCTTTATGGATTACACTGTGGGCAGAGGGAAGAAAGGAGGGGCTAAGAGTAGTGGGTGTATTTAACATCTTAATCCTCAGCAATTGAGAGTTAAAGCTATACAGATAGCCTAATAAGAATTTATTTTCATGTAGAAAAAGGGTAACATCCAGACCATAAATTCTTGTAGCCAGGAGTTAAATTTAATTCAACATCAGTCAATCTTCTGTGGAAGGTTAAATAAAAACCATTTAGCTTCTCTGTATCTGTGCTTCCTTTTATATAAAATGAAACTATTTTTTTCCACTACCTTCTACACATGCAAACTAAAAGTTAATAGAGTTAGTAATATAACAGTTTGGCTGATACAACAAGCCACTGGTTTGTAAATGCAATCTTATATTTAACCTGGGCTTCCAATCAAGATTGCTGATTCTGATAAGTCCTCAAAGTGTTGAAAATCAACTGCAATCTCATCTCCAGCAGTCTCACTGCAACCACTTAAAATCACTTTTTCTTTTCAACTTTACAATCAATAACTCATGAAAAAAGCAGCAAGTTAAAGTATACTGCTTTCCAAGTTTTAAAAATTGCATTAGCATTTGAATTATTATGTGTCTAATTCATTGTACTTGACTACAGCTTTGTAGAAAAATTATAGCACAGTGTCTAAAACATTGGGCCTTTTAATAAATATTAGCTTCCTTTTCATCAATCTGAAAAGTATTTCTGTGCTATAAAGTTTTTCAATAAAATCTTAATTTATCCCAGTTACAATCATATATTTTCTTTTGGGTTAGAAGTATCTTATTGTCAAAACTAAACTTTGTCTTTATTTCATAATTAAATAATTATCAACACTTATTTATTTATATTTTTGCTAGAGATGAATTTGAGGAACTGATATATTTAGTGCTGACAAAGAGAAATTGAGAAATAGAAACAACTTATTGGCCCTGTACTCTTTGAACTATATTTTCAAAGAGCTGGGCTTTCCTATTCCAATGTCACTGAAAATTTGGAGATTTTTGTTTTGGGTCAAACTTCTCTGGGGTAAAGTGTGTATTCTTGTTGTTTTTCTAGTTTGTCCGATACACCTGGCTCTGAGTGTCAAGGGTACAGAAGTCTCATTAAAGTTACTAAAAATGTGCTTGCATGCTCGTTCTCACTATGCAGACGCCAGCTCAGACACTTCACTAACTACATAAGGACCCATTCTACTCTCTGGAGAAATAACCCGATTATTCCACACATTTGCTTCTCATCTGGACAACAAAATATTCTTCCTAAGAAAAGGAAGAAAAAAAGGACAGAGCATCAATAGTCTGGATGTATGGGAAGAGGAGAGCTTGTAATATTAAAATAAATGGAAAGTCCAGGTCGGAGTTTGACAATGATAAGTTAATTCTTAGATGTGTTGGTGATATGGTTTGGCTCTGTGTACCCACCCAAATCTCATCTCAAATTGTAATGCCCACATCTTGAAGGAAGAAACTTGTGGGAAGTGCTTGGATCAGAGGGGTGGTTTCCCCCATGCTGTTCTAATGATAGTGAGTTCTCATGAAATCTTATGGTTTGAAAGTGTTTGACAGTTCCTCCTCATTCTCTCTCCTGCAGCCATGTAAGATGTGTCTTGCTTCCCCTTCTGCCATGATTATAAGTTTTCTAAGGCCTCTCCAGCCATTCAGAAATGTGAGTCAATTAAGCCTTTTCTTCTTTATACATTACCCAGTCTCAGGTGGTTCTTTATAGCATTGTGAAAATTGACTAACACAGTTGGTCTCTAGCCTGATGATCAATTAGTAATAGAAAGGCATTATAAATCAAGCAATTATGTCATCTTTTTCTTATAAAACTTGGCCAGGTGCGGTGGCTCATGCCACCCCAGCATCCCAGCACTTTGGGAGGCCAAGGCAGGTGGATCACCTGAGGTTAGGAGTTTGAGACCAGCCTGGCCAACATGGAGAAACGCTGTCTTTACTAAAAATACAAAAAATTAGCTGGGCATGATGGCAGGCACCTGTAATCCTAGCTACTTGGGAGGCTGAGGCAGGAGAATTGCTTGAACCTGGGAGGCAGAGGTTGCAGTGAGCCAAGATGGTGCCACTGCACTACAGCCTGGCTGACAGTGTAAGAGTCTATCTCAAAAAAGAAGAAGAAGAAAGTCTCCCATATGCATTAGAAATGGCAGAGCTATGGAAGGTCTTATGAAGAAAAAAATAAAAGATTAAGAATATGGTGAAAGCAAAAGGGGTCTGGCCAGGCAGAGGACAGGCTTGTTTTACAGATATCAGTGTATTTGAGCTGGGAGGCATAATTTGAATTTTGAGAAGTGCTTTTAAGGAAACAACAAATGTAAAGCAGTGTGCAAGGATGTCAGAGGTAAAATGAAATAACTTCCTAGTTTTACCTCATAGTTGGATCAAAAAAAAATTTGGAAGAGGCCTTTGGACAGAGAAAAACAAACTAGGTTGGCAAATAGGGATATTTTAGTTTCCTTCCACCTCTAGGTCTCTAGATCAGCCAAACACTAGGTCTAATTCCAACATTCAAAACTATCTGTGCTGTTTGGTTTCTTTTTCTGTTACTCAATCACCTCTTCCTATTCTTTTTATAAACACCATGAGGCCAGGACTTTTCTCTCTTGTTCTCAGTAACATCCCTGGTGTCTGGCAGAGTGATGCACATGAGACACTTCACACCTATCTACAGAGACAGGAGGTAGAGCAAGTTGGCTGAATAGAAGCCTCTAGTGATTGTCCCCTTCACAGGAACACCAAATTGAATAACTATCCACACAAAAAAACTACCTTCATAAGAACCAAAATATCAGGTGAGTGATTACAGTACCTGGTTTTTACATCATATTAAGGAAAGAGGAACTAAGGTGGGTAGGAAAGAGTCTTGAGTAGCCTATACCACCCCTCCCCCATTACACAGCAGCAGCCATGTGGCACAGAGAGAAAATCTGTTTGCTTGGGGCAGGGATAGTGCAGTGATTGTGAGACTTCACATTGGAACTCAGTGCTGCCCTGTCACAGTAGAAAGCAACAGGGGGCAGAACTCAGCAGGCACCCACACAGGAAACATTTAGACTACCCTTAGCCAGAGGCAAATTGCTCATCCCAGTGGTCAGAACCTGAATTCTGGCAAATGCTGCCACTGTGGGCTAAAGTTCTCTGGGGTCCTAAATAAACTTGAAAGGCAATCTATGCTATAAGAACTGCAATCCCTGGGCAAGCCCTGGTGCTGTGCTGGGCTTGAAGCTAGTGAACTTGGAGTACATGAGATCTAGTGAGATATCAGCTGGGGTGGCAAAGGGAGTGCTTGCACCACTCCTCCTCCAACCCCAGGCAGTACAGCTGACAACTCTGGGAGGAGAGGAAAGAGTAAGAGGACTTTGCCTTGCAACAAATATACCAGCTCAACCATAGTTAGAATACAGCATCAAGCAGAGTCCAGAGGCCCCGATTCCAGGCCCTAGCTCCCAGACAACATTTCTAGACACACTACAACAAATGTTGGGCCAGAAGGGAGCCTACTGCCTTGAAAGAAAGGACCCAGTCCTGGAGGGATTAATCACCTGCCAACTCAAGATTCCTTGGGCCCTGAAAAACCAGAAGTAGTAGCCAGGCAGTACTTGCTGCAGGCCTTGGGTGAGACTCTGAGCAATGCTGGCTTCAGGTGTAACCCAGCGTATTCCCAGATATGGTGGCCATGCAGAAACACTCTTTCTGCTTGAGGAAAGAAGGAAGAGTAAAGAGGCCTTTGTCTTTCACCTTAGGTACCAACTCAGCCACAATCAGGTAGAGCATTAAGTAGGCTCCTTGGTTCCCATTTCTAGGCTCCAGAAAACATTTCTGGACCTACTCTGGGACAGAAGGGAGCTCACTTCCTTAAAGGGAGAGGCTCAAGATTAGCAGAATTCACCACAAACTGACTGAAGAGCCCTTAGGCTTCAGTAGACATTGGCAGTAGCCAAGCAGTACTTGCCATGGGCTTGGTTTAGTGGTGAACATGTGGAGAGACTCCTCTGCTTGAAGTAATGGGAGGGAAGAATGGGAAACACTTTGTCTTGTGGCTTGGGTGCCAACTCAGACCCAGTAGAACAAAGCACTAAGTAGATTCCGAACATTTCTGACTCCAGGCCCTGGCATATGAATAGCATCTCTGGACATATATAGGACCAGGGTGAACTCATTGCCATAAATGGAAGGACACAAGCCTGGCTGGATTCACCACCTGCTAATTGTAGAGCCTTAGGGCCTTGATTGAACATAGGTAGTAGCCAGGTAGTAGTCAAAATGGACACTAGGAAAGACCCAGCACTGTGCTGGCTTCAGGTCTGACCCAGCACAGACCCAGTGGTGGTGACCAAGGGGTGCTTGTGTCACCCCTCACCCACCTCTAGGAAGCTTACCAAATTCGTTTGGTGAGAAATTAAGGGAAGAGAATAAGAGTGTCTTTCTGGTAAACCAGATAATACTTCTGGATCTTACGCAAGGCCACAAATGCAGTACCTCTACAAGTCTGCAAGAACTATAGCATTACTGGGCTTGGGGTACCTTCTAATGCTGATATGGCTGCAGTGACCAAGCACAGATCACAACACCCAAGTCCTTTCAAACACCCAGAAAGCCTTCCCAAGAAGGACAGCTACAAACAAGCCCAGACTGTGAAGACTACAATAAATACCTAACTCTTCAATGCCCAGACATTGGTGAACACCCACAAGCATCAAGACCACCTGGGAAAACATGACTACATGAGCTAAATAATAAATCAGTGACTAATCCCAGAGAGACAGAGAGGTGTGACATTTCAGACTGAAAGTCCAAAATAGCTGTTTTGAGGAAATTCAAATAAATTCAAGATAACACAGAGATGGAATTCAGAATCCTATCAGATAAATTTATCAAAGAGATTGAAATAATTTAAAAATTATCAAGCAGAAATGTCATAGCTGATAAATTCAACTGACATATTGAAGAATGCATCTGCATCTCTTAACAGCAGAATTGATCAAGCAGAAGAAAGAATTAGTGATCTTGAAGAAAGGCTATATGAAAATACATAGAGGAAGTTAAAAAAAGAATAAGATATGGCAATAAGATACAGAAAATATCCTTAAAAGGGCAAATGTAAACATTATTGATTTTAAAAAGGAATTAGAGATTGGGATAGAAGGTTTATTCAAAGGGATACTAACAGAGAACTTCCCAAACCTAGAAAAAGATATAAATATTCAAGTTCAAGAAGGTTATAGAACACCAAACAGATTTAACCCAAATAAGTCTACCTCTCAATATTTAATAATCAAACTCCCAAATTTCAAGGATGAAGAAAGGATTCTAAAAGTAGCAAGAGAATAAAAAGTAACATATGCTGTTATAAAAGATAAGATATATTGAAGCTCCATTATATGTTTTTTCCACAAAAATATGCTTCAAACATAAAGGATAAATATTTTCCCAGAGAAGCAAAAGTTGAGGGACTTTGTCAACACCAGAACTGTCATACAAGAAATGTGAAAGGGAGTTTTTCATTCTGAAAGGAAATAATGTTAAAAAGTAATAAGAACTCATCTGAAGGTACAAAACTCACTGGTAATAGAAAGTACACAGAAAAACAGAATAGTATAACATTGTAATTGTGGTGTGTAAACTACTCATATCTAGAGCAGAAAGACTAAAAGATGAACCTATGAAAAATAATATCTCAAACAACCTTTCAGGACATAAAATGTCCAAGAAGATATAAATGGAAACAACAAAAAGTTAAAAAGCAGAGAGATGAAATTTATTAATTTTCTCTTTTCTTGTTTGATTGATTGTTTATGCAATCATCATTAAGTTGTCAACTGTGTAAAATAATGGGTTATAAGGTATTATTTGCAAGCCTCATGGTAACCTCAAATCTAAAAACATACAATAAATAGACAAAAAAATTTAAAAATCAAGAAATAAAGACACACCATCTGAGAAAGTCATCTATATTAAAAGAAAGAAAGGAGAGAAAGAAGAGAACAACACACACACACATAAAAAAAAAACAAAGTGGCTGGAATAAGTTCTTATTTATCAATAATCACATTGAATGTACATGGAGTAAACTCTATAATCAAAAGGCATAAACTGGCTGAATGGATGAAAAAACAAGACCCAGTGACCTGTTGCCTACAAGAAACATACTTCACCTATAAAGACACGCATAGACTGAAAATTAAAAGATTTAAAAAAAGATATTCCATGCCAATGGAAACCAAAATAGAGCGGGAGTCACTATACTTATATCAGATAAAGTAGATTCCAAGACCAAAACTATAAAAAGAGATAATGAAGGTCACTATATAATGATAAAGGAGTCAATTCTGCTAGAGGATACGGTAACTTTAAATATATATGCACACAACACTGGAGCACCAAGATATATAAAGCAAATATTATTAGAGCTAAAGGGATAGAAAGGCTCCAATACAATAATAGCTGTTAACTTTAATGGCCCACTTTTGGCATTAGACAGATTATCCTGATGAAAAGACCAAATTGACCTAATAGATATTTACAGAACATTTCATTCAACAACTGCAGAATACATATTTTTTTTCCTCGCACATGGATCATTGTCAAGGATTAGACCACATATTAGGTCACTAAACAAAGCTTGAAACATTCAAAAATATTTAAAGAATATCAAGTATCTTCTCTGACCACAGTGGAATATAACTGGAAACCAAGAGAAATTTTGGAAACTATGAAAACATAAAAATTAAATAATATGCTCCTGGATGATCAGTGGATCAATGAAGAAATTAAGAATATTTAAAAATTTCTTGAGGCAAATAAAAATGGATGCACAGCATAGCAAAAACTATAGAATACGGTGAAAGCAGTACTAAGAGGAAGGTTTACAGCAACAAGTGCCTTCATCAAAAAAGTAGAAAAATCTCAAATGGACAACCTAAAGATGCATCTCAAAGAACTAGAAAAGCAAGGGTAAACCAAACCCAAAAAGTTGTAGAAGAAAATAAACAATAAAGATCATAGCAGACATAAATGAAATTGAAACAAAAAATACGAAAGATCAATGAAACAAAAGTTATGTTTGTAACAAGATAAAGAGAAAGAAAATTGACAAACCTTTAGCCAGACTAAGAAAGAGACAGAATGTGCATATAAATAACATATGAAAAAGAGACAGAATATGCGTATAAATAACCTATGAAAAAGGAGACATTACACCCAATACCATAGAAATTCAAGAGATCATTAAGGGCTGCTATTAAGAACTACATGCCAATAAATTGGAAAATCTTGAAGAAATTGATATATTTATAGACAAATACGATGTATCAAGATTGAACCATGAAGAAATCAAAAACCTGAAGAGACTAATAACAAGCAATGAGACCAAAGCTATCATAAAAAATTTTTTATTAAAGAAAAGCCTAGGATCTGAAGGCTTCACTGCTGAATTTTATGAAACATTTAACTAAGAATTAATATCAACCCTATTCAAATTATTCTTTAAAATAGAGAAAGAGAAAATACTTGCAAACTCATACGATGAGGCCAATATCACCCTGACACCAACACCAGACAAAGACATCAAAAAAGGAAACTACAGCTAATATATCTGATAATCATTGATGTAAAAATCTTCAACAAAATACTAACAATCCAAATTCAACAAAACAATAAAAACATACGCAACATGACCAAATGGAATTTATCCCAAGAATGCAAGGATGGTTCAACATAAGCAAATCAATCAATGTGATACATCATATCAATAGAATGAAGAAGAAAAACCATATGATCATTTCAATTAATGCTGAAAAAGCATTTGATAAAATTCAGCATCTTTTCACGATAAAAACCCTCATAAAACTGGGTATAGAATAAACATACTTAACACATAAAAGCCACATATGACAGACCCACAGCTAGTATCTTTCTAAATGGGAAAAATATAAAGCCTTTCTTCTCAGATCTGGAACAAGACAAGGATGCCCACTTTTCCCATTGTTATTCAACATAGTACTGGAAATCATAGCCAGAGGAATCAAAGAAAAGGAAAAAAAAGGGCATCCAAATTGAAAAGGAAGAAATGAAATCATCCTTGTTTGCAGATGATATGATATATTTGGAAAAACTAAATATTCCACCAAAAAAATTTAGAACAGATAAATAAATTCAGTCAAGTTGTAGTATGGAAAAATCAACACACAAAATTCGTAGCATTTCTGTATGACAACAGCAAACATTTTGAAAAAGAAATCAAGAAGCGAATTCCATTTACAACAGGTATGAATAAAATAAAATACCTAGGAATAAACTTAACCAAGGAAGTGAAAGATCTCTGGAATGAAAACCATAAAACATTGACACAAGATGAAGTGGGAATAAAAAATGGAAAGATATTCCATGTTCATGGATTGGAGGAATCAATATTGTTAAAATATCCATACTACCCAAAGCAATCTACACATTCAATGAAATCCCTATCCAAATACCAAGGACATCTTTCACAACAATAGAAAAAGCAATCCTAAAATTTATATGAAACCCACAAGAGACCCATAATAGCAAAAGCTATCCTGAGCAAAAAACTGGAGGAATCACATTACCTGACTTTAAATTATACCACAGAACTATAGTAACCAAAACAGCATGGTACTGGCAAAACAACAGACACATAGACCAGTGAAACAGAAAAGAGAACCTAGGAGCAAATTCACACACCTACAGTGCACTCATTTTTGACAAAGTTGCTAAGAACATACATTGGGGAAAAAAGTCTCCTCAATAAATAGTGCTGGGAAAATTGGATATTCATATGCAGAATAATGAAAGTGTATTAGTCTGTTTTCACACTCATGATAAAGACATACTCAAGACTGGGTAATTTATTTAAAAAAAAGAGCTTTAATGGACTTACAGTTCTGTGTTGCTAGGGAAGCCTCACAATCATGGTAGAGGTGAAAGGCACATCTTACATGGCAGCAGCAGGGAGGAATGAGAGCCAAGAAAAAGGGGTTTCCCCTTATAAAACCATCAGATCTCATGAGGCTTATTCACTATCACAGGAATAGTATGGGGGAAACCATACCCATGATTTAATTATCTCCTACCAGATCCCTCCATATAACATGTAGGAATTATGGGAGCTACACTTCAAGATGAGATTTGGGTGGGGACACAGGCAAACCATACCAGTCTGCCCCTGGCCCTTCCCAAATCTCACGTCCTCACATTTCAAAGCCAGTCATGCCTTCCCAACAGTCCCCTAAAATCTTAACTCATTTCAGCATTAACTCAAAAGTCCACACCCCAAAGTCTCATCTGAGACAAGGCAAGTCCCTTCCACCTATGAGCCTGAAAACTCAATAGCAAATTAGTTACTTTCTAGACACAATAAGGATACAGGCATTGGGTAAATACAGCTGTTACAAATGGGAGAAATGGACCAAAACAAAGGGGCTACAGGCCCCATGCGAATCTGAAATCAAGCAGAGCAGTCAAATCTTAAAGCTCCAAAATGATCTCCTTTCATCCATGTCTCACATCCAGGTCATGCTGCAAAAGGTGGGCTCCCATGGCCTTGGGCAGCTCTGCCCCTGTGGCTTTGCAGGGTACAGCCTCCCTCCAGACTGATTCCACAGGGGCTGGTGTTGAGTGTGTGTGACTTTTCCAGGTGCACAGTGCAAGCTGTCAGTGGATCTACCATTCTGGGGTCTGGAGGACAGTGGCCCTCTTTTCACAGCTCCACTAGGCAGTGCCCCAGTGAGGACACTGTGGGGGGCTTCAACCCCACATTTCCCTTCTGCAGTGCCCTAGAAGAGGTTCCCATGAGGGCCCCACCCCTGCAGCACACCTCTGCCTGGACATCCCAGCATTTCCATACATCCTTTGAAATCTAGGCAGAAATTCCTAAACCTCAATTCTTAACTTCTGTGCACCAACAGGCTCAACACCATGTGGAAGCTGCCAACCTTGGGGCTTGCATCCTCTGAAGCCATAGCTTGAGCTGTACCTCAGTCTCTTTTGGCCATGGCTAGACTGGCTGGGACACAGGGCACCAACTCCCTAAGCTTCAAACAGCAGGGGGGGCCCTGGGCCCAGACCACAAAACCATTTTTTCCTCCTAGGTTTCTGGGCCTGTGATGGCAGGGGCTGCCACAAAGTTCTCTGATATGTCCTGTAGACATTTTTCCCATTGTCTTGGTGATTAACATTCGTCTCCAAGTTACTTATGCACATTTCTGCAGCCAGCTTTAATCTTTCCTCAGAAAATAAGTTTTTCTTTTCTATCACATTGTCAAGCTGCAAATTTTCTGAAATTTTTTGTTCTGTTTCTCTTTTAAAACCGAGTGTTTTTAAAGGCACCCAAGTCACCTCTTGAATGCTTTGCTGCTTAGAAATTTCTTCTTCCAGATACCCTACATCCTCCTGAAGTTCAAAGTTCTACAAATCTCTAGGGCAGGGGCAAAATGCCACCAGTCTCTTTGCTAAAACATAGCAAGAGTCACCTTTACTCCAGTTCCCAATAAGTTCCTTATCTCTATCTGAGACCATCTCAGCCTGGATTTCATTGTCCATATCATTATCAGCATTTTGGTCAAAGCCATTCAACAAGTCTCTAGGAAGTTCCAAAGTTTCCCACATTTTCATGTCTTCTTTTGAGCCTTCCAAACTGTTCCAACCTCTGCCTGTTACCCAGTTCTAAAATTTCTTCCACATTTTTTGATATCTTTACAGCAGCACCCCACTCTACCCGTACCAATGTACTGTATTAGTCTGTTTTCATGCTGCTGATAAACAACAGAGCCAAGACTGGGTAAATTATAAAGAAAAAGAGGTTTAATGGACTCAGAGTTCTACATGGCTGGGGAGGCCTCACAATCATGATGGAAGGTGAAAGGCACATCTCACCTGGTGGCAGACAAGAGAAGAGAATGAGAATGAAGTGAGAGGGGTTTTCCCTTATAAAACCATCATATCTCATGAGACTTATTCACTACCATGAGAACAGTATGAGAGAAACCATACCCATGATCCAATTATCTCCCACCAGGTCCCTCCCACAATGTGTGGGAATTATGGGAGCTAAAATTCAAGATGAGATTTGGGTGGGGACGCAGCCAAACCATATCAGAAACTAAGACCTCAATCTCTCACCATATTAAAAAAAAATTAAAATGAATTAAAGACTTAAATCTAATACCTCAAACAATGAAACTTCCAAAACATTGGGAAATTCTCAAGGGCATTGGTTTGAGCAAGGATTCATTTAATAATACCCCACAAGCACAGGCAACCAAAGCATAAATGGACAAATTAATCACATCAAGTGAAAAAGCTGCTGTAGAGCAGTTGTGTAAGGTGTCTCATGCTTGTAATCCCAGCACCTCGGAAGGCCGAGGCTGGTGGGTCATTTGAGGTAAGGAGTTTAAGACCAACCTAGCCAACATGGTAAAATCCCCATCTCTACTAAAAATACAAAAATTAGCCAGGTGTGGTGGCATATGCCTGTAGTCCTAACTATTCAAGAAGCTAAGACAGAAGAATCACTTGAACCCTGGAGGCAGAGGTTGCAGTGAGCCAAGATCATGCCACTGTACTCCAGCCTGGACAACAGAGCGAGACTCTGTCTCAAAAAAATAATGAGTAAATAAAGAAATATAAACAGCTTTTTTTTAAAGCAAAGGGTACAATTCAACAAAGTGAAGAGATCACAGAATGGAAGAAAGTATTTGCAAACTATCCACCTGAGAAAGGATTAAAAACCAGAATATGTAAGCTGCTTAATCAAGTCCATTAGACAAAAATCTAATAATCTGATAATTAATGGGCAAAAGATCTGAATGGATATTTCTCTAAAGAAGACATAAAACAACAAGCAGGTGTATGAAAAAGTGCTCAACATCATTCATCATCAAAGAAATACAAATGATAAGTACAATGACATATCATCTCACCCTAGTTAAAATGGCATTTATCCAAAAGATAGGCAATCATGAATGTTGGTGAGGTTGTGGAGAAAACGGAACCCTTGTACACTGTTGGTGGGAACGGAAATTTGTACAGCCACTGTGAAGAACAGTTTGGAAGTTCCTCAAAAAATTAAAAATAGAACTACTACATCATCCAGCAATCCCACTGCTAGGTGTATACCCAAAAGAAAGGAAATAAGTACATTGAAGAGATACCTGCATTCCCGTGTTTACTGCAACACTATTCACAATAGCCAAGATTTGGAAACAACCTATGTATGCATCAACAGATAAATGGATAAACAAAAGGTAGTACATATACACAATGGAGTACTATTCAGCCACACAAATGAATGAGTTTCTGTCATTTGCAACAACATGGATGGAACTGGAAGTCATTATGATAAGTGAAATAAACCAGGTACAGAAAGACAAACTTCACTTGTTTTCACTTATTTGTGGGAGCTAAAAATTAAAACAATTGAACTCATGGAGATAGAGAGTAGAATGGTGGTTACTAGAGGCTGGGAAGAATAGTGGAGGAGGACACGTGGATGGTTAATGGACATACAAATACAGTTAGAAAGAATGAATAAGATAGCACAACAGGCATTGGATGCCTGTATCAAAATATCTCATGTACCTTATGAATATATCCACCTACTATGTACCCACAAAATTTAAAAATAAAATTTCTTCAAGTAACAGATAAAAAAATCCCAAATATACCAGCACCCTCCTTCCAGTTATCCACACAGAGCTGAGGCATGTTCCGTGATATGTGTTGTGGATTCACACCTTCGTGTACATTCCTACTTCCTTCACAACAACTATGGCTGTCATTACTTTACCTTGAATTTTAATACTTCACTATTTCACCCCAATTGTTTTATTGCCTTATTCATTTTTCTGAAGCACCATTTTAATCTAGTACTCTTCTGCACAAAGAATGACTCCTAATCACTTATCTCTTATCATCTAAATTGCTGTAACTACTTATTTAGGTTTACTTCTTTCATTTATTAAATGAGGTAATTGAATGAGATAACCTACAAAAACCCCATCCTGCATTAACACCCAGATGGCTCTATTTCTTTTCACGATTTTTCGGGAAAAGGAGATTTGAGACCTTTGAAATTTTCTTGTTGATCATATTGAGTGAGAGAATCGGGACACGTAATCAAAGTCCTTTTTCTTTGAAAAGGCATGGCTCATTGGAGAATCAGAGAATGGATTCACCAGTGTCTGTGTCTTTGACAGATTGACTTCTGCTGGAAGAACACAAGCTCCCCAGGGCAGGTGGTGTCCTTAGAAAAGCAATAGATGGTGCTAATAGGCATGGTTGTCCTAGTGTACATCTGAGAAACCTAGCCCACTTTTGCCTATGGCTGGGAAACCTGCGAGGATACAGTTGACCATCATTTAATTAACAAAGCACACAATTTGAATGTTGCATTACAGTTTTGAAGAGTGATAGTTTGTATTTTATGAATAGGGAATAAATAGACTTCACTCTCTCTGTGGCTAAATAATTCATTTTTTTAAGTTATAGAAGAGCACACAAGAGAATGTGAGTGGATAAGGTTTTCTGTAACTTGGATTTGAAGTAAATGTAATAGAGCTACTACATAGCTTCCAGTGGTAAAGGAAAGAAAGCACAGAGAAACTTAGAAGGACTCTTTTAGTGGTTTATCCTGAAATATCACCCACTCAACTATGGGAAATGCAAATGGCTATTTTAAATTTCTATATAGAATAGACCTCAAATTTCTACAGAAATTTGAGATTTGAGGGGCTGCTTGCATTTCCCATAGTTGACTGGGTGATATTGGCTCATTGTCAGGCTTTTAGAACTAATTACATCTGGGGAATCCAAGTTCAGGAACCACCATGGCTGACCCCTACCCACCACCCGCACCACACACACACAGTAACACTATACTTAACATTTTCTTTTCCTGGAATCTCAACATGAGTGTGTATTCTAGCCGAACTGGACTTTGACTGCACTCTCTTTCCCCAAACCAAGAAAGTAGACCAAATGTAAAGGTAATTTAGGGAGTGACCCACGGGGCAAGGGATTGGAAAAAAACCGATAGACCTACCATGAGTCCAAGCATCAACTGTTAACTAGCATTATGACGTTGAGCAAGTCAATGATCTTTCATAAGTCTCAAGTCTCTCATTTGTCAAATGTAGATATCAATTCAGAAAGTCACAGATCTTGAGGACTAAATGATAAAATGTACAGGCAAGTTCTTTGCACGTTTTAAGGTAGTACAGTGCTCTGAGGTGTTATTCTGTATTGTACTATTCTCTGATTTTATTTCTCCAGGGAAGAGACCTCATTTTGTCCTCCATGACAGCTCTTTTATCTCTAGATGCTGTGGGGCAGAGTGAAAATTATACAACTATGTTGTCATACACATCCAGGGTGGTATCTAAAGCCTGTGTGTGACCATCCCTCACCTCCTAACTCCCTGAACTTCTCTTTATAGCCCCTTGCTACAGCTGACCACTGAGAAGTCTTATTTTGAGGGTAAGTGGCTGATAAAAATACTCAAGATAGTGCCCTTGGACTGTATAGAAACAGAAAAGACAGATATTTTTTCTGATGAAGATTCTGGGGCTGATGCACAGCAGATGCTCTCTTTTAATGGGAGGCTCTAAATGTCTTGCTTTATTTGATCACTTGTATACAGCTGCTGAAGATATATTTCTCTTCAGGGGGAAGCATAGGTGAGGAGTATACAATTTTCAGAAAACAGTTGGGGGACAAATCTTATGAAATTATGCAAACGTCACTCTTTGCCTCTTAATATTGATCTCTATTATATAATTTTCCATTTTGTACCCTATATTTTAATGTCTGTTACGTTCCCTCATTCATAGGCACTCTGTTGCCCTTGACCAATTTCCTTCCAGGAGACATCAGAAGGTGCCTCCAAGTGTAATCATAAAGTCATGCTTGCATTTTTTTCCCTTTTGTAGTGATAAACAGACTTGGCTAGAACTGCCAAATACAAAGAAAAACCTTCAGTAAAAGCTAAATAATTCCCTTTTTAGAGTCTCTAGCCAAACCTGCTTAATATTGATTAAAATTGGATGGCGACACCGTTTGAAAGGACAAAGTTGCTAGGAACTCTAAGTGTAGGAAATCTGATCTTCCTCTTTTCTTAAGTCCCATAGTAAGTGGAAATTCTTAGCAGAGGGAAGGCAGACTCATCATGGTAACTATGTAACACTTACCATGGGCCTGCACTGTTCTATGCCCTCCATGTCCATTAACTCAACTAATTAAATCTCTCAGCATCCTTCACAGTAGGTATGATTATGATCTGTATTTTACAGAAGCTGGTTGATGGACAAGGGAATAAAAGTGCCCATGTCACATGAGTAGTGAATAATAAAACTGGCCTTTCCACTCAGGCCTGTCTCCATAGTCAGCGCTCAGAGCAGCAACTCTGTCTGATTTGTAGTAGGTAAGCAGATCTGAGATAAAGGCAGAAGGGCTCTCAGCTCCTGTCAGCTGGGTGTCACCAAACCTTTCTGCATTAAGGTGCAGACCCATCCAACAACTGAGTCAGTCCTGAGGAGGGCAAGAAGACTGTCA
Source organism: Homo sapiens (assembly GCF_000001405.40). Classification (NCBI taxonomy): domain Eukaryota; kingdom Metazoa; phylum Chordata; class Mammalia; order Primates; family Hominidae; genus Homo; species Homo sapiens. The sequence goes on from NC_000006.12 coordinate 86,352,439, forward strand.
GCAGTAGGTGGATCCAAAACGATTAGTACTGGCACAAACCCAGTGTTCCTGAAGTGAGTCCTGAGTGTCTGCTGCCATCGATCCTAGTCTCAGCTTTCCCCAATCTTTGCTCTACTGGCTCAAGCTGTTGGGTGAGACTTCAATTCCTTCAATACAGACACACTTTATATCCTTAGAAACCGCTCTGGATTTCATCTAGTTCCCTACGGTCCTGGATTTTGCCTAGCTCTTGCCAGTCATCTCGGGAGGGAATGTTCCTTCCAACACCCTCAGCCATTGACTGCTATTATGCTATGACTAGCTTAGAACTTTGGCATCAGTGTTTGCTTTGAGTTATCCCCACTGTTCAGGACCCACCAACTCCATTCTCCATTTGGCCCCACTGGCTGATCAGCTAACTCCCCTTGACAGTGTCCAGCAGATGAATGTCATTATAGGAACTCTCCCATAAGTCAGTTCAGATTTTCCAGCTCACTTACTTCTTATTTCCAGTCCTTGTTTCCTATCAGCTTTTGTCACACCATAACTCATGCTCTGACCTACCTGAATCATTTATAGGATATCTTTTCCTTTATGCAGATCTTTATGGCACAGCTCCCATTAGTACCCTGCAGTTACTTGAATTCTTCCACCCTCACTACCAGGGCCAGCCTGGAAAGACTGTGAAACCAGTGTTTTTTGGCAGCATGTGGGCTATTTTGGATGCTTACCTTGCCCTGGATCTTGGTGCTCTCACATTACCCATGTACCTTCACTCTCTTATCTTTCCTTTACCTCTTCTTCCTCACATTTTAGGGCCCAGTTGGTGACTTCAGTGACAATGGATTATTCAGATAAATCAATCAGTCAAGGCATTTTTGACAGCTTATGAGGAACTCTTAGAGGATAATGCAGGAATAAAGATATTTTTAATGCTGGAAAAAATTAAGCCAAATATTTACAAGTAAAACATAAACAATTTATGATTAATTCTGTAACTTTCAAAGCTCTTTTCAGTGTATTTTGGTTAATTGCAAAATGGACATAAATTCTCTGAAACTCTTCTCATCTAGTGTTTCCCTTGACTCTGGGCTTAGCTGTATGTCTTACTTTAGCCAATGGGACATTTGCAAATGTGATGCATGCAGAGGTTTAAAAAACACCTGTACATCTGGGGCTTGCTTCTGCCCCTGGGAACCCTGAGACCACCATGTGATGAAGGCCAGGCCAGGCTCCTGGAGGATGAGAGACACATGGAGCAGAGATGAAGAATCTCAGCTAAGCCTCTTAAACAACTAGGCTGCCACCTGCCAGACATGTGAGTAAAGCCATCCTGGATGACCTAGCCCCAGCCAAACCACTTGCAGATTTTAGAGACCAATTGTACCAGACCAGATCAGAAAAACCACCCAGCTAATGTACAGAATCATGAAAAGTAATTGTAATTTTTTAAGCCACTAAATTTTGGTGTGGTTTTTTATGTACTACAAGCTGACTAATGGATGAATGTTATTTCATGTGATCCCTATGATTGCCCTACAGTAAGAACAGATTCAGTGACTTGACTTCGATGCTCAACTGCTAAGTAGCAGAGCCAGGACTAGGACCCACATGGGCTCTTTACTTCCAAACCAGTGTGGTCTCCACTATACCCTCCACTTTTCAATCTGCCAGGGGAGGATATAATGAGATAGTATGGAATAATGCAACCCTAGAGTGAAAAGAGCCTTAGAGATAACGTGGTACAATTCTCTCATTGTATACTCAAGGAAACCAAGGCCCAGGAGGGTATGCCTTAGCTCTCAAAGCTTGGAAGGTACACAGTAGGTATGATTACCCAGGTTTCCTCACTCTCATTCTCATGTTCTCTTTGCTTCGTGGAGCTCTCTACCCCTGCTTTAGGCCCAGCAAAATTCACTGTCTTAAAGCAAGATGGTAGCAGGAAGGTGATGTGGTGGGGACAGCATTTTAGGGATATAGCAAGCATGTGCGTGTGTTTGTGGGCATGCATGTGTGGTTCACGATGCCATTTTTAGAATTCTCAAACTAGATGGCTAGCTGCATCTTTACCTGCCTCAAGTTCACCTTTGGTGATGCCACTTCTCACAGAGGCCAGAGGCCTCAGAAAGGCCTGACTGGTTGTTTCCCCCTGTTGTTTAGGAGAGCTACCTAAAAGCCTAGTGTGAAGGGATTCCTGGACAAGAGCAGCTTCTCTCCAGAAAAGGAAGGGAAAATAGATCCTAATTTCAGACAAATCATACACAGAAATGTATAGAACAAGAGAATTTAGTTCTATTTTGGTCTCTTTAGCAGAGAGCTGCTGCTTCTAAACCTCTTATTTATTTATTTATTTTCATTCTCATGAAGCCCTTTATTTATCAATCTGTACATATTCAAACAGCCATCCACCAGCTTTTGGGGTGCAAGTGAAGCTTGTTTCAAAATCTTGCACCCCACTTCTTACTATGAGCCTAAACAAAGGCCTGAAAATGAGACCAGGGATCAGGTTCAGGGCCCATAGTGGGGGAACTATTATAAACTAGTGTTTTTCCTCTACCAATATGGTTTTGTAGGCCTTCCTTTTCAGGTCTAATATTTTAGATGTATTGTTTTTATGCTATAAAACATCTCTCTTTAAATAATTTTTCATGAGAAGGTAATTAGATGTACAGTGATAAAAAGCATGCAAAATTTGTGAAGATTTTTCATGCTTGTGATGGAGAGAGGGCAGAAAGGTAAGACTGCTGGTGCTCTGGAAAGTGGGAGCTACAATTGCTTCTTCTCATTTATCAAATTACAGCCTTTTTGCTGTTTCATTTCCTGACTTTGAATTCTACTTTTCTGTAGTAATATTAACTAGAGAAATGAAACATCTTATCATACCTATTAATATTTTTTAAAATTTGTTACATAAAAGAGGGTAATATATTTAAATCCTAATGGCTTTTATTTTTTATAGAGTATTTCTTTTGTAGATCCCCTTTCTGAGTCACAGGGTCCTTATCTGCCTATCAGAAGCATAGCAAGAGAGAGAATGGGGAAGAACATTCCTGTGGGCATGGCCCTGGGGTTACAAAGGATGGGTGAAAGGGCTCCTTATCTGCCATCACAGAGGGTAGACCCAGGAAGTAATGGTGATGGCCAGATTTTTTTTTGCTCACAGTAACCTTAAACCAATCATTTAGTTTTAAAGAGTGAATTTATTTAAATAGTAAAAAATAATAACAAAAAGCAGCATATACACACTTCTTAGATATTACTAATATGGCTAAATATTAAATGAAGTGAGCTAACAGCCTAAGAGAAAATTCGAATGCCTGCTTTCATCCAAATCTTCTAAAAGTGGACAAAAGCTCTCATTGTTATATCAGGAAAATTGGAGAGAGAAAATAGATCTAATTTTCTATTCTTGTCACTGCAGTGCTCAGAATCCTTGAGTAGCTTCTCACTTTTGCTCTACATATCAAACCAAAACTTTTAGCCACAGCTTCAAATTCAAATGAATGGCTTGCCTTTCCTGTCTGCTCTCATCTCCTTTAGCACCCTAGCAGGAACCCTGTCCTGCAGCACAAACAGCCTCCCCACAGAATCCTGTGGTCAGATTTTTCTATCTTGTTGTTCACTGAGCACGCACTCTGGGCCAAGTGCTCACCCTGCCCTGGAGTCTTTTCCCATGTGCCTTGCAAGCATGAGGTCTCCCTATTTCTCAGCTCTACTCCTACCCAGGATCAGACTTGCGTTTTGGAAAAATCATCCTGATAATAGTTTTGAGAAAGGAAGGCTGGGAAGGAGGTGACTAAACAGAGAGTATCAGTAAAGGTAAATACAAACAACTGGGGTGGGAAAGGACAGGACGGATTGCCTCTACACAAATTAAGAAGTTAGAGGAAAGATGACTTAGTGCCCAATTCAGTATGAAAAGTTAAATGGGAAAAGGAGTATCTTTACATGATTCCATGCATTTTCGTTTACTCATATTAGCTATTAATTATCCAGATTTATTATTAATTGAAACATTATTTTACTAGGACCTCATTTAATAATAACTTAAAAGGCACTTTTAAAAGATGGTATCTATAGTAACTAGTATTTCACTTTTAGAAGCACAAGTGTTGTCTTTAGATCAAGATTAGCTAATCAAATGAGTCGTACTATGAAAATGATAATTATTTGCAGGCTGTGAATATAAAATATGTACTATTCACGAAGTTGCTGCAAAAACTTACTCCCTGCAGTTTCAATGCCCTAGTTTTCTCAAAACACTCCTGATATATTTTTTCTAAATTATACCCTAAAATAAACAATAGTTAAACAATTTTATCATCAAATCATACAAGCTTATTGTAAAAATATGGAAAATATAGATGTTATAGGGAAAAAATCACCTATAATCAATATCAATTATAGAAAATAAAGATTAAAGGAAAGCCAATGAATTATGTGAATATTCTCTTAGTCTTTTTATTGCCATAAATGTATATGTATATGTACATATACACAATAATTGGAATCATTGTGTATCTTATAATTTATATTTTTTCTTATTTAATGTTATGTCTCAAGAGTTTTCCATCAGTATTAGAATTGTTACAAAAGCACAATTTTAAAGAATAGATAATATTCCAATATATAAATGTGGCATAATTTAATTTTTTTTTTCTGTGATGACACTGTGGCATAGACTAGTTAGATGATCATCAATCCCATTTCCTCTTCCTAGGCACCCAGAAAGACGATATTTTCAAACCTCTCTTGCAGTTAGACTGATGTCATATAACTGACTAATGGTCAATGAAATCTGGGCCAGGAATATCAGGCCTGGCCCCTAAAATATACCTTTCAGTCTCCTTTTCTTTTCTTTCCTTTTCTTTTACTTTCTTTTCTTTTTCTTTTTCTTTCTTTTCTTTTCTTTCTCTGCAGAAGCAGAAGGACTCAGACAATAGAGTTTTATATAGAAAGACATCCCTCAAAGTCACCACTTGGAGGAGAACCACACAAGAAAGTCCCTCAGCCTGCATCAAATTCTGGTGTGACTAGGAAATAAATGTTATTGTGTGAAGCCTCCAGGAAGTGAAGCTTGTTTGTTTCAGTGGCTACTATTATTTATGCTGACTAAAGCCAAAGTTTGAGTTTTTCTAATTTTACTTAATTTAAAAATATACCAAAATGCATAACACTTCAAATAAATATCATTGTATGTACTTATTGTTTTCTTAAGATAAATGACTTAAGATAAATCTGGGTGGGACTTTTGTCTTTCACGAGGATCTAGAAAGCTGGAAAGAACATCACTCCTAATAATGAAAAAATAATAAGGAAAACCTGGATAATTTACAAAATAATATCTTTTCTTAGAATCATAAGAGCTGAAGTCATAGGCAACTCACTGGCCAAGAATGTAGGGACAGCAGTGCACCTCCCTGGAGTGACAGGACACTAGCACTGTCCCACCTGTGAGAGCAAGCAGGGAAGACAAGGCTTCCTTCCCTACAAGTGCAGGTGTTAGAAGCATTAAGCCAAGATTTGTGTCAAATTGTTAAAGGCTGAATGTGGGTCAGCATGAAATTATAGAATTCCTGTGAGCTGAAGACAGAGGGGCATTTGTGCCCAGTTGCAGGCTCTTCTTCACGGACTTGCTGGGTGTTCAAGAGAAAGAACAGGGTGGGTGGACAGGGCAACAAAACACATGCACTGTCCGTGGTGCTGGCCAGAAATGAGGGCAGTAACCACTGTGAGAAACATGAAATTTTCCCTGTTTCCTTATTTCTAAGGAATAAATTCTTATCCGGCTTGGGTAAGGATAGCGAAGGCTGTTATCCCAAGGCTCTGGTGGAAGATCCACTATTGTGAAGGCAGGGAGAGGAGTAAACCTTCTACCCATGTAGTAGGAGCCCAGATCTGGAGAGGCCTTCTTCTGCTGAAGAAGGGGAAGGTCACTAAAGGAAAGCCCTACCCTGAGATCAGGTAACAGAGATTTCCCACCCCCCACCAGGCTGACAAGCACCAAGAAGTAACAAACAGCAGCAGACTATCTTTGGGGAAGGCACAAAGAGAGAAAGAGAGAGACCCTCTCATAGGCATTGGTTCACCTAAAACTGAGAGTAGAGCAGGAATATTGGAAAAATCCTCTGGCACCCCCACCCTGAACAAAGGTTACATGAGAGGAATTTGAAGAAATGCCCTGAAAGTAACCTTAGTGACAACAAAACCAAGTTCAACTCCTAACTACACTGACTCAACCACCCACACTAATGGCTTAGCAGAAGAGGCATGACCATTTCTAGGCATGAATTCTGTTGAACTACCTTATACAGTGCCTTGTTAGCTACAGTAGGATTTTGGCTTTCACTCTGACTTTGATGAAAAGCCATTGCAGGGTTTTTAATATCATAATCTGATATATTTTAAAAGGATAATTCAGGATTCTGAATTGGAAATAGAGAAGGAAAAGGGTGAAAGTAGGAGACCACTTAAAGAGGCTATTGCAGTAATCCAGGCAAGAGAGGCTTTCTCATCTCTGGACCTGTATAGAAGCAGTAGAGGTCATGAGATAGCTTAGTGTCAGGGTCTATTTTGATGCTAGAGCTAGTAAGATTTAAAAATGGATTAGAGGGTGGAGAGAAAGAGAGAGGAAAAGGATAACTCCAAGATTGACCTGAGCAACTGGAAGAGTGAGTTGACATTTATCAAATGGGGAATACTAGAGGAGGAGCAGATTGAGAAAGTGAGAGCAAAAATTTGGGTTTATCCCTGTTGAATCTGAGTTGCCTGTTAGATATTAGAGTGAAGATAATAAGTACAGTGTTGAGGGCATGAGTCCGAGTTAAAGGAGGAGTAGGCTGAAGATATAAATTTGGAAGATGTCAGCAATTAGGTGATGTTTTATAGCAGTGAGACTGGATTATATCATGTAAAAAGTGAATGTCAATTGGGAAGAGAAAAACCTACAGGACTGAGTCTTGGGGCTTTCCAAAATTCAGAAGTAGGGGAGGTGAAAAGGAACCAGCAAAGGAGATTAAGAACAAATAGCTGGTGAGGTAGGAAGACTACCAAGAGAACAATGTCCTCCTAGCCAAGCCAATAAATGCTTCAAGGAGGGAGTGGTTCTCTCTGTTAAATATTACCAATATAAACAGATAAAGACAGAAATGTTCTATGGATACAGTTCTTTGTGATATTTAGAGCAAATACTTTTCCCAGTTGTTGATTTTTTTCAGTGTTTGTTTTTAAAATATGTATTTTAAATGTTCTTTTCATAGAAAAAATATCAATTTTATGTAATAAATTCCATTGAATTTTTTCCTTCTAGTTTCTTTCTTTGGTTTATAATTTAGGACAAACTTTTTCATACAGAAATTTGAAAACAATATTATATTTTATTCTAGTTTTTTACAGTTTTATTATGTATCAATCTTTGTAAATATAGTTTCAATTCCTATATCAAAGGGACATATGACAGTTTAGTTATCAATTCCCCTAATGTATATTTGAAATATATATATTTCAAATCTTTTTAATATGAAAAAGACGACAACGTTTATCTTCTCATTTAAGTCTATTCACATTTTTGAAAATATCTTTTGCGTATGTGCTTACATGTGAAAATTGTTCGGCCATAAAATTATATTAAAAGTATAACATTAATTGTTATATAGGTAGTTAATTTCTTAGTTCATCAAATGTGGAAGCTAATAAATTTGTTCATATTTTTTGTGTACCTCTGTGTTCACTTGTATGTTCCAGGAAGTGTTCTAGTTACTGGTGCTATATATAAACAACAGAAAAACTCCTCACCATGATGGAATTTACATTTTAGCTGGGGGAGACAGACAATAAACAAAAGTTATAATAAATACATAAATTATATAGTATAATGTATAGCCATAATATTATATACTAATGATAATTACATAGTATAATAATTATATAGTATAATATACGGTCATAATAAATAAGTACATTTTATAGTATATTAGAAGGGGATATATGCTGTGGAAGGAAATTGAGCAGAGTGGGAGATTCAGTGGTGGTGTGAAGGCAGCAGTTGCAGTCTATATTAGACCAATGGGGTAGCCTCATCTCATGCCATCGTTAAACAACTAGAAGGAGGCGAAGGAGATGGAGTAACCATGTGGAGGAAGAGGGCTCCAGGGAGAGAGAATAGCTGGTGTAAAAGTCCTCAGGGGAGATCATGTCTAGTATCAATGATGATGTGAAAGAGGCCAGTGTAGCTGGAGCCGAGGGAATATAAGAGACAATTGTAGCAGATTTGGCTAGGAAGATAATGGGAGGTCAGGTCATCCAGGGTTTTATAGACTATGTGTTCTAAGGGATGTTGGAATCGAATCCTCTGGAAGGTTTTTAACAGAGGGGAGACATGATCTGGCTTATATTTTAACAGGATCAGGACAGCTAACTGTGTAGAGAGCAGACACTAAGAGATGAGGGTGGAAGCAGGGAGGTCAGCAAGGATGCTTTTGTATTAATCCTCGTGAGAGAAGATAACAACTTAAGCTGGTTTGTGCTGAAGTAGTTGCAGTAGATGAGGTAAGAAGTAGATTCCGGATATATTCCAGAGAAAGAAAAGACTGGTTTGTTGATGGACCAGATATAGGATGTGAAAGAAAGTGAGAAGACAAGGATGACTCCAAGTTTTGAGGCCTGAGCAACCAGAAGGCTGGAGTTGCCACTGACTGAGATGAGAATGCTGTGTATGGAAAAAATTAGGTGACAATCAGAAGTTCAGCTTTGGACATTTCAAGTTTAAGATATCTCTTAGACATCAAAGGGAGTTGTTCTGTAGGCAGTTGGACAGTGGAACATGTAAGTCTGGACAGAAGAGCAAGCTAGGCCAGAGGCATAAAACAACAGCACAAGAGGGTGGAGAAGCACCAAGAAAGTAAGGTAAATAGAGAAGGGAAGAGGTCCAGAACTAAGCCCTGGGCCACTCTAAAGGTAGGAAGTCAGGGTGAAGGGCAGGAACCACCCAGGAAACTGAGAACAAGCAGCCAGAGCAGCAAAAGTAAATCCAGGTGAGAGCTGGTTGTCCTGGTAACCAAGTGAAGACAATGTTCCTAAGAAAGAGAGACATTTAGCAGCATTGAATCATTATTTTTCTCAAACTTTAGCTTTAAGAGAAAATTCTCCCTTACAATAGAGATGTATAAATCTCTTTGAAACAGTGCATTTTTTATTCATAGGGAAATTTTTTAAACATGCAGTTAAAGAAAGTTAAAAATATTATTTTCCAGAGACAAAGCAAATTATGTAATCTTGTTTGTCCAGCCAATCTGCTACTAATTTGTGGCTCTGCTAACTTATGATGACCCAAGTCTTTTCTTTAAAATAAACTTTCACAAATTGAGCTTCTAAAATTTTTTAGATGGTTAATATATATATAGCAAATAAACTATTCCTTAAAATGATTGTTGGGAGCAATTCTCCATGGGTTCCTTTTGTATTTCTTTGAGCAGAGACACTTACTACCTTTGTTCCAGACTATTTTTTCAAGGATGATATCTGTTCAGTTGCCCCTAGATATTCGTGGGTTTCCAGGACCCCCACACCATGTATACCAAAAGCCACAAATGTTCAAGTCTCTTACATAAAATGGCAGTCTGGGCATGGTGGCTCATGCCTGTAATCCCAGCACTTTGGGAGGCTGAGGTGGGTGGATTACTTGAGGTCAGCAGTTCGAGACCAACCTAGCCAACATGGTGCAACACCATCTCTACTAAAAATACAAAACTTAGCTGGACATGGTGGTGCATGCAGATAATCCCAGCTACTTAGGAGGCTGAGGCAGGAGGATCACTTGAGCCCAGGAGGTGAGGCTGCAGTGAGCCAAGATCATGCCACTGCACTGCAGCCTGGGTAACAGAGCAGGACTCCATCTTATATAAATAAATAAATAAATAAATAAATAAATAAATAAATAAATGGCAGCGTATTTGCCAAAACCTATGTATATCCTCCTGGATACTTTAAATCATCTCTAGATTATTTCTAATACTTAATACAAATAAATGCTATGTAGATAGCTGTTATACTGTGTTGTTTCTTAGTTTGTATTATTTTTTATTGCTGTGATGTCATTTTTATTATTTCTTCTGAATAATTGTGATCTGTGGTTGGCTGAATCTGTGGATGTGGAGGGCAGATTTTATATAATAGCCTTGGAAGATAGACATAGCGTCTCCTTCCAGAAGGGAAGGTGGGTTTGTTTACTGTCCAATATAATAAAGATAATGTTTCACTCTGGGACAAATAAAAGTGTTCTAAGCTTGGGCTCCTCAGTTGTGATGAGGACCCCGTGTGTATACAGCATTCATCTGGGGTTATAACCTTCTCATGTAACCCTCATTAAACTTTGAAGGCAAGAGGAAACAATGTGCATATAAGGCTCCTCCCACCTGCTGTCCTGTGATAATAAATGCTTTGTCTCTCACTCAGGAGTTTTGTGTCTTCTGCCAGTATCTATGATATTGTAGTAGGCTAATTTCTTAGCTTGCAAGAGGAGTAATATCTTAGTTCCTTCACGACTGTCATAGAAACATGAGTTTCAAATCTGGAAAGTTTGTTTAAATCTTTTTAGCTATCAGCAAATTTAAAAAAAAAACATTTTAAGGAGAAAATCCTGCAGTTAGATTGAATCATATACATGTCAAATATATACGCAGGCATGTGTCACTTAAAAACAGGGATTAGTTCTGAGAAATGTGTTGATAGGTGATTTTTCATTGTGTTAACATCATAAAGTGTACTTACACATACAGGTAATACAGCCTGCTACACACAGAGGCTCTATGGTATAGCCTATTGCTCCTAGGTTACAAACCTGTATAGCATGTTATTGTACTGAATACTATAGGCAGCTGTAACACAATGGTAAATACAGTTGTCCCTCCATAGGGGATTGGTTTCAGGACCTCCCATAGATACCACAATCCACAGATGCTCAAGTCACTAATATAAAATGGTGTTGTGTTTGCATAGAACCTACCCCTATCCTGCAATATACGTTAAATCATTTCCAGATTACTTATAATACCTAACACAATGTAAATAGTCTGTAAATAGTTGTAATAACCTATTGTTTAGGGAATAACAACAGTAAGAGTCTGTACATGTTCAGTACAGACACAACCATCCTTTACTTTTGGAATATTTTTGATTTTCATAGTTGAATCCACATATGTGAAACACATGGATAGAGAAGGCTGACTTTATTTGTGTATCTCAATATAACTAAACATAGAAAAGGTACAGTAAAATTATGGTATAAAAGATACCTAGGGCATTGTATATATAAGCACCTGTATAAGACACTTACCATGAATGGAGCTTCCAGGACTGGAACTGGGTCTGGGTGAGTCAGTGAGAGAATGGTGAGTGAATGTGAAATCCTAGGACATTACTGTATACACTACTGTAGACTTTATAAACATTATACACTTAGTCTACACTAAGTCTATTAAACATATTTTTATTTCTTTAATAACTCTAGCTTAATTTTAACGTATTTAATTCACAAGCTTTTAATTTTTAACATTTTGACTCTTTTGTAATAACACTTAGCTTAAAACACAGACACATTATACAGGTATACAAAAATGTTTTCTTTCTTTATGTCCTTACCTACAAGTTTTTTTCAATTTTTAAAATCATATACATATGTAAATTATATGTGTATATATATTTACTTTTTATATTGTTTTGTTGAAAACAAAGACATAAACATACATATTAGCCTAGGCTATGCAGGGTCAGGATCATCAATATCACTGTTTTCCACCTCCACAATTTGCTTCACTGGAAGGTCATCAGGGACAAGAACATGCAAAGAGCTATCATCTCTTATAACAATGCTTTCTTCTGGAATAAGCTCCAAAAGGACTTGCCTGAGGCTTTTTACAGTCAATTTTTAAAATATGTAAGTAGAAGTAGTACACTTTAAAAGAACTATAGAAGTATAGTATAGCAAATGCATAAACTGGTAACCTAGTTATTTATTATAATTACCAAGTATTATGTACTGCACATAATTGATTGTGTTATACATTTATATAACTGGCAGCGCAGTAGGTTTGCTTGCACCAACATTACCATGAACATGTCAGTAATGTGTCATACTAGATGTTACTACAGCTGCAACAACACAAGGTGACAGAAATTTTTCAGCTCTATTATAATCTTATGGGCCCACTGTTATAAACGTGATTCATCATTGACCAAAATGCCATTATGCAGAATATGACTGTGTGTGTGTGTATGTGTGTGTGTGTGTGTGTGTGTGTGTGTGTATGAATGGTTTAGTATGATGAATCGTTAGAACGATGAATCTATTGAAAAGAAACAAATAAGGTATATTAGTCTGCTAAAGCTGCCATAACAAAATACAATGGCTTAAACAACAAAAGTGTATTTGCTCACAGTTCTGGAGGCTGGAAGTCCAATATCAAGGTGTTGGCAGGTTTGCTTTCTCCTGAGACTTTTCACATTGGCTTGCAGATGGTTGCCTTCTCACTGCATCCTCAAATGGAACTATTTTTGCCTAAAATGCCTCTTTTTTTTTTTGAGATAGAGTCTTGCTCTGTTGCCCAGGCTAGAGTGCAGTGGCATGATCCCAGCTCACTGCAATCTCTGCCTCCCGGGTTCAAGCAATTCTCCTGCCTCAGCCTCCTGAGTAGCTGGGATTACAGGTGCCCACCACTGCACCTGGATAAGTTTTGTATTTTTAGTAGAGATGGGGGTCTCACCATCTTGGACAGGCTGGCCTCGAACACCTGACCCAGTGATCCACACACCTCAGCCTCCCAAAGTGCTGGGATTACAGATGTGAGCCACCGCACCTGTCCTTAAACTCCTCTTTAAAAGGACATCAATTATATTGGATTAGGGCCATTAAATACCCTATCTCCAAATACAGTCACATTCTGAGGTATTGGGGGTTAGGACTTCAACATATGGATTTGGGATGGTACACAATTCAACTCATAACAGAAGGAAAGAAAGAAGGATCTGATTTGGTTTATGCTAATAAATGGAATTTTTACAAATTATTTTATTACAAAAATACTTCTCATGGCTGGTAGACTCACCCTGTTTTTATTATATCTTTATTTACTGTCTCTTTCAATTGCAAGCTGCGAAAATATCAGTCACCATAAGGATGATGTGGGGTTAAACAGGTGGCTGGGCTAGGAGAAACTAGACAAAACGGCTATGCCCCTTACTCAAATTTACTTTGATGTATAAGCACATTGTAAATACAACTTCAATTCTTTCTTCCAATCCTTCTTGTTCATTAACTTTTGAAATGTCATATGCCATTGCCAATAACTGGATGCCGGATATATGTCTTTCAGTCTAGTGAGATTAAAAATGATTAGTTCAAAGTGCTTAACTTTATTTCTCTTCTTCCGGAGGCTACACACTTAGGGTCAGGACTCTGAGAGTCTATTATGATTTAGGATTTTGGTAATTGGCTTAAATATTTGGCTGTTGGCAGTCTCTTTGCTTATTCAGGAGAAATTTTAACCCAGTTTTAATTGGCTAGTAGAAGTCTGCCTTTTTATTTGTAAATAGTGACTTATGCTGGAAGACTTGATAGTCCATTAGGACCCTGAACCCTCTCTTGTCCCAGGGCAGGCTTCTTTGCAACTAGAAACTTGGTATTAAGTTGGGCAGCACTAATGAAGGCCAGCCTCTCTGCAGTGCTGTCTGGTGGTGAGCCAAGTGCAGTACAGGTCTTCTAAAAGTATCACTTTTAAAAGAGTTCTTAATGAGAGCTGGACCCTAATTCTGAGTGGCTTTGTTAGGAAATGATTTCTTGCAAACAAGGAGAATGAGGAAACTCTTTTTCAAGGTACGAAAGGAGGCTGCATTCTAGAGGCCTTCAGTGTCTTCCGGAAGTACTGAATTCAGATGTTTAAGTCGCTTGAAAACAGTCCCAAAATTTCTTACATTCTAAGTACCCCTCGGCACCACTACCATTTCCACCAGAGAAACACATATGTTTCCAGATTAGCCTTGGGCATCTTGGAACCAGCTCTCTCAGGTTAGATTTATAAATGAAATGTCAACCATGACCATGAATTGCAACATAAAACACTAATCAAGTGCATGTTTATACATGCTCCTAGACTAAAAGAATTAAATAGATCATTTTTCTTCCCTTTGAAAGCTTATGCCTTGGAGGCTTGATAAGCAGCCTTTTAGTGAGTCTTCTAGGAAGAGTAATAGATGCTGGTTTGAGAACTTCTAACAAATGATAGTATTGATAAATCAAATGAAAGAGAAAACCCCACCTGGCTGAGATGAGACTGGTGGGAGTAATTATGCATTAAAAATACCCATTAAATCCATTTGAGAGAGATTTAGTTTCTTTTTGATGTCACCAACATTTTGAATTTTCTGTCTGCTCAAGGAGGAGGAATGTCTACAGCTGAGTTCTGAAAAGTTGTCCATGCTAACTGGTCTTATGTGAGACTTGTTTCTATTTTTGCTCCCTTATTTTATCATTTGGAATTCTCATCTACACATTAATACTGAAATATTGAGTTCCAGTCTTCATGTCCCTGGTGCCTCATGAAGGTTCTCTCATGTTCACTTGCTCACAGGAACCCCTTCCATCATTGTTTTCACTTCTGAAAGGGCCATGAGAGCCCAAGATTCAGAGATAAGGGGGTGGCTATTCTGCCAAATTGGCATTCAGACTAAGATGCATTTTTTTCTACTCCTTGACTGAAGAGATGCAGACTTAAAGCCCTGTCCTGGGGCCTGTCAGTGAGTCTATAGTTCCATTTGGAAGAGACAGACATATAGAGATTATAGTTATCTTGCATAGGGGGATGTTTGACTGAATGTTTAAAGGGAATCTTGCTTTTCCAACATTTTAAATTATGAAGTACATATAAAATAAAATTTACCATCTTAACAATTTTTAAGTATATAGTTCAGTGCTATTAAGTGCATTCATTATCACTGAGCAACCATCACCACAATTCATCACCAGGGCTCTTTCTATCTTGCAAAATTAAAATTATATTCATTGTATTAAGTTCATTTGTATGACTATAACAAAATACCTGAGACTGAGTGATATAGTTTGTATGTTTGTACTCTCCAAATATCATATGGAAATGTAATCCTCAATGTTGGAGGTAGGAGCTGGTGGGAGGTGTTTGGGTCATGGGGACAGATCCCTCATGAATGGCTTCATGCTGTCCTCATAATAGTAAGTTCTAGTGAGATCTGATTGTTTAAAAGTGTGTGTCATCTCCTTGATCTCTCTCTTGCTCCCTCACTTGCCATGTGACAAGGTGGCTCCTTTTGCATTCTGCCATAATTGAAAGTTTCCTGAGTCCCTCACCAAAAGCAGATGCTAGAGCCATGCTTACCGTATAGCAGACAAAACTGTGAGCCATTCTTATCACTTTTCTTTATACATTACCCAGCCTTGGGTGTTTCTTTATAGCAATACAAGAATGGCCTAACACAGAAAATTGGTACTGAGGAGTGGGGTGTTGCTATAAAGGTACCTGAAAGTGTAGAAGTGACTTTGAAACTGGGCAATGGGCAGAGGTTGAAAGAGTTTGGAGGGCTCAGGAGAAAAGGGGAAGATGAAGGGAAGTTTGAAATTTCTTAGAGACTGGTTAAATGGTTGTGACAAAATACTGATAGAAATATGGACAGTGATGTCCAGACTGATGAGGTCTCAGATGGAAATAAGGAAGTTATTAGGAACTAGAAAAAATGTCACCCATGCAAAGAACTTGGCAAAGAACTTGGCTGCATTGTGTTCATGTCCTAAGGATCTGTGGAAGTTTGAACTTAAGAATCATGTTTTAATATCTACTGGAAGAAATTCCTAAGCTACAAAGCATTCAAGATGTGGCCTAGCTGCTTCTAGCAGCCTAAAATCAGAGCAAAGGAATTAAAGTTGGTACTTATATTTAAAAGGAAAGCAGAGCATACAAGTTTGAAAATTTTGCAGCCTGGACATGTGGTAGAGAAAGAATCCAAGCAGGCTGTGGAGCAATAACTTTCTAGAGAGATTAGCGTGACTGAAAGGGAGCCAAGTGCTAATAGTCAAGACAATGGGAAAAAGTCCTCAAGGGCATTTCAGGATCTTTCAGACAGCCCCTCTCATCACAGGCCCAGAGGCCTAGGAGGAAATAATGGTTTCAGGGGCAGACCTGGAACAGTGCTGCCTTGCTCAGCCTCAGAGCACTGCTCCCCACATACCAGCTATTCCAGCTGCAGCTGTGGCTCAAAAGGCCCCAGGTACAGCTGGGACCACTGCTCCAGAGGGGGAAGCCTGAAAGCCTTGGTAGCCTCCACGTGGTGTTAAGCCTACAGGCAAGAGTGAAGATGACTTGGCGGCTTCCACCTACATTTAAGAGAATGTATCAGAAAGCCTGGGTGCCCAGGCAGAAGCCTGGCACAGGGACAGAGCCCCCACAGACAACCTCTACTAGGGCACTGCCTGGTGGAACTGTGCAAAGGGGGCCACCCCTCTTGACCTCAGAATTGTAGATCTATCAGCAGCCTGAACCCTTTGCCTGGAAAAGCAGCAGGCACTCAACTCCAGTCCATGAGAGTAACCAAGGGAGCTGCACCCTGCCAAACCACAGGGACAGAGCTGCCCAAGGCCTTGGAAACCCATCCTTTTCACCAGTGTGCCCTGGGTGTGGGACATGGAGTCAAATGAGATTATTTTGGAGCTTTAAGATATACTGAATGCCCTGCCTGGTTTCCAACTTGCATGGGCCTATTGCCTCTTTCTTTTGGCCAATTTCCCCCTTTTGAAAAGGGAATGTTTACCCAATGCCTGTACTACTGTTGTATCTTAGAAGTAAAGAACTTGTTTTGATTTTACAGCTTGTAGATGGAAGATGAGACTCATGACTTTGGACTTGACGCTGGAATCAGTTAATATTTTTGTGGACTATTAATACAAAAAAATTGTATTTTGCAATATGAAAAGGACATGTGATTTGAGGGGCCAGGGCAGAATGATATATTTTAAATGTTCATCTCCTCCAAATCTCATGTTGAAACATAATCTCAATGTTGGAGAAAGGGCTTGGTGGGAGGTGTTTAGGTCATGGGAGAAGATCCCTCATGAATGACTTGGTGCTATCCTTGCAATAGCAAGTAAAGTCATGTGAGGACTGTTTGTTTAAAAGTGTGTGGAATCTCCCCCTACCCATTGCCTTTTCTCTGCATTAGTCTGCTTTGACACTGCTGATTAAGATAAAGACATAAATGGCTGGGCATGATGGCTCAGGCACGTAATCCCAGCACTTTGGGAGTCTGAAGCAGGTTGATCACAAGGCCAGGAGTTCAAGACCAGCCTGGCAAGATGGTGAACCCCCATCTCTACTAAAAATACAAAAATTAGCTGGGTGTGGTCGTGGGTGCCTGTAATCCCAGCTACTTGGGAGGCTGAGGCAGGGAATTGCTTGAACCCAGGAGGTGGAAGTTGCAGCGAGCCGATATTGCACCACTGCACTCCAGCCTGGGTGATAGAGTGAGACTCCATCTCAAAAAAAAAAAAAAAAAAAAAAAAAAAAAGACATACCCAAGACTGGGTAAATTATAAAGAAAAAGAGTTTAATGGACTCACAGTTTCACATGGCTGAGGAGTCCTCACAATCATGGTAGAAGGTGAAAGGCACATCTTACATAGTGACAGGCGATAGAGAGAATGAGAACCAAGTGAAAGGGGTTTTCCCTTATAAAACCATCAGATCTTGTGAGACTTATTAACTATCATGAGAACAGTATGAGGGAAACTGTCACCCTGATTCAATTATCTCCCACTAGGTCCCTCCTATAACATGTGGGAATTATGTGAGCTACAATTCAAGATGAGAATTTGGTGGAGACACAGAGCCAAACCATATCATTCAGCCTCTGGACCTTCTCAAATTTCATGTCCTCACATTTCAAAAACAATCATGCCTTCCCAACAGTCCCCCAGAGTTTTAAATAATTTTGTCATTAACTGAAAAGTACACAGTCCAAAGCCTCATCTAAGACAAGGCAAGTCCCTTCCACCTATCAGCCTGGAAAATCAAAAGCAAGTTAGTTATTTCCTAGATACAATGGGGGTACAGGGATCGGATAAATACAGCCATTCCAAATGGGGGAAATTGGCCAAAACAAAGGAGCTACAAGCCCATGCAAGCCCAAAATCCAGTGGGGCAGCCATATCTTAAAGCTCCAAAATGATCTCCTTTGACTCCATGTCTCATATCCATGTCACGCTGATGCAAGAGATGGGTTCCCATGATCTTGGGCAGCTTCACTCCTGTGGCTTTGCAGGATACAGCCTCCCCTCCCTGCTGCTTTCACAGGCTGTCTGCAGCTTTTCCAGGTGCATGGTGCAAACTGTCAGTGGATCTACCATTCTAGGGTCTGGAGAATGGTGCCTTCTTCTCAAAGCTCCATTGGGCAGTGCCCCACTGTGGTCTCTGTGTGGGGGATTCAACCCCACATTTCCCTTCTGCACTGCCCTAGCAGAGATTCTCCATGAGGGCCCTGCCCTGCAGCAAACTTTTGCCTGGACATCCAGGCATTTCCATACATCTAGATGGAGGCTCCCATATCTCAATTCTTGACTTCTGTGCACTCACTGTCTCAATACCATGTGGAAGCTGCCAAGTTTTGGGGTTTGTATCCTCTGAAGTCATAGCTTGAACTGTACCTTGATCCCTTTTAGCCATGACTACAGTGACTGGAACACAGGGCACTGAGTCCCTGGGCTTCATACAGCAGGGAGGCCTTAGGCCAAGATGGCAAAACCATTTTTTCCTCCCAAGTTTCTGGGCCTGTGATGGGAGGGGCTGTCACAAAGGTCTCTGACATTTCCTGGAGACATTTTCTCCATTGTCTTGGTAATTAACATTTAGTTCGTCACTACTTAAGCACATTTCTGCAGCCAGCTTGAATTTCTCTTTAGAAAATGAATTTTTCTTTTCTATCACATTGTCAAGCTGCACATTTTCTGAAATTTTATGCTTTGTTTCCCTTTTAAAACTGAATGCTTTAACAAGCACCCAAGTCACCTCTTGAATGCTTTGCTGCTTAGAAATTTCTTCTTTCAGATATCCTAAATCATCTTTCTGAAGTTCAAAGTTCCACAAATCTCTAGGGCAGGGGCAAAATGCCACCAGTTTCTTTGCTAAAACATAGCAGAAGTCACCTTTACTCCAGTTTCCCAACAAGTTCCTTATCTCTATCTGAGACCACCTCAGCCTGGATTTCATTGTCCATATTATTATCAGCATTTTGGTTAAAGCAATTCAACAAGTCTCTAGGAAGTTCCAGAATTTCCCACATTTTCCTGTCTTCTTCTGAGCCCTCCAAACTGTTCCAACCTCTGACTGTTACCCTCTGCCAAAGTTGCTTCCACATTTTCAGGTATCTTTACAACAGCACCCCACTCTACCCATACCAACTTATTGCATTAGCCCATTTTGACACTGCTGATAAAAATAAAGACATAGCTAAGACTGGTTAAATTATAAAGAAGAAAAGGTTTAATTGACTCACAGTTCTATGTGGCTGGGAAGGTCCCACAATTGTAGCAGAAGGTGAAAGGCATGTCTGACATAGCAGCAGGCAAGAGAAAGAATGAGAACCAAGCAAATGAGGTTTCCCTTATAAAACCATCAGGTCTCATAAGGTTTATTAATTACCACAAGAACAATATGGGGGAAACTCCTCCCATGATTCAATTATCTCCCACTGGGTCCATCTAACAACACGTGGGAATTATGGGAGCTAAAATTTAAAATGAGATTTCAGTGGATACACACGCAAACCATATCACTCTCTCACCATGTGATGTGCATGCTCGATTTCACCTTCTACCATGAGTGGAGGCTTCCTGGGGCCTCACCAGAAACAGATGCTAGAGCCATGCTTGTACAGCCTGCAGAACTGTGAGTCAAATCTCTTTTCTTTATAAATTACCCAGCCTCATGTGTTTATAGCAATGTAAAACTGCCCTAACACACTAGTCCAAGATCAAAGTTCCTGCATTTATGTCTGGTGAGGGCTGCTCTGTTTCTAGGGTGGCACCTTGTTGCTATGTCTTCACAATGAGGAAGGTAGAGGGGCCAGAGAGTACTTCCTTTAAGCTTAAGACCTTATATAAGGGTGTTAATCTCATTCATGAGGGCAGACCTCTCATAACTTAAGCACCTTCCAAAGGTCATACCTCTTAATACTGTTGTATTGGGAATTAAGTTTCAAGATGAATTTTGGAGGGAACACCATCATTCAAACTGTATTACTTAATAAATATTAACTCCCCATTCTCCCTCCCGCTAGATGGTCCCAACTGCCATTCTACTTTCTGCCTGATTTTGACTACTCTGGGTACCTCATATAAGTAAAATCACAGTTTGTTTTTTTGTGCCTGGCTTATTATTCTTAGTATAATGTTCTCAAGGTTCATTAATGTTGTAGTATGTGTCAGAATTTCCTTTCTTTTTAAGGCTGAATAATGTTTAATGGTATGCATATAAAACGTTTTGCTCATCCATTCGTCAGTGAACAAGTGGGTTGTTCCCCCATTTTTTATGTTGTGAATAATCCTGCTGTCAACATAGTTGTACAAATATCTCTTCAAGATCTTGCTTCAGTTCCTTTGGGTAAATATCTAGAAGTGGAATTGCTGGATCATGTGGTAAATCTATTTTTAAATCTTTTAAAAACTATCATACTGTTTTCCAGAGTGACTATACCACTTCACAGTCCCACCAAGAGTGTACAAATGATCCAATTTCTCCACATCCTCACCAACGCTTGTATGGACAATCCTGGAAAATGCCCCACATGTACTTGGGAAGAATATATATTCTGTTGCTGTTGAGTATAGTGTTCTGTCTATGTCTGTTAGATCTAGTAGGTTTATTGTGTTGTTCACATCTTCCATTTCCTTTCTTATGTATTGTCTGGTTGTTCTACCCATAATTGAAACTGTGGGACAATGAAGTCCCTGTGTATTATTGTGGAAATGTCTATTTCTCCTATAAATTCTGTTGATTTTTTCTTCATATGTTTTGGTGGTCACTTGTTAGGTGCATAAATGCTTATAGTTGTTATATATTAATGTTTTGAAACTTTATTCATATGTAATGCTCTTATTTGTCTCCTGTAAACTTTTTAATTTAAAGTCTATTGTGTCTGATGTTTGTATAGCTACCTCTGCACTGTTTTGGTTACTATTTACCTGGAATGTCTTTTTCCATCCTTTCACTTTCAACTTATTTGTGTCTGGCTCTAAAGTGAGTCTCTTGTAGACAGCATATGGTTAGATTATGATTTTATAGGCTTTTAAAATCCATTTTTCAATCTCTGTCTTTTGATTGAAGGTTTTAATACATTTCCATTTAAATTGCTCATAAAGGACTTGCCTCTGTTAATTTGTTATTTTCTATATGCCTTGGAGATTTTGTCCCCATTTCTTGTCTTTGATGTGTTGATGTTTAGCTGATTTTTTTTTTTTTTTTTTTTTTTTTGAGACAGAGTTTCACTCTCATTGCCCAGGCTGGAGTGCAATGGCGCAATCTCGGCTCACTGCAACCTCTGCCTCCCAGGTTCAAGTGATTCTCCTGCCTCAGCCACCCAAGTAGCAGGGATTACAGGTACCTGCCACCACACCTGACTAATTTTTTATATTTTTAGTAGAGACAGGGTTTCACCATGTTGGCCAGGCTGTCTGGAACTTCTGACTTCAGGTGATCCACCTGCCTCAGCCTCCCAAAGTGCTGGGATTACAGGCATGCACCACCACACTTGGCCTGTTTGGCTGATTTTTTAAAGTGAAATTTTAATTCCCTTCTCATTTTGTGTGTATATTTTACAACCATTTTCTTTACGATTGCCATGGGGATTACAGTTAACATCCTAAAGTTATAACAGCCTAATTTAAATTTATACCAGCTTAATTTCAATAACATACAAAAACCTCTGCTCCTATACATCTCGATCCCCACTGTGTTAGTCCATTGTCACATGACTATGAAGAAATACCCAAGACTGGGCAATTAATAAAGAAAAGAGTTTTAACTGACACACAGTGTCACATGGCAGGGGAGGCCTGATGAAACTTATAAACGTGGAGGAAGTGACCTCTTCTCAGGGAGGCAGGAGAGAGAATGAGTGCAAGCAGGGGAAATACCAGACACTTATAAAACCATCAGGTCTTGTGAGACTCACACATTATCATGAGAACAGCATGGGGAAAATCACCCCCATGATCCAATTACCTCCACCTGGTCCCAACTTTGACTTGTGGGGATTATTACAATTCAAGGTGAGATTTGGGTGGGGACACAGAGCGAGACCAAATTCCCTACCCTTTTCAGTTGTTACAAAATCAATTATATATTTATGCATTTTTTTATTAAAAACATAAACTAATAATTTCATAATGATAAATCTCTTACATTATGTAGAAAATGCAATGTGGAGTTACAGACCAAAATTGCAACAATACAAACCTTTAGATTCATTATTATTTTTAAAAATTAGTTTCTGAAAATGTGTAGAAAACAAAAAGTGAAGTTACAAATTATTTTGACAGTAATACTAGCTTTTATAATTGCTTGCATATTTACATTCAGTGAGATCTTTGTATTTTCATAATTATGTTAATCACTGTCTAGTGTACTCATTTAAACAGACAGAAATCACTTTAGTTTTTCTTACAGGGCAGATCTAATGATAACAAACTCTCTCAGCCTTGGTTTATATGGGAATATCTTCATTTCCCACTCTCTTATGAAGGACAGTTTTGCTGGATGTAAAAATTTTTGATTGATAGTTTTTCTTTTGGCACTCTGAATATATTGGCCCACTTCTTCCTTGCCTCCAAAGTTTCCAATGAGAAGTTTGCAGACAAACTTATTAAGGATCCCTTGTATGTGATGAGTCACTTCTCTCTTGCTGTTTTCAGGATTCTCTCTTTGTATTTGACTTTTGACTGTGATTATAATGTGTGTTAGTATGGTTCTCTTTATGTTCATCCTAGTTAGAGTTCATTGAGCATTTTGAATGTTTATATTTATGTCCTTAATCAAACTTGTGATGTTTTCAACCATTTTTTAAGTAATCTCTTCACTTTTCTCTCTTCTTCTGAGATTCACACAATCTACACGTTGGTCCACTTGATGTTGTCCCACAAGTCCCTTAGGCTCTGCTCACTTCTCTTCAATCATATTTGTGTTCCTCAGACTCAATAATTTCAGTTGTCTTCAACTTCGTTGATTCTTTCTTCTGCCTGCTCAAATCTTCCCAAACATCTTTCATTATAATGTTTAATCAATTTTCATTCTACACCAGTCTATAAGACCTTAACCCTTTCTATCATGTTGACTGTTCCTTACACACAAGTCCATGACTGCATGGTTTGAAGCATGTTTTAGGCATGTAAAAATCCTTTCTTCAGAAGACTGGGATCTCCCAGCACCCCTTCCTTCACCTTTTCCCCAGAACCCAATTTTTTTAAATGACGTTCCCATCTTGTGTCTACTCATCTCTTGTAACCTATTGCAATTTCTACTTTCCAATAATTATTGAAAATAAAAATTCTGCACTGAATCACTTTTTGATATGTTGTGCTACTGCTTATAGCAGCTCTATTTGACAAAGATCTTGAAAGCAAAATAAAACCTTCCTGCTGGGTTGATCTGTATGTAGAAACTGCCTGTAGCGAAAAGCAGATATTTGGGTTTGGAAGGTACTTTATTGTCTCCACCTGACAATTCCACATATAGCTGACTATCCCTCCTCCCAAGATATAAAACCTGAGCCTTGACCTAGGAAGATGCTAGAGAGAATACAATACCATTTTTATCCACTCTTCTATCTTTACTTAGCCTCCACATTTTCCCATGCTCTACAGAAACGTAATACAATGTAAACAGCATTCAGCTGAACAATCTGAAAGTTACTGTTATTTATTTTCCCATATGCTAGGCAGTACAAAGGGATAAAAAGCAAACCTCTATCTCTCTGTGGTCCTGAATTATGGTTCTTTGAACAGTGAAGGACTAAAAAGCCCATTTCAAATTAGTCTGCCTGGATAATCCTCTGTGATACTAAAACAGGGCAGGTGACTGATCTTGGCAACCCAGTAAGAGGAAGTTATTGCTGCGACTTCTGCTATCAGTATGAAAAAAGCCAGGTTTTATCTGTTGCCTGATTATTTAGGGTTGAAATCTTTTACTTTTATTCAGGTATTTTTTTCTTAATTGTTAACTTTTAATTTTTATGTGTACATAGCATGTATATTTATTTATGAGGTACATGGGATATTTTGATACTGGCATGACAGGTAATTTTAAAATTACCTATATATTTTTTAAAATTATAAAAGGCTACTTATAATGAGAAATACTTATGTACAGAATAGTTTTTAATAAGAAAGGCAAACAACGAAAATTAGTACAATGTGTTTAAATGCAATTTGGCAGTCTTGATCAAAATATTAAATATGCATTCTTTTTAATCCAGTAATTACACCTCAAGGAATTGACCCAATGGCAAATACTTGCACAATTGAAATAAAACAATTTATGTTCAAGGATTTGTATGTAGCTTTATTTACAATAGCAAACAATTAAAGTTATATTAAATGGACACACGTGTGTGAATAAATACATATGGCACATACGTATGAGATAGGTCTGTATGTAATAATTTAGAATGTTGTCTATGATGTGTAAACTGGAGAAGAAAGCAAATTACAGAACTGTATTTATAGTAAAATCTTAGTTTGTAGAACAAATGAGGAATGTGGATATTGTATTTATATATAGGGATGTTTGTGTGTTTGTGTCTGTGTGTGTGTGTGAGACAGGGAGAGAGAGAGAAAAGAAAGGGGCACTCTCAAAAAAGATACAGTAAAATTATTAGTTCTAGCTAACTGTAGAAAGTTAATTTTCAACTTTTAAAAATTAACATCCTCTACTATTGTAATTAAATATGTATTTTTAAAAAAGAATGGAATAATGATAGCATTTTAGTTAGAGAATGTGGAAAGTATTTATGTTACAATCCAATAATAAGGCAATTATTGTAAATGAATAGCAAATTTAACTCTAAGCCTTATGGAAGCCAAGATAAAAAGAGAAAGATTATATATTCTATGCTTTTTATTGACAAAAGAAAATACACAAATATCAGGAAGACTAGACTTTCTCCTAACACTAAACTTTGGAAGAATTTTATCACAAAGGTCTGTATATGTAAAACACTGAATAACATATTGAACAAGGTTTTCAATAGTAGTCTTAAAAAGTTATAGAAAAAATGTGTTTAATCCCTATTACATCAATCCTGCTGTTAATTATATTTTCCAGAGATGGCTGCCACACATGCTCTTCTCACAATATGATGTTGATATAACTCCATCAAGAGGAAGGGCCTATGTTCCCTTTCCTTGAAAATGGGAAGATCTTTGTATTAGGTTGGTGCAAACATAATTGTGGTTTTTGTAATTAAAAGTAATGGCAAAACCCCAATTACTTTTGTACCAACCTAATAATTGCCTTGACCTATAGAATGTGGTAGAGGTGATATTGAGTGACTTCAGAAGCTAGATCATAAAAGGCAACATAGCATCTACCTGGTACACTCTTATATCACTTATTCTGGGGGAAGCCAGTCATCATGTTCTAAGGACACTTAGGCAGCCCATCAAGGGACCCATGAGTCTCTGAGGTTCATGACTAAGAGATTGCACTAACTTGAAACCCATGTTACTGACTTTAGTAAAAGTGGATGCTCTAATCTCAGTTAAGCCTTTGGATGACTACCCCCCACCCCAGACAAATACCTCTGCAATTGCATGTGGAAACTGTCCAGGGGAGGTCTTTCTGAGTTCCTTACCTACAGAATCTGTGGGGAATAATAAGTGACTATTGTTCTTTTAAGCCATTAAGTGTTGAGATTATTTTTTATGCAGCCACAGTAACACTAACTCAATCAAAAATAAATCAAAAAGTGCAGCAGCTTAGTAGAGACATTTTCAAGGTAGCTAAACTACTATTATTTGGTTGAAATATTGTACTCAGGTACCTCACCTTAATGCAAGGAGAAAATTCACAGAACTTGGAGTCAAATCATTTTAACATTTATCTTAACACAGTTAGCCAGGAATGAAATAGAAATTTTAAGACTGAACTTTCTGTAGAATATCTGAAGTATAGATGTTCTGGGATGTTGGCTGAGAAAAGAGACCCAAATGTTTAAGATACATCAGAATTGGTTAGAGCAGAGTTGACATGCAGTGAAAATTAAAGAGACTGAGTTTGTCATAAAGGCTTCTTTGCATTTCCTTTACTTAACCAATGAGTATATAATAAATATAAAAAGTCTAAACAGGATCTATAATAAAGCTCTACAATGAAAAGCCCAACTCTATTTTTGATATCTGGCCACTGATAACTTTTAAGCTTCGTATCTCCTTTCCCCTTTGGTGCTACATCCATGTAAGCCAAAAAGAAAGCCAGTGTGCTCCCTCCCTTGGTGCTGGTAGGAAGTTCAAATCATGTAAGCCCCAGATTGCACCCCTACCCACAAAGAAAACCAAGACCACTATTTCCCACTGTCTTTCCGGTTGCTCAAGCTACTTTCAGACCAGTTTGAGTGTCTGCCCTGCTCTCCTCAAAAAATGTCCATTCATGAGTAATGAATCTCTTAACACCCACTTGATATATTTGTGCCATCATTAGTCTTGACAGTGGACCCAAATTTGGGTGGGAGATCCATCCCACTTCTGTGGGGTGACTATGAAACATAGGCTCCAACTAGAAGGGCTTGTCCCTCTCATTCCTTTCTGTGTGTTCATTTGTGTGATCTGATGGTTGTGCCTTGATCACACTATCACCACAACCATCTACAGATTATGTGTGGGCATGTACACCTCAGCAACATCTGTATTGGTTCAAACCATGTGAATAGTAGTAATCTTTCCAGACTTAGGACATGGCTGACATCATAATTATTTGGAAAATATCAAAATATTGTTGTTGTAAAAAATGCATCTATTTGAAGTGCTTGTTATTTTTGGCTTCAAGCTGCTCATGCAGTCACCAATGTTCTTTATCTTCATTCTTCATCCCTCTCCTCCTCTTTTATGAGCCTCCACCTCTGCCAAAAGGTTATAATACAGTAAGAATGCTCAATACAAATTTTAAAAACTCATTATTGTATTTTAGAAAGAACTTTATTATTCCTGTCTTGCAGATGAAGAAACTATGTCCCAGATATTACACAGCTGTGTAAATTCATTGTTCTTTCCCCTGTTTAAAGCTACATCCATTGTTTGGTCCCCTAGGGTCTTTCCCATGCAGGGATCAGCCTGAAACATCCCGCCAACATGAACATGCTACCCTTCATGCCCAAATGTTTGCATATTTAACAGGGATACTGGATACCTTTATGTAAACAAAATTATTACCAGTAAGATTTCTAGATCACCTGCATGGTAATGTAATTTGCAGGTATAATATGGTGGAGGAAATCTCCTTAGCTTGTTTCCCCAGCATTTAAAGTTAATTTTTGACATTGTAAGGAAAGTTAAATATGGACTGTCTTATATTCCTCCAACACTTTGGTGGCAGAGTGTACTGTTAATAGCAAAGGGAAGCACAGATAAAGCCATTATAACATAACCTTAGAGAAGAGCAGTGCTAAAAGAGACCTTAGCAATCATTCAGTCCAGACCTTACTTAGGGTCAAGGAAACTGAGGCCAGGGCTAGGAATGAGGGAGGTGGTGGTTGGAGAACCTGCCGAATTCTCATGGTTAGCTGGCAGGAGACTGAGGCTAGGTCCTGGGTCTCCCTGTTCATACCTTATCAGAATACTCTCAACCAATACATTTGTACTGAAGTCCAGAATAAATTTCTATCCTATAAAGTGCTTGCATAAGTAGAATTTGAAAATTATATGAATCTTAGTGAAAAACAGTCTCTACCAAGGAGAGCTGACCTAACATTACTCTGGTACATGGGTACATTAATCTAAAAAGGTAAATTCCATAGCAGAGTGAAAAGGATTTGCAAATGACAGAGTTCAAATATGATTCATTATCTAAGCAAGAATACTGTGCTCAAAAAAGTCTTGTCTGTGGGCAGATGCATATTTCAGTTAGTCAATCAGCAAGTGATCATCCAGTCAGTATGTGCCCAGCACACTGCAGACTTACAAAGGATGCCAAGAAATGGTTGTGCCCAGAAAGAGCTCTTAATGTGGTTAGGAGGCACAACTACCACCCACAAAATCATTAGGAACAATTCAATGCAACACTTAATGGTATTACTCAAACTTCAACTACTGAAATCTGAATGTTCAGTCTTCCCCAGCCCCATTAGAAAAATCACGATGTGAGCTGGATTTGAACAATGTGCAAAATAGGGAAATGTCAGCAATATCTTGCACAGGTAGGATGGCGTGTGTGGGAACAATTCTTTACACAGCAGGATAAGAGTGATGATCTTGGCAGCTCAGAACTGGCTCTTTGCCAGCTCAGACTTGCATATAGTAGCCATCCTGTCTTCCTTGAACTTCTGGCCCCCCGATAGCTGAGATCCAAGCTCTCTTGGTGCATTCAGGGTCAACCTGCTAAAAGGTTTGAAATTGTTCTTCTTACATTGTGCATCTGACATGTTCCTGTGGAGTCCAAACCCTTTTACTTCTTCTCCCCACTGCATCTGTGTCTTGCTTTTCTTTCTATCAGAGTCTTAGCACTGTTTCTCTGGTAATGACGGTGTCCTCTCCAGCAGATGCAGTTTACATTGACCCATTGAACTGGGTCCTTTCTCCACTTGGAGTAGCACTGATCTGGTCAAGCCTCAACAGTGTCACTAAAATTCTTACCCATGGGGCTGGAATTTCCTTACAAAAGGCATCTGAAATATTCATTAATTCCTTCATGTATTCATTTATCAAGCATTTACTAAAGAACTACTAAACTGGACACTGTGCTAGATGTCAGGCCTATAAAACATTGAAACCAGGTTTCTGCCTCAAGGAGTTGATTCTCGGTCTAATGTGAGAGACAGATAAGAATATAAGAAATTATAAGTCCTGAATGAGAGTTTTGAGAGATGTAATCACGGGGTGTTTTGAAACACAGCTGTGGAAGGTGGGCCCAGGCTGGGAGCAGTATGCATGTGGGATGGCATGAGTGTGCATGTCTGGAGGTGGGAGTAGAATGGGAATGCCTCTGAGAAGTGCTGACCCAATAAATAATACCTGCTAAAACTGTTGGGTGGCCATGAAGGTCACTGTCTTTTCACAAGGCCCTGGAAGGCCCACACACATCTTTTTATTTGGAGATGAGTCATTGCACTTTTTGTCATCTCAATTGAATCGTTTGTGAGTAGGTGCAGGGTTAACAGACATGCCCCTTTTAAATGCTAGCAAAAGGAATATATTTATGAAAACTGCCTAAAATTTTGCTTAAAGTATGTAAGAAACCACCAAGGAATGATAATTCCTACTCAGGCCAGCACCTGCGGGGAAGGAAAAAAGGATCTGAAGAGATTCAAATGTGATGAATGAGTGTACTTTTCTTCTGAAAAGGTAATTAATGCACATGGCACAACATTCAAAATTTACAAAAGGTTGCATGGTATAAAGGCAGCCTAATTCCCTTTCTGATCCCACATATTCTAGCACTGTTCTCAGAAGCAAGCCCTGTTACCAGTTTCT
The DNA here is from genome assembly GCF_000001405.40 of Homo sapiens. Taxonomy (NCBI): domain Eukaryota; kingdom Metazoa; phylum Chordata; class Mammalia; order Primates; family Hominidae; genus Homo; species Homo sapiens. The sequence goes on from NC_000006.12 coordinate 86,382,161, forward strand.
AATCATTTAGAAGTGAATATATGTATATATTTATTCATGTTTTCTCACATATAATTGTAGTGTGACATTCTGCACCTTGTATTTTTTCTTTGTTAGTTCATCAAATATTTATTGCAAGTCTAATATGTGCTATACATTGTTCTATGTGTTAGGGATACAGAAGCAAGCAAGACAAAAATCCCTGCCCTCAGAAAGATTTCCAGAAAATCTTTCCATATCACCACATTTGCTTATATTTGCTTATGCTTTCTTCTTTGTAATAGGTCCATAATTTATCATTGTTTGATGTATTATAATTTATTTAATCAGCCCTTTATTAATGCAGACTTTGATTTTTCTAATTTTTATCACAAAATATGTGATATCCAGTAAATACTTTTATATAGAGAGTGACTGGAAGAGTGCTTTAAATAGAGTAGGCAGTTGTTTGTTGAATGAAGGAATAAATTCTTTCACACATTTGAGAGAGCATTTTGGGTTAAATAACTAGGGATCAAATTGATTAATCAAAAGGTATGTACATTTTTAATTTGAAAAGATACTTCCATATTTTCTGGACTTGTGTTTGAAGCAATTTATACTCTCACTAACAATGTATGAGAGTAGAATCCTATTTCTCGTTACCACCACGTTGATCTGATGTGCTAACATGCTATGCCATTTAATTTTAACTTGTAATAATCTGATCATGAGTAAAATCAAATGTCTTTCCATATGGTTAGGAGTCATTTGCTTTTTCTCTGTGACCTATCTGTTCACACCCTCTACTCTTCCGTTGCATCAATGGTCTTTTATTTATTGGTTGTAGAGCTCTCTATATGTGTACATCAAGGAAAATATATCTTTGCTGTGATATCAGTTGCAAATATTTTTCCCAGCTTGTTAGTTCTCTTTTAACTCTGCCTATGTATTTTTGCCACGCATTTTCTTTACTTTTATGTAACTGAATTTATCAATCTTTTATTTTATGGCTTTTACATTTTGTGTTGTACTTGGAAAGATCTTTTTCTCTGAGGTTATTTTTTAAATTCTCCTGATTTCTTTTTGCACTTTTTTAGTTTCACTTTTTACATTTAAATGTTTGATTCATATTAAATTCAATTTGAATAATGTAAGATACTGATCTCACTTTACATTTTTTTCAGATGGTTATCCCATTTCCCGGTAACATTTTTTTTAATTATCTAAATTCTCTTCACTAACTTGAAATATCACTATTGTCATTTTATCCCATATCTTCTTAACCAAACATTGTATATATTTTTCACCTATTTAAAAAATTTTTCAGAGTATTGTACTAATCTGTGATTAAGATGAGGTTTAGTCTGGCTTCGTGTAAAAGAAACCCAAAATAATAGTTGTTTAAACAAGATGATTTTATTTCTCTTTCATGTAACGTAAAGTCTGGTGCAAGCAGGCAGCACCATTGCATGGTCCAACAATATCATTAATATATCAAGCTCTCTCCATCACTGTTCTGAAAACCTTATTGCTGGCTTTCAGCCTTTAGCCTCAAGTGTTTCACAGTGGTAATATAACTGCTGTAGCTCCAGCAATCATGTGAAAGTTTGGTGCATAAAGAGAAAACTTGCAAAATGGCTAATACTTCTGACTCAGTTTCCTGCCAATTTTTGCCTTTTTATTTTTATTTCTTTCTTATCTGTATGCACCTACTTTTTTCCCTTTATTTCTTCTTTTTTCTCTCCTTCTCCAAAGTAATTTTCACTTCAGTGATAGTTCAGTACCATTGCTAAGTTGTGATCCTCAGAGTCTCCACTGAATGACCTGGTAACCACCAATGACTTCTACTCTTCCTAGTTGGGACTCAAAATCTCCATGCTTAGTGCATTCTCTTATTGTTCATCTCACAACTACCTGGTAGTTTTTTTGGCTAGCTTTGTGAAATTTCACTTTCTGCATGCATGGCTTAATATTATTTAAGGACTGAAGATGGTCCTTACCCAAATTTTTGAAGCTCATTTTCTGTGTAGCTTTTTCACCTTTAGAACTCATCCTTGGAACTTCTTGTCACTTTTGGCCTATTGAACTCCAATCTTTGTCTCTTTAATTCAGAGTCCCCAAGACTGGTTTCCTTTGCCTTCACATGTCTGGAAACTAACTCCAGAAAGAAATCTAGGGTGACTGTGATAATCATTTAATCTGTGTCCCTTTCTCAGAGATCAGTCTGGTGCTTTCAGTTACCATAACTGAAAGCACTTGCTTTAGATATTTTTTCCAGTTTTCTAGCTGTTTATGGCAAGAAGTCAAGTTCAGTTTTTTGCCATCATGGCTGGCATTGGGAGTTCTCAGGTTTCTTCTAAGAAGCTTTTCAAAAGGCCACTGTGGCAGGCAGAATCTTACTATCCCAAAATGTTCTATTCCCTGGAATCTATGAATTTGTTACCTTCTATGGCAAAAGGGACTTGGAAAGTATGGTCAAGTTAAGGTTCTTAAGATAGGAAGATTATCCTGAATTATCTGGTGGGCCCAATGTAATCAAAAGGATCTACATAGGGAAGTGGGAGAGTCAAGATTAGAAAGGCATTTGTGGTGACAGCAGTGAAGGTTGGAGTGATTTGCTTTGAAGATGAGAGAGAGAGGCCATGAGGAAAGGAATACAGGCAGCTTCTAGAAGTTGGAAACCAAGGGATTGGATTCTCTCTTGGAACATCCAGAAGGACTACAACACCATTGACAACTTGATTTTTGCCCCATAAGACATATTTTGAACTTCTGACTTCAAAAACTGTAAGGTAATAAATTTGTGTTGCTTCAAGACACTCAGCTTGTGGTAACTTGTTACAAGAGTAATAGGAAAATAATACAACCAGCCAATAACTTCTAGTTTATCTACAGTGACCCAGATTTAGTCACATGTCCACCCACTGTCTGCAACAAAATGCTAGAAAATGTATTTTTAAACTATGGGTACATTGACACTTCCAGTAAAATTATTAGTAAAAATGAACAGCCTGTACCATAATGATTTTTGTTTTAGTTCTTCACTATTTTAATTATTTCAGCTATTGCAAAGTGTTCTCATATCTAGTATGTCTACTTCCTTTTATTTCTTTTATTTTTCATAATTATTCTGACTATTCCTGCTTGCTTATTCTGCCATATGTATTTTACAGTCAGCTTGTCTAATGGACAATATCCTGTTGGTATTACATTAAATTTATAGATGCACTTATATAGTATTGACATCTTTATGATGCTGAGTTTTTCTACCTAAGTACATGGTGTGGCTCTCTGTTTAGTCTTTATTTATTTTCCTATGTAAATTTTTGATTTTTTCTTAGATAGAGGCTAATGATATTTGTTGTAGAATGGACAAGAGTGATTTTTAAGGGTTAAAATAAAGAAGGAGCATGACAATAGTATTACATCCAGTTTCTTCACATGTGAGGCCACTTGTGGAAAAATATCACTGGGAAAAGAATTACAATTTTGTTCACTATTCCTCACTATTTGAGAACACTATATATGTTTCTATGGATAATAACACCTGAAATCTCTTAAGAAGTCTTTGATTATATTGTCAAACACATAAAAAAGTCTTGACATGGATATAATTGCATATGAAAACTTTATTAAAACTGAGATTCAAAACAGCTCCATAAAATTCTGAGAAGTGAGGTTAGAACCAACTGAATTAAACTGAAATAAAGGAAAACGCTGATTTGTGAAACAGCAGGGAGTTTTAAATAACTCATGATGTTAGGAAGGAAAACCAAGGAGAAAACTGTAAATGTTTCCAGGTCTCAGTGATCTATGAGACCCACAGCTCAGAAACCACATTAATTTTTATGCTGCCATATTAAATTACCAGTCTATTAGCATGATTCTAGCACTTTAATATCTGATTTTACTGAAAAATTCTGTATAGACATTCAGAAGTATTACTTCCTAGCCATCATACATAACCAACCATAAATTAGTTTAAATAAAATAGAGGTTGTACTGACTTGTCCACTCCTAGTTGAATTCATAAAAAAAATAAACCAAATATGTTGATTAGGACTATTAAGCAAGTGTTTCACCTCTTCAGGTACTCTCTTATTTCTTGGGATAATTGTGTATATAGAATTGCAGGCCATCACCCAGATGCAAGCATAAACAAGAATAATAAATTAGGGAGAACCTTTAAAATAATTACCAGTTTGGGAAAAAAAGTAGTCTTATAAATTGAATGCTTTTATCACCATCAACAAATGAGAGAGTCAGAATGGGATGTGATAAGGAAGGATGCTTAGACTAATCAGAATACCAACTTTAGTTGCCTGAATCGAAAGAGCTACATAATCATTAAGAGTTTTCCAGTTTAGTTCAAAACAGAAGTAGCACATTTTCAAAATGAAACAAGAAAATATGTGGGGGCTTAGGGGAAGGGCGGTATCTGAATGGATATTCAGGTAAACAAAACTTTGTAATTTCATGAAGGAATGGAAAAGTAAGGGAAAGAAATCCCTGGTTTGTAGGTACTGTTAAAATCCTAGACTTGACTGCCTACCATAAGCTAGAAGCTACAGACACTAGACTGAAAAAAAATGCAGAACATCATAGACTCAGTTTTGGAAAGTGTGTTAAATGTCATCTTGAGTGATCCATCTCCCTTTCCATGCTTAATTTATTTCTGTAGAAGCCTCACAAAGTTATCACCAAATCATATCCTGTTATGGAGTATGCATGTCTTCCCAAGGCAATCTATTCCATCTTTGGTGAGCTCCGGCTACTATATTCTACTGTATATTGATCCAAAATCTGCTTTGCTGTAGCATCTACCCATTACTTGTAGTTCTATTCCTTGAGGAAGAATGAACAAACTTAATCTTTGTTTTATGTAATCATTCTTCAGTTCTCTAAAACTAGCTATCATGTTTCCACAATGTCTTCTCTTCAGCTAGCTCAATAGCTCTAGTTACTTCAACTGCGCATTGCAGAACTAGAGGTAAAATCTTCAGCATCCCTGTCTCTATGAATGTGCTTGAGTTTCCTATGTCACTCTAGGAAATTAACTCAATAATCCAGGTATGAACCACTAATTGCTGAACAGAGCACACTTCCCTTGTTCTAAATCCTTACAACAATTGTCCTGTGAGCCGGTAGAATTACCCAGGAAGTTGTTAGAAATCAAAACTTCACAGCCCTACTCCAGGTCTACTGAATTGGAATTTGTATTTTAATGAAATTCCAGATGACTCATACGAACTCATATTAACTTTTTCAAACACTGTGCTAGATCAGTGGTTCTCCAAGTTGACAGCACATTTGAATCACCTGGGGAGTTTTAAAAAATACTGATGTCTGAGTCTGTGAGAGATGAAATTCAGATACGGTCTGGGCATGAGGATTGTTTGCAATTTTGAAGGTCATTCAAGGGTGCAGTCATGCCTCGGAACCACTGTTAGAGAATGATAACAGTCTTTAATAAGGCAGGCTAAAATCCTGCTCTGTTTTTAGCAGCTATATCATAATATGGATATATTAAACTAGTAGCCCAAGTCATTTTTATTGGTACTATTGCTAAATTCTGATGCCCCCATTCTGTAAGCAAGAGGTTGGATTTCTGGACCAAGTTCAGAATCTTAAACTTATCTCTATTAAATTTTATTTTATATGATTTACTACCATTCTGCTTTAGAATGAAATAGAAGGAAAAGTCATTATTAAGTTAGAAAAACCTAAGATATGTAAACATGACAGATTAGAACATTTAGAGAAAAAAGTACAGCCTGATAAATTGCTGGGGTAGAGAAGAAGAAGCATCTATTTTATCAAATTGAGTAAAATACAAATTTAAAGTTGTACAGAATATCCCAATGGACGGAGTTTCAGGATATTGTCAGCAGATTTATTGCCCTCTTCAAGAGGGTTGACTTAGACTTACTTAACTTCCTGATTTGTTTGAATATCTTCCTAATGATTTTCTAAAATCAAGGTAGCTGTTGTGTGTGCTCAAGTGGGCCTGTACCACCTCATAATACCTGGTTGCTAGCATTTCTTTCCAACTCTCCGTTCAGTGATGACAACTGGTAACTCAGAATCAGCCATGGTGGGAATATTTACATTATAGAACTCAGCAAGAGATACAAATCAGTTCATTCCATCCCTCTTCCTTCCCTAGTGCTGGTTGTTTAACATTTACCAATGCATCACTGAAAAGAAAAACATTATCAATTTGGAAGTTCCCTTCTAAAAAATATCAGAAAAAAAAGTGAACTCACCTGGAAGGACCAATACCTCTTATTTTTCTTTAAGAGTGTCTAAGAACAGAGGTAACTACAAGGTGCAGGGCCCAAAAGGTATGTAACAGAGCAAGAGTACCAACAATTCCAACCAAAGGAAACTCAATTGTCATCTACTAAGTGCTGGGGTTATTCAGCTTTGGCCCTGCCCTTTTGAAATGCAACCTAATACTCACAGGCAATTATAGTGATTAGACATTTTGCTGATATAAGAATCTGGAGAATAAAACAGAAAACTCACCCAACTGAACTTAAAAGTCATGAGTATTGATATGGTTTGATTGTGTCCCCACCCAAATCTCATCTTGAATTGTAGATCTTATAATTCCCACGTGTCATGGGAGGGACCCAGTGGGAGGCAATTTAATCATGGGCTGGGTGGTGGGGGCAGTCTTTCCCATGCTGTTTTTGTAATTGTCAATAATTCCCATGAGATCTGATGATTTTATAAAGGGGAGTTCCCCTGCACAGTTTCTCTCTTGCCTGCTGCCGTGTAAGATATGACTTTGTTCTTTTACCTTGCACCATGATTATGAGGCCACCCCAGCCATGGGGAACTGTGAATCAGTCAAGCCCCTTTTCTTTATAAATTACCCAGTCCCGGGTATGTCTTCATTAGCAGCATGAGAACAGACTAATACAGTAAATTGGAACTGGTAGAGTGGGGTTCTTCTGTACAGATACCTGAAAATGTGGAAATGACTTTGGAACTGGGTAACGGGCAGGGGTTGAAACAGGCTGAAGGACTCAGAAGAAGATAGGAAAATGTGGGAAAGTTTGGAACTTCCTAGAGACTTACTGAATGGCTTTGGACAAAATGCTAATAGTGATATGGACAATAAGGTCCAGGCTGAGGTGGTCTCAGATGGAGATAAAGAACTTATTGCAAACTGGAATAAAGGCTAGTCTTGCTATACAAAGAGACTGGCAGCATTTTGCCCCTGCCCTGGATGTCTGTGGAACTTTGAACTTAAGGGAGATGATTTAGGGCATCTGGCGGAAGAAATTTCTAAGCATCAAAATATTCAAAAGGTGACAGCATAAAAGTTTGGAAAATTTGCAGCCTGACAATGCAATAGAAAAGAAAACACATTTTCTAGGGAGAAATTCAAGCCTGCTGCAGAAATTTGCATAAGTAACAAGGAACCAAATGCTAATCACCAATACAATGGAGAAAATTTCTCCAGGGAATGTCAGAGACCTTTGTGGCAGCCCCTCCTATCACAGGTCCAGATGCCTAGAGAAAAAAAAGTGAATTCTTGGGCTGGGCCCAGGCACCCCCTGCTGTGTGCAGCCTAGGGACTCAGTGTCCTGCATCCCAGCTGCTCTAGCCATGGCTAAAAGGGGCCAAGGTACAGCTTTGGCCATGGCTTTAGAGGGTATAATCCCCAAGTCTTGGCAGCTTCTATGTGGTGTTGATCCTGCAGTTGCACAGAAGTAAAGAATTGAGGTTTGGGAACCTCTGCTTAGATTTCAGATAATGTATGGAAATGCCTGGATGTCCAGGCAGAGGTGTGCTGCAGAGGCAGAGCCCCCATGGAGAACCTCTGCTAGAGTAGTGCAGAGCGAAATGTGGGGTTGGAGACTCCACACAGAGTCCCCACTGGGGCACTGCCTAATGGAGCTGTGAGAAGAGGCCACTGTTCTCCAGACCCCAGAATGGTAGATTCATCAACAGCTTGCACTGTGCACCAGTAAAAGACACAGACACTCAACACCAGCCCATGAAAGCAGCCAGAAGTGGGGCTGTATCCTGCAAAGCCACAGGGGCAAAGCATCCCAAGGCTCTGGGAGCCCATCTCTTGCACCAGCGTAACCTTGGTGTGAGACATGTTGTCAAAGGAGGTCATTTTGGAATTTTAAGGCTTAATGAATGCCCTATTGGACTTTGGACTTGCATGGAGCCCATAGCCCCTTTGTTTTGGCCAATTTCTCCCATTTGGAATGAGTATATTTACCTAATGCCTGTACCCCCATTGTATTTCTAACTTACTTTTGATTTTACAGGCTTATAGGTGGAAAGGACTTGCCTTGTCTCAGATGATACTTTGGACTGTGGACTTTTGAGTTAATGCTAAAATGAGTTAAGACTTTGGGAGACTGGTGGGAAGACATGATTGGTTTTAAAACATGAGGACATGAGATTTGGGAGGGGCCGGGGTGGAATGGTATGGTTTGACTGTGTCCCCACCCAAATCTCATCTTTAATTGTAGCTCCCATAACTCTCATGTGTTGTGGGAGGGACCTAATGGGAGATAATTGAATCATGGGGATGGGTTTTTCCTATGCTGTTCTTGTGACAGTAAATAAGTCTCATGAGATCTGATGTTTTATAAGCTCACACATACACTCTATCTCTTGCCTGCCACCATATAAGATGTAACTTTGCTCCTTTGACTTCTGCCATGATTGTGAGGCCTCCCCAGCCATGTGGAGCTGTGAGTCAAGGAGGAAAAAAAGTCAAAGAGGTTCCTGTTCTAAAGGAATCTCTTTCCTTTATAAGTTAATCAGTCTTGGGTATATTTTTATTATGACATGAGACAGACACAAACAAGTAGTAAGATATTAAGTTTTATCATTTATGAAGACCTAAAATTCTATGCTATAATTTGCTGATTTATAAAAAATAATAATTTTATATTTATTTGCTAACACCATATGATGATTTGCACTCAAATAGATGTCTAATATTCTACCTACTACATGGAGGCCTAAACTCAGGTCCGTTTTCTTGTTGTTGAAGTTTAAGTCAATTTTATAAATAACACAATTCATTTTTTATTTTAAAGGCAGTGTCAGGGTGTCTAGTTTCTTTCTTTTATGAAAAGAAAATAGAAGTTAAACTTTTGTACAGTAACCATAAGAATTCAGACTAAAATCTGCTAATTCATTGGGAACAGAAAGAGTTGAAAGTACAAACTAAAAAGAATTTTCAAAGGCTCTCTAAAGAAAAGAGAGAGAATCAGAGAAGAAAGGATTTTATCTCACAACTGTGCTTTTTGAATAACATTTTATCTGTGCAGATGAAATGAATTGATTTATTTTATCAAATATCACAAGGAAAACTCTCTCTGCTTCATTAGGAGAAACAATAACCTGAATCCTGCAATATTTCTTTAACACATCAGCATCTTTTAAAAGAACTTTCATTGTGTTGTAGGAGAAAAATCACATGTAGCCCAAGAGTCATGTTCAATTAATGGTTCCAGTTGTTTGTATTTGTGTGTTGCTTCTTCTGTAGAAAGTGCCTCATCACATGGTAAGGAATTAATTATATCACCAAAATTAGGTACAAATATATTCCCTAAGGATGTAAATTACTAGGGAGTGCTCCCAAAGCATTCCCCATACATCCCTGGTGACCGTATTCTTCTTCAGTCTCATACCCTATAATGTGGCGGAAGGGAATCATGCAGTTGCACAAGGTCCCCTCAAAAGAGTCTCACACTAGGTTTAGTGTTTTGCTGTTACCTAGTTGAAGTTATTTGTAATTACATCTTTTCATTTACTTTTTTTTAAGTGAAGTCCAGTGGGGCAATGGAGGATATACATGAAGAGAGGAGATATGTACAATATGCATGTCCTTAATCACTTCCTTCTTTATTTGCATATACCACACATCATGGCCCATGAGCACAGGATGCACCATAAGGAAAGGTGGCCATGAGCACAGGATGCCCGTGAGCAAAAGATCTCCATAAGCATGGGGCATTCATGACCATAAGGTGCCTGATGCACACTGGGTACATGGGACATCAGAGAGACTCAAAATGAAAACAAGGTAAATTTGTTTCATATATGAATAATTAGCGCATTCTAGTGCTGCCATAAAGAAATAATAGAGACGCCAGGTGCGGTGGCTCACACCTGCAATCCCAGCATCTTGAGAGGGCAAGGCAGGTGGATCACCTGAGATCAGAAGTTTGAGACCAGACTGGCCAACATGATGAAACAGTGTCTCTATTAAAAATACAAAAATTAGCCAGGTGAGGTGGTGGGTGTCTATAATCCCAGCTACTTGGGAGGCTGAAGAAGTAGAATTGCTTGAACCCGGGAGGTTGAGGTTGCAGTGAGCTGACAGCCTGGGCAAAGGGTGTGAAACTCCATCTCAATAAATAAATAAATAAATAAATAAATAAATAAATACCTGAGAATGGGTAATTTATGAAGAAAAGAGGTTTAATTTGGGAGTAGGTTCCAAGATGGCCGAATAGGAACAGCCCAGTCTACAGCTCCCAGCGTGAGTGATGCAGAAGATGGGTGATTTCTGCATTTCCAACTGAGATACCGGGTTCATCTCCCTGGGGCTTGTCGGACAGTGGGTGCAGCCCACGGAGGGTGAGCCGAAGCAGGGTGGGGCATCACCTCACCAGGGAAGTGCAAGAGGTTGTGGAATTCCCTTTCCTAGCCAAGGGAAGTCATGACAGACAGTACCTGGAACAGACAGTACCTCCCACCCTAATACTGCACTTTTTCAATGGTCTTAGCAAATGGCACACCAGGAGATTATATCCTGCTCCTGACTAGGAGGGTCCCATGCCCACGGAGCCTCACTCACTGCTAGCACAGCAGTCTGACATAGAACTGCAAGGCAGCAGCGAGGCTGGGGGAGGAGCACCCACCATTGCTGAGGCTTGAGTAGGTAAACAAAGTGGCAGGGAAGCTCGAACTGGGTGGAGCCCATTGCAGTTCAAGGAGGCCTGTCTGCCTTTGAAGACTCCATCTCTGGGGAAAGGGTATAGCTGAACAAAAGGCAGCAGAAACTTCTGCAGACTTAAATGTCCCTGTCTGACAGCTTTGAAGAGAGTAGTGGTTCTCCCAGCATGGAGTTTGAGATCTGAGAATGGACAGACTGCCTCATCAAGTGGGTCCCTGACCACTGAGTAGCCTAACTGGGAGGCACCTCCCAGTAGGGGCTAACTGACACCTCATATGGCTGGGTGCCCCTTTGAGATGTAGCTTCCAGAGGAACAATCAGACAGCAACATTTGCCATTCTGCAATATTTGCTGTTCTGCTGCCTCCGCTGGTGATACCCAGGCAAAAAGTGTCTGGAGTGGACATCCAGCAAACTCCAACAAATCTACAACTGAGGGTCCTGACTGTTAGAAGAAAAACTAACAAACAGAAAGGACATCCACACCAAAACCCCATCTGTACGTTACCATCATCAAAGACCAAAGGTAGATACAACCACAAAGATGGGGAGAAACGAGAGCAGAAAAGGTGAAAATTCTGAAAATCAGAGCACCTCTTCTCCTCCAAAGGAATGCAGCTCCTCAACAGCAACAGAACAAAGCTGGACAGAGAATGACTTTGATGAGTTGAGAGAAGAAGTCTTCAGACGGTCGGTAATAACAAACTTTTCTGTGCTAAAGGAGGATGTTCAAACCCATCACAAAGAAGCTAAAAACCTTGGAAAAAGATTAGACAAATGGCTAACTAGAATAAACAGCATAGAGAAGACCTTAAATGACCTGATGGAGCTGAAAACCATGGCACAAGAACTACGTGACACATGCACAAGCTTCAGTAGCTGATTCAATCAACTGGAAGAAAGGGTATCAGTGATTGAAGACCAAATGAATGAAATGAAGTGAGAAGAGAAGTTTAGAGAAAAAAGAGTAAAAAGAAATGAACAAAGACTCCAAGAAATATGGGACCATGGGAAAAGATAAAATCTACCTCTGATTGGTGTACCTGAAAGTGATGGGGAGAATGCAACCAAGTTGGAAAACACTCTTCAGGACATTATCCAGGAGAACTTCCCTAACCTAGCAAGGCAGGCCAACATTCAAATTCAGGAAATGCAGAGAACTCCACAAAATACTCCTCAAGAAGAGCAACTCCAAGACACATAATTGTCAGATTCACCAAAGTTGAAATGAAGGAAAAAATGTTAAGGGCAGCCAGAGAGAAAGGTCGGGTTACCCACAAATGGAAGCCCATCAGACTAACAGCGGATGTCTCAGCAGAAACTCTACAAGCCAGAAGAGAGTGGGGGCCAATATTCAACATTCTTAAAGAAAAGAATTTTCAACCCAGAATTTCATATCTAGCCAAACTAAGCTTCATAAGTGAAGGTGAAATAAAATCTTTTACAGACAAGCAAATGCTGAGAGATTTTGTCACCACCAGGCTTGCCCTACAAGAGCTCCTGAAGGAAGCACTAAACATGGAAAGGAACAACCAGTACCAGCCACTGTAAAAACATGCCAAATTGTAAAGACCCTCGAGTCTAGGAAGAAACTGCATCAACTAACAAGCAAAATAACCCGCTAACATCATAATGACAGAATCAAATTCAAATATAACAATATTAACTTTAAATCTAAATGGGCTAAATGCTCCAATTGAAAGACACAGACTGGCAAATTGGATAAAGAGTCAAGACCCAACAGTGTGCTGTATTCAGGGGACCCATCTCACATGCAGAGACACACATAGGCTCAAAATAAAGGGATGGAGGAAGATCTACCAAGCAAATGGAAAACAAAAGAAAAGCAGGGGTTGCAATCCTAGTCTCGGATAAAACAGTCTTTAAACCAACAAAGATCAAAAGAGACAAAGAAGGCCATTACATAATGGTAAAGGGATCAATTCAACAAGAAGAGCTAAATATATATGCACCCAATAGAGGAGCACCCAGATTCATAAAGCAAGTCCTTGGAGACCTACAAAGAGACTTAGACTCCCATACAATAATAATGGGAAACTTTAAAACCCCACTGTCAACATGGGGCAGATCAACGAGACAGAAAGTTAACAAGGATATCCAGGAATTGAACTCAGCTCTGCACCAAGCAGACCTAATAGACAACTACAGAACTCTCCACCCTAAATCAACAGAATATACATTCTTCTCAGCACCACATCACACTTATTCTAAAATTGACAACATGGGTGGAGTAAAGCACTCCTCATAAAATGTAAAAGAACAGAAATTATAACAAACTGATTCTCAGAACACAATGCAATCAAACTAAAACTCAGGATTAAGAATCTCACTCAAAACCACTCAACTACATGGAAACTGAACAACCTACTCCTGAATGACTACTGGGTACATAACAAAATGAAGGCAGAAATAAAGATGTTCTTTGAAACCAATGAGAACAAAGACACAACATACCAGAATCTCTGGGACACTTTTAAAGCAATGTGTAGAGGGAAATATATATCACTAAATGCCCACAAGAGAAAGCAGGAGAGATCTAAAATTGACACCCTAACATCACAATTAATAGAGCTAGAGAAGCAAGAGCAAACACATTTAAAAGCTAGCAGAAGGCAAGAAATAACTAAGATCAGAGCAGAACTGAAGAAGATAGAGACAAAAAAACCCTTCAAAAAAATCAATGAATCCAGGAGCTGGTTTTTTGAAAAGATCAACAAAATTGATAGACCACTAGCAAGACTAATAAAGAAGAAGAAAGGGAAGAATCAAACAGATGCAATAAAAAATGATGAAGGGGATATCACCACTGATTCCACAGAAATACAAACTACCATCAGAGAATACTATAAACACCTCTATGCAAATAAACTAGAAAATCTAGAAGAAATGGATGAATTCCTGGACACATACAGCCTCCCAAGACCAAACCAGGAAGAATTTGAATCCCTGAATAGACCAATAACAGGCTCTGAAATTGAGGCAATAATTAATAGCCTACCAACCAAAAAAAGTCCAGGACCAGATGGATTCACAGCTGAATTCTACCACAGGTATGAAGAGGAGCTGGTACCATTCCTGCTGAAACTATTCCAATCAATAGAAAAAGAGGGAATCCTCCCTAACTCATTTTATGAGGCCAGCATCATCCTGATACTAAAGCCTGGCAGAGACACAACAAAATAAGAGAATTTTAGACCAATATCCCTGATGAACATTGATGCAAAAATCCTCAATAAAATACTGGCAAACCGAATCCAGCAGCACATCGAAAAGCTTATACACCACGATCAAGTTGGCTTCATCCCTGGGATGCAAGGCTGGTTCAACATGTCCAAATCACTAAATGTAATCCATCATATAAACAGAACCGAAGACAAAAACCACATGATTATCTCTATAGATGCAGAAAAGGCCTTTGACAAAATTCAACAGTGCTTCATGCCAACAACTCTCAATAAACTAGCTATTGATGGGATGTATCTAAGAATAACAAGAGCTATTTATGACAAAAACTCACAGCCAATACCATACTGAATGGGCAAAAACTGGAAGCATTCCCTTTGAAAACTGGCACAAGACAAGTATGCCTTCTCTCACTACTCCTATTCAACATAGTATTGGAATTTCTGGCCAGGGCAATCAGGCAGGAGAAAGAAACAAAGGGTATTCAATTAGGAAAAGAGGAAGTCGAATTGTCCCTGTTTGCAGATGACATGATTGTATATTTAGAAAACCCCATCGTCTCAGCCCAACATCTCCTTAAGCTGATAAGCAATTTCAGCAAAGTCTCAGGATACAAAATCAATGTGCAAAAGTCACAAGCATTCCTATACACTAATAACAGACAAACAGAGAGCCAAATTATGAGTGAACTCCCATTCACAATTGCTTCAAAGAGAATAAAATACCTAGGAATCCAACTTACAAGGGATGTGAAGGACCTTTTCAAGGAGAACTACAAACCACAAGCCACTGCTCAATGAAATAAAAGAGGATACAAACAAATGGAAGAACATTCCATGCTCATGCATAGGAAGAATCAATATCATGAAAATGGCCATACTGCCCAAGGTAATTTATAGATTCAATGCCATTCCCATCAAGCTACCAACGACTTTCTTCACAGAATTGGAAAAAACTACTTTAAAGTTCATATGGAACCAGAAAAGAGCCCGCATTACCAAGTCAATCCTAAGCTAAATGAACAAAGCTGTAGGAATCATGCTACTTGACTTCAAACTATACTACAAGGCTACAGTAACCAAAACATCATGGTACTGGTACCAAAACAGAGATACAGACCAATGGAACAGAACAGAGGCCTCAGAAATAATACCACACATCTACAACCATCTGATCTTTGACACAACTGACAAAAACAAGCAATGGGGAAAGGATTCCCTATTTAATAAATGGTGCTGGAAAAACTGGCTAGCCATATGTAGAAAGCTGAAACTGGATCCCTTCGTTACACCTTATACAAAAATTAACTCAAGATGGATTAAAGACTTAAACGTTAGACCTAAAACCATAAAATCCCTGGAAGAAAACCTAGGCAATACCATTCAGGACATAGGCATGGGCAAGGACTTCATGTCTAAAACACAAAAAGTAATGGAAACAAAAGCCAAAATTGACAAATGGGATCTAATTAAACCAAAGAGCTTCTGCAGAGCAAAAGAAACTACCATCAGAGTGAACAGGCAACCTACAGAAAGGGAGAAAATTTTTGTAATCTACCCATCTGACAAAGGGCTAATATCCAGAATCTACAAAGAACTTAAACAAACTTACAAGAAAAAATCAAACAACCTCATCAAACAGTGGGTGAAGGATATGAACAGACACTTCTCAAAAGAAGATATTTATGCAGCCAACAGACACATGAAAAAATGTTCATCATCACTGACCATCAGAGAAATGCAAATCAAAACCATAATGAGATACCATCTCACACCAGTTAGAATGACGATCATTAAAAAATCAGGAAACAACAAGTGCTGGAGAGGTTGTGGAGAATTAGGAACACTTTTACACTGTTGGTGGGGCTGTAAACTAGTTCAACCATTGTGGAAGACTGTGTGGTGATTCCTCAAGGATCTAGAAGTAGAAATACCATTTGACCCAGCCATCCCATTACTGGGTACATATCCAAAATATTATAAATCATGATGC